>NC_000004.12:169546381-170171381 GCF_000001405.40 Homo sapiens
GAGGAGTGTTTTACTTCCAATTACATGGTCAATTTTAGAATAAATGCTATGTGGTGCTGAGAAGAATGTATACCCTGTTGATTTGGGGTGGAGAGTTCTGTAGATGTCTATTAGGTCCGCTCAGTCCAGAGCTGAGTTCAAGTCCTGGATATCCTTGTTAATTTTGTGTCTCATTGATCTAATATTGACAGTGGGGTGTTAAAGTCTCCCACTACTGTGTGGGAGTCTATGTCTCTTTTTAGGTCACTAAGAACTTGCTTTATGAATCTGGGTGCTCCTGTATTGGGTACGTATATATTTAGGATAGTTAGCTCTTCTTGTTGCATTGATCCCTTTACCATTACGCAATGCCCTTCTTTGTCTCGTTTGATCTTTGTTGGTTTAAAGTCTGTTTTATCAGAGACTAGGATTGCAACCCCTGCTTTTTTTGTTTTCCATTTGCTTGGTAAATATTCCTCCATCCCTTTATTTTGAGCCTACACGTGTCTTTGCACATGAGATGGGTCTCCTGAATACAGCACACTGATGGGTCTTGACTCTTTATCCAATTTGCCAGTCTGTGTCTGTTAATGCAGCATTTAGCCCATTTACATTTAAGGCTAATATTGTTATGTGTGAATTAGATCCTGCCATTATGATGCTAGCTGGTTATTTTGCCCATTAGTTGATGCAGTTTCTTCATAGTATCTATGGTGCTTACATTCTGATATGCTTTTGCAGTGGCTGGTACCAGTTGTTCCTTTCCATGTTTAGTGCTTCCTTCAGGAGCTCTTGTAAGGCAAGCCTGGTGGAGACAAGATCTCCCAGCATTTTCTTTTCTGTAAGAATTTTATTTCTCCTTCACTTATGAAGCTTAGTTTGGCTGGATATGAAATTCTGGGTTGAAAATTATTTTCTTGAAGAATGTTGAATATTGACCCCCACTCTCTTCTGGCTTGTAGGGTTTCTGCAGAGAGATCTGCTGTTAGTCCGATGGGCTTCCCTTTACCGGTAACCTGACCTTTCTCTCTGGTGGCTCTTAACATTTTTTCCTTCATTTCAACCTTGGTGCATCTGACAATTATGTGTCTTGGGGTTGCTGATCTCGAGGAGTATCTTTGTGGTGTTCTCTATACTTCCTGAATTTGAATGCTGGCCTGCCTTGCTAGGTTGCAGAAGTTCTCCTGGATTATATCCTGGAGAGTGTTTTCCAAGTTGGTTTCATTCTCCCCGTCACTTTCAGGTACACCAAACAAATGTAGATTTGGTCTTTTCGCATACTCCCATATTTCTTGGAGGCTTTGTTCGTTTCTTTTCACTTTTTTCTCTAATCTTGTCTTCTCGCTTTATTTCATTGAGTTGATCTTCAATCTCTGATATCCTTTTCCACTTGATTGATTCGGCTATTGATACTTGTGTATGCTTCACGAAGTTCTCATGCAGTGTTTTTCAGCTCCATCAGGTCATTTATGTTCTTCTTTAAACTGGTTATTCTAGTTAGCAATTTGTCTAACCTTTTCTCAAGGTTCTTAGCTTCCTTGCATTGGGTTAGAACATGTTCCTTTAGCTCAAAGGAGTTTGTTATTACCCACCTCCTGAAGCCTACTTCTGTCAATTCATCAAACTCATTCTCTGTCCAGTTTTGTTCCCTTGCTGTCAAGGAGTTGTGATCCTTTGGAGGAGAAGAGGTGTTCTGGTTTTTGGAATTTTCAGCCTTTTTGCGCTGGTTTCTCCCCATCTTTGTGGATTTATCCACCTTTGGTCTCTGAAGTTGGCGACCTTCAGATGGGGTCTCTGAGTGTATGTCCTTTTTGATACTATTCCTTTCTGTTTGTTAGTTTTCCTTCTAACAGTCAGAGCCCTCTGCTGCAGGTCTGCTGGAATTTGCTAGAGGTCCACTCCAGACTGTGTTCGCCTGGGTATCACTGGCAGAGGCTGAAGAACAGCAAAGATTGCTGCCTGTTCCTTCCTCTGGAAGCTTCGTCCCAAAGGGGCACCCGCCAGATGCCAGCCAGATCTCTCCTGTATGAGGAGTCTGTCGGCCCCTACTGGGGAGGTGTCTCCCAGTCAGGATACACAGGGGTCAGGGACCCACTTGAGGAGGCCCACTGTCCCTTATCAGAGCTCAAACTCTGTGCTGGGAGATCTGCTGCTCTCTTCAGAGCTGCCAAGCAGGGATGTTTAAGTCTGCTGAAGCTGTGCCCACAACTGCCCCTTCCCCCAGGTGCTCTGTCCCAGGGAGGTGGGGGTTTTATCTATAAGACCCTGACTGGGGCTACTGCCTTTTTTTCAAAGATGCCCTGCCCAGAGGGGAGGGAATCTAGAAAGGCAGTCTGGCTACAGTGGCCTTGATGAGCTGCGGTGGGCTCCTCCCAGTTCAAACTTCCCAGTGGCTTTGTTTACACCATGAGGGTAAAACCACCTACTCAAGCCTCAGCAATGGTGGACACCCCTCCCCGCTCCAAGCTACAGTGTCCCAGGTAGAGTTCAGACTGCTGTGCCGGCATCCAGAATTTCAAGCCAGTGGATCTGAGCTTGCTGGGCTCTGTGGGGGTGGGACCCACCAAGCCAGACCACTTGGCTGCCTGGCCTCAGCCCCCTTTCTAGGGGAGTGAACAGTTATGTCTCACTGGTGTTCCAGGTGCCACTAGGGTATGAAAAAAAACTCCTTTGGCTACCTCGGTGTCTGCCCAAACGGCAGCCCAGTTTTGTGCTGGAAACCCAGGGCCCTGGTGGCATAGGGACTGGAGGGAATCTCCTGGTCTGTGGGTTGTGAAGACCGTCGGAAAAGCACAGTATCTGGGCCAGAGTGCACGGTACAGTTCCTAATGGCTTCCCTTGGCTAGGAGAGGGAGTTCTCCAAACCCTGGTGTTCCTGGGTGAGGTGACACCCCACCCTGCTTCAGCTCGCCCTCCTTGGGCTGTACACACTGTCCAACCAGTTCCAATGAGATGAACTGGGTACCTCAGTTGGAAATGCAGGAATCACACGCCTTCTGTGCCGATCTTGTTGGGAGCTACAGACCAGAGCTGTTCCTATTCGGCCATCTTGCCAGCTGCCCATCTTTTGTTTTTGTTTGAGACAGAATTTTGCTCTTGTCGCCAAGGCTGGAGTGCAATGGCGTGATCTCGGCTCACTGCAACCTCTGCCTCCTGGGTTCAAGCAATTCTCCTGCCTCAGCCTGCCAAGTAGCTGGGATTACAGGCATGCGCCACCATGCCTGGCTAATTTTTGTATTTTTAGTAGAGACAGGGTTTTGCCACGTTGGCCAGGCTAGTCTTGAACTCCTGACCTCAGGTGATCTGCCTGCCTCGGCCTCCCAAAGTGCTGGGATTACAGGTGTAAGCCACGACACCCGGTCTTTTTTTGTTTGTTTAAGACGGAGTCTCACTCTGTCACCCAGGCTGGAGTGCAGTGGCGTGATCTCAGCTCACTGCCACCTCCGCTTCCCAGGTTCAAGTGATTCTCCTGCCTCAGCCTCCTGAGTTGCTGAGATTACAGGCACCCACCACCATGCCCAGTTCATTTATTTATTTATTTTAGTAGAGATGGGGTTTCACCATGTTGGCAGGCTGGTCTTGAGCTCCTGATCTCAAGTGATCTGCCCACCTTGACCTCCCAAAGTGCAATTCTCAGATTCTTTAATTATTCCTCATAAAATTTTTCAAGATTTAGCAATACAGTTTGGCTGTGTCCCCACCCAAATCTCAAATTGAAACTCCCATAATTCCCATGTGTTGTGGGAGGGACCTGGTGGGAGGTAACTGAATCATGATGGCGGGTCTTTCCTGAGCTGTTGTGGTGACAGTGAATAAGTCTCACGAGATCTGATGGTTTTATAAAGGAGAGTTCCCCTACACATGCTCTCTCTCTTGTCTGCTGCAAGACATGACTTTACTTCTCCTTTGCCTTCTACCATGATTGTGAGGCCTACCCAGCCATGTGGAACTGTGATTCCATTAGACCTCTTTTTCTTTATAAATTACCCAGTCTCGGGTATGACTTTGTTAGCAGTGTGAGAACAGACTAATACACTTAATAAAGTCAATATGGTACAACAGTTAAGTGAGTGAGGTCAGGAACCAAACTGTCCAGCTTCAACTCCTGGTTGCACTAATAGTAATGTGACCTTCAACAAGTTACTTAATTACACATAGCCTCAATTTCTTAATCTGTAAAATAGCAAAAATAATAATTCCTGCCTCACAGTATTGGTGATGATTAAATGAGTTAATAATACATTCAATTCTCATTATTCTCATAGCTATGTTCTATAAACTCTCCATGAATACTGAACAGAACCACTGCTCCTAGGGTAAATGCAGAGTTAGACTCCTGGATCCATTATATTGTGGATTCATTAACACTGAATTCATGGCCAATAGTGGCATAACTAATGCCCAAATGAAGTCTAACACACATATTTTCTCCCTAAAGCACATCGCTGCCTTTTGACATTTCAGCACTATGCTTTTGGGCCACTTTTGCTATTCTGAGCCCATGAATGACCCCAGGTTCATGAATGACATGGGCTGAGCCTATGCCCATGCCCATGAATGACCATGACAGTGCTACACATATTGATTTTGAGGTTACAAATACATTTTAGCAAGTAGGTAAATTCGCAAATACGGAATCCACAATAGTAAAGATTAACTATATATGTAAATTACTTAGAACAGGTCCTTGCACAAGTGCCCAATTAAATATTAGTTGCTACCTTTTACTTATAGGAATCTAGTTTGTCATTACCCTATTGTTTAAACAGTGCAGAATACAGTGAAAACTTCATCTCCTATGCTACTTTGATTTTAAACTTTTTATTACAAAAAAAACTTCTTTAGCTCCTAAGAAGTTATTAATACTGGCCCAGGGGCAATAAAACAGGCACTATCATACACTGTTGGGTTAAGTACAAACTGGCACTTTTCTAGAAAAAAACTTAGTAATATTTCTTTCAAGAATCTTCATCAGGAACATAGATGACCAAATCTTTTAGCAAAATAATTGCCCTTACAAGATTATATTTCAAGGCAATAATAAAAAATGAAGAATAAAATGTGGCAGAAAAATGTTCAAAAAGGTGAAGGATTACAAACAACTGGTTATACTAGGGGATTTGTTAGATAAATCATAGCACATTCAGGCACTGGAATCTTATGTAGATATTAAAAAATTGAAAACAACATGGGAAATATGTATGGTAAGAACACTAAATTTAAAAAGATAAAAATTTGTATGTATGATTTTGTTTCCACTATCTTGGGAAAAAGAAAAGGAAAAGGTATGCAAGAAAATTAACCAAAGTCTTCATCAGCAGTGACCACCACTATAGGGATTTGGAATTATTTTCTTTCCTGTTTCCTAACACTCTCCTCCTATACACTCCAATTTTTCTAAAACTAACCTACATCACTTAGCAAGCAGTAAAACAAGAAAAAAAAAAGCCTCTTGTGATTTTTCTTCAGGTTTTCTTTTTTACTGAGCAAAAAGGAGAGAAAAAGGAGGTATGAACAGGTGACTGAGAACCCTGTATGAAAGGACAATAATAAGGTAGTTAGCTGTTGGTATTTTTAAAACAGAAATACGTGAAAATTCTTGAATATTCAGCAAAAGAAAGAGTATTAAAAAGAATGTAAGAATGAGAGGAAGGAAAAAAAGATTAAATGCCTTTCAGTAAAGCAAAACACTGAAGAACAAAGACAATAGTTTAAATTTGGAGTAGTGAAAGTTGTTGCTCCATGTCAGTGAAAAGATTACAGTGTGTATGTAAATCTAAGACAATGAGTATTATTAAGAAAGAGATCACGAGAAAATTATACACATAGTAATTAAATCATTTCCTTATAAGTGATTACCAGCTATGAAAGGAAAGGGCATTTTTATTCTTATAGCAAAATATAATAAAATACAGCTGTTTCAACATCTGAAGATCAATTAATGTAATCCATCACATCAATAAGCTAAAGAAGAAAAATCACATGATCATATCTATACATGCCAAAAAAAAAAAAGCATTTGACAAAATCCAGCACCCATTTCTGATTTTAAAAAATCTCAGAAAACCTAAATTAGAGAGGAACTTCCACAATTTCATAAAGAACATCTCCAAAAAACCTACAGCTAACATATTTAATGGAAACTTGAAGCTTTCCGGCCAACATCAGGAACAAGACAAAGATGTCCTTCTCAACATTACTTTTCAACATCATATTGGAAGTTCTAGCTAATGCAATAAGACAAGGAAAGAAAACACAAGGTATACAGACTGGGAAGGAAGAAATATAACTGTCTTTGTTTGCAGATGACATGATTGTCTATGTAGAAAATTCAAAAGAAACACCAAAACCCCTCTCAAAAAAAGTGATGATAGCAAAGTTGCAGGATAGAAGGTTAATAAACAAAAGTCAATTGCTTTCCTATATATAAACAAGGAACAAGTAGAATTTGAAATTAAAAACACATTATCACTTTCATTAGCACCCCCCAACATGTAATACATAGGTTACAAATCTAAAAAAATATGCACGGGTATGAGGAAAACTAAAAAATTCTGATGAAATACATCAAAGATATATTTCAGGTCTAACATGAAGTATTGGAAGATTGAATATCGTCAAGATGTCAGTTCTTCCCAAGCTGATCTACAGATTCAACACAATCCCAATCAAAATCCCAGCATGTTAGTCTTTAGATATGGACAAACTTATTATAAAGCTTATATGGAAAGACAAAAGAACCGGAATAGCCAACTCAGTATTGAAGAACAAAGCTGGATGACTGAAAATACCTGATTTCAAGACTTAATCAGTAGAACAGAACAGAGAGCACAGAAATAGACTGACATAAAAATCCTTTGTCAACCAATCACTGACAAAGGAGCAAAGGCAATTCAAAGAAACAAATATAGTCTTTTCAAGAGATGTGGAACAACTGGGCATCCACATGCAAAAAAATGAATCTAGACACAGACCTTATATCCTTCACAAAAATTAACTCAAATGGATCACAGATCTAAAGATAAAACATTAAACTATAAAACTCCTAGAAGATAACATAGGAGAAAACCCAAATGAACTTGGGTATGGTGATAACTTTTCAGTTATAACACCAGAGACACAATCCATGAAAGAAACAATTGATATGCTGGACTTCATTACAACAAAAAAGTTCCACTCTGCAAAACAAAATATTAAGGGAATGAGAAGATGAGCCACAAAGAAAAAGAAAATATCTGCCAAAGACATACCTGATAAAGGACTGTTAAATAAAATATACAAAGAACTTTTAAAACTCAACAATATAAAAATGAATTTTAAAATGGGCAAAAGGCCTGAACAGACAACTCATCAAGAAAGATATACAGATGGCATGAAGCATATGAAAAAATGTTGAATATGTCATTAGGGAATTGTAATTAAAATGAGATACCACTACACACTGATTAAATTGGCCAAAATCCGAAACACTGACAACACTAAATGCTGGAGAGGATGTGGGGCAACAGGAATTCTTAATCACTGCTGGCAGGAACGCATAATGGTATAGCCACTTTGGAAGACAGCTTGGTGACTTCTTACAAAATCAAACATACTCTTAAGACATGATCCAGCAATCATCCTCTTGGCATCTGTTTAAATACTTAAAAAATTTATGTCCACAAAAAAACCTACACACAAATGTTTGTAGAAGCTTTATTCATAATTGCCATAACTTAAAAGCAACCAAGATGTCCTTCAGTAGAATAATGGATAAAGTGTAGTACATCCATTCTGGCTGGGCATGGTGGCTCATGCTTGTAATCCCAGCACTTTGGGAGGCCAGTGCAGGAGGACTGCTTGAACCCAGGAGTTCAAGACCAGCCTGGGCAACATAGCAAGACTCCATTCTACAAAAAATTTAAAAAATCAGCCACACATGGTGGCAAGCACCTGTAGTCCCAGCTGTTCAGGAGGCTGAGGTGGGAGGGTCACTTAAGCCCCAGAGGTCAAGGCTGCAAGTGAGCCATGATCATGCCATTGCACTCCAGCCTGGGGATAGAACAAGAACCTGTCTCAAAAAAAAAAATTACCAAAAAAAAAAAAAAAAAGTATGCTACATAAATACAATGGGATATTAGTGTTAAGAAGAAATAAGGTATGAAACTATGAAGATATACGGAGGCACCTTAAATGCATATTAGTAAGTGAGAAAAGCCAGTGTGAAAGGCCACATACTATATGATTCCAAGTATATGATATTCTAGAAAAGCTAAAACTATGAAGGCAGTAAAGCAACCAGTGGTTGCCAAGAGTTGGGAGGGAGGTTGGAGGGAGGTGGAGCACAGGGGATTTTGAAGGCAGTCACATTATTTTGTATGATATTACAGTGGTGGATACCTATAATTATACATTCGTCAAAAGCCATGGAGTGTACAATACCAAGAGTAAACTCTAATGTAAACTATGGACTTTGGGTGATAATGGATCGATGTTTGATCATAACAAACGTTATCACTCAAATGAGGATGTCAATACAGAGGTTGTGCATGTGTGAGGAAGGGGTACATAGGAACTCTCTGTACTTTCCACTCCATTTTGCTGTGAACCCCAAATCGCTCTAAAAATAAAGTTTACTAATTAAACAATATATATACTAGAAAGATCAATAATTCTGGAGAATAAAAGCCTCCCACAAAATTTGTCTCACTATTCATAAAAAATATGCATATGTGTAAGTCTGTAACCTTCCTTTCTCAAAAAATAGATGCTTCATATATCAGGCTTCTGTATATAATTTATAATGTGTATATAAACGTTAATTTATATTTACCTCAATCATTTATCTCTGCTCAAGTACATATTAATCAGTTACCATTATTAATTCAATGGAAGAAAAGAAATAATATGATGAACAGGATCACAAAGAGTTATAAATCAGAGATGAAGGTGAAGAGAAAGCATGCTAAGACAACAAAGAGAAAAGTAGGCTTTGAAGTGATGAAGAAAAGGGCGAAAAATGCACTGGGGTTCTGCATAAAGTGTGATTCAATTTAGATTTATATCCTGATTTATTTAAAGGAAGTGGGTGATAAAATGTTATAATTATGTTGGCAGAATGTTATCACATGTTCCTTTAAATAGTATATTCAGTCTAAACCCACAAACAAGACACAAAAATCAGGCTGAACTGGAAAGCTACATGCTTTCAGAGTAATCAAGGGCCAAATTTGCACCTCAGAAAATTATTGTACCCAAGAGGCAAAAAACATCATATGTGAACAATGGAGAAAACATCCACAAAGTGTAGGTACTAAGCTATGTATGACAAACGACAAAATTACACACATGGATGAATTCATGGATCATCACAGTCCAACCTGTTTGCATTGGCTTGTTTAGACACCGCCTTCAATCTTTTCAAAGTTTTTCTAATATCATCAGCATCAGGAAAATGGTGATGACCTGCAGCCCCATAAGGAAATCCTGGACGAACTCCAGGCAGAATTCCTCTGTAGATAAATATGCACAGTGACTTTCATTACTATCTCAGAAGCAAAGCATAAGCAACTTCTGCAGAACATAGCCATACCTTTCTGGAAGACCTCGACCATATATTTCTCTTTTCCATTTAGCTTCATTATCTTCTGCTCTTTGTTGCTGCATTTGGTCAAAAATGGCATGGTAATGTTCATACTGTCCTCGAGAAGAAAAAGATGATGGAGCTATAGTCCCTCCACTGCCCAGAAAAGGAGCCTAGGGATTAAACAAAGAGCTCTCACATGTTTATCTTATAAGGCCTAACAGGCCTGTACTAGTCTCAAAAGAAAAAGTAAATTTCAATGCTTCACTTTTAAAAAGTAATTACTTAATATGAACATACTAACAAACATAAAGCCTAAAGCAAAATGTTTTCCTATTATAACTATTAACAACCAAAAAGCAGTATACTTTGTAATTGATAATAAAGCATAATGTGACAAACAAAAACAGCAAAATGACACTAATTTCATGTAAATATGGAAAAATTTGATCTTAATTAACAGGTTTTGAAACAAGCTTCCAATATACATTTCATGTAATTCTGTTCCGTTGTTTATGTATAGCTTATGAGAGCCTCCTTTTATATAACACTCAGAATTATATTTAACAAAAACATCTGCATATGGCTTTTAATATACCCCAAATCTTTAAATTCACCAAGCAGATATGAAGGTATAAACATTATTAAAACATGTTCTATATGTATATAAAAGAGGCAAAAAGTCATATCTATCTTTAGTTTCCAAGTAAGTTGGGAAAAATAGCACAAAACTAGAAAAACATTCAATTCTATGGTAAACAAGTGACAACAGAGAAATTCCAAAGTAGTAAGTGCTGAGCAAATCCACAAAACAGTAAAAAAAAAAAAAAAAATCAACAGTAAAATCCTTATTTAGAAAAAAGGCCTTGGGGAGAGATATTGTTTAATCTGGTCTTGATAGCAATGTAAGGAGAGTAAATATGAGCCAAGGCATTAAAGTAAAAATAATCAATGTATGTATATATTTAGGTATGGAAGGTGGAAGAGGAAGGAAGTATGATGACAAATACAAGGAAGGCAAAGTATTAAGTATTAAGTTTGGCTATAAAAGCTTGGTATAGCTAAATGCTAAATGCTATCTGCCCTTGGTGTTTGCGTTCAAATAATAAATAACAATAGAAAGGATTTATAAAGTTTCTAGCAGCAGTAGTATATCAACAGAGTTTTAAAGGTCAGTAAGTCAATATTATGCATGGTAAGCAGAAATAAGAAAGTAAGGCAGAGGAATTAATTAGAAGGATGTTGCTGCCCTGACACCAAGCCAAGAAGCCTGGAAAGCCAAGAAAGGCAATCAATGAAAAAGTAACTGCTGAAGGAAGTTTGGATTCTCTGCAGGAATGACAAAGGATAAAGGCAAAGACTTAAAGACTCAACCACCGAGACATAAGAACTCAACCACATGGAAAACTCATAGTAAAAAATAGAGATGTCAGAAAAGGATAAGGGTAAAAGTAAATAAAAACTGTATAATGCTACAGAAGTCATGGTGAAAGAATTTCATTAAGAAGAAATCAATAACCTCAAATGCAAAGGTCAACTTATTTTAACTTTTCTTATCTGAGAATAAGACCACCAGATATGACTAAGGCTGAGTGGAAGCCTTTAAAAAAACCATTTTCTGAGTGTGTGAAGTGATGAGAACAGAAGCCACAATAATGAGAGTAAAAAAGGGAAAACTTCCAGGTGATAACATCTTAAGGAAAATGCCTGGTTAAAAAAAGAAACAAAGGCCAGGCATGGTGGCACATGCCTGTAATCCCAGCACTTTGGGAGGCTGAGGTGGGCAGATTGCTTGAGCTCAGGAGTTCGAGACTAGCCTGGGCAAATTGGCGAAACAACATCCCTGCAAATACAAAAAATTAGCCGGGCGCAGTGGCATGTGTCTGTAGTCCCAGCTACTCAGGAGGCTGAGATGGGAAGATTGCTTGAACTCAGGAGGTCAAGGCTACAGTGAGTCATGATCCCACCACTGCAATCTAGCTTGGGTGACAGAGTGAGATCCTGTCTCAAAAAATAAGTAAATAAATAAAATAATAATAAAAGAAACAAAGAAAAATGTCAGAATCCAATAAAAGAAACTTCAGTGTAACCCAATAAGACAAAATTTGTCTTCCATCAAGGTGGTCCTTACATACATCCTCAAAATGTACATCTGAAGTCAAGAATCAGAATTCAGTTATAAGGTGGTCATATTTCCTATGAAACTGGTTACTCTTTGAATTTAGCCCAATGCTAATATCATCTTAACTTGACTGAGTGCTCCATTTCTCTTTAGCAAAAACAAAAGTAGGTAAACATCTCAGAAGATGCTCATACTCAAAATAATGTTGAAAATACTATATGAGAATACTGATGAAATATGTTTGTTTGAGACATAATTTATGTACAATAAAAATTCACCAATTGTAAGCACAGGCTGAATTCTGACAAATGTAGACACTCACATAACCACTACTACAATCAAAAGCATATCCATTACCCCAGAAAGTTCCCTTGTGTTCCTTTGCAGTAAATGCTCGCACTGTCAGCAACCACTGATCTGCTTTCCGTCACTACAGGTTGGATTTGCCTTTCCCATTATGTCATGTAAATAAAATCATAAATATGTACTCTTTTATCTGGTTTCTTTCACTCACAGGTTTTTAAGATTGATCCATGGTGTTGCATGTATAAACAGGCTATTCTTTTTACTGCCAAATGGTATTCCAATATATTTTCAAACAAGAGATACACCTCTTCCATATTATAATCACCATATAACCATACATGTGGAATATATAATTTTTCTAAAAACACATTCATAAAAGACACATTAAAAATGGATAAAACAAAGAAGGTCCAGATTTTGCAGATACTAAATAATCAAAAACATTTACATTGGATATTTATACTATGAATAAAAATGCCTCTTATTTAGAAGTACGTAATAATAGTATTAATTTTGAAATACTTTAGTTTTAGTTTTATCTTTCTTTTGGGGAATCTCCTTAATTTGATTCATATGATACTGAGCCTCCAGGTCCTTATCAACTATGTAGAAATCAAACAGCCTAACAAGTTAAAATATTTCAAATTCAATGAGGAATAAATATAGAAACTAACATAGAATTTCCTTTAAATCATGGAAAATAAATTGTTTTATTAATCTTCAATGAAAGCATTACAGAAGTTTATAAAGTGATGCAGAAATCTATTCAGTACACAGTATGTAACTTGAAAATTGTCTCAGTTATTAAACATTAATAAAACTGATTAATACTGTATTAGACATCATAGGAAAAAGCACTTTATTACACAAAAGGGAGAAGAATAAATCATCAAAACTTCAGTGCTAATCACGGACTTGATAAAAAAATGCTTGAGATCTGAAGGAGTACAAGTTGATAAGCTTTCTCTTTCCAATCAGGTAAGATGTGAGGTTAGTTATTTTAGAATGGACCAGATTCTAAGTCATTCCTGATCATTCAGGAGGTAATAAGTTCTACTTAAAGGTAAGATAAAATTATACTACTAAAAACACTGTATAATCTATATTAATACAAATTTGGAAAAAGTTACTCTTAATGAATTATTACTATGATATGAAGAACTTCTGCACCTCAAGAGACTGAAAAACAAATCTATAAATCCAGGGCAGAATGTATATGTCTAGATAAAACAAACTTTTATTCAAATTATAACTTTTGGAGAAAAAAAACCAAGAATTATAATTGATCCAATTTGACAAGTATCTATTGTACATCTAAATATCAAGATTAATGGGTGTACATGAGTGAAACTTATAGTTTGAAGATGTATTGACTTAGGCTGGGCACGGTGACTCACGCCTGTAATCCCAGCACTTTGGGAGGCCGAGGCAGGCAGGTCACCTGAGGTCGGGAGTTCGAGACCAGCCTGACCAACATGCAGAAACCCCGTCTCTACTAAAAATACAAAATTAGCTGGGCGTGGTGGTGCATGCCTGTAATCCCAGCTACTCCGGAGGCTGAGGCAGGAGAATCGCTTGAACCCGGGAGGCAGAGGTTGCAGTGAGCTGAGATCGTGCCATTGCACTCCAGCCTGGGTAACAAGAGCGAAACTCCATCTCAAAAAAATAAAAAGATGTATTGACTTACAGTTTATTCAATGATACAAATTAGTGCATTCATCTTCTATTGCTGTATAACAAACTATCACAAATTTAGTAGCTTAAAACAATATCTATTTATAATCTCAGTTCCCCTGGCTCAGGAATCTGGGTGCATTTAGCTGGGTCCCCTCCTCAGGATCTCACCAGGCAGAAATCAAGGTGTCAGCCAGGGTTACAATTCTCACCTGAGACTCAGGATCTCTTCCAAGTTTACTGGTTCTTGGCAGAATTAATTTCCTTGTGGCTGTATGACTAGGACCACAATTTTCTTGCTAGTTGCTCATTAGAGACCACTACTTGTAGAGGTCATCTCTACTGTTTTGCCACATGAATGTTTACTATCTTCCAGGTGAGCAGAATTCTCTCTCTCTAATTTCTTTTCCCCTTCCAGTCAGCTATGAAGGAGTCTTATATGTTAACGTAACCCTGGGAGAGACCATCCCATCACCACTTGCCATATAACATAACCTAATCAAGTGAGCTGCTATACTACAGTATTTACAGGTACCACTTATACTCAAGGGAATGGAATAACACAAGGTGTGTATACCGCAGTTGAGAATCTTGGAGACCATCTTAGAATTCTACCAACTACAAATAGAGATATGTATAGGATGCTGTATGAATAAAAGAGGAAGTATAAGATTCAGACTGGCAGAACAAAGAAAGGAAAGGGAAATTACTATAGAAGCCCTTGCCAGACAGGTTCCAGGCACTGTTCTTGGAAAAAAAACTTTTTTTTTTTTTTAAATCAAGAAACCAAAGCTCAGAAAAGTTCAGTAATGTGCCCAAGGTTAAATAGGGTGGATCTACCCAGAAGGAATGTTTAGATTAACTCATCTATGTAACTGGTTATTTAGCTAAATGGATGGAGGTGGGACGTGAGGGTGAGGAGGGATGGAGAGTGCTATTAAGTAAAAGGAAACACAAGTGCAAAGACAAAGAGATTTGGCAAACCACATATAGTAATGAAACTACAAATATAGTCTTCATTTCAGCATGAATAGAGCATACAGTATGTGGTAGGGAATGGATGGTGATGAAGTTGGAGAGACAACAGGGATCAGATTAAGAAGCATCTTCTGAGAACTTAATCTTCAAGGCTACATGAAATTACAGAACGATTTTAGGCTGCAGTGTCATGAATTGTACATAATTTTTAAAAATTCCTGACAGGAATAATGTTATCATAGTCTTCACAAAAAACTTTTAAAGCAATTTTGAGTATAGTCACATAACAGCAACACAAGTTACATATCAGATACATGCAGGAAAGCTAAGTATTCATAATAAATGTTAAAGAATTCTAGGTAAAAATTAATTGTACACTAAAGAAAGAAAGAAAATCCCAAGTACATGCATTTTATAGAACAAGGTGGAACTGGAGGGGAAAATGGTAGTATAACCATATTGGTATAAAATGCCTACCTTTACTTCACCACTTCCACCAGCACTTAGCACATTTCTCCATCCTTGTTCCCTGGCCCTATTTATTCTTTCCAACTTTGGGGAAAAGAAATAAACAAAACACCATTTCAAGTATTTAATATAAAATACACGTAATACATTTAGCAATAAACTGAAAATCAGTGTATTCCTTAAGAAAAAAGTATATTTAATAGATTATCCTCTTACCCTTTCCTTTTCTTGCCTTTTCATTTGTTCAGCCTTCATTAAACTAATAATCTGTAACAATTTTAAAGACAAGCTTCTTACAACTCTTGAACCTATTATCACTTAACAACTTGCCAAAGGTAGAAAAACAAGAGCAAAAAACTACCTGATCCTTTTGTTTCTTTTCTTTTTCAATAAATTCCAGCCTTCTCTTTCTTGCTGCTTCCTTAAATAAAAAAAAGAACATTTTAATCCATAATAATTCCTGTTTTTTCTAGTTTCATCAGGAAAGTTAGTACACCAATGGCAGAGGTATGTTCAATGAGGTTTTTTTTTTAAAAAAAAAAAGAAGTTATAGGTATTCGTTTGAAAGAAATAAGGAAAGGTTTGGAGGCTTTATAGTAAGATTTTGTTTCTTTTTTAAAATTATGTTTGCAAAGCTTTAAAATAACCAGACAGATGTCTTTATACCTCAGATATTTTCCTCCTTTCTTCTCCAGTATTCACTCTCTTCTCTGGAGTTTGATGGGCCTGGACAAAAAGTAAAACTACAAATTAAATAAAGATTTTGAGGCACTTATTTGAAAATCCCAAATTTACAGAAATTTAAGATAAGAAAAAGGTAAAGTCAATACTTCCATAACTCTCTTCCAAATTACATTATCTTAAAAAAAAAAATCGTAGTCTTTGATATGCTGTTAAACAAAGAGAAACATTAGATTCAAAGAAACTGTGGAAAAGGGTCCTTCCCCAATCATCAACTAAACAGTTTTGTGTTCAGGTATGGATGTTTAAGTTTTCCAATATTATCATAGACTATCATTTGAAAAGCCCAATGATGGAGATAATTTTTTTAAAAAAATTAGTGACACAATATATATTCAGTATATAAAATTCAAACAAGATTAAAAATTTAGGGTCTATTTTGCTCTCCACCTCCAGAGTAACGGTAACCACTGTTAATATTTTCATTAGTGTCCTTCAGAGATTATTTTTGTACTTATATATACAGTTCAACTATATACATACAACAATTTTAGCTATGATTTTTACATACATGTAATATTAATGTGTTAATAAAATGACTTTAATTTTTAAAATTTCAATAGCTTTAGGGGTACAAGTGGTTTTTGGTTACATGGATGAAATGCATAATGGTATATATTAGATATTTACATTTCTTCTTTTATATACTGTTTACCTAACTTTGGGGTTGTTAATGGACTCATACAATATATATTCTTTTGTATCTTGCTTTTGCTCAACACTGTTTTCAAGGTTCATTCATGTTATTATTTATATCTGCATCTGTTTTCTTCATGGATATATAGCATTCTATTAATTTTGATTCCTTTCTTTCACAATTATCTTATACTTTACTCATTAGGTCTATTCTAAAGTATTTGGGGGCGGGACTGATGTGGTAGCTCACACCTGTAATCCTAGCACTTTGGGAGGCCAAGATAGGAGGACTGCTTGAGCCTAGGAGTTTGAGACCAGCCTGGATAACATAGTGAGTCCCCATCTCTACAAAAAATTTTTAAAAATTAGCCAGGCATGTGGCCCACACCTGTTGTCCCAGCTACTCAGGAGGCTGAGGTGGAAGGATCTCTTGAGCCCAGGAGGTAGAGGCTACCATGAGCCATGATCACATCACTATACTCCAGCCTGACAGAGCGAGATCCTGTCTCAAAAAAAAAAATAAAAATAAAAAAATCAAGTATCTGGGGGGTTTGTGGGTAATTCTTTCCATTTATTTTCTAATCATTTATTTTTTACATGTTGCCCTTCCATCAGGCCACTTTATTTAATTTATTAATAGTTTAATGCTGCTTCACCACGATTTTCTAGGTAGGTAATCATATCAAATGTAAATACGATATGTCTATGTTTTCTCTCCTCTTCCAATATTTACATTTCTTTCCTTTTAATTGCTCTAGCTAGAACCTCTGGCATAATTTAACGATGGCAATGACAGCAAATCCCTCTGTCTTGTTCCTGACTTTAATGATAATGCTTCCAATGTTTCATCATTATGTACAAAGCCTGCCATAGGTTTCAGGTGTGTATACATACTGTATTAGAACTTACCTTCTGTTTCTTGAATCAAACTTTTAAAAACAAAAGTTAGTGTTAAGTTTCACCGAATTTTCAGCATCTACTGAGATGATTTTTATATGGTTTTCTTCTCTAATCTGCTAATGCAGTAAAATTACAGTAACTGGTTTTCTACTGTTGAAACGTCCCTGTATTGCTGTAATAAATCCTATTTGATAATTATTACATTATTTTTTGATAAAATGCCTGATTTTCCCCTTTTTAAGTCCTTTTCTTTTTTCCAGGATTTCTGCATATGTTCTTACAAGTGATCTACAGTTTTGTTTTACCCTGTGTTAACTACACAATTTTGTAATCAAGGTTAAGCCTAATGTATGATCAATTTTTCAAACAATTCTAACTACAATTCTATATACCAAAAAAGATAAAAATTTATAGAAAAGTTTAAGTTATTCTATCATGTACCAGTGTTTACATTTTTCAGCCACCTTAAAAAAAGATTTAAAAAGCATACTGTACAATTTTTCACCTACACTGGATTTCAATACAAAGGAAAGCAGACATTACTTAAAAAAATTACTTGGGAAAAATATTTTGATGGTCATTTACATTATTAGTAAAATAATCCAGCATTTGATTATATCATTAAAAGTTGTCTCTACTAACAATTCCATTTTAACAGCAGCTATATTTTAACATAAGTCATTGATATAAAATTAGTTTTATATATTATCCTGTGCTTCAGTTTTCTAAATTATGTAGAATGACCATAACAGATAGGCACTAAAATTCTAACCCTGAAAAGCAAATTCAAAATATTACAAAATAAACATGACCCTCACATCATTTTTGAAATAAATGTGTCACCATATATTAAAAAATTAGAAAGGCATACAAAAATTTACTTTCACTGAAAACAATTCAAGAGGATAACATTTCTGCTTTAGAAAGCAATGGTATAATTTAAACTGCATATTTCTTTCTAATGAAACACAACTATTTTACTTCAATGAATATATTATTGAGTATGAGACCAGGAAAATGCTGATATCTAAAATATGTAATACCACCCAATGGGTTAATAAACTTATAAATGATAATAATGAGTCTTTTGTAATGTGCTTTGGCATTTTAATTAAATGATCATAAGCCAATTTTATTGGTATGTTTTAACTCAAGGCTATAGCAACAAAGTGATAAGCGGTACTAAATCTCACACCTGATTCCACTCTTATGACTAACTAAAGAATGCATTTACTCTCTGACAAAATAACCCAAGCAGTGGGTTCTTAGAACTATCCCACACCCTCACTGTATTATTAGTTCCTAACTCCTAACCTCTAATTTTGGCTAGTTATTTCAATTCAACTCTTACTTAAGCTAACCATTTACGTTACCACTTTACCTCAGAAAAGACATTAGAGTTGATGAGATAAAAACAATACTGAAATATTTAAAGAACATTAGCTTTCAAACTTTTTCTAAAGGCGACCCACAATAAGAAATATATTTCCCATCTGGACTCAGGAAGATACATACACACCCCTAAGTTTCATAAAATATCTTCACTATATGTATAGCAGACCCTGCTACTTTCTATCACTTGAAACAAACAAACAAAAAATTCCCTGCTCTTTGCCCACTACAATGTTTTTGCCACCACTAATGGATAGCAACCCCTTGTTTTAAAATAATTATGAGAGATCTCTGGGGGCACTATTGTTGAAGAACAAGAAATAAAAATTGTAGATAATGCTCCTCATAGTATCATTACAAAAACACAGTTAACATTTCAAGGTATGTTCTATGTATACAGAATTTAAACAGTGGGGAACATTACCCAGAAGCTTTGTAAAAATACATATTCCTTCTATACAAACGAATATTTGGCAACAAAAAGAAAATGAAGTACTGATACATGCTACAACATAGATCAACTGTGAAAACATTATGCTGAGTTAAAGCAGCCAGTCACAAAAGACCACATACTATATGATTCCATTTATATAAAATGTTCAGATTAAGCAAATCTGTATAGAAACAGAAAGTAGATTAGAGGCTGCCTAGGGCTGCGGGGTTGGGGGAAGAATGGGGAGTGGCTGCTAATGGAAAAAGGATTTCCCTTGGGGTGATAAAAATGTTCTAAAATTGACTGTGCAGATCGTTATGCAACTCTATAAATACATAAAACCATTTAATTGAAAACTTTTAATGGCTGAATTACGTACAGTATGTGAATTATATCTCAATAAAGCTATTTTTTAGAAATACATATCCCAAGAGTTACTAAATCATAATCTTTGGACATAGAGCCCTACATTCCATATTTTGACATGCTGCACAGGTTAACTTTAGTAGCCAGTCTAGCACCATTCTCAAAATTTGTGAACTACAACACCAAACAATTAAGCAATTTAAAAACATTAATACAGCAACTTAATATAAATAACTGGATTATATATATATTACACAATAGTGTGGAATAAGAAGAGAATGTTTACATATTCATATACTCTTGGGTAAGTTACATAAAGGCCAAGATTGTATTCATCTTCTAATGGTTCATATTGCCTTACATATAAGATATTCAAATATTTATGAAATGAAAATACTAAGCTGTTCCTCTAAGATCACACAGGTATTTTCAGAACACTATTTCTATAGTGAAGAGAATAATACGAAACACAAAACATCCACACTGAGAGAACTGTTTGTGTTCTTTTTAAAAATCACAGCCAAAGTACTGAAGTATAACATAATATATTCAAGGAGCTCCCTCTGGTGGCTTAATGGCCACTCCTTTGCTTTAACAGAGCCTTTAAAAAAAAACCTATGACTTACAGGAACTGGAGCAAAAAAAAGTCTCACAATACATGAATATTTTGTGGACAGGTTGAATAATAACAACTTAATGCACATTAGCTTAAATTTGTGCAATTAAAACATGACAGTATCTTAAGTGGTTAAAGCTTTCCTTTTTCAGGCTTGAAGTTAAAAATTCTAACGGGCCATTGTGAATTTCAACCTAAAAGATGCTTTAATTTCCAGGGGGAAAAGAAGTCTTTTAAAAAAATGAGATAAAAAAAAATCAAGGGAAAGGCCGTGTGTGGTGGCTCATGCCTGTAATCCCAGCACTTTGGGAGGCCGAGGTGGGTGGATCACTTGAGCCCAGGAGTTTGACAATAGCTTGAACAACATGGCAAGACCCCGTCTCTACAAAAAATAGCTGGGTGTGGTAGTATGCACATGTAGTCCCAGCTACTTGGGAGGCAGAGGTGATTGCTTGAGCCTGGGAGGTGGAGGTTGTAGTGAGCCAAGATTGCACCACTGCACTATGGCTTGAGTGTAGTGAAGGTCCTGTCTCAAAAAAAAAGAAAAAAAAAATCAAGGGAAAAACCTATATTTACAATCATGCAAAAATCATATTTAAAATACTTCAGAAATCTGGGGTTTATTTTCTTTTAATTCTTTTGTTAGAAGATTTGAAAAACTTTCCACACAATCGACTGCCGTTTCTTTTTTTTCCTACTTACTTTTTCTTTTCTTCAAATGTTTTTTTCATTGTGGTAAAATACATAAAACAAAATTTATCATTTTAACCATTTTTAAGTGTGCAGTTCTGTGGCATTAAATACTTTCACATTGTTGTTCACAGAAACTTAGTTTTAAGTGAAAAAAAAAATTTTTTTTTTTTTGAGACACAGTCTCGCTCTGTCACCTGGGCTGGAGTGTAATGGCACCATCTCTGCTCACTGCAACCTCCACCTCCCAGGTTCAAGTGATTCTTCTGCCTCAGTCTCAAAAGTAGCCAGATTACAAGCACATGTCACCATGCCTGGTTAATTTTTGTATTTTTACTAGAGACGGGGTTTTACCATGTTGGTTAGGCAGGTCTCCTGACCTCAAGTGATCCACCTGCCTCGGCCTCCCAAAGTGCTGGGATTACAGGCATGAGGCACTGCACCTAGCCAGTGAAATGTTTTTAAAATAAGCTATATAATACTTCAAGGGCTGATTATTATTTAGTTCTCAATGGTCTAGCTCAGACCATACTTGTCTGCCTGATGAAGTTTGAGGGCAACGACTCTGCCTGAAATTCAAAACATTTATAACTACCATCTGAATCATTTGCCTATGATTCAGAATATTTGATAGTAGAGATATTATTCAGAATATTATTAACTGAAATCTGAAAATTCCAAAGCATGCTGCTTTTATATACTGAATATTAATGGAAAATAAGGAAAACATTAAGAAAACCAACACATTACTTGATTCTGTCAGCCATATGAAGAAACAGATTATACACTTGGCTACAATCCTACCCAAACACTAGGGACTTTCTATGATATCATTTATCCAGATTCACCAACAGTTCTGATCTCTCCATTCAGTCAGGCTGATACATGGCCAAGAGATAAGGCAACTCGCTTCTACAAGTCCACTCGAGCGTGTATTCCTTACAGACATAATGACGTAAAGATACAAACACTCCCAACTTCCCATCTCTCTCTACCCCCACAATGGTAGTTTTATTCCATGGGAAGACAGAGAATTCCATGTGTATATATTCCAAACATTAAAATGGATTACATTTGTAAACCATTTAGAATAAATAAGCATCTTAAAAATGGTCCATGAAATAAATTTACTTTGAATTCATATTTCACTGAACTCTATTAGAAAACATAAAACATATTTCCAAAGAAATTTTGATCCACGGCACATTTTTTTAAAAAAGGACATTTATAAGAATCCAACCCACCTGACTGATTTCATACCAATGAAATACAACTACTGATAATCACAAGTAAAAATATACAAAAAGTATATATAACACTAAGTAAAAACACTAGAACACAAAATTATCTATAAACTTTCTGAGCTATATTAAAAATACGGGCAATATATATTTGAATATAAATAGGAAGGCCCGCTGGACGTGGTGGCTCACGCTTGTAATCCTAGCACTTTGGGAGGCCGGGTGGATCACTTGAGGTCAGGAGTTCGAGGCCAGCCTGGCCAACATGGTGAAACCCCATCTCTACTAAAAATACAAAAAAATTAGCCGGGCATGGTGGCACATGCCTGTAATCCCAGCTACTCGGGAGGCTGAGGCAGGAGAATTGCCTGAACCTGGGAGGCAGAGGTTGCAGTGAGCCGAGATCACGCCATTGCACTCCAGCCTGGGGGACAAGAGCAAAACTCCATTTCAAAAAAAAAAAAAAGAAAACCCAAAAAACAAATAGGAAGGTCCACAACAAAATTTAGTAAAATTAAATGCGTGTGTAAATACTGGGGATATGTTTTACGCTTTTATTATATAAAACTCTTAAAAGCACACTAAAAGTTATAGCAAGTTTATTAAAATACATACTTCACAGAAAAAAATTACAGATCAAAGTTATACTACTCAAATTACTTCAAAGAACCAAATAACTTTAATAAAGTCTCTATTTCAAGAATTAGATATGTAGGTACAGAATCAATTTCAAATGTTCTAGAGCTTCCTTTTCATTACCTCAACCTGAAGTAGTTTTTTTACATTAGATTTTATTTTTAAAAATGGATACATAATAATTGTACATATTTATGGGATAGATGTGATATTCTGACACATGCATACAATGTGTAATGATCAAATAAGAGTAACTGGGATATCGTCAGCAGCTGCTTTTAAACATTAAGAATAAAAGCTCTCTCCCTCTCCCTCTCCCTCTCTCCCTCCCTCCCTCTCTCCCTCCCTCCCTCTCTCCCTCTCTCCCTCTCCCCATGGTCTCCCTCTCCCTCTCTTTCCACAGTCTCCCTCTGATGCCGAGCCGAAGCTGGACTGTACTGCTGCCATCTAGGCTCACTGCAACCTCCCTGCCTGATTCTCCTGCCTCAGCCTGCCGAGTGCCTGCGATTGCAGGCGCGCGCCACCACGCCTGACTGGTTTTCGTATTTTTTTGGTGGAGACGGGGTTTCGCTGTGTTGGCCGGGCTGGTCTCCAGCTCCTAACTGCGAGTGATCCGCCAGCCTCGGCCTCCCGAGGTGCCGGGATTGCAGACGGAGTCTCGTTCACTCAGTGCTCAATGGTGCCCAGGCTGGAGTGCAGTGTCGTGATCTCGGCTCGCTACAACCTCCACCTCCCAGCCGCCTGCCTTGGCCTTCCAAAGTGCCGAGATTGTAGCCTCTGCCCAGCCGCCACCCCGTCTGGGAAGTGAGGAGCGTCTCTGCCTGGCCGCCCATCGTCTGGGACGTGAGGAGCCCCTCTGCCTGGCTGCCCAGTCTGGAAAGTGAGGAGCGGCTCTGCCCGGCCGCCATCCCATCTAGGAAGTGAGGAGCGCCTCTTCCCGGCCGCCATCCCATCTAGGAAGTGAGGAGCGTCTCTGCCTGGCCGCCCATCGTCTGAGATGTGGGGAGCGCCTCTGCCCCGCCGCCCCGTCTGGGATGTGAGGAGCGCCTCTGCCCGGCTGCGACCCCGTCTGGGAGGTGAGGAGCGTCTCTGCCTGGCCGCCCCGTCTGAGAAGTGAGGAGACCCTCTGCCTGGCAACCGCCCCATCTGAGAAGTGAGGAGCCCCTCCGCCCAGCAGCCACCCCGTCTGGGAAGTGAGGAGCGTCTCCGCCCGGCAGCCACCCCGTCCGGGAGGGAGGTGGGGGTCAGCCCCCGCCAGGCCAGCTGCCCAGTCCGAGAGGGAGGTTGGGGGGTCAGCCCCCCACCAGGCCAGCCGCCCAGTCTGGGAGGGAGGTGGGGGGATCAGCCCCCCGCCCGGCCAGCCGCCCCGTCCGGAAGGGAGGTGGGGGGGTCAGCCCCCCGCCCGGCCAGCATACCCGTCCGGGAGGGAGGTGGGGGGGTCAGCCCCCCGCCCGGCCAGCCGCCCCGTCCAGGAGGTGAGGGGTGCCTCTGCCCGGCCGCCCCTGCTAGGAAGTGAGGAGCCCCTCTGCCCGGCCACCACCCCATCTGGGAGGTGTGCCCAGCGGCTCATTGAGAACCAGCTATGATGACAGTGGCGGTTTTGTGGAATAGAAAGGGGGGAAAGGTGGGGAAAAGATTGAGAAATCGGATGGTTGCCGTGTCTGTGTAGAAAGAAGTAGACATGGGAGACTTTTCATTTTGTTCTGTACTAAGAACAAATTCTTCTGCCTTGGGATCCTGTTGATCTGTGACCTTACCCCCAACCCAGTGCTCTCTGAAACATGTGCTGTGTCCACTCAGGGTTAAATGGATTAAGGGCGGTGCAAGATGTGCTTTGTTAAACAGATGCTTGAAGGCAGCATGCTCATTAAGAGTCATCACCACTCCCTAATCTCAAGTACCCAGGGACACAAACACTGCGGAAGGCTGCAGGGTCCTCTGCCTAGGAAAACCAGAGACCTTTGTTCACTTGTTTATCTGCTGACCTTCCCTCCACTATTGTCCTATGACCCTGCCAAATCCCCCTCTGCGAGAAACACCCAAGAATGATCAATAAAAAAATAAATAAATAAATAAATAAATAAATAAATAAATAAATAAAAAGAATAAAAGCTTAGCCTGGTTGCGGTGGCTCATACCTGTAATCCCAGAACTTTGGGAGGCCAAGGTAGGTGGATTACTTGAGGCCAGGAACTATTTGCCAGGAACTAGTGAACAACAACAAAAATCCCTACCCTCATGAATTTCTGCACTGTAGTGGAGGAAACTGGTAATAAACTAATTGAAAATAGATTAGAAAGTGATAACATTGTGGAGAAAAACAAAGCAGAGTAAAGTAGAGTAGAAACGTGGGAATGGCGTAGAGGGATGGTTATTACTTGATATAGTGTGATCAAGAAAGGCTCTATTCATAAAGCAAGTTTTGAGCACAGACCTCAAAGAAAAGACAGCAGCAAGTACAAACTTGTTTTTGCAGGTAAGTACTTGGCATGTTTAAGGACAACAGGTTTGGCAAGGCTGTACCGGGACTAGCAAGGGAAGAGTAGCAAATGAGACTTGGAAAGGTAATGAGGCTGTCGGGGGCTTTGTAGACAGTTGTAAAGACTCTGGCTTGCTTTTTTTTCTTGAAACCAAGTCTCACTCTGTCTCCAGGCTGGAGGGCAGTGGCATGATCTCAGCTCACTGTAACCTCTGCCTCTCAGGTTCAAGCAATTCTCCTACCTCAGCCTCCTGAGTAGCTGGGATTATAGGCACACACCACCATGCCCAGCTAATTTTTTTTTTTTTTTTGTATTTTTAGTAGAGAAGGTGTTTCACCATGTTGGCCATGATGGTCTCAATCTCTTGACATCGTGAGATCAAGGTCACAAGGCCCACCTCCCAAAGTGCTGGGATTACAGGCAGGAGCCACCGGGCCCGGCCGACCCTGGCTTTTACTGAGTGGGATGAAAAGACACTGAAAAGTTTCAAGCAGGAGAGTGTAACGATCTGACTTCCATCATAAAAGGAACATTTGGGCTGCTCACATGAGAACAGACTAAGAGGGTAAGTCTGAAAGCAGTTAGACTAATCATGAGATTATTATAACCCTGGTGGAAAGTGAGGGTGGCTAGGACTAATATGGTGGTAAAAATAATGAGAAGTAGTCAGACCGTGAATATATTTTGAAGTCACAATTGACAGGATATGACGTAGAAAGAGTAGTCAATAATGACTCCAATATGGAAGATGAGAACAAATGGAAGGGCAGAGTTCCCATTTACTGAAATAAGTAAGATCAATTTGGAGAGAGAATGAAATCAAGAGTTCATTTTTATATATGGTAATTTTGAGATGTCTATTAGAAACACAGCTGGAGATGTTAAGACAGGTATCAGTCTCCAGTTCAGGAAAGGAGTCCAAGGTGGAGATACAAATTTGAGAGTCAGCTTATAGATGTTATCCATTAGAAAGTTCGTATGGATACAAAAAAGAAGATATCTGAGGCCTGAGACCTTGAGCACCTCAGCATTTAAAAGCCCTGGAGGTGAGGAGGAACTTGCAAAGGAGGCTGAGAAGCAGCAGTCAATGAGGTAGGAAGAAAACCAGAAGAATGTAATACCAGGGACTCAAATGAAGAAAATATTTCAAGAAGGAGGGGGCAATCAAGTGAGTCAAAAACTGAGGTCAAGGAAGAAGAAAAATGACCCATGGATTTAATAATATAGACATCAGGAGCCATTTCACAACAGCTGTTTCATAACAGCTGTGACAAAGAAAGCCATGAGTGAAGTGGGTTCAAAATGAAATGAACTGGAGACAGTATAGACAATCTTTTGGGAAAGTTTTGTTGTTAAAGGGACCAGAAATATAGAGAGGTAGTTGGAAGGACATAAGGGAAAGTTCCTTTTTAAAAAGACTTAAGATATAGGATATTTGTTTGCTAACATGAATGATTCAGTAGAGAGAAAAAACTATAATGATGCAGGAGAGAGCGCAAAGTCCTTTAGCAGGCAAAAAAGAATCACAGTATGCAAATGATTGAGTTGATCCTAACTGGGAACAGAAACAGGTCATCCAAAGTAAAACGAAGAAAGGTAAAATATTTGCCAACAGGTAAGACTGACTAGCAGAAGTAATTGTGGGAAAGTTTTCTTCCAATTGCTTCTATTTTCTCAGTGAAGTAGGAAGAAAATATTGGTCCTTGTGAAAAGCAAAGAGAAGGTAAAAAATAATCACCTAGGAAGTAGAAGAGTAAATACACTGAGGAAATATAATAGGGTGACCAGAAGGTGCTAATTTGATATTGTTGGTTACATATTGAAAGTTAGACTAGTTACAATAGTCATATGCTTTCTCCAGCCATATTCCACTGACCAGCTTCAGGCACAAATGAAGTGGAGAGTTGGATTTCACAAAGTTAAGTTTTTTGGTTATTGGTAATAATGGAAGAGAGGGCAAGAGAGCTGACCATTTGGAAATTATTATAAATGAATATGGAATTTAAGCCAGGTAAGGAAAATAGAAACAAAGAGGGGGAATAAAGGAAGTTATTAGGATTCATGGATCCAAATGGGACAGATGTTTTGGAGGCAGACTCCTAAAGAAGTAAGCTAGAAACACAGGAAGTGGTGATCAGGGAACGGGATGATTATAAATGAGGCTAAGAAAGAGTTGTTATTATTGATAATAAAAATTTTAATGGCATGGCCATAGGTGAGAGTTTCAAGTTAAAGTGGGAGACAAGATATTTGAAAGAGAATGATCAAGAAAATAAGCCAGGCACGGTGGCTCATGCCTGTAATCCCAGCACTTTTTGGGCAGCCAAGGCAAGAGCATTGCTTGAGCCCAGGAGTTTGAGACAAGCCTGGGTAACATAGTGCAACCCCACCACTACAAAAAATAAAAAATTAGCTGGGTGTAGTGGCACTTGCCTGTGGTTCAGCTACTCAGGAAGTTGAGGAGGTGGATTGCTTGAGCTCAGGAAGTTAAGGCAGCAGTGAGCCATGACCGCACTACTGTCCTCTAGCCTGGGCAACAGAGCAAGACTCTTTCTCAAAAAGAAAAGAAAAGAGAAAGAAAGAAAATGAAAACAAAAGGCCATGTTCTATAGGAAGTATCATCTTTTTTTATACTAAAACTGTAAAGAATTATGACAATATTGGAAGGAGTGACAGTGAGTCAGGTGTTAAACTCTTCAAAAGACAAGGGTTGGCGGGGCGTGGTGGCTCATGCCCGTAATCCCAGCGCTTTGGGAGGCCAAGGCGGGCGGATCATGGGGTCAGGAGATCGAGACCATCCTGGCTAACATGGTGAAACCCCGTCTCTAATAAAAATACAAAAACAAAATTAGCTGGGTGTGGTGGCGGGCGCCTGTAGTCCCACAGTCCCAGCTACTCAGGAGGCTGAGGCGGGAGAATGGCGTGAACCCGCGAGGCGGAGCTTGCAATGAGCTGAGATTGTGCCACTGCACTCCAGCCTGGGCGACAGAGGGAGACTCCACCTCAAAAGAAAAAAAAAAAAAAAAAAGACAAGTGTCTACAGATGATCCTAACACAGAAGAGCAGTAGGTGATACAGTCTGGTAGCAAAAGCATCAAGGTAGAGAGATGAGGAGAATGGCAGGATCAGGCAGCAGGGAGAGTCTGGCAATGAGAAGCAAGGGAAACATTTCCTTCATCCTACCTCTAGACCCAATAATATTAAGGGATTAGAGAAAACAGCCAGCATGTAAGACAGCTGCAGAACAGTGTGTTCAGGGACAAACCAGGTTTTCAAGCAAAAAAGGTGAAGACATCTTTAGAAGTTTAAAATACAGTGGATTTTGCCAAGAATGTACTATAAGAGAGTTTTCTGGAAGAGATTACAGGTTGGTGCAAAAGTAATGGCGGTTTTGCTTTCAATGACAAAAACCCCAACTACTTTTGCACCAACCTATAGAAAACTATGCAGGGGTGGGGGCAGATCAGAGTATGACCAGAGTCTTACAGCAATAGGAGAGTCTAGGCAGTGAGGGAAAGCTGGAGTCCTAGGCTTCCTGTGGTGACTGAAGTAAAGAGAGATAAAACGATAAGATGGAATTGGCCCACTTAGGTTTGAATACATCTTTTTAAAGATAGATAAAACCAGCAGGCCAGTTACCATATTGCCCCTCAGCTCCAAATCTACTCTTCATTGTCCAGCTTGTGATGCTAGAGCTGGACGTTGTAAACATTTCTTCTTTGATTGCTAACACAATATTAAGCTTTGTCAGTAAAACTGAGAGGGTCACTGCAAAGGCAGAAGCTTCTCTTCCTGATTAGTGTGTTTCCTTTCTTCCTGTTACTGCAGCAAGTGGGACAAACAGCAGCACTCACCCCTACAGGCACCTTCCAGGAGTGTTTGGCCAGTGCCCCTACCAGCTTCCCTGTGAGTTTCAGCAGCACCTGCAAGAAGAGCTTCCCACAGAATTCTGCTGGTGCCTCAGCCAGCATCCCAGCTAGAGCAGCACCAGATAAGTTCCACTGGCACCCCAGCAGGCTTCCCAGTGAGTTCAACGGCTCCTCAAGTGGCTTCCCAGTACATTCTACTGACACTCCAGGCAGTTTCGCAGGGAGTTTCGTCAGCTCCACAGTGGACACTTTCCTCTTTGCCAGCCCCAGACTGTGGGGCCATCGAGTGAGCTACTGCCATACCCTACCCAGTAAGGTCTGAATCTCAGCCTTCGCGATGGGGTTAGGGTTTCTTTAAAAATTTGTGTCTTCTTTGGGTACTCTGCCTCAGCACTAGGAATAGCAGCTGCTTCCTGTATCTGCTATTACTGCATGCTTTAAAAAAAAAATTTTTTTACAATCTCTCATTTTATTATTATAATTTTTCTAAATTTCTTTTTTGTTTTTTTTTTTGAAACAGAATCTCATGGTCACCCAGGCTGTAGTGCAGTGGCGCACTCTTTGGCTCACTGCAACCTCCGCCTCCCCGGTTCAAGTGATTCTCCCACTTCAGACTCCTGAGTAGCTGGGACTATAGGTGTGCGCCACCACACCTGGCTAATTTTTGTATTTTTAGTAGAGAAAGGGTTTCACCATGTTGGCCAGGCTGGTCTGGAACTCCTGACCCCAAGTGACCCACCCGCCTTGACCTCCCAAAGTGCTGGGATTACAGGCGTGAACCACCACACCTGACCTATGATAGATTTTAAACAAAGTGACTGATCATTCCTACTATATAAAGTTTATCTTACAGCAGTGTGTATACATACATATCTAAGGCTGTGTATATGTATATGTATGTGTATGTAATCCAAAATGAAACAAGCTCCATATACCAAAGCATGCAGCTACTGACATAAAGAAAATGTCAAATTCCTGCAACTATCACTGTGTTCTTGGGCATGTCGCTTAAATTCTACAGGTCTTCATTTTTCATCTGAAATATGACAGAGTAGATTATATGATCACATTCCTTCCAGCTCTATGATTCTGTTTATCTGATTGTGAATTCTCAAATACCAAATATTTCCAGATTTTTATCAAGAATGTCATAGGTATTTATTTCATTTATGCACAAAAACAAATGGCTCTGCTTAGGTTGCTCAAAAGTTATTTCATTTATAATGTCACTCGCTTTTTATTACACTAATTATATTACTTAATATATTTACTTAATGACTTTTTATGACTCCTGTAAGGCTTCTCAGTTTTAGAGGACTGGTAAAACACAGAAGGAGGACATTCCTTGGTAACTTAATAAAAGTAATCCTATAATATCAAGGTAACTGAATTGAGCTGCAATGAAATAAGGTTGAATTGAATTTGTTATTAACACATGGTATGTAACATGATCATACCTGTTTATGTTTTTGCAGTGGTTTCTTTTCGTGTAATTTTTTATCTCCATATTTCTTATATGCTAAAGGTATTCCATATTTAGCGGCAGGCTTTGTAATTTTCTGAGCAGGCATAACAGAAATCGAGTTTTGTCCTGAAGCTGGTCTTTTAGCTAGATGAAAAGATACAAAGAATTTTGTCTGCAGTTCTTTACATTAACTCTTTACTTTCAGAATTCTTCAAGATAGCACTGTTTAATTTTCATAATCATTGATAGTATTTTAAACTTTCTATCAAATATCTTAATTCATCCCTTAGTATTTACTAATGCCTTAACTATTTTACCCTAAAGTCACTTTTTGACAGAAGCTAAAAGCCAAATTCCTCTAACATGTTGAAGTTTTTAATATTAAAAAAAAAAATCCCTGAAATTGACTGTGAGTGATGGTTGCACGTATCGGTGAATATACTAAAAATAATTTAATCATGAATATACTAAAAAAAATTTAATTGTAGACACCAAATGTATAAACTGTATGGTATGTAAGTTATGTATCAATAGAGCTGTTAAAAATAAAGGCCAAGCGCGGTGGCTCACGCCTGTAATCCCAGCACTTTGGGAGGCCGAGGCGGGTGGATCACGAGGTCAGGAGATCTAGACCATGGTGAAACCCTGTCTCTACTAAAAATACAAAAAATTAGCTGGGCTGGTGGTGGGCGCCTGTAGTCCCAGCTACTTGGGAGGCTGAGGCAGGAGAATGGCGTGAACCCAGGAGGTGGAGCTTGCAGTGAGCCGAGATTGCGCCACTGCACTCCAGCCTGGGCGACAGAATGAGACTCCGTCTCAAAAATAATAATAATAATAATAATAATAGTTTTTAAAAAATTCACATTTTAGAAACTACTTTCAAAATCAGAAGATAATCAAGAGCCACTGTTAAGCATTAATTACATCAATATAAGCAACTTTTTTCCTTCATATAATGTCTGAATGGTATCTATACCTACAGACCTGACAAAAAAGAAATATCTTAAAACAATCATTATCATTAAGGGTTCCACAGAATGGGTACCTTAAAGACTGCTGGCAGAAATATAAATTGGTTACACTTTCTGGAGAGCAATCTATATTAAGAATATTATTTATGAATTGATTATTAAAGAAATAATCAGAGAAACTCCATGCACAAGAATAAACCCTGCAGTATTATGTATTTAACCCTTAATGAAGCCTAGATGAGGTTCAGTCTTAGAAGGGATAAGTTCAAGAAAAACACCCTAAGGTAATAAAAAGGAAATTCTACTATTTATTCACATCTCTGGAGGATATTAAAAGAAGTCAGAGTAGAGTCTACATAAACCCTTATTGAAACCCTCTTTCCCTCTCTTATTTTTAATATCTGCCAAGATACCCCTCTGCTCAAACTCCCCTAAAGCCTAAGCAGCAGCTTGCTTTCTTCCACTTGCAGACTGCTCTCTAGCTCAGGATTTTATATTGTGCTAAATCAATTTAAATCAATCTCTTCCAGAAGTGTTCTTACTTTTTAGGAGGGGAAAGGAGAAAAAAATTTAACTGGTAGTTCAAAATGAAATCCTACGACTAAACTCAGTTCTTCAAAAAAATGTAATTGTAATAGAAAATGTTCATCATATAATAGTATAAATTAAAAGAAACAAAACTTCTAATAACGCATTCTCAATTTGTAGTTATGCATATATCATCACAGAAAAATATATCAAATATAACAGTGTGTGTTAAAATTGGGGTAATTTTTCTTTTAAAACATTTTTATAATAAATATCTATTTTGCATATAATTTAGTAAACTGTTTTAAAAATAAAAACAATATAAGCCATTAAGTCGGCATTTTAGAGATTCAGAAGTAATTTTTGTTGACAATATGGGATATACGACGTGATAGGGTAAGGTTTTCCAAACACATACTCCAACTGCATCTTGACCCAGAAACCAGGAAGCATGAGAAAAAAAAGATTTCCCTTTGAGAGTTCAACAGTACAATCAAATTAGAACATACACATACACATATACACACACAGTCACAATACTGCAACCTGGCTAAACGTGTTAATAGAATCAAAGAAATACAGCGCATGCCAGAAAAGGGGCTAGAGGCGCAAAAGCATAAAAAATAAAGATTTCTAAGAAACAAATATGAACAGTCCCATCTACTTTCCAGAGAAAAGAAAGAATTACTTATCTGATTTTAGAGTATTTTTCAGGATCATTGACAAGGCTACCTATGGCATGAAGTTTAACATAGGGGACTGGAGGCGACAAAGTATTTATCAGTAATACTACTCCTATTAAGCATTTCATTCAACCAAATGCTCTTACGACAAATTACTTTCTAATTCCTATATGGGTTTATCCATGTGGAAAGAACGTGCTGACACTGGGTATTTCCAGCTTTTGTGACAAAGAGCCTTTTGATTAAGATATGACTTCTACGAAGCTTGACTGCCCACTGCCCAGAGAAATCATGCTGATTCTTGGTCTCTTGTAAATTCTAAGTGAGTTGACTTCTCAGGGATTGGTGGTCTCTGCAATGAGAGGATGTGTAAGGGTCTTTAAGAAGGGCTAAATGCAGCTGGTGGCTCATGCCTGTAATCCCAGCACTTTCGGAGGCCAAGGCAGGCAGATCACGAGGTCAGGAGATTGAGACCATCCTGGCCAACAGGGTGAAACCCTGTCTCTACTAAAATACAAAAAATTAGCTGGGCGTGGTGGTGGGCACCTGTATTCCCAGCTACTTGGGAGGCCGAGGCAGGTGAATCCCTTGAACCCGGGAGGCAGAGGTTGCAGTGAGCTGAGATTGCACCACTACACTCCAGCCCGGCGACAGAGCAAGACTCCATCTCAAAAAAAAAAAAAAAGACGGGCTAAATGCAGCTTGCCTTCCTGAGAACGCACTGTCATACCACTTCTAGCTAAATGGGCTCATTTTTATGATACATATTTTTATTAATTTGTCCAAATTCAAAATGGAGTAGTACAAATAATTACGTTTGAAAAACAATATACCCTTCACGTATTAAATAACTTCCATTGATTTTAGAAATCCATTCTGAAATCATTCTATTCAGGAAAAAAATAATTTCCCTCTCACATAGATACATCTAAATACATATACATAGTATATAACCATATTCACAATCTTACAATGATTCTAATACCACTGGTCACATTGTTTAAAAGAAAACCTATCTTTAATGAAGTGCTTGACTTTACATTCACTTAATTTAAAAAATTCAGAATATGAAATATTTCTCAAAGAAAATATTTTACAACTGGGTGCGGTGGCTCACGCCTGTAATCTCAGCTCTTTGGGAGGCCGAGGCGGGTGGATCACCTGAGGTTGGGAGTTTGAGACCAGTCTGGCCAACATGGTGAAACCCCATCTCTACTAAAAATACAAAAAATTAGCTGGGCTTGGTGGTGGATGCCGGTAATCCCAGCTACTCGGAGGCTGAGGCAAGAGAATCACTTGAACCTGGGAAGCGGAGGTTGCAGTGAGCCGAGATTGTGCCACTGCGCTCCAGCCTGGGCAAGAGCGAAACTTCATCTCAAAAAAAAAAAAAAAAAAAAAAGATAATATTTTATATAAAGATTTACACAAAAATTGGACATTTTACAATTCTATAACAACGTTCTCAAAATATCAGCTAGGCATTTGATAAAGACATAAGATTTCAAGCCAGATTTCATTTAAATAAAATGAACAATAAATGAGAATGTTATTAATTTATAAGAAACTGTATATTGCCATAAAACATTAATAATTCTAAGGTGCATTTTCTCTGGATTAAATTTATCCTAGAATTATCCCAACTTACTACATCTACATATATTTCCAGTTTAATTAGGGTTGATTATTGCAAACAGATGAAAGGCTTCATATCAGATTTCATTTACCTGGTATAGGCTGTGATCCAAACTTCGAAAATGTTTTTAGACAAAATTCTTCTGCAATAAGCTGAGATTGAAAGAGAAAAAAATTAGAAAAGATGTTACATTTTCAAAATAAAAAACCTACCCATTAATTATAATACATCTTCCCCTTTTTCAGTAGTAATTATGCTGCCAAATAAACTGTACTAAAACCAAGTTGTTAAAAAAAAAAAAAAAAAAAAAAAAGAAGCCCAGGTGTCGTGGTTCATGCCTGAAATCCCAGCACTTTAGGAGGCTGAGGGGAAGATCGCTTGAGCAAGGAGTTAGAGTTCAGCCCTGGCAACACAGTGAGATCTCGTCTCTATTTTAAAAATTAAGAAAAATAAAAAAAAATCCATTCAATAAATTCCTCTCATGCTTACTCCCTCCCAATCTTATTTATGTATGTATCTGTGGGTGTATGTTTTTGAGACAGGGTCTCACTTTGTTGCTCAGGCTGGAGTACAGTGAGACAACAATGGCTCACTGCAGCCTTGACCTCCTAGGCTCAAGCAATCCTCCCATCTCAGCCTCCTATTAGTTGGGACCACAGGCGTGTGTCACCATGCCAGGCTGATTTAAAAAAAATTTTTTTTGGTTTATTTTTTATGGAGATGGGGGTCTCCTTATGTTGCTCAGGCTGGTCTCGAATGTATGGGATCAAGTGATTCTCCTTCCTCAGTGTTCCAAAGTCCTGGGATTAAAGGTATGTGCCACCGTGCCCAGCACTAATTTATTTTTATTAGTTCTCCAGATAGAGGCTTTCTTCTCAAATTAATGTAATGAACAAGGTAGGCATCCATACATTACTCGCCTATTTCATCTCTCAGCAATTTAACACAACTACCTATCTGGAAAAATCTCTATATTCTGTGTGCATCCATAGCCTTCACTTTCTTCAAAACTACTGAAGAATCTCTTCATTATCAAAAGAAATTATCTAGTAATCTCTCAGTTATTTTAATTTACTCTGAATCCTCTTAACATCTCCAATGAGTTTTGTAGCTCATAATTATAAATTATAACTAATTTTATTAAGTTATTGAATATGTAAATATTCTTAATTCAACAAATGTACCCATTTAATATTAGTATAAACGCTCCATTATATATTCTCCAGCATTTATAAACATAGATGTTTATAAATCAGGAACAAAAATCATTTACATTTTCTGCAAGTAATTTTTTCTCCTTACTCCATATTTTTCTCTCCTTCACTTCAAAACTATGATACCAACAAAGAATTAACTCGATTTATGCTTTTTTTTCTTACTTTGTGGGGAAGGCAAAGGCAAGTGAATTTTCTCTTTTTTCAAGAGAACTGATTCTTGGTGAGAGAATCTTCCTATATTAACAGTGGTCCAGACACTCCAATAGGCAAAAAAAAATACATGATCTGAGGGGGTTGTTTTTCCCATTAAGAAAATCCCTAGAGCAATTCTCAAAGTCTCATACCAGCAGGATCAGCATTACCTGGAACTTAGTAAACATGCAAACTGTCAGGCTCCACTTCAAAATTACTGAAACCGAGACTGTTGTGGTGAGACTCAGCAATGCCCTCTAGGTGATTCTGATGCATGCTAAAGTTTGAGAACCTTTTCACTAGTGGACAAATGTTAAGAGCCAAGTCTGGCTCACAGGCAATTTAGAGCAACCATGTGAACGTGTGTTCTCTTCTCAACAAATGCATTTTTTTCCTTTTCTTTTTCTTGGAAGAAAACAGGTGGTTTATGATCTCCATCTTGTCCCCAAATCTAATCATTTCTTCCACTGTTGGAGAAGTCTTTGTTTTCCTGTGTTAATGCTCATGTGAATTGAGAGATGGGGCATATAGAATCCAAGAAGATCCTGAAAACCCTACGTTATGTTTTCCAATAGAGTAGCCACTAGCCACATGCGCCTATTTGAATTAAAATTTAAGGTATATATATATGAAGCTTTTCAGTTATACCAAGGACATTTCAAGTGCTTACTAACCACATGTGGCTAGTGGCTGCAATATTGAACAATGCAGATATAGAACATTTTCATCATCACAGAGCATTCCACTGGACAGCCCCTACATTCCTAATGAATCAGAACTTACCCATGGTTTTTCAAGCCATATCCAGGAAGAAGTTGCCACAGTGCCCAAGACTGAAAACTAGGCCCTATCAACCACGGTTGATGGCCTTGAGAGGACTGAGGTATTAAAATGGTAGGGAGCACTACAGTGATACTGGAAATAATAGTTTATATGTTACACTAAAGCTCATGAATTGTTTCAAAGTTATAGCCTTTAAAAAAAGGTATCACAACTACTCAGGAGGCTGAGGAGGGAGGACTGCTTGAGCTCCAGAGGTGGAGGTTGCAGTGAGCTGAGACTGCACCACTGCACTCTAGCCTGGGTGACAGAGTGAGACTCCATCTCAAAAAAAAAAAAAAAAGTATCACAAAGCTTCTCACCTAAGTAGATATATAGTACAAAATAAATCTGAGGAACAGCAGATAAAGGTTTTTATCTTTAAACAACAAGCGATATATAGTAGAAAATAAATCTGAGAAACAGCAGATAAAGGTTTTCATGAAGAATGAAATCTAAGTGGTGCTTAAATAGTAACAAGTAGGGTCTATGTATATAATAAACACATAATGTCAAATATCCCATTTGTGAATAATCACAATCTACCCTTGTTTCTTTTCATATTATAAGTTTGGCACATTTTAGGCTTGAATATTTTCTCTTTCATTGCTAGCTAGCTAAATTCCAGTACTTCAGCCTTGAGACAGTATGTCCCAACTCCTGGTATAGGGAGAAAGAAACCTCAGCAAGACTAAATGAAGTCATTGTTTATTCTCTAGTGGCTGCCAAAAAAACAATAGTATGCTACATAATAAAAGTGTCCTCGCAAACGTTATTTATAACAAAGGAGTCTTGTAAGACACCCACATTTCAGAAGCTGCTGCTATGACCTATACAAGTAACCTTTAATCTCCAAATTTTATTTGGCTTTCTTGCATACTAATGCATTCTCCTGGTAGTAACAGTAAAATCAACATCTGTTTTCTGAAGAGTATTTGGTCACATGCATGTTCTGTTAAGTCAGAAGGATATATGATACTTCCTTCTTCTCCATGAGCATATAAAACTAATATAAAAAAACTATAGTTTTGCTGAATATCTTATTTACTGAAGAGGTTAACAGTTATTTAACAAAGACCTCACTAAACCAGAAAAGTAAAACAATTCCAATCTCAGGTGATCAAATTTTTATGAATAACTTATGCTAATTGATTTGATATAGATTGCTTCAAAAATCTTGTGAAATTAAAATTCAGTTAAACTCAACAAATATTATGCACCTACATGTGTGCACTAAAGGAGAAATCATGAGTCAGTAATCTAGTATACCTACATATAAATGGTTTCTAGTCATTTCCTATCAAAAAGAATATAACTATAATATATAAATTACGTTAATAACACATTTATAGGCCAGGCGTGGTGGCTCATGCCTGTAATCCTAGCACTTTGGGAGGCCAAGGTGGACAGATCACTTGAGCTCAGGAGTTCAAGACCAGCCTGGGCAATATGGTGAGTCTCTGCCTCTACAAAAAATACAAAAATTAACTGGGCATGGTGACATGTGGCTGTAGTCCCAGCTACTTGGGAGACTAAGATGGAAGGATGGCTTGAGCCCAGGAGATGGCAGTTGCAGTGAGCTATGATCATGATACTGCATTCCAGCCTGGGCAACAGAACTACAACCTGTCTCAAAAATAATTTAAAAAAAATTTGTATTAGTAAAATACATTGATATGTAGGTGATATTTAAGACATTAAATATTTTGAGCACTTACATGCTAGACATTAAGCACTTTATGTGTATTATCACTTTTAATTCTCACAATAACCTTATAGATACATTTAATAATCCCTTTGCTCACAGGTGAGGAGAGTGAAGCACAGAAATGCTCAATGATTTTACAGTTAGAAATCCAGAGAACAGAGGAATAACGCATAACTGGAAAGCAAACATTAAGAAAACAGTTATATAAGAATGGAAAGGCTGGGCGAACTGGTTCACACCTATAATCCCAGCACTTTGGAAGGCCAAGGTGGGATGATCACCTGAGGCCAGGAGTTCCAGACAAGCCTGAATAACATAATGAGACTGTCTCTAAAAAAAATTTTTTTTTAATATTAGCTGAGTGTGGTGGTGCACACCTGTAGTCTCAGCTACTCAGGAGGCTGAGGCAGAAGGACTGCTTGAGCCCAGGAGTTTGAGGCTGCAGTGAGCTATGATTTTGCCATTGTACTCCAGCCTGCACAACAGAGCAATACTCTGTCTGAAGAAAAAGAAAGACCATGGAAAGGAAAGTGACACTAATGTAGTTTGAAAAAGGCACACCATTCCTCCAAGATCCAGATGTGTTCTCCTCAACACTGGAGGCCATGTCTTAGCTAAGCAACATAACCCTACTGTTTAATTTTAAAGGAAAAAGAACTTACCTGAGGAGAGAGAAACTTTTCAATGCGTTTGGCTATAAAACCTTTCTCCAATATGGAGTTGACTGATGGTCTATCCCTAGGATTTCTTTTAAATAACTGAGACACCAAACTGCGGAGATCATAGGAATAATGCAAAGACACAGGTGGAAAAGATCCAGATATTATCTTCAGTACCAGGTTTTTCATACTGCCAGCTTCAAACTAAATTCCAGAAAATAAATAACATATAGGAAACATATATAAATTGAAACTGAGAATATCGGTAATGAGAAATAGTTCTTTTCCTACCAATATAGAATAGAAACACAATCCTCTTCCAAATAATTAGAATATGTTTTCTAGAGCAAAGTTTACTTGGTTATCTGTAAATTAATATCAGCCCTCAAAAAATAAGAGTAATTTTTACTTATTCGAAATATTTAAAGATGGGATGTATTAAATAAACGTTTCATAAACTATAACAATAATCAAATGGTGAAAGGTTATGCCTCAGAGGTAGCAAAATTAGGGCCAAAGAACCACAAGCAGAAAAAGAACAACCTGCTGGTCTTCATTTAAGACCTGACTTTTAGTGCCTCTGTTGTAATGACTAGAACAAGAAATTAACTACAGAACTAAAAGTATTGGGGGAAAATATAATAAATAAAACTACTAATACTTTCCTTTTAGACAATGCTCACTATTATGTGTGCGTGTGATGCTCCTAAAAGCTATGGAAATCAGCAATATAAAAAATATCTTAATAGGAATATATATGTCAGAATTAAACACAATATAAACTTTAAAGTAAAAAGAAAACAAGAGGTAGGGCAGTTTAAAATCTGAAGATTTCATTTTGAAAGAGGGCAATATTAAGCTTTTGATATCTCCACTAAAATATTACAGAACAATTGTACAATGTTGATATCTTCTTAATATACATATTAATAAAATAAAATGTACTATAAATTAGGCATCAGTGATTACAAAAGTTCTACTAAATGTTGAGCTCTCCTAAATGTCATTTGAGTAAATTCAATCTTACAGAAACATCTGTACACCTAAATAGGAATCCTAAATGCAGAAAAGATGTGGTTCTCTATTCCAATGCACTTTCGTTTATCTCTCAATTGACACGCTCTTCATAAAGGGTAAGTTACTGAATTTCATGTATCTTAAGACACATGCTACTTAAGAGTAAACAATCCCAAAATAAAGAAGAGATGGTGACAGAACAATGTAGTTGCAAAGATTTTTTAAAAACCCACAAACCAATGGTTTAAAGCTCAAATAACTGTGTTGCAGAAAAACTGATCAATTATTTCAAATAAGCATCTGATAACCACCATCCCACATTACTTTGTCAGCTTATGCTTTTTTCCTTAAGAAAGAAAAAAAAAACTAAGGCAATATAGTAAAAGGGTATGCAACCATTAAAAAGAATGACAAGAAAAAATATTCCCCAAATAGTATTAAGCAATAAAGTCAGGTTATAAAACTTCTTATAAAGTCTAATCAAACTTTTGGGGAAGAAAAAAAAATTTCATTTTACAGGTAGTCAATACTGGCTGGAAGAACTGCTTATGAACCTTATTCACTTATTTATATTTTCTGAAGTTTTGTGTAATGAAAATACAATATTGTTTAATCAGTGGGTAAAAAATGTTAATCACTTTCCATTTCAAAAAACTGCTTTTTTAAGATTAAACCTACTTAGGACAAGAACCCTCCCCCTTTTTAGTGTGTTATATGTTATTTCAAAAAAAAGTCTCAAAAGTAAAAATTTTAAATACTCTGAATTAATGATTACTCAAATTGATAAAAGTCATCAGTGAGTATATGGAATGAAATTCTTTAAATTAGTTCAATTCCAAACTCAATCTGGGTGTTTTGAAAGAATTCACTAAAACAAAACTAGTAAAATTTATTAAGCTGAAATATCAAATTCATACAAAATTTAACATTAAGAAAATAGCAAAATTTATTTCTGTCATTAGAAATAATTTTCTGGAAAATATGAAATATTATAAAATAGCAAATATACCAGATATGCATATATACAAAGGGAAATCGATTTATACTTCAGAAAAAATGAGAAATTCAAAAATGGACTTAGAGGAGAATTTCTAGGATGAGGGTTACCTGAAAGATAATATAACTTAAAATATAATAAAAACATTATAGTCGCTTTTTAACATAACTTTGAAAGTATTTCAGAAACTTCTACTTACAGCATGTTTAAGTGTACACAGCTCATAAAGGACACACCCCAGAGCCCAAATGTCACTGGAGAAGATAAAAATGAGAAATTTCCTCTAAGTATTTCAAATTTTTTCATTTAAAGGAAACACAAACAGCATAAAAGTGTTTTGGAAAAATATGTGCTCCAGAAAAAATTTCCTTTAAAACTAAAAATTTCAACCATAATCAAATGACAAAAGTAGCTGTCCCAGATTGGAAAAAGAAAATGGTTGCCCCAACAATTACTTTGAAGCTTCATTAAAGAAATTTAATATTTAAAAGAACAATATCAAAAAAATTCACGTAAATTCTATTTTTATTTCATAAAACTCAAACTTTTTTCAATTATTTGTAAAATACCATGATTTTAAAAATTATAAAACAAAATACTAATTTAATGGACATTAAAAATGTATTAAGAAATTTGCAACAGCTACTGACTAATGTTACCTTGGTTGGGATTTTCCAATTAGAGAGAGAAAATAAAGGGTAGCTGGAATTTAATGGTAGAATTGCTCTTTCTACGCACATATTATATAGTCTGCTAGCCAGACTACAGTGCTGTGATTAGAAATATGGGCTTGGGAGCCAGATGTCTAGTTTGGATGCTGATTCCACCACTTATTAGACTCAAGGATTTCAAAGAAGTTACCTTGCCTCTCTCTGCTTTTGGTTTCCTTATAAGAAGAGGAGGAATGATTAATACCTACATCTCCCAAAATTATTGTGAAGACTAAGAGAATACCTAGAACTCGAAACAGTACCTGGCTTATAGTGTGTTCAAGAAATACTAGCAATAATTTAATAAGAAGTGACTATCATGAAGAAAAGACCAAAGAAAGCACTCTACTTTCAATTATAACATAAATAATAAGGTGATTCTTTCTGCTGTTCTTCCAGTAAGATAATCAAATAGCTTTTTTACAATTCCCCTCACCATATATTAGCAACATTTTATATATACATATGTGTTTACATGTATGTATTATTTATTTTAGAATAGTATTCCAAAGGTTAATAAACATGACAACAAAAAAATTGAAAGCAAATACATCACATAATGAATATCATTTTAAATACCTTTTATTATTGTAAGGTTTGTTTTCACAGATTTCAGGTGACAAGTAGTATGGGGTCCCTATGCAAGTTCGAGCCAGCTCTACAGTACTAGAAGAAAAATAAAATTATTGGAGAAGTTAAAGACACAGTCATGTGCCACATTAATGTTGTTTTTGGTCTACAGCAGATCGCATATATGATGCTGGTCCCATAAGATTATAATGACACTGAAAAATTCCTATCACCTAGTGACACGGTGACTGACATACACTGTAGAGCAATTACTTTATTTTTTAATAAATTTAGTATAGCCGAAGTGTACAGTGTTTATAAACTCTACAGTAGCATACAGAAATGTGCTAGGTCTTCACATTCACTCACCACTCACTCACTCACAGAAAGCAACTTCCAGTCCAGCAAGCTCCATTCATGGTAAGTGTCCCATAAAGGTATATCATGTTTTATCTTTTATATTGTATCTTTTCTATGTTTAAACAAATATATACCATTGTGTTACAATTTCTTACAGTATTCAGTACAGAACATGCTGTACCGGTTTGTAGCCCAGAAACAATAGGCTACACCATACAGCCTGCCTGTGTAGCACACTCTATCATCTAGGTTTGTATAAGTACACTCTATAATATTCACCCACTGACAAAATCACCTAATGATGCCTTTCTCAGAACATGTCCCAATAAAGCAACATCCCAGTAAAGAATGTACTTAAAGATACCATAAATTATCACATATACATCATCATGGATTGAAGGTTCGCTGAAAACATTATATCAAAACAAAGTTTAAAATTCATGTTACCTATTAAGAACTCTAGCAATTCCAAAATCTCCAAGTTGTACTGTTCCATCTTTAGTTAAAAATATGTTCTGTAAAAGACAGGAAAAAAAAAAACCCTAGAAATATTGTTACAGTCCAGTTCTAAGTCAACATTTTTCATAAAATTTAAAATCCAGTTAAAAAAATTGTGCTAGAGTAACTGGATATTCACATACAAAAGAATAAATGAAGTCCCCTACCTCAAATCATAAACAAAAATTAATTCAAAATGGAGTCTAGATCTAAATATCAAAACTAAAATACAAAACTCCTAGAGAAAAACATAGGAATAAATCTTCATGCCATTGGGCTAGGGAATGGTTTCTTAGATATGACGTCAAAAGCACAAGCAAAAAAATTAAAAGGATAAATTGGACTATCAAAATTAAAAACTTTTGTGCATCAAAGGACACCATCAAGAAAAGAGACAATCCATAAAATGAGAGAAAATTTTTACAAATCATATATTTGAGAAAAAACTTTTATCAAGAAAAGGGCTTGCATAACTCAACAATAACAACAAAAAAAACCAAATAGTATGACTTAGAAGTAGGCAAAAGGGGCCAGGCGCAGTGGCTCACACCTGTAATCCCAGCACTTTGGAAGGCTAAGGCAGGCAGATCACTTGAGGTCAGGAGTTCAAGATCAGCCTGGCCAACATGGTGAAACCCCATCTCTACTAAAACTAAAAAAAATTGCCAGGCATGGTGGCAGGTGCCTGCAATCCCAGCTACTCGTTGGTCTGAGGCAGGAGAATCGCTTGAACCTGGGAGGCGGAGGTTGTGGTGAGCCTGAAATCACGCCACTGCACTCCAGCCTGGGCAAAAGAGCGAGACTCCGTCTCAAAAACAATAGATAGACAGACAGACAGACAGACAGACAGACAGGCAAAAGGCACATACTTCATAATACCCATTTATATAAAATGTCCAGAATAGGCCAATCCACACAGACAGAAAGATTAAGGGTTACCAGAGTCTAGGTGGAGAGGAATGGGAACTCACTGCTAATGGGTACGAGGTTCTTTTTGGAGTTATAAAAAATGTTCTGTAAGTTTCAGAGACTGGGAAGGAAAGTAATTTTTAGAGTATGGGAAGCAAGCAGGAGATCTAATACAGGATGCAGATGAATAGGATAAAAAGGAAGAGACAAGACAGATAATCTGATGCACACTAAATCAGGTTCAAAAATTTTTGGCCCAAAACAATGAAGGTTCCATGTCTTTATCCATTCAGAAGTTATCAGTGACAGAATAACATACCTGAGATTTAATGTCTCGATGAAGAATTTTTCTATCATGTACATGTTTCAGGGCCAAACATATCTGTACAAACCAGTCCAAAATCTAGGAAGAAAAATCAGATCTGTCAAGCCTCTCTTTGACCATTAAAAGAATTCAAGAATATTTAGGGATGAGAGGAACTAAATCCTTAAAAAGATATTTTAGGCTACAATTTCTTTTAACTTTGTAGGCACTGACATTAAATAGATATTCAAGTCAACACAAGCTCTGCACATACTAAATCCAAAATGTAAGAGATGTTACTGGGTCATCTCTTATAAATCAAAACAAACATGGAAAGTAACTTTATGAGTGAAAATGCAAATAATTTATATTTTATAATATTAAGACAAACAGGTGATTCTTCTTTGTTTTTAATACATCTTTTTTCTATAACGCCCCCCCCCCACTTCTTTAGGGATAGGGTCTTGCTCTATCACCCAGGCTGGAGTGCAGTCGTGTTATCATAGTTCACTTCAGCCTCAAACTCCTGGGTTTAAATGATCCTCCAGCCTCAGCCTCCGAGGGACTAGGACTATAGGTGCATGCCACCACGAGCAGCTAGTTTTTTATTTTTGTTTTTTTTACAGAGACAGTGTCCCACTATGTTGCCCAGGCTAGTGGTCTTGAACTCCTGGTCTCAGGAGTTCCTGAGATTCAAGTGTTCCTCCTGCCTTGGCCTCCCAAAGTACTGGGATTACAGGTACAAGCCACTGCATCTGACCTCTATAATGCTTTTTAAAAATATAAAAATCACAAAAGGAAAAAAATCAAGCTGGAAATTTGGAAGACATCTCTGACTTTTTTTCTCTTCCCACATTTATTATATATAAACACTCTTCTCTGGAGACGGCCACTTGGAAATAAAAAGGCTTAATTTCTATCTCATTGTTAACATCAAAACAATTCCAAGTACATGGCATTTTTAAACTAAAAAAAAATAATAAAAGAAAACATAGGTTAATTATCTGTAATAATTGACTAAAGCAGGACTTTCAAAACATGACATAAAATGCTTAAGTCATACGAAAAAGACTGATAAAGTTGACTACATACAATTTAAAACAACTGTAGAGCAAAATACATATAATCAAGTTTAATAATAATTTGAGAAAATACCTGCAACATAAATGATAGATTGCTAGTTCTCTAAGATGCAAAAGTTATTCAAATCACTGAGAAAAGTACTGGCAGACAAAATAAGAAGTGGACAAAAGACTGGAGATGCAAATGACGGGGCGAAAAAATGCCCGAAAAACGCATATACAAAGTACTAAACTCCCTCACAAATTAAAAAAAAAAAATTAAGATACTATATTATCTTGCTTAAAATGAAATAATACATACTGTATGTCAGAATGTTGGGAAAAGAAGCCTTTTTGTCACAGGTGTTTGTGAAAAGGTTAATTATAATCATTTGTCAAAATATGTGAAAATTTTAAATTCACATACCATTTGAAACAGCAATTTCAATTTCAAATTTATCCTACAAATAATATCAGAAATATAAAACCATGTATATAAGATATTTACTACAGCACTGTTAGCCAGAACCCAAAAATATAAACAACCTGAATGTTCATCAAGGGGCCTGATTAAATATATTGTATGATCCCTATACTAGAAATACTATGCAGTCACTGACAAGAATGAAGCACTTCTATGTATACTGTTTATGTACTATTAAGTGAAAAAAGGAAGTTCCAAAACAGTATGCATAGTATACCCCTATTTAAAAAAATATGCTTATATTCCATACCTGAATCTATGTAATTGTGTGTGTGCACTGAGGAAGGAAAGAAGGAATAAAGGAAGGAAGCATAGAAGGATAGCTACCAATCAGTTAACAGTGTTTACCTCAGGGAAGTGGATTGGCAGAAGAGGGAATGAAAGGTAACATGTTTACCTTTTACTCTATCTCTTCAGTATTTTTTTAAAAAACAATTTTCTTTAAAAAAAAAAAAAACTCTCAGTTCAGTTCTATAGATATTTATTTAATGAGGATTACATAGATTGTTAAGTTCCTTTCTATACTCACGTAAGGCATTTTAAGTATAAAGATCAAAAACAGTTCTCTAAGGAGTCCGTACAGTGATAAGGAATATACTCACAAATACCTATAATAATTGCATAAGCTTTTTAACAGAGATATATACAATAAGACAGCAATTAATTCAACAAGGGAGAGGTCAGGAAAAAGAAAGTGAAAATTATGTTAAGTTGAGTATTACTGATAAAATGGAGTTTACCAGTAGAAATGGAACACATCTTAGAAACCACTCATGTCTCATTTCACAGACAGTGTTCTTCTATTACCATATTTCCCATACTTGTACTTCTTAATTTGACAAAAATTTATTCAGTACCAACAATGTACCAGATATGTGCAGGAACTAGCAAAAAAAAAAAAAAATTAATGAAAGAGCTCAGAGATCAGGGGTCAGCAAATTTATTCTATAAATGGCCAGACAGTAAATATTTTAGGTTTTGCAGGCCAGATGGTTTCTGTCTCAACTCAAGTCTTCCATTATAGCATAAAAGCAACCACAGATTATAAGCAAACAATTAAGTTTAGCTGTGTTCTAATAAAACTAACAGAGATAGGGGGCCAAATTTGGTTCATGGGCCATTGTTTATTGATCCATATCAAAGACTACTGGGGGAGATGGGTAAGTAAACCAGTAATTAAAGGGAGTAATGCCCTGAGTTGAAAAAGCATACAGAAGGAGCGGCAACACAGTCTGGAGGTGATAAAATAAAGCTGGACAGAAGAGGTGATTTCTGAGCTCAGTTTTGATGGAATATGTAAGCAAAGCAGAGAAGAAAGGCACAGCTTATAAAATATAAATGTTACATTTTCATTCCCTTTGTCTACCCTAGTTCAGACTCTTGCTACATTAGGGTTTGACCACATGGGGTTGGACTTGGAGGAGAGGGAAGCCCTTTAAAATTGTAACCCTGGTCAGGCGCCGTGGCTCACGCCTGTAATCCCAGCACTTTGGGAGGCCTAGGCGGGCAGATCACGAGGTCAGGAGATCGAGACCATCCTGGCTAACACGGTGAAACCCCGTCTTTACTAAAAATACAAAAAAATTAGCCAGGCGTGATGGCGGGCGCCTGTAGTCCTAGCTACGCGGGAGGCTGAGGCAGGAGAATGGCGTGAACCCGGGAGACGGAGCTTGCAGTGAGCCGAGATCGCACCACTGCACTCCTGTCTGGGCGACAGAGTGAGACTCCGTCTCAAAAAAAAAAAAAAAAAATTGTAACCCTGCTTCTAATCTGTGCATTTTATTTCATCACACATTAGTTCCATATTAATATTTACAAAATACTGTTTCGAAAATGGGATTCTCTTGCTCAGAAGACTTTTAAATTCAAATGTTATGTTGTATTATATCAAGAACCATACAGTAATTATCATATAGTTGTCTGAATTACAGTTGTATGTTATTTTGCATTAGTACAGACGGCCTTATAGCACCAAACAGTACCACAATTCATCTTCTCTGCTCCAAAACTGAGATTTCTATGTGTAATAAAATGTATTAGAATTTTCCCAAAGTATGCTCAGTTTTGATGGGTTTATGCATTAATTTTTTAAAGGCATGAGCTTTTATTGCCAAACATTATACTAATGGAAAAACTTGAACTTGGCTTCTCTATTAGAATGGTAAACTGATCTTGGAACTTCTAACCAGAAGAAAGTAAGCTTACCATTTACTGTCTGTGTAATTTGCTCAAAGAGTAGATATTTCATGTCTACCAGAATAATTTTCTCTGCTTTATACTGATTTTATCATTTGGTTATGTTTTTTGAACAAAAGTTCCTCACTGTGAAGATCCTTATAATTTTATTTCCTTCATCTACATTTTACAATATTTTGTCACTTTGATTAAATAAGTAACCAAAGAATGTTACCTATTTGTTAGAAAAAAAATTTTCAGGATACTTCTCACTAAAACTATTAGCTCAACACTGCTATACAACATGCCTGGGAAGACTTGCCAAATCTAAAAAGATGCTCAGTCTTTCCTAGGTTAAGTCTGTATAGCTAAAATACTATTAATATTTCACAAAATGCATGCTTTAGAGAAGGCCCTGGAGATTTGTCAGTAACTTTGCTCTCCATTTTTATCCTCAAGAAAAACATTCATCAAGCCCTTATCAAATCTATGTACTCTGCCCCAACAGAGCATTTTATTCTATTATTGGTTACTATAATAAACTAACCACAGCCTTTCAGTCTCATTATCAAATAGGCCTTTGCTGCTTGATGCTTGCCAGAAAGCTCCTGAAAAGGACTACACTAGGAATGCCAAACTACTGGCACTTCAGAAAATAGACTCTTGGGTACAAGTTTCTGACCTAACATTGCTTAAATGATCAAGGAACTTATCAATGAACTGAGTCAGAATTTCTTCAAGACTTTTTTGTACATAAGCTGACAAACATCATGAATGCTAACTGCTTGATCCAAGATCAAGAATTACTAGGAATGAATAAACTGAATTAAATAAAATTTAATTGTGGTTGTTTGGAATATGATTGGTATTATTTTTAATGTTCAAAATTTAATGAATAGATGAGGAAGCCTTTTTTCTTTCTTAAGCTATATCTAATTCTCAATTTAGATTATGTTTTTATAAACTTAAAATGATATTTGATCTTAATAATTTACTCAGAATTCAGAAGCAAATAGTTTTACATATTTTTACTTTTCAGGACAATATTGGTAATTTTCATGGGTTCGATAAGAATCTATATTCCTTTTTATCAGAATGTAATTGGACAAATCAATTGTGCAACCAAGGCCATACCTGGAGTGCCTTATTTGAGATGATTTTCATGTAATCAGTTATGACAAACCTACTACTAAGAAATATATGTGGAACCAGGCTGGGCGCAGTGGCTCATGCCCATAATCCCAGCACTTTGGGAGGCAGAGGCGGGCGGATCACGAGGTCAGGAGATCAAGACCATCCTGGCTAACACAGTGAAACCCCATCTCTACTAAAAATCCAAAAAAATTAGCCGGCGTGGTGGCGGGCGCCTGTAGTCCCTGCTACTCAGGAGGCTGAGGCAGAAGAATGGCGTGAACCCGGGAGGCAGAGCTTGCAGTGAGCCGAGATCACGCAACAGCACTCCAGCCTGGGGGACAGAGCCAGACTCCACCTCAAAAAAAAAAAAAAAAAAAAAAGGAAATATATGTGGAACCAATACTTACATAGTGCTGCCAGGAAACTGTCCTGTTATCTAACTTACAGGGTCCCTGCGTCGTAAATGGTAAAGTCACTTTCTAGCAACCAGGGACCTTGGCATATTTGGAGATTCTCAAAAAGAAAAAACTTCACTCCAATTTATAGGTACTACAGGTGAAATTTGGTAGAGAATGTATCGGGCTCAGTTTCCTGACGTTAGGATAGAAGAACAAATAATAAGAGTTTTTAAAAATCCAATCAAAGATTCTTTATGAAAATTTATAGACAGAAATCAATTCTGTAACCTTAGTAGTTGTTTGATAATATAATGCTCTAGGTTTTCAGAGCAAACTCAAGTTCTTTGTTTAATTAACATTCTTGCTGCACCTAACTATTTGGACCAACCCTAATGAAGCCAGATTTTATTTTGATCAAGAATATATTCTGAAAATTATTTATGGTCACATGTGGGGAGACTATCAAAAAAACTCATCCAAAACTTTCAAATAAGGCAAAAATACTGGTACATCTTTAAAATATCTATGTAGAGACTGTCCAAGGGAACGTACTTAGTTCATCTCATTATTTTCTATTAATAAAGTCATAGACTCAGGTTGCTTCTTAACCTGACTAGATTTTTGTCCAGTAAAGATGCAAACAGGAAGTATCACTGAAGAGAATGGCTTCAGTAGCTGGAGAATCATCTGTTTCACAGGTCTTCCTGTTCCCCACTTACATTCTAGAAAGGGACAAAATCATCTCAAACTGATGCTAAGCTACAGTTTAATGGAGCTCTAAGTTTTCCTGTTTCAAAGCCCAGAAAGTAGTTTAAATGACCTCTTCCTATTTTAAATAGGCTAAAATAAATAGCATCCTTATTTGTGCTAACAGAACTTGCTATTCAGAAGGGTAGAAAAAATGCTATTAACTTAAAAGAATGGCTTGCCAAATTTTTATCATTTATGATAAATAACTTCACTGATGGATGAACTATACAAATCTCCATAATAATTTCCAGGAAGACAAGATACACACACACATACACACACACACCACATTATGTACTAAGAGTACTTATCAAAGAGTAGAATCAAATCTATAAAATATCAATGTGCTTTATAAGGGAATATCATTTAATAGCAAACATTTTAAAGTTCGATAGGGATAAATGAATGAAAATAAGCACAAACAATGAAATATATCTGACAATGTTCTAATAAAAATAGCATTGTATATACTAACATACATTACTATTTGACCTTCACCACATGTATAGTAGGTATCTCCCTATTAACAAATGAGAAAATAATCTCAGAACTTGTTAACAGAACAATTACCAACTTGATAAGTAGAGCAAGAACTCAAACCCATGTCTGTGCCTGGCCAGAAATGGCACAGTGGCTCGTGCCTATAATCCCAGCACTTTGAGAGGCCAAGGTAGGAAGATTGCTTGAAGCCAGGAGTTTGAGAACAGCCTGGGCAATATAGCAAGACCTCATCTCTACAAAAAAAAAATAATAATAAAATAAATTTTTAAAAAATTAGCTGGGCCTAGTGGCACGTTTCTGTAGCAGCAGCTACTCCAGAGAGTGAGGTGGGAAAATTGCTTGTGTTCAGGAGTGCAAGGCAGCCATGAGCTGTGATGGTGCCACTGCACTCCAGCTGGGGTGACAGAGCGAGAGCCTATCTTAAAAATAATAATATCCCAGCCAGGCGCGGTGGCTCACGCCTGTAATCCCAGCACTTTGGGAGACTGAGGCGGGCAGATCATGAGGTCAGGAGATGGAGACCACCCTGGCTAACACGGTGAAACCCCATCTCTCCTAAAAATACAAAAAATTAGCCAGGCGTGGTGGCAGGCGCCTGTAGTCCCAGCTACTCGGGAGGCTGAGGCAGGAGAATGGCGTGAACCCGGAAGGCGGAGGTTGCAGTGAGTCGAGATTGTGCCACTCCACTCGAGCCTGGGTGACAGAGTGAGACTCCGTCTCAAAAAAAATAATAAAAATAAAAATAAATAAATAATAATAATATCCCATTTCTGAATGTGTGTGTCTTAATGTATATATGTACATGTGTTAAGTATGGAAAAGAAAGTCTGGAAGAATACACCAAACTAAAAGCAGTGGTAATCTCAGGAACAAAAGGGTGGAGAAAGAAGACTTTCCATTTCTGTATACTTCAATACTTTTATAATTCAAGTGTGTGAAAAGAAAATGTTATAAACTTTAGAGTTAGAGGTGGGTTCAAACACTGACTATGTGATTTGGGGCAAGTACTTAACCTCTCTTGGATTCCTTATAAATTGAAAAAACTTATCCAAATTAGAAGAGATAACAAATACAACACTCCTAGCACAGTGCTCCCTCTACTCCCCTATGTAAAAGCGGGCAATTAAAATTAAGAACTGGTGATAATGAGAAATGTGATAGGAATGTAGAGAAGGAAAATATCACAGATTAAAGTAGTTATGGAAAATTTAAAGAAGCTGGGACTTGAACTGAGCTTAAAAAAAAAAGGTAGAGTATTAATAACAAAGTTTGGGGAAAAGGCTTACCAAAATAAATGAAATAATCAGAGTAAATACACAGGAAGGAGAATGAGATGTACAAACATGTGGCCCGGTGCCTAACACAAAGCACATGCTCAATAAATATCTGTTAAAGCAAATGAAAAGAGGTACAGATTAGGGAATAGAAAAAAATAAGGCTGCTTAGGTAGGGAACGGCCATATTTTAGAGATCCTGGAAATCAAAAGAGAGATTAGATTTAATGCAGTTGTCGGTGCAAGGCTTCTAGAGCTGGAGTTACCTGGCAAAGCCACATTTTAGGAATATATAGTCTGGCAGCAGTAAGCCAGATTGACAGAATATAGACTAGTCAGTTATAATGAATAATTAAGGCATATACATAGACGCATGATATATATAACATACATCACAGAGATAACAATATATCATTACAGACTATAAATGAGATGGGCAACTGAACAAAGGTGGCAGCTAATTAGAGGTAAATATGAGTAAACTATTGATATACTAAACTTCCCTAGTAATTTTGATTAGCATTTGTAGTTAAAAACAAATACACACATAAACAAATTTTGAACTACTTCTCAATAATAGAGTAAGAGTCAATTTCCTAAATGCAAACTTACCTGATCCTCTTGAAACAAAACGCCTTTCTGAGCATTTATTCGCTTAAACAGATCCCCTCCCTCACAGTAATCCATTACTATGTAGAGAGAGCCATTTTCTACAAAATATAAACATTACAGTCCACTTTTAAAAACGTACATCAAAAGCATGGCTAAATTAAAAGTACTTAAAAGCTTACTAAAAAGCAGCTGCTGAACAAAAAACAGGACCATACTCAAAAGAATTAGGGCACAAAGTCAAGGTATACCGGTCACAAAGATTGTATAATGACTTAGGTTAACAGAAAACTCCATCATTAATGATTTCTATTAAAAATACACTATTTTATTGAATAGTGCTGTTTGCATTGACCTAAACATCTCTGAAATATAAACAAAATGCAGACATACTTGATTTCATTCAATAAATACAATTCCTTAAATGTCACACATAAAATCATGTTTTTCCACCAATATATCACATCAGAGATGGGTTATCTTAGTTTTCTGACTGGCCATTAATTCTCTGCTTTGTTTTATCCACTTTAATCACTTACTTATTAAATAAATAAAATAATAAGTGTTGTGATAAACTCTGAGGATTCAACAGTGTATAGGATACACTGTTTCCACCCTCTTTGAGCTTTCCTTAATTTTATGCACTTTTTAAAAAATTGCATATGATTTGTGAACAAACATGAAGATGGGCACTGCCCCATCCACCTTTATGTCTCGGTCCACAAAGAAAGGTACTTCTGTGCTTCTTCCTATGGATAGAAAGGACTACAAGAATACTTCTTTTTTTTATTTAGGCTTTTTTTTTTCTTTTAAGAAAAAGTGTCTCAATATTTTGCTCATGCTGACCTTGAGCTCCTGGGCTCAAGGGAACCTCTCGCCTCAGCCTCCCCAATAGCTAGGACTACAAGCCCATGCTACTGTGTCCAGCTTAGAAGAACACTTTGATGATTCTTTCCATCCCTTACTTCTTAAGTAAGGAAGAGTGGCCAATATCACTTTTAACATTTTCTGAATCACTACATAGTACTGAGACTATCACAACTCAAAGAACAGTTTTCCTAGTTCTCACTTCTTTCACTGACTGTGCTATGGCCTTATTTCCAGCAGTATTTTTTTTTTCTTTTGAGACAGGGTCCAGGTTAGAGTGCAATGGCACGATGATGGCTCACTGTAGCCTCGACCTCCCGAGCTCAAGCAAACCTCCCACCTTAGCTTCCAGAGTAGGTGGAACCGCAGGCACACACCACCACACCTGGCTAATTTTTTAAATTTTTGTAGAGATGGGGTCTACAAACACCCTATGTTTCCCAGGCTGATCTCAAATTCCTGGGCTCAAGAGATCCTCCCACCTCAGCCTCCCGAAGTTGCTGAAATTACAATTGTGAGCCACCGCATCCAGCCTCCAGGAGTATTTATTTCTTATACTTTGTGGTGACATTCTTGTCACTCGTGGTGCACATATCTTCTTTTGATCTACTGTTTGTAATGTGCCACTGGGATAAGAATCTATATGATAAAGCTAATTAAGAATCTGTATGACTTTTTATGATTGACCTGGAAAGATCATCCAAATATACATGTGAGAAATTATAATGTGAAAAAAACTCCTGAAAACTATAATTCACTATTTATATGTATATAGATGTTATAATGTATGTAGCATAACAAAAAGCAAAAAATTACATATACTATGCTATCATTTATGTTTGATGCTAGCATGTATTCTTCTAAAACTAAGAGAAATAATAAAGCCTTATTTTTAAAATACGCTACCCCTTTTGAATCACACAGATGTTTCTATGTGAAGCAGTCAATATAAATCCAAAACATCTGCTGGAATATTTGCTCAAAACCTTTTAACTTGAAATATTAAAATTTTGTTAACAACAACAAAAAAAGAAACTAAAGGATAGATGCCAGGAGAAAGATAAAGGAAAATTCAAGGTCCTGAAAAGGAAGAGTTGGTTAATTTTGTACTCTTTCACATGAAATATAAATCTTCATTTCACTGCCAGCATAAAAAATACAGTACCTTGTGACATAATGTATTAATTGAATCACATTTTTATAAAAGTAGAAGAGACTTATAGTAGACACAGAGTTCATCTGGGAATGTAGTAACTTTAGCTCTAATTCAGACTCTGAAACTGGTATGTGATATGTCCCTGAGTCATTTCAATTATCTTCTACTTTCAATCTAGATTACCTGGTTTTTAGTTTACAGAAATTAAGTTACAGAAATTTATAATAATGAGAATATTTGGGTAGGACTTCAATAAACCACTTTGACCTGCCTTTAGAGAAGCTTTGCCTTATCTTAATACCTGCATTATTAAATATAATGCATATAGTTCCAAAACAGCATTATAGCTATAATACTTTAAGAACCTGAGAAAACTTTCAACATACCTCACTATTATAATAGTGAGGTACAGAGGAGCATACTGAGTGAGGATACTTTCTAAAGATCAGAACATTTTCTCAGTGGTAGTGGTGGCAGCACTTACAGGAAGTTCAGTTAAAAAATATGTAAATTACTGTTCTTGCTCTGTCCAAATTCTTGCACTTACTGCATTGCTTCTTTTAAAGCAATCACTAATAACAGCCAGTATTAAATTATACAGGCACAGTTGGGAGGCTGAGGCATAAGAATCACTTGAACCTGGGAGGCAGAGGTTGGAGTAAGCCGAGATCATGCCCCTGCACTCCAGCCTGGGCCACTGAGCGAGACTGTCTCAATTTAAAAAAAAAAAAAAATGCAGGCATGATATCAGTATTGTCCTTGAATCAAGCTGATATTCATATGCGTATGTTTTTAAGCAAAAATGGTATCTTTTTCCTAAGAATGCATTCACAAAAAGATTTATTAATGTCTTAGGATTTTTTAACTCTCTCGCATAATTTATCTGACCTTCAAATGATTCTCTATACTGGACAATATTTGGATGCTTCATGTTTGCCAATACTGCAACTTCTCTCCTTGATTCTTCTCTTTCTTTACTGGACATCTTAAATGGGAGGAAAAAGAAAATAGTAAATGAAACCATTAATAAACAACCTAAAAGTCCATCAATAGGTGAGTGGTTAAAACATAATAGTATTAATACAGTTCAATCAACAAAATATAGCAAGAAGTTAAAAAGAATGAGTTGAATCTGTAAGTAGAAACATTTTAAGATGTCCAAACTAGATTAGGTTACAGAACAGCAAGTATATTTTTCTAAACACATAAACATAAGCACATATCATAGAAAAAATCTGAAAGAATATATAGGCTATTCTGATATTAGCGGGAATAAAGGAGTCTTTTGCTTTAGGTTATCGATTACTTTTTTTTTTTTTTAAAGAAAATCTCTAACAATGAGCTCTATTGTAACTAAACCATTACTCATGAAACCAAACTAAAAATATACTTACTCTTGAGATGTTAATTTCCTTGATAACATACTGTCTGCCATCTTCTGTAGATTTAACAAGAATGGCTTTTCCAAATGAACCTTCTCCAATCTTCTGTAGTCTAACATACTTCTCCATGATTCTTTTTCTAAGGCATCTTTACAGATATGCTAGACATTTAAAAAACTAACAAAAAAGATAAAGCATTTATAACATGAGATAAAACATTATAACTTCATAACAATTTTAATGTTTAATTCAAATTCTAATTCTTTAGTGATTTGCTAACATTTTAAAAAAGGATATTTAATATATTCACTAAAAGTTACACTTTATATACTTTACTAGTACAACCTAATTACATCCAAAAAAGAGAAAAAAATGTGATATTTCAATTTTATAAGAATGCTTTGGAAAGCCAAATACTGCATATACTTAATGTATGGAGAGAAAGGCAAACTTACATGAATTAATTAGTAGCATTACTTTATTTTCTCCAAAAAGAATGAAAACCTAATAATACACTATTTCTTGAAGTTATTTAACTAATCCCCTCTTATTCAACATTCGTTTAAAATGTTTGCTAGTATAGAACAATTTTGGATAGTTTTTGTACACATATTTTAATGTGCTTATTGTAAGGATTTCCTTAGGATAAATTCTGAATTCAAAGAATATGCCCATGTTACAGTATGGCTTTCAAACATATTAAGTGTCTTAACAGAACTGTCTACTAATACGTATTTAGCCAGTAGTGCCTGCTACTAGGTACCCTCATTAACACTGGTTATTATTATTTCTTGTATTTAGGGAGATGTTTACTGTAATGTCATTTATAACAACAAAACACTGGTTGTTATTTATTAAAATCTTTGAGAAGCAATAAAGGGTAGTAGTTAAAGAACACTAAAAAGTTTAAATCTTAGCTTTATCACTTATTTGTTATGTAAACTTAGGCAAGTTACTTATCTCTATGTGCTCAGTTTGGTCACATGTAAAATGTGAATAACCATAGTACATATTTACAGAAGTGTTGGAAGAATTAGTTAATGTAAGAATGTACTGAAAACAGTACTTGGCACATATGAACACTGTGTCACTATTTGTTATTGTTGTTACTCCATACGTCTAATGGGGAAAATGGTGTTTCGTTTTTATTTTGATTTCTTTTGCTTACCAGTGAATTTGAAAAATTCTTCCACATTTATTGAACATTTTTTTTTTTTTTTTTTTAAGACAGTCTCACTCTGAAGCCCAGGATGGAGTGCAGTCACACGATCTCGGCTCACTGCAATCTCCACCTTCCAGGTTCCAGCGATTCCCCTGCCTCAGCCTCCCAAGTAGCTAGGATTACAGGTGTGTGCCACCACACACAGCTAATTTTTGTATTTTTAGTAGAGACGGGGTTTCGCCATGTTGGCTGGTCTTGAACTCCTGACCTCAGGTGATCTGCCCGCCTTGGCCTCCCAAAGTGCTGAGATTAGAGGTGTGAGCCACCATGAGCGGCCACATTTATTGAACATTTCTATTTTTTCTCTTTTGAACTATTCATCCATGTTCTTTAATCATTTTATACTGAGTTGGTCTTTAATTTGTAAAAACTCCTTATGTAATGAAGTCCTTATCTGTCATAAATTATTTTCCCTTATATCCTAGTTGCCTTTAAGTATAAAAGATTATTTTGATATAAACAAATGTATTAATCTTTTCTTTATATTTCTACTTTTAGTATCACACTTAAACCCTTACCATACCAAAACAATTGATTAAGGTCATTAGTATCTTTAGGAATAGTAATTTCAAAAGAGTGGTAGTTTCAGGAGAAGCCAGAATACAATAAGCTAGCTAGTGAAAGCTGAAAAAAGTGTGAGAAAGAGTCATAAGAGCAATAATGTGTACAACCTATTGGCAATATCACCCTTATTGTAGACATACATGAATTTACTATGCTAATCTGAAACTAATAAACATTTAATTCACCTAGCTTGCTCTTTTTTATTTCCATTCATAGCAGGCTTCCAATGTGTGATTCCTTTCTAGGAGAAAATAAGTTTGTCGTGAAACTCTTTTTAAATTTCTGTGGCAGTTTACCATATTTCTCATTGTAAATTAAAAAATCCATGTTCTTATCTCATCCATCAGTGCCAAATTTGTTTTTAACTTTATTTTGCCTCTAAAAATGATCCAATCTCCTTAAATGACAAACATCATATGCTGTGCCTACAAGACCAGACCACAGGCCAGAACTCAGCCTGTGGTAGCACTGATGAGATAAGTATGACTCATGAAATTTTGTGAGAAAGAGCCTTTCTCTACCTTAGAAAACAAGATTGCCTTTAGCAACTTTAAGAGAAACAAGAAATAAACCATTATTATAGCATTTTAGCATCAGTGAGTTAAAGAAGAAAAGTTGTTCCAAATATATTTTCAAGCCCAAGTTGTGTTAACTGGCACAATATAATGGCTATCTGGGCACCAGCCACAATTTAATGATTTTTCCAGAACATGAATGTTTAATATATTACATTACTATGCTACTTACAAAAAAAAATCAAGATAAACTCATCTTAGTAATCTAAATTTCAAAAATTAAATTAAATAATAGCCATATAATGAGATTACTTCACAATCATCATTATTCTGCGACTTTCTGCCAAGAGAGGGAAACAAAATTAGTCAATTTGGCCATTCCTTAAAATTAAGTTGCCAATTCCTTTCTAGGGACCACACTAATAAGACAGAAGCTCCAAAAGTCCCCAGTGTTGCATTCTACTGCCAACAACATTACTGAACATTGTGGTTCTAACTCTATAAAGCAGACCTACTGATCCTGTTAGTAAAGAAAGATGACTCTAATTGCCATCAAATATGTCAAATGCAGACACTTTTCTGAACAACAAAAGACTTGTGGTAGATGACTTTCAGGAAAACAGACAAACTCTCCTTTTTTGTAATGTCAGTGTACAATAAAGGAAGTAAAAGGGAAAACATGAAAAAATAGATTACTTTCAGCATCTTACAATATATTTAACTGAGCTACTTCCTAGTTGTGAGACTTCTCAACTGAATTATAATTCCATAAAATTTTTCATACCAAATGAAATAGAAAACAATAACAAATTGTACTATAGGCTTCCACATACAAAATCATAACTTATAACTGAAGGAACATACGAATCCTGTTTACTTCAGTATTGTAATAAACTCAAATTAATGTTTGCCTTTTCTACCATTCAGTTTCCAACATCAAATGAAAATCACAATACCAACTTTACTCACTCTATAGTGTTCTTAAGGTCTCTAATAATTATATCAATTCAATCTCTATAATACATAGCTGATCCTGAAGATAAGCAACAAGGAAAAAATCAGAGACTTTTTTGATATTTGAGCTTTCCAAAGAGTTATGTCACCTAATAAAGCAATGAATTCAGAATCAAGAGACAAGACTAGCTACATAATCAAACGCTAACCATCTGCCTTTTGTGGACTTCAGTTTCTTTATCTAGAAACACGAAAGATTTAAACCTAATGCCATTTTATAGACCTTGCCAAGTCGACTAGTCTATGACTCAAGGAGAAGAAAATTAAAAAGTCAGAAAATATATAATGTCAACACTGTTTAGAATTGTACTCTTAGCCACAAAGAGTAAGAGTGATGGGGAAAGCCATTCCATCAAAAAATTAAAAGAAGTCATACTAATTTCTTTAGCCTAATTATTTAAAAAGTAAAAATAAATAAACTGTAATCTACAGTTAAGCATACTAGATTGACCCGTACATATTTACCTCTACTACTTGTCCAAACCTGAGGAACATGACTTTAAAGGGATTACCAAAAAGGCAAAACAGAAGAGAAGGCAACAGCAATACAGTTCTAGAAGCTGGCAAACACAAAAGAACATGCAGCAACTGACTTAGGAGAATAGAGAAAAGCTGTACCTTAAGCCAGCAGTGGGAAATAAGTCAGAAACAAGTCAATTCCCACCACAAACTAGCTCAATAATTGGAAGTACTGGGGCATCTAAGAGTGAGGATAATATTAGGACTCAAACAGGATTGGTGAAGAGCTTGTGTAAGAAGTGTCAGACACTTAGTTTGCCTCCTCCACCTCTCCCAGTCAGATAAGTACTCCTCTCCCATCTTGAAAGAAGACCACAGATATCTCTAGATTGGGTACACCAGGCACAACTAAGAATGGAAATCCCATCTATGATCTAGGAGATTAAGTGAAAGTCTACATAATAAATCGTGAGACTCTCTTTCAACCATGATGGTGTTCTTAGTATCAGATCACCTCACCTTCCAAAACAACTTAAAACCTGAACAAAATATATAAAGAAACAGCAATGCATTGAGGGGCTATAATCACCGAAAGGTGGAAACATACTAGTGGGTTCTACATTCATCCCAGCCTTTTCCCTGAAGAGAGTTTCCAAACTGTGCTACAGTACAATGGAGCTCAAGTATAAAGCAGCAGTCTTGCTGAGGAGAGAAAGCGGTCAGAGTTCAGGGCTACCAAAATCCTGAAGAGGAAAAATAATAGAAGGAGTCCAAAAATCTACAGTAAGTTCTGCTCCTGTTATTCTGTTCCTAAACTGTGCATACATGGAGGAGGACTGAAACAGTCTCATCCTAACAAAGCCTAAAAGCAACCATGGATAAAATCAAAGTTATTCACTGATACTTCATCAGACTGCCAAAACAAAACTAACAATTTTTACAAGATACATGTTTCAGAGTCTCTAAGACTTTTCATTCACAATGTCTAGTATCCCATCAAAAAATAATGATGCACATTAAACAAAAACAGATATAGACTCACAAATGACTCAAACATGAAGTTACTAATAGAGGACTTGAAAGTAACCATGATTAATTAATATGTCTAAGAAAACAAGATAAAAAGATGGATAAAACAGATTTTTTAAAAGATGGAGAATTTCAACAAAGAATTAAAATTTTTTTTTAATTTTTAATTTTTTTTTGAGACAGAGTCTCGCACTGTTGCCCAGGCTGGAGTGCAGTGGCGCAGTCTTGGCTCACTGCAAGCTCCACCTCCCAGGTTCACGCCATTCTTCTGCCTCAGCCTCCCAAGTAGCTGGGACTACAGGCGCCTGCCACCACGCCCGGCTAATTTTTTTGTATATTTAGTAGAGATGGGGTTTCACCGTGTTAGCCAGGATGGTCTCGATCTCCTGACCTTGTGATCCGCCCGCCTCAGCCTCCCAAAGTGCTGGGATGACAGGTGTGAGCCACCGCGCCTGGCCTCAAAATTTATTTCTAAAAAGTGGACATTCTAAAACTACAATATAAAATATCTGAAATTAAGAACTCATTCATGGATTTACGGCAGACAGGACACAGCAGAAGGCAGGATTACTAGCCTATAAAATGAACCAATAGAAAATATTCAACAAAAAAACTGAGAGAAAAATATTAAAAAACAACAACACACACCGGGATGGGGGTGGGGGTGGAGAAAGAAATGTATAGGAAGACTTAATATCATAAAGATTTTCATTCCTAATCTCTACAGTTAATGCTGTCCTAATAAAAACATAAGCTTTGGGGCTGGGGGTGATTAGACAGGCTGATTTTAAAGTTCAGACACACACACACATACACACACACACACACACACACAAAGAAGAAGAAGAACAGCCAGAGAAATATTGAAAAAGAAGAGCAATGAAGGAAAATTTGTTTGGCTTAATATCAAAACACATTACAAAGCTACAATAATTATGAAATAGGCAAATCACAGGAAGTCCAGAAATCAAAAAACTTTTAAAACTTGGTTAATAATCATAGTGACATTTCAAATCAGTAGGAAAAAAGATGAATTTTGAAATAAAAAGTTCAAAGCCAGCAGTGAGACAACTGGGTAGCCATGTGGGGAAAAAAAGTTAATTTATTCCCTCATTTTACACCAACCTAAATTCTAGATGCTAAAATACTGAAATGTAAGAAATAAAAGCATAATAGTAATAAAATAAAACATGGGAGAATGACTTCTGTCTTAGAGTGGTTAGCTGAAGCACAACACAAAATCAAAAAACCTTGAGGGATTAATATGACTAGACCAATATTTTAGCTATTACAACGATCTCATTTTTCTAACAAATAAAAAACTCGTACATATTTATAAGACCAAAAAACACAACAATCCAAAAGAAAAGTGGACAAAGGATATGAAGTTAAACGTTAACACTGAGAATGAATACAAATTATGTTAAAATGTGCCACGATACCCAATCTCCTGTAAAACGATATACAATTTTGGCCGGGCATGGTGGCTCACACTTGTAATCCCAGCACTTTGGGAGGCCGAGGCAGGCGGATCACTTGAGGTCAGGAGTTTGATGTCAGGCTGACCAACATGGTAAGACCACTGTCTCTACTAAGAATACAAAAAATTAGCTGGGTGTGGTGGTGCAGGCCTGTAATCCCAGCTACTCGGGAGGCTGAGACAGGAGAATCGCTTGAACCTGGGAGGCAGAGGTTGCAGTGAGCTGAGATCACACCACTCCACTCCAGCCTGGGTGACAGAGCGAGACTCCTTCTCAAAAAAAAAAAAAAAAAAGAAGAAGAAATACAATTTTAAAATACAAGGGGTAAGTTTTATGTTATGTATATTTAACCACAATTTTTTTAAAAAAGCACAAGAGACGGCATGTTTCATCAATTAGAATGGCAAAATTCACAGTTGATTATTGTACTGTACTGTGGGGGAATAGCAGGAAACAATATGGTGGGACTATAAATTGGTACAAGCACTAAGGAAAATAATTTGGCAACATCTACCAAAATTATAAGGGGACAGAAACTTTGATGTAGTGATTCAATTTCTAGCAATTTACCCTACAAATATTTCCAAATGTAGGAAAACAAAGTATCTACAAAGTTATCCTCTGCAGCACTGTTTCTAATAGAGCAAAATGTAATCATTCACATACAGTCAACACAGCAACTTTTAAACTGATATAATTTCTTAATACACTGTTAGATTTTTAGGGATCAGAATAATAAATATGGCATGCTATCATTTGTTTAGTAAAAGGAAATACATAAGTATATATGCTTACAGTTACTCATATATGTGTATAAATATACATATGTATATATATACACACATGCACCCCTGGCTTGTATTAAATAATATCTATGGAGAGATACACAATAAACTAGTAATACTGCCTACAAAGAAGGCATTTAATAGTTGAAAAGATTTTTCAATCTTTTGTACTTTCTGAATTTTGAACCATACAAATGTATTATCTATTCAAAACAATAAATATTAAAACAATAATATCTGATAGAAATAGTAAGAATACTGGCTAAATCAATTTCTCCAATTAAAATCCTTCAACAATTCCCCATCTCCAAACTCCTCACTTTTGACATTCAAAGTTTTCTTATGGCATCATGCTTCTTTTCAAGTATATGAACTATGCTCCAGAAAAAAGTACCTCAGCCTCTAGTCAAATAAGACAGCTTTCCTCACATTTTACTAAGAATTTCTTTTTTTTTTTTTTTTTCTGAGACAGAGTCTTGCTCTGTTGCCTAGGCTGGAATGCAATGGTGCCATTTCGGCCTCCGAGGTTCAAGTGATTCCCCTGCCTCAGCCTCCCAAGTAGCTGGGATTACAGGAGTGTGACACCATACCCAGCTAATTTTTGTATTTTTAGTAGAGACGGGGTTTCGCCATACTGGCCAGGCTGGTCTCGAACTCCTGACCTCAAATGATCCACTTGCCTCGGCTTCCCAAAATGCTGGGAATACAGGTGTGAGCCACAGCGTCTGACCCAGAATTTCTTTCTTTTTTTCTTTTTTCTTTGAGACAAGCCTCACTCAGTCGCCCAGGCTACAGTGCAGTGGCAGTATCTCGGCTCACTGCAACCTCTGCCTCCCGGGTTCAAGCAATTATCCTGTGTTAGCCTTCCAAGTAGCTGGGATTACAGGCACGCACCACCACGCCCGTCTAATTTTTTGTATTTTTGGTAGATATGGGTTCGCCAGGTCAGCCAGGCTTGTCTCAACCTCCTGACCTCAAGTGATCCACCCACCGTGGCCTCCCAAACTGCTGGGATTACAGGTAAGAGCCACAGCACCCAGCCACTAAGAATTTCTTTAAAGCCACAAATAAGCAATTTTGGACATAATAAAATTTTGTGAGCCACATATAAACAATTTTAGAGTATATGAATGGAAAAGCTCAACTTCGATCAATCTGGAACACATACTTAGGTTAAGCATTAAGCTCTCATCAGGTGTTTCAGATATTCTATAGACAGGCTGTCTTGAAGGGAAACATGGTAAAGGCATGGCAACAGGTTTCAAGAAGTCTTTTGGCGCTGTATGCAGCTACAATCCATACATACAGTTCTGCCTAAGCAATAAATACCATCTTGAATAGTGGGAGGGGATCCATTTATCTTCTCAGGAAAAAAGTTCTTTATCTTCCTTTATTCGAAAAAGCAGAAAGCAAAAATGGAATTTCTATTAGACTTTTTTCAAAATATTTTTTCTTCTCTGTAAGTCTATTCAGACAATATTCAACAGATTTTGTAGTAGAAACTACCAACAGGTAAATAAAGAATGTACATTCGTGAAAAGGTGTCATGTTCATGACTTAGACTAGAAGGCAGGAGATTAGACAGGGCAAAATTTACTTGGAATACAATGTCAATGTACTATTCACACGACCTCAAAAGAACTTCTGTGGTCAAGTCCGACGACCTTTATTAAATTCCTGACAGTGACTTTTAACGTGAAAAAAACCTGTTTTCCCACAAAATAGGCTCCTTACATTTCACCTAGAACAATGGATATTTTAAGTGAAACAGATCTGTAGAACCTCTAAAACCAGACAAATGTAAACTAGAAACAAGGAGTTACTTCTCTCCAAATTTGGCTCCCCTCCATCAGCTCTACAATACTGCTGCATCATAAAAAAAGGTCATTAACTTAGATTGGATGCCACTTTTAATCCTTCATAAACATTTCTAATGAAACATACCAAGGCAATAAAAAATATTTCTGCTTCCTAAAGCAGATCTTAAAGAACAAAAAATAGGCCTGCAAAAAAAGTTATGATAAACTCTTAAAGTAGTACAACAATTAATGCCTTACATATGGAAACTGTGTCAAATCATGGAAACAGAAATCTAAGATTACAGGGTAACCAGCTAACTACTACTCATATTCGCTTCCTAATTAAAATTTATCAGTAATTTAAGATTGGACACAACATAAGCAATGCAAATGCTTGCTTATCCATACTAAGATTCCTATTATTTTAATCCCATTACCGCTCTAGTTTTTAAAAATACCGTAATGTCCAAGAATCGCTTTGTTAATACAGAGTGTCTTAGAGAATTAACATTTAAATGAGATTAAGGTATTTTCCCTGCAAACACTTAAGGTATCTGTGTAATCTCAATATAAGCAGTTCTACGCACATCTCATTTCCAGGATGATTTTTACCATTTTGCATGTCATTCCTTCCCCCAAGTGGAACTCACCTCAGTGACACAGGACGTTAGTAGGAATAACGGTGATGACTAATAAGCATCAGTCTAGGTGTGGCAGTCTTCCTACGGGGCTTAATAAAGCAGAGGTACCATCCCGCATTTTGAAAATGACATCCTGAAAGAGAAACCAAGACTGTCTAACCAGCAGCAGCTCACAGTCCAGACTGAAAGGGGGCACTGAGACTCTCCACACCTGACACTCGTCTTCAGTTGATACCACGGGTTTGACTCCGTCCTGTCTCGGGCGACGCCCGTAAGACAGGTCGACACTACCCCGACGAAACAAACAAACTGGTTTCTGAGCCCCGTAGAAACGGCGGGGTGCAGCAGGGGGAGTGCCTCCGTTACCGCCTCTCCAACTTCACAGAGGTCGTTGCTAGTGGCCACGGCGGGGTGGGGACGGGCGGCGTTCGGGACTGGGAAGCTACTTGACTGCCACGTGCTCCTGCCTCGCAACAGCGGCTCTAGATTCCGAGTTATGGGGACAACTGCTCGAGAGGCCAGGGTAGGGTAAGGACTCCGCAACCTAGGGTCCCAAAACCCTGGAGCGAATGCGGACTAAGGGAGAGCGGCCGGCGCGTCACCGGCGCTGGCGTGTGACGTCAGCGCGTGGAAGGCGGCACGCAGCGGAGGCGGCTGGGAAGGAGCAGTGAGGCTGGGCTAGAACCGTAGGGTCGGGCGGGGTGCTGTGCGAAGGGGCGGGCGGGGTGCTGTGCGAAGGGACGGGAGGGGCGGGCTCTGCAGGCGGGAAGACAGAAAGGACGAGACGGGAGAGATGAAAAGGATGGAGAGAGTGTAAAGCTGTTAAGAGTCATGCAGAGATGCGGGAGAGAACTCACTAGTTGAAACCAATTTGGAATATAAAGCATATAAAATTTTCCCACAGCTACTACACCGAGAAAGGGACTTTTTTATTTTACATGAAAGCGCACTACTTAGGGATGCCACATTTTAAAGAGCAATTTTGCTTTAAAAAGCAAGTCTTTTCCTATTATATCTTGGATGGTTGAAACAGAAGAATGTTTAAGTCTTGAGATATTTTTAAAAAGCTGTATGGGGTTTTCTACACCTTTACATCTAATGTATGTATAAATTACTTGTCTGTATGTTGAAGGGTTTGGAAATGTACAGCAGTCTAAGTACATTTTTTCACTGCAGGACTGGCGAAGGTAGGAAGAGATTCCCCTAAAACTATAATAAGGGATATCATCTGGCGTCATCCTGAGTGGCCCTACTCAGGGCAACTTTATTCCTAGGGACATTGAAAGATTTTGGCGGCTTTGCCAGACGATGGCGCTGCAAGTCACCCAACCTGAAAAGCTGGAGAGTTTGTTTTATCTCCTCTTCAATCGCCATACAGCTACAAAAGACTTATTTTCCTCATTCTTTCTACTTCTAGTCTACACTCCTGTGGGCCCTCCTACCCCCAGTTAGTAGGAATTATCATGTCTGAATGCACAATTGTAGTTCTACCCACATCCTTTTGTACATCAAAGTGAAGTGAAATGTTGCCAATTACTAATCTAAGCAAATTCTTTTTGCTGCTTACAGGAAGAATGGCTAGTCAGCTAACCTCCTTAGATAATTCTTTAGGCTCATGTCATAAACTATTGGTAGGACTACAAACTGCTACAGTCTTTCTAGAAGGTATGCTAGCAGTATGCATATCCTTTGACTCAGCAATTTAACTTCTGGAACAAGTGAGCAATGATTTATATACAAGGATAACCGTTATTGTTTATAACCAGAAAAACTAGAAATACTGTAAATGTATAACAATAAAGAATTGATTAAATTATAATATATCCAAACAATGAAATACTCTAAAGCCATTTAAAAGAGTAATCAAGATCTACTTTATTGACATACAAAGATACCATTGATATATTGATGAGTAAATAAAGCAGGTTACCTAAGAAGATTACCTGATTTCCCTTTCTGGTTTATATACCCCTGTACAATTGATTTTTTTTTTTATTTTTAAACAAGAGTGCTTTGGGGTTTCTTTTTCTTTAAATATTTTATTGGACTTTTCTTTCAAACAAAAAAGTTTTTGCTTCTTGCAACAAGCCAGTAACACAAGTACACAAAGATAAAGCCTATCGTCTCCTTCCCAGAGCTCTTCTGTGCTGTCCTCCACGAAACCAATGTTAACAGTTAATTAATATCATCTACATTTTTCTCTAAGTTCCTAAAAACATAAGCATGCATTTTTATATTTTATATATTAGTCTTAGTCTTTTATTTACTTATTTATTTTGGAGACAGGGTCTCATTCTGTTTCCCAAGCTGGAGTGCAGTGGCGCGATCTTAGCTCCCTGCAACCTCCGCCTTCCAGGCTCAAGTGATTCTCCCACTTCAGCCTCCCGAGCAGCTGGGACCATGGGTGCGTGCCATCACACCTGGCTAATTTCGGTATTTTTTTTGTAGAGATAGGGTTTTTGCCATGTTGCCCAGGCTTCTTGTGTGTGTGTTTTGTAGAGATGGGTTCTACCATGTTGCTCAGGCTGGTTTTGAACTCCTGAGCTCAAGTAATTCTGCCTGCTTTGGCCTCCCAAAGTGCTGGGATTACAGGCGTGAGCCACTGTGCCTAGCCGGGACTATAGTATACATATTATTTTGCAACGTACATTTTTAAATTTAATAGTATATGAACATCTATGCGGATATCAACTAATTCTTGTGAATGATATTGATATTTCATGATATGGCTATACCAAAATCTACTCCATTCAGTAGACATATTGTTTCCAATGGTATAATTACTTCTGTGGGATAGATTTCGAAAAGTAGGTTTGCTGGGTCAAAATGTATGCATATTTTTTCACTTTAACACTCCTATGTCTTGGTTATGAAAATTTCTTAACTCCTTATTAATAGTGGTAGTACAATATAGTAAATGGAAGGGGACTAGCAGTATACCTAAGCTATTCTACTAGATTTTTCAGAAATATATTCTGCCATGCATTCACAATTAAGCACTATATGTTAGATGATGGGGACAAACATATTCAAAGAATGGATATTGTTATTCCTTCTTTCTAGAAAGCAGGCAGCAAGGTGAAACAAAATAGAGAATAACAAATTAGAGCAAATGGTTGGTATAGAACTACACTATTTTCCCTTTGTGAAATTATTATGTAAATGATTTTATTAAGACTATGTATTTATGAAGGCATAAGTTCTGATTATACTCACCTAAAATCTTTTTTTTTAAATTATACTTTAAGTTTTAGGGTACTTGTGTACAACATGCAGGTTACATATGTATACATGTGCCATGTTGGTGTGCTGCACCCATTAACTCGTCATTTAACATGTTAATGCTAACCCTCCCCCCTCCTCCCACCCCAGAACAGGCCCCGGTGTGTGATGTTCCCCTTCCTGTGTCCTTGTGTTCTCATTGTTCAATTCCCACCTATGAGTGAGAATATGCATACTTACCTACAATCTTTTGTGATTAGAGAAGGGCCTAAAATACTAAATATGAAGAAAAGCATTCTCTAAAATCCAGATCTTTTACAGACATGTAATATTCAAATCCAAGGGAGAAAAAAAAGTCAATGTCTTGGCATTTAGTACTCCATCTTGCTACATTCTAGGCGAGAAATTTTTAGTTATTTAAGCCACGTTCCTGAAAGTCTACTCTAGCCTTATGTGGTTTGAACTCACTGTTAACTCTGCATAGCTACGAGTTAAACTGTAGCAGCCTACTGAATTTCTGGATCTTAATCTGGTAGGCCCAGCTCCATATGCAAAGATAAAACATCTAGTCAGCTTTTGAGTTTCTGGCTTTCTGAATTGGGTCACCTGCCAGGGCTCACAGATGAGTCCACCACCTGAAAAGAATGATCATAATCTGTATCTAGGATGAATAAAACAAAACACTGTGCCCTTAGTTGTGTGCAGCCTGAGAAATGAGTCACTTCATGAGACTGTTTTCAGGATATGATTGGCTGAAAGAGCTTTGAGTGTATCAAGTCCTACTGAGGCAGTTTTGTGGGAAACAATCACACTAAACTGGAAGACTGTTTGCCATGTCAAAGGTCTCGAATTGTAATTAGAAGTGCAAAGCTATTTCGGATAACTTCTTGTTATTTTTGGGGAAAAGACAAAAGACAAGAAAAGGTCATTTTCACTTCTATGATGTTAGTGGAATCAGGAGGAAATTCTAGACTAGAACCATGCTACTATTTTCATAATAGAATGTTTTAATCCCTTCTATTCTCTCTCTTTCCAATGTGTCTGAAACATAAACAATAAGATCAAAGTTCTTTTTCTTTTCTTTTTATTTTTGAGACAGAGTTTCACTCTTGTCACTTAGGTTGGAGTGCAGTGGCGTGCTCTCGGCTCACTGCAACCTCCACTTCCCAGGTTCAAGCGATTCTCCTGCCTCAGCCTCCTGAGTAGCTGGAAGTACAAGCATGCACCACCACACTGGGCTAATTTTTTTTTTTTTTTTTTTTTTTTTGGAGACAGAGTCTCACTCTGTCACCAGGCTGGAGTACAGTAGAGTGATCTTGGCTCACTGCAACCTCCACCTCCCGGGTTCAAGCAATTCTCCTGCCTCAGCCTCCCGAGTAGCTGGGATTACAGGCACGTACCACCGTGCCCAGCTAATTTTTGTATTTTTAGTAGAGACGGGGTTTCGCCATGTTCGGCAGGCTGGTCTTGAACTCCTGATCTCAGGTGATCTACCCATCTCAGGCTCCCAAAGTGCTGGGATTACAGGCATGAGCCACCGCTCCTGGCAAGATCAAAGTTCTTTTTCTGAAACAACTCATAAATACATGAAGTAGAGCTATACAATCTTGTTTGGTTTTTCTGTGCAACTTTTTTTAAGTGTATTCTTTTAAGTTGTTATGGTAAGTAATCCTATTTCTAGGTTTTTTTATTTCAAGGGAAGTTCAGAGTAACTTTACTGGTCCAGGGAGCAAGATAGAAGAAACTGAGATATGATTCCCAGTGCTCTTTACTTTGCCACTTCTATAAAATAGCATCATCCAACTTGCCACTCCCAGAGAGAGAATTGCTGACAGAGGGCAAGGTTTATACCACCTCCACTCACTGGTAATGTCTATCATTTGTTTCTCTTGTTTCAATCTGCCAGGGTTCCAGATATACTAGTGAACAGGCTATCCTACACCTGGTTGTAATTGGTAAACTCTTACACTGTGAGTCAATCTTTTTGTCCTTTTTCCCTTTCCTTGAGGCCCCAAGAGTTTTGTTGGTTGGTTGGTGGCAGAAGTGTGAAGCTAATTTAAATATTGGTTGAGTATTCGTTATTAACTTAAACTCCAACCAGTCCTAGCCCAAAAATCTGATTTACAGTGGAAGAAACTGACCCTTTTCACATAACTTATTTTGCTGTGTCTCCAAATACTTCCTGTATACTGGGGGCCTTTTAAAAAATGCATACTGAGACTTGTGGTTAAAAGATGAATTTAAGCACCCTATGGTAGGCAAGATAACACCCCCTGCCCCACCGCCCCAATCCCTGGAACCAGTGAATATATCAGATTACATGGCAAGGGGGACTTATATATGATATGAGAAACATTCAGCCTTCCATTGCTGGCTTTGAAGATGGAGGAAGTGGACAATGAGCCAAGGAAGTCAAGTGACCTCTAGAAGCTGCAAAAGGCATGGAAGTGGATTCTCCCCTAGAGCCTGTAAAAGAAAACAGCCCTGCCAACACCTTGATTTTTTTTTTTTTTTTTTTTTTTTGAGACAGAGTTTTGCTCTTGTTGCCCAGGCTGGAGTGCAATGGTGCAATCTTGGCTCACCACAACCTCCACCTCCCGGGTTCAAGTGATTCTCCCGCCTCAGTCTCCCAAGTGGCTGGGATTACAGGCATGTGCCAACAAACTTGGCTAATCTTGTATTTTTAGTAGAGATGGGGTTTCTCCATGTTGGTGAGGCTGGTCTTGAACTCCCAACCTCAGGTGATCCGTCCATCTTGGCCTCCCAAAGTGCTGGGATTACAGGCGTGAGCCACCACATGTGGCACCAAGAGGTTGCCCAGCCAACATCTTGATTTTTAACCAGTGAGCCCTATGTCAGACTTTTACCCTACAGAACTCTAAGATCAAAAATTTGTACTGTTTCAAGCCACTAAATTTGTGGGAATTTGTTACAACAGCACTTGGATACTAATACAAACTCTTCTTAGGGTTCTGGGAGCAGTTATTTACGGTACAGAGATCAGGTGGGCTGTTAAATTATTTTCATATGGGAGAAAAGCCCACAGTTGGATCTGTAAACCTCCTTACTGGGAATTATCTCAGCCCTAAGAAGTTCCTTCTTAATCACTCCCACTAAAATAAGGGATGTGGTAAGAATGCCAATCAATCAGCATCCTTTCTGTAGTATTTACCACGATGGAATGAGATCAGGCTGAAAGTATTCACATTAGGGCACTTAAAATGTACCAAAGATCTGGCTATGGTGCTTACCCTGTGTTTCCTCCCACCAGTCTGTTGAACAGGAAGTTCAACATCACCAGATTCTCTGACAAAAACACCAGAGGAATTACAGAGAACGTTTTTTCCCAGATGCGATCTATTGTTTTATCACCAAGCAATCACATACCACATTGTTTAAATATATTGCCCCATATGTAACACAGTGTTTCTGACTGAGCACCTTGGATCAACTGGGAAGAGTTAAACACAGGAATGCTTAGGTCCAACATTGAAACAATTAAGACAGGATTTCTGGGAGTGGGACCTAAGCAAGGATATTTTTCTGAAGCTCCCTAGATGGCTCTGATGCAAAGTGAAGATTGAGAACTACTGGTGCGATGATTATGTATGCCAGAGACCATGACTTTAAGTTCTTATAAAGGAATAAGGTAGTACATAATAGGGATAATATTACAAAAAACCAAACGTACAAATAGACTTGTTCTTGCACACTTAAGAGAGATCCTTGGAACAATCCTCCATTAAGAAACTACGACACTACCATGAAATAATTTTTCATCCTTATAGAAAGCAGGTAAGATTGACTAATAGACCACAACTACTGTCTACATTCTCAAAATCCATGTGCCTTTCCAAAATTAGCTACGTAACTACAGTGAGAGAGAAAAAAAAATGTGAGTAAATGTCTTGTGAAAAATTCCACTTGGTTTGGAAAAATTTTTGCCTGCTTTTCCACATTTTCTAAGAAGAATCTAAAGATCTTGGCCAACAGTGTCCCAGGTAAGAGAAAATCGTGCTTGGGTATTTCCATAGTTCTACAAACTCTACCTGGATAAAAGTAATGAAAGAGGTCCTAAGAAGCTTGACCGCACTGTGATCACCACCATGGGCACTATACCAGCTCTGAAGCCCAGAACTGTCTTTGAGAATATTCAATGCTGCCCTAGAAGAAATAGGAGAACAAAACTCACGTGTTCCTAGCCTGCAAAACAGTCGGTGGAGCACGTATATGTAAAAATAGAAAAGGCTGGCAAGACCAGGTCATATTTAATATTCATGAGGCACAAGATATACAACACGCACTTAATATTCATTAATCAGTATATATTCATAATATACTAAATATACAGGAGATATTAAACGTTCACGGGTCTTAATTCTGCCACCCAGTGGAGACACTCAAAAGTGATCTCGCCAAAGAAATGCAAAACCTGTACCTGCCCACCAGGCTATTAGCATGCTACTGCTGTGGCCACCATTCTTTCACTGCATCGCCCTGCCCTGCATCGGAATATAGCACCTTGAACACGGGATCAGGTTTACTGAATTCTGTGACCCACGCTGGGAGCTCAATAAATGTTTGCTAAACGGAAATGAACCCAATTCAGACCGTGTAGAAACCCCAGATTATATCTTTTCTCCAAACATTCAATTTCCAAGCAGTATTTTTGAAAATGCGTGATGGCTAAATTCGAGTTATCCTTTTTGTATGTATGTTAGGCACACAACCGGCGATGACATACAAGGCGAGGTGACACCACTGCACTCCCAGCCCGCACGTCACCTATAAGCACAGGGGGCTTTTGGTGCTGGTTTATTTTTGAAGGCTGGTACTTCTCTTCGATCTAAGTTTTAGGAACCTGTGCTCGTCGACGGCTGCCAATACTTTTTATTTTCAAGGCTGACGCTCGCCAGAGTTTCACAAGCTGCTCCCGGACGCTGTGGTCTCTCGCTAGAGTGGATCCGAACTCTGCGTGACGCTGGGAACGGCCAGCGTCTGTTGCCTCACGAAAACATCTCCCACAAGGTGGCCGCCTCGCGCGAGGTCAGCAGCAGGGCAAACAGGGATGCGTGAGTGACTGACGTGAGCTAATCGCTAATGACAGGCTTCACAGCCCCGGCGGCCCTCAGAGCCAGGCACCTCGCACCCCTCCTCCTCCTCGAGACCCAGTCCCGGCCCGCCCACCGTTCCCACGCCGCCCAATAGGCGCCGACGCTACTCAGCGAGTGGCCGGAGGAGGAGGTGTTGGGACGGCCGGACGCTGAACGGCCGTTCACGTCAACGTAGTGACGTCACGCGTCGACGCTGGGGCGTACCTTTCGGGCTCCTGACTCCTGCCGCTTCTCTTCCCCTTCCGTGGGTCAGGGCCGGTCCGGTCCGGAACCTGCAGCCCCTTTCCCAGTGTTCTAGTTCGCCCGTGACCCGGAATAATGAGCAAGGAGGGTGTGGTGGGTTGAAAGCCATCCTACTTTACTCCCGAGTTAGAGCATGGATTCAGTTTTAGTCTTAAGGGGGAAGTGAGATTGGAGATTTTTATTTTTAATTTTGGGCAGAAGCAGGTTGACTCTAGGGATCTCCAGAGCGAGAGGATTTAACTTCATGTTGCTCCCGTGTTTGAAGGAGGACAATAAAAGTCCCACCGGGCAAAATTTTCGTAACCTCTGCGGTAGAAAACGTCAGGTATCTTTTAAATCGCGATAGTTTTCGCTGTGTCAGGCTTTCTTCGGTGGAGCTCCGAGGGTAGCTAGGTTCTAGGTTTGAAACAGATGCAGAATCCAAAGGCAGCGCAAAAAACAGCCACCGATTTTGCTATGTCTCTGAGCTGCGAGGTGAGTTGCATTGTATGAGCGAAGAGTTGTCAGCTCTCCTGTTCACAGATTTTGGGTCAACTGTGAGGCCACAGCGCTCATCTTGGTTTCTCTTACAATGTACCTACATAATGTTGAAAGGTACATCGTGAATTGGGATGCTAACCCATCCTGATTAGGTATATACCCTCAGACATTCTTTAAAATTTCACACATCTGCTTCAGGAACCGTCGAAGGACCTCTGAATAAAATGGAAGTGGGTTCCAGGAGAAGATTAACTTTAAACTTAGAGGAGTGGGTTTTACTTTCGCTAAATTTTCCCCAATTTAAAAATAATATTCAGTTTTTCTATCTTTAGATATATATGTATGTAAAATATTTTTTGTGTATATATATTTGTGGTTTGATCTTAAACTTGACCAGAAACTGCCTTAGAATCTCAGAAATTGACTTTGCATGTGGTATGCTTTGTTTGTATGGCATTTTAAAACTGCGGAGCATATAGAAGATAATTACATATGCATTGTGCATATTAGAAACTGAGATTTCTGTTTCCTTTAGAAAGAAATTCCTGTTCATGGAATTGAATCAACAGCGACCATACCTTTTACACAGATATATAATTCAAAAGTTCAGTTCTACAAACGTAAACTTTTGGAGCTATGCAGTTCAGTTACTGCAGCATCATTGTGGCTTGTATAATTGTTGAATCTTTCCAGAAATGCTTTTACTTTCATCTTTAAAGAGTTAATTTAGAAGATTTTTTTTTATGAGGTCGGTATGGAAATAACTGCGTCCCTTTGTGAGTCACTACAAAATAATATTTGTTCAGTTCAGGAGTACATATGGGAGTTAAAGTGCTTGTGTATAAATTGTTGACTTTCATCTTAAAAGGTGCTGCTGCTATTCAGTGTCTTGTTCTATAATATGGCTTTAAAAACCATGTGTGTGACCTACAGATATTTTCTCAACTTGAATATGCGTATATGGCCTCTGGTTAATACAGACAGCCACTGTTGGCAGAATTCATCACAGATTGCATACCCTTCCCACCCCTTACTCCCCTCAGCACCTCGAAAACTTTGCTGCTTTACTTGAATGATGAGTCACATTATTTTAAGAAGTCAATATGAATGTATAGTACCTACATTTTTACTTGGAAATTGTACTTCAGTATGTGTTATCAGTCATACATAGCTCATTAAGAATGTAAATATTTAAACTACTTTTGGATAGATGTGGTTCAGGGGAACAGATTTGTTGATGTTGTGGGTTTGTGTTAGTAAATTGGCTATTTTCCAGGTCATGTTAGTGGTAGGCTTTCCATTTCCTGTTGTGACATGTTGGTCATAATTTTCAGACGGCTCAGGAAGCCAGATTTGATCTCTGTGGTGGGTCTTATATCAAAGCAGTATCCTGTGGGGTTTGGCCACTATCGCTGTTTTGTAGAACTTCCAACTTAGTTTGGTAGTCAAACTTGTCAGCAGTGATCTAAAATGTATAATATTTTATAATAAGTGTTAATATTTGTTGAATGCATTCTGTGTTTTCAGGCTCTTTTCCAAGTAATTTTTGTGAATTATCTCAATTTTCACACTAACCCCACGAAGTAGGTACTTTCACTAATCCCGTTTTACATTCGTAGAAACTGAGGCACAGAAAATTTAACTAACTTGCCCTACAGTAACTGTCAGAACTGAGACTGAAGCCTGGGAGTATGATTTCAGAGTTCCTGCTCTCTGCTGCACCATAGTGTAGTTTAGAATAGTCAAAATGCTAGAGAAAAACAAGGAGGGACGTGGCTTGTAGGTTCAATTATAAAAGCAATGTAAAATTACAGAGAGTCTGGGAAACAGTGTTTTTAAAAGGAATACTCATAATCTTACTACTCTAATAAACATTTTAATTTTTTAAATATGCACATTCACATCTGTACATAAACATTGTAGCTGTGATTCATTTTGGTTCTTAAAGATAAATCTTCAGTGAAGTTTAATATGGAGATTGAACCCCACTGCCTCACTTTCATTGTTGAAATCCAGAGAGATTTGATCTGCAACTTTGACTGGAACCAAGTTAAATAAATATATTTCTTGCTATTTCTTGTGAGAAATAATCGAACAGTTTCTGTCTTTTAAAATCATGAAGACTATTTAGTTTTCAAAGTTTCTGTCTTCCACAGCAACTTTTTATTGGTTTATTGTTTTATCTTTCTTCCTTGTTATAATCTGAGTGTTATATTTGTATGTGTGTTTATTCCGTTGTCCTCTTGAAAGCCTCTAGCATTTATACCCGCTGCCCCTGAGGAATTTGGGTTTTTTTGTCTGTTTTTATTTATTTTTAATTGACAGATAATCATTGTGTATATTTATGGGGTTCAATGTGATGTTTTGATAAATGTATATTTTGTAGAAAGGTTAAATCAAGCAAATTAACACGTCCATCATATCACCTACTTGCCATTTGTTTGTGGTGAGAACGTTTAAAATTAACTTTTAGCAATTTTGAGGTATATAGTACATTATTATTAATTATAGTCACCGTGGCATGCAATAGATCTCTAAAACTTACTCCTCTAACTGAAACTTGGTATTCTTTGACTAACCTCTCTCCTTTCCTTTTTCCCCCTTCTCCCTAGCCTTTGTAGACCACCATTCTGCTCTCTGCCTCCCTGAGTTTGACTTTTTTTTTTAGATTTTACACATATGTGAGATCATGCAGTATTTGTTTTTTTGTGTCTTATTTATTTCACTTAGCATTATGTCCTCCGGGTTAATCTACGTTTTTGAAAATGACATAATTTTCTTCCTTTTAAAGGCTGTATGGTATTCCATTCTGTATATATATTACATTTTCTTTATCCATTCATCATAGATCCTTTTAGATATCTCTAATATCGACCTTAAATGCAGAAGATGAATCACTGTATTGGAAGAAAGAAAAGTAATCCTATAAAATCAGTTTAAAATTAGGTCAGTATAGCAAGGATTAGATATGTTGATTTTACTTTGGGTACTCTGAGAACTTGATTTAAACTGAACCTTGCCCAGTGCTAATGTAATCAGTAGACCACACTAATTCCTATGGTATAGTAGTGACTTTTTTTTTGAGATAGACTCTTGTTCTGTTACCCCAGCTGGAGTGTAGTGGTGCAATCTCTGCTCACTGCAACCTCTGCCTCCTGGGTTCAAGCGATTCTCATGCCTCAGCCTCTGGAGTAGCTGGGATTACAGGCACGCGCCACCACTCCTGGCTAATTTTTGTCTTTTTAGCAGAGACAAGGTTTTACCATGTTGGCCAGGCTGGTCTTGAACTCCTGACCTGAGGTGATCGACCCGCCTCGGCCACCCAAAGTGCTGGGATTACAGGCATGAGCCACCGTGCCGAGCCAATTTTTGTATTTTTAGTAGGGACAGGGTTTCACCCTGTTGGCCAGACTGGTCTCAAACTCCTGACCTCATGTGATCTGCCCACCTCGGCATCCCAAAGTGTTGGGATTACAGGCATGAGCCACTGCACTGGGCTGGAATACATACTAATTTTTAGAAAGCTATTACAGCATCCCTCTTGAGGAAAATGTATAATGTAATTTATGCTGAAGTCTACTGAAAGCTGTAGGGCCTATACAAATATAATGGCATTAATACAATAAAAACTGTGTTCATATTTATTATAATTTCTGGTACATTGTTAGCTATTCTATAAATGTTAGTAAATGAATAAGTTATGTTGAAATTCCTTTTCACATTTTTTTTTCTTTTGTTTGAGGCTCAGTCTTGCTCTTGTTGCCCAGGCTGGAGTGCAGTGGCGCGATCTCAGCTATCCTCAGTCTCTGCCTCCTGGGTTCAAGCTATTCTTCTGCCTCAGCCTCCTGAGTAGCTGGGATTACAGGTGCCCGCCACCATGCCCGGCTAATTTTTGTGCTTTTATTAGAGACGGGGTTTCCCCATGTTGGCCAGGCTGGTCTTGAACTCCTGACCCAGGTGATCTGCCCACTTCGGCCTCCCAAAGTGCTGGAATTACAGGTGTGAGCCACTGCACCTGGCCTCTTTTCACGTTTCAATCTGTGACTAGTACTTAGCACAGTTTTTACAATATTTATATGAAAATGCTCCTTACATACAAATGGCTAGCTCAGATTTTCACCTCTCTGCCATCGTTGCTCTTGAGACTTTTGTTCCATCTCTCTAGTTGCTGACATTGACAATCTTTTTCTTCTTTCACCCAGTTTATATCCACTTTTCTTTTTAGCTTAACAGAGAGTTGACTGACACACCTTTGGGAATTAGATGTGGTCCTCAGCTGTACCCAGTCAGTCTCCTTTATGGGAGAGACAAAACTTTGTTGGGAACCATGAAAAATTAGTGTGCATATCTCAGGCTGTGGATCCTTTCGCCACCCATTTCCATGGTTTTCCTATTTTTGCTCCCCTCCCCAAATTCTGGTGGCATATTGCTTAGTGTTTGCAGTTTTGGGGCTCAGGTCAGTGTAATGGAGGTAACCTTCTTTATAGTCTGACCTGGAATAGAAACTAAAGCCTCGACATATAATCCTAAAGTTGGAAAGAACACGCTGGTCTTGAGTTCTGTGAGTTGCAGGAGACTGAAATTTGTTTCTGCCAACTGTTTTCAGTTAATCAAGTTGGAACCTTAGTGGATATCTTAGATTCTTCTTTACCATTCCCTATATCTTATTAATTACCAGGTCCTCTTAAATATTTCTTCAAACTCTCTCTGCTTCTCAATATTGATGTGTCTTAGTGAGCAGGGTAAAATCACAGCCAAAGTATTTTTTAATTCTCTCACTCAACACAACAATAATTAACACAGAAGACTTCTGTGACCAGATGCTTGGGGGTTTCTCCCCCCACAGCAACCAACCAGTTAGTTCTGCAGCAGATACCAACTGGGTGCCCCCCGGTTCCAATACGGTGTACCTGGAGGTAGTGTCAGACACCACTGGTTGAGGGCAGTTCCCAAAAGACTTCCCCCACTTCCAGTGCTAATCGCAAGCCCCAGGTTATTTTGATTTTGCCTGTGCTTCTGATAACACTGGCTATAAATCAGGGATCCCATGACCCCCCCACTCCTTACGTCCTTGGGTTCAATTAATGTGCTAGAGCAGCTCACAGAACTCAGAGAAACACTTACCGGTTTATTATAAAGGATGTTCAAAGGATACAGATGAACAGATGCATAGGGGGAGATAGGGGAAAGAGCATGGAGCTTCCATGCCTTCCCATGGTGCGCCACCTTCCAGGAGCCTCCAATGTTCAGCTATCCAGAAGCTCTCTGAATCCACTCCTTTTGGGTTTTTATGGAGGCTTCATTACATAGGCACAGTCAACAACTGTGTAGAAATGTGATTGGACAAAAAGAGTATGACCTAACAGCACTAATAGACCCAGTGGGGAAACCCAGCAAGGCCTGCCTGTCCAACTTCTTCTGCCTGTCTGCAGCATTCCTTCTTCCAGGGTCTGGGGCAAGCTCCCTTCTAAAGGGAAGGTCTTATGACCCACAGTCAGACAGGCTGTGGAAGATTAGAGTTCTGCCTTGGGTTGGTGGAAAGGAGGGCAGGAAAAGGTCAGCAAGAGAAGAGATTCTGTTTTCTGAGGTTTAATGTGCCCCAACATTATACAAAAGACTGTAGTAAGGCCAGGCACAGTGGCTTACCTCTGTAATCCCATCACTTTGGAAGGCCGATGTGGGCGGATCACTTGAGGCCAGGAGTTCGAGACCAGCCTGGCCAACATAGTGAAATCCTGTCTCTACTTATATAAAATTAAATTTAATATTAAAAAAGAATGTAATAAGAGCTGTGGGACTTATAAACCAGGAACCATGGATGAAAACCAATATATATCATATCACTCTTAATTCAGTTATGCCCTATCTTACGTTTAGAATTGTTCAGACGTCTAGTCTCATCTCCAGCTTCTCTATCTGTAGTCCTTCAGTCTCTTACCCTTCTTATCTGGCTTTCACACTGCTGCTAGTGTTGGCTTACTAAAATTCATGTCTGATCATGTGATTTCTCTAAAGTTCTTCATGGTTTCCCCTGTGTATAGATGAGTATGTAAGTTTCTTAGTGTGACACATGAACCCCTCCCCTTCATGATCTGGCCTATGTCTGCCTCTGTAGCTACTCTCTGGTCCTTTACCTCTTACATAAGCTACCCAAGCAGGTTTTACTATGATGCTTTTATGCTGTTGCGCATACTTTTTTTGTGTGTGTGCCTGTATTGACTTTTTACCTCACAGCCCAATTAATTTATCCTAATTCTTCAATATTTTGCTAAAATATTCCCTCTATTAAGTGCTTACGGACTGTGTGCCAGCCAGCTTGCTTACTTTTCTCAGGTTTATCAAATACATTGTATGTACCTCTCCTGTGATGTGTATCATACCATATTGTTGTTACTTGTTGATGTCTGTCACCTTCACTGCCTTAGGAACAGAAACCATATCTTATTCATTACCCTAGCATCTGGCTTTGTGCCTGGTACATGCTAAGTGTGCAGTCAATGATTATCAAATAAATTAATAAATGACTCCAAAAACTAGCTTTGAATACTAGATAAATGGTGATCCTGTAAACTGAGATAGGAAAAGTAGGAGGACAAGGACTTTTGGGGCAAATATTTATTTAGTTTAGGTCTTGTTGAGTTTTAGCTCTTTTACAACATCAAGGAAGACATGTACCATTTATTTCTTATACATTTGTTATTTATTCATACAATATAATTAACCCAACAAGATTTTTTTTAGATATGGACAAGATTATTCTAAAATTTACATGAAAAGGCAATGAAAAAGAAGAATAAGGTGTGAAAGATCAATCTACTCAATTTCAAGACTTATTATGTAGTTACAGTAATCAAGACTGTGTGGTATGGGCATAGATAAAGACACAGATCCGTGGAACAGAACAGAGAACTCTGAAATAGATCCACATAAATATACCTAGTTTTTGTCAAAAGCATGAAAACAGTTCAACGGAGGTAGATAACTTTTTCAACAGTTGGTACTGGAGCAATTAGACATCCATACACTGTCCCATTCCCAACCCCCCAATAAAGGAACCTCAACCTATGTCTCATACCCTGTGCATGCACAAATTAAAATGGATCACAGACTGAAATATAAAAATATTAAACTATAAAATTTTAGGAAAAATAGAAGAAAATTTTGGGGAGGTAGGGTTAGGCATATGTTTCTTTGACTTGCCACCAAAAGAATACTCCTTAAAGGCAAAATTGATAAATTAAACTTCATCAAAATTAAGTATTTTTGCTCTGTTATAGACCCTGTTAAAAAGATGAAAAGATAAACTAGAGAGGGGAGAAAATATTTGCAGACAACACAACTGACAAATAACTAGTATCTGTAATATATAAAGAACTCTTAAAAGTCAACAGTATGAAAGCAGTCCAGCTAGAAAACGGACAAAAGACATAGTCATTTCACTGAAGAGGATTACACATATAGCAAATGAGCACATAAAAAATGTTCAGCATCATTACCCATTAGGGAGATGCAGATTAAAGCAACAAGATACTACCGTACATCTATCAGAATAGCTAAAATAAGAAATAGTGACAACACCAAATGCTGGCAACGAGGTCAAGAAACTGGATCACTCATACATTGTTGGTAGAAATGTACAATGGTACAGCCACTCTGGAAAACAATTTGGCAGTTTCTTTAAAAAACAAATATGTGACTACTGTATGACCCAACTATTGTACTCTGACATTTAGCCCAAAGAAATAAAGGCTATTCATTTTCAAAAACCTGTACATGCATGTTTGTAGCAGCTTTATTCATAGTCACCAAAACATAGAAACAAGCCAGATGTTCTTCAGTGGGTGAATGGTTAAACAAACTGTGGCATATCTGTTATCATAGACTACTCTGATAAAAAGGAAGGAACTATTGACACATGTAACACCCTGGATGAATCTCCAGAGAATTGTGCTGAGAACAAAGAGTTAATCCCCATATCATATCATTTATATAACATTCTTGAACTGGCAAAATTATTGAAGTAGAAAACAGACTATGGGTTGCTAGGGGTTAAGGAGGGATGGCCATAAAACGGCAACATGAGAGATACCTGTGGTGATGGAATATTCTGTATCTTGACTGTATCAATGTCCTTATCTTGATTGTGATATTGTACTATAGTTTTGCGAGATGTTCCCATTAATGGAAACTGGGTAAAAGATATACAGGATTTTTTTCTGTATTATTTATTGTAACTACATGTGGAACCACAATTATCTCAAAATAAAAATTTAATTAAAAAAATTGAACATCTACTGTGACACATTTTTTTTTTTTGAGGCAGATCTTGCTCAGTTGCCCAGGCTGGAGTGCAGTGAGTGGTGTGATCTCAGCTCACTGCAACCTCTGCCTCCTGGGCTCAAGTGATTCTTCTGCCTCGGCCTCCTGAGTAGCTGGGATTACAGGCACTCACCACTATGCCCGGCTAATTTTTGTATTTTTAGTAGAGACGGGGTTTCACCATGTTGGCCATGCTGGTCTTGAACTCCTGACCTCAGGTGATCTGCCCTCCTGGGCCTCTTAAAGTGCCGAGATTACAGCTGTGAGCCACTGCGCCTGGTCTAATGTGACATATTTTGCTAACCATTGAGTATACAGTGTTGAGCAAAAATTGAGTGTCAGACCTCATGACACGTTCTACAATGGCAGACAGATATTAAATAATCACAGAAATAAATTTAATATTCAACTGTGGTAAGTGCTGTAAAAGAGAGCTATAAGAACTAATAATGAGAAAATTTGATCCAGATAGTAAGTGGGTCAGCGAAGCTTTGCTTACTAACTGCATGACTTTGGGCGAGTTATTTACATGCTTTGTGCCTCAGTTCCTCATTTTTAGTGGGGACAATAATAGCACCTATTCTTTAAGGTTGTCATATATTTAATATGAATATTAAATGAATGAATTTGTAAAGGGCTTAAGATATTGCCTAGCATATAGTAAGCTCTGGTTAAGAGTTTGTTAAATAAAGGGATACTTGATGTAAGACCTTGTAAGAAAAATGAGTAGGAGAGTTAATTCTTTTTTATTTTTACAATTTCAACTTTTATTTTAGATGTGCAGGTTTATTCCATGGGTATACAGCATGATGCTGCGGTTTGGGGTACAGTTGTACCCATTACCCAGGAAGTGGGTATAGTGCTCAACAGTTTTTCAGCCCTTGCTTCCTTCCCTACATTGCCCGCGCTGGTAGTCCTCAGTGACTATTGTTGCCATCTGTACATCTGTGAGTACCTGATGTTAAAGCTCCCACTTAAAATGAGAACATGCTGTATTTGGTTTTCTGTTACTGTGTTAATTCACTTAGGATAATGGTCTCCAGCAGCATCCCCATTGCTGCAAAGGACTTGATTTTATTCTTTTTATGGCTGTGTAGTGTTCCATGGTGTATATGTACCATATTTTCTTTTCTTTCCTTTTTTTATTTTTATTTTTTTTTGAGACAGAGTCTTGTTCTGTCGCCCAGGCTGGAGTGCAGTGGCACGATCTTGGCTCACTGCAAACTCTGCCTTCTAGGTTCAAGCAATTCTCCTGCCTCAGCCTCCCGAGTAGCTGGAATTACAGACACCTGCCATCACTCCCGGCTAATTTTTGTATTTTTTTAGTACAGGGTTTCACCATGTTGGCCAGGTTGGTCTTGAACTTCTGACCTCAGGTGATCCGCCAGCCTTGGCCTCCCAAAGTGCTGGGATTACAGGCGTGAGCCACCGCACCCAGCCTGTACCATATTTTCTTTATCCAGTCCACTATTGATGAGCACCTAGGTTGATTCTGTGTTTTTGCTATTGTGGGTAGTGCTGTGATGAACATATAAGCACATGTGTCTTTTATGTAGAACAATTTATTTTCTTTTGGGTATATACCCAGTAATGGCATTGCTGGGTCAAATGGTATTTCTGTTTTAAGTTCTTTGATAAATCTCCAAACTGCTTTCCACAGGGGCTGAGCCAATTTACATTCCCACTGACAGTGTATAAGCATTCCATAGCCTTGCCAGCATCTGTTGTTTTTTGGCTTTTTAATAATAGCCATCCTGACTGGTGTGAGATGGTGTTTCATTGTGGTTTTGATTTCCATTTCTCTAATGATTAGTGACGTTGGGCATTTTTTCATCTGCTTGTTGGACAGTTGTATATCTTAATTTGAGAAGTATCTGTTCATGTCCTTGCCTACTTTTTTTGTTTGTTTGTTGGAGACGGAGTCTTGCTCTGTTGTCGCCCAGGCTGGAGTGCAGTGGCGCAATCTCGGCTCACTGCAAGCTCCGCCTCCTGGTTTCACGCCATTCTCCTGCCCCAGCCTCCGGAGTAGCTGGGACTACAGGCGCCCACCACCACGCCCGGCTAATTTTTTTTGTATTTTTAGTAGAGACGGGGTTTCACCATGTTAGCCAGGATGGTCTTGATCTCCTGACCTCGTGATCCGCCCACCTAGGCCTCCCAAAGTGCTGGGGTTACAGGCGTGAGCCACCGCGCCCGGCCGTCTTTGCCCACTTTTTAATAATGTTGTTTTTTGCTTGTTGAATTGTTTGCTTCTTGTAGATTGTAGATATTAGACCTTTGTCAGACGTTAGCTAGATTAACAGAGAAAGAGACAAGATCCAAATCACCACACAATCAGAAACAACAAAGGTGACATTACAACCAATCCCATGGAAATACAAAAGATCCCCAGAGACTATTATGAACACATCTGTAAACACGAACTAGAAAATCTAGAGGAAATGGGTAAATTCTGGAAACAGCCTCCCAAGATTAAATCAGGATGAAATTGAAATCCTGAACAGACCAATATCGAGTTCCAAAATGGAATCGGTAATAAAAAATCTACCAACCAGAAAAGCCCTGGACCAGATGTATTCATAGCTGAATTCTATCAGATGTACAAAGAAAGCTGGTACCAATTCTACTGAAACGACTCCAAAAAATGAGGAGGGGCTCCTCCTTAACTCATTCCAGCTTCACCCCGATACCAAAACCTGGCAAAGACACAATGAAAAAGGAAAAGTACAGGTCAATATCCCTGATGAACATAGATGTAAAAACCTTCAACAAAATATTAAGAGAGTGAGTTGTTAAAGAGAAGAGGGTATGATCCAGGCAGAGGGAGCAACAAAGGCCTTGGGGCAGGAGTCAGGAAAGAGCTTGATAGGACTGAGAGATTGAAAGATCAGTGAGTCTAGAGTACTTCAGGAAGTACATACTTCTCAAAGTAAGATATACAACTGGCCAACAAGCATGTGAAAAAATGCTCAACATCACTAATGATTAGCGAAATGGAAATCAAAACCACAGTGAGACACCATCTCACGCCAGTCAGAATGGCTATTAAAAGAAGCTGGGGCCAGGCGCGGTGGCTCAGGCCTGTAATACCAGCAATTTGGGAGGCCGAGGCGGGCGGATCACGAGGTCAGGAGATTGAGACCATGGTGAAACCCCGTCTCTACTAAAAACACAAAAAATTAGCCGGGCGCAGTGGCGGGCGCCTGTAGTCCCAGGTACTCGGGAGGCTGAGGCAGAAGAATGGCCTGAACCCAGGAGGCGGAGTTTGCAGTGAGCAGCGATCGCGCCACTGCACTCCAGCCTGGGTGACAGAGCGAGACTCCATCTCAAAAAAAAAAAAAAAAAAAAAAAAAAGTGCTGGGGAACTAGCAGGGGTTGGGCTGCATAGAACTTTTTCTGCTATATTAAAGAGTTTGTTTCTTAAGGGTAGCAGGAAATGATTAAGAGATGTTAACATGGAATGGAGAGAGATTATGAGCAAACTTACTTTTTGGAAAAAAAAACTGTGCTGGCTGCAGTGTCATCAGATTCGAAGGAAGCAAAATAATTGCACGTAGATAATATAGGAATTTATTAGGTAAACGAGGCCTTATTACTGGAAGTTTTCATAGTTTATCTCTGATTATTATTATTACTTTGTTTGAGACAGAGTCTCACTCTGTTTCCCAGGCTGGAGTGCAGTGGCATAATCTCAGCTCACTGCAACTGCCGCCTCTCTGGCTCAAGCGATTTTCATGCCTCAGGCTCCTTAGTAGCTGGGGTTACAGGCGGCTGCCACCACGCCCGGCTAATTTTTTATTTTTAATAGAGATGGGGTTCACCACCATGGCCAGGTGGGTCTTGAGCTCTTGACCTCAAGCGATCCAGCTGCCTCGGCCTCCCAAAGTGCTGGAACTACAGGCATGCGCCACCACACCCAGCTTATCTCTAATTTTTATAATTTTGTAAGAATATATTTACAAGCTACTGTGTATCTATTACAATGTTTTGAAATGATTATAAGTATATTTTTGGTGATTAAAATGGAAAAGGTGACTTTGCATTATTTTTTTTAAATATGTAAAATTTCATCTGCTGTGTTAGAGTCTAAATAGCCTTTTGTGCCCAAGCCTGGGAATTGGGTTTAGAACCTGAAAATATTTAACACTAGTGTTCAGATTTCCTTCTGTTATATGTCCTTTATGCTACTATAGAAATTTGAATATTTTATAGCAGTGCTGTTCAATAAAAGTGTTAGTGCTGCAAATGCAAGCCACATAGGTAATTTTTAATTTTTCAGTAGCCACATTAAAAAGGTAAAAAGAAAGTGGTGAGATTCATTTCAAATATATTTTATTTAACCCAATGGATCTAAAATATTTCAACATGTAATCAGTATAAAATTTCTAGTCAAATATTTGACATCCTTTTTAAATATTAAGTCTTAGAAATCTGGTAGGTATTTTACACTTAGAGCACATTTCAGTTTGGACCAGCCATGTTTCAATGGCTCGATAGCCGTATGTATGCTGGCTGCTGCATCAGTCAGTACAGCTCTATAGGTTTCTGGGTTAATACGTGGAATAGTTTTTTTTTTTTATCTTAAGTTATCAAATTTATAGAAATAGAAACCCATGCAGGCCTGGGTTTAATTGGTTTATTTGGAGCAGAGTTGCATGCTTGTGTTACAAAGAATGATCTGCAGGCTAGGTGTCTCAAAGGTATTATGAAATTAATTTTTTTAACGGAAATAGTTAAATTTCCAGTTACCACTTACGATTTTTGAGAGACTTTTAGGGATAAAATGGAGGAGATATATTGGAATTTGCTGATTGAAGTATTAACACATAAAAAGGTTTAATGATTTTACAGAGATTTCTTAGTGCTGTGTAGCCTCTAGCTAATGTTCACTGAAATGTTATCATATGTATTAAGCCCTTCTATTCTGTAAAGAAATAAAAACAGAGTGTCTGTGTTCTTCACAAAAATCTTAGCATACATGCTTTGATACATCAAAATTAAATGATTCTTAAGCTATTAATGTTTATGTTTTTAAAAGCCTTTTGGTAATTTTCTCAAAAGCCACATAATATTTAATTTGTTTGCCTCTATGGAACTGCAGATTTCTTAGTATGAACAACTACTTTCATACTTTCCTATTGTTTTAATTAATATACTCTAACAAATCTCATCTCAGTATAATATGCCATCTTTGGTAGCGATAACTATAAAACATTCATAAAGTTGCAAAGCAGCAAGTATTTACATTTTTCTTTTTTAATTTGCTAATTTTGGTTATTCCTCCAAGAACAGTTTAATACTCTTGGAGAGAGGATTTTTTTTTAAATTGAAAACTGAATACATTTCTCTTTTTGACCTCATTAATTGAATAGTTTGACATTTGTTGTTCTTACACTGTGCCAGTCATTATGCCAGATGTGGAGAGCAGAGGCATGCTCTCAAGGAGCTCTCAAAACTTCACCTTTTTCAAAGTGATCTTTAAGTTAGGAAATTTATATAATCTGTTTAAAAGATATTTATTGTCAGTAATAGTCTAGTTTTCTAAAACTTCATAAATACCTTTTTGTTATTAAAGCTCTTTGAGGTTATCTTTCCATTTGCAGAAGGAAAATTTACTGAGTAGAAGAGATTGTCTTAAAACACTCCACGTCTTCAGTGTTAGAATTCACTGCTAGAATTCATCACTGGAATTGAACTGTGCTTACTTTAGTCTTCATCTGTCATTTTCTGTGTGTACTTACTAGGCCATATCTGCTAAGTCTTGTTTTACAAGGCTTACTGGTTTGACTGCTTTTATGACTGCATCTTTCAAGTCCCACCCATGCAGCTTAAAAGTCTATTACTAATGTCCCCATACTTATGTTGAACTCTTATTTTGGTGTTGAGTAAGTAAGTGGAGGTATTTAAAAATCAAACTAGTTAGGAGTAATACAGATTTAAGAATATGGAGAGTAAGAACAATGAAAACATACCCTTTTTTGATTTGTTGCCTGTTACCATTTTATCAGTGGCTAATGTTTGACCATAGGCTCTGAAGATTTAAATTTTAAAAGGATGAAAGGAGAATGAAATAAATATTTTAAAATTTTTTAATTGTAGTATTTATTTTTAAAATCAGGTTGTACTTACACCTCTTACACCTGATAAAATATTCAAAAGGGGCAGTCTGTCTTTCAAACCTTGTACTTCAGCCATCTTGTTCCCTACCCTTTGGGCAACTTACTTGGAACTCTCTCCTGAGACAAATCTATACATACACAAGCAAAAATGTAAATATACGTTACATTTTTCAACTTAACAATTGGAGATCTACCTGGAGAAATTCTTCATTCTTTTTTACAACTGTATAATGAGAATAAAATTATTACCTCACCCCAAAATACTTAATAAAGGTAACTATTGTTACAGTGAATACGCTTAATTTTTTTTAGCACATAGATCATAACTTTCCTTTTGTGATGTTAAACTAGATGATTTTTATTGTATGTTTGAAAAATGTTAAAACTACTTTTTCCCCCCCACAGATAATCAGACAGCTAAATGGAGTCTGAGCAGCTGTTCCATAGAGGCTACTATAGAAACAGCTACAACAGTATAACAAGTGCAAGTAGTGATGAGGAACTTTTAGATGGAGCAGGTGTTATTATGGACTTTCAAACATCTGAAGATGACAATTTATTAGATGGTGACACTGCAGTTGGTAAGTTCAGCATGACAGCCTAATGTTTGTATTCATGAATATCCACTAATAAATATGTACACTATTTTATTGAGGTTGAATTTTTCAGTAACTTTAAAAATTTGAGATCAAATTTACATAACATAAACTTAACCATTGTAAAGTGTGGAACTGAGTGGCATTTAGCAGGTTCACAGTGTTGTGCAACTACCGTTTCTATCTCGTTCCAAACATTCTCACCACCCCAAAAGAAACTACTACATTTAAGGGTAAGCTTTTAAATATAATGTAATACAGAGAGGTGTGCAATCATCACATCTTAGTGTGGAAATTGATGAATTCCTACAAAGTGAACATTTATTATATAACTACTCCTCAATCAAGAAGTAAAACATTACCAGTAGTTTCAGAATCCTTCCTTGTTCCACCTTCAGTTTCAATATTATTTTGATTTCTATCTAGATTAATTTTGCAAGTATTTAAACTTTATGTATGTGGAATTCATACTGTGTACTCTTTTATGTCTGTGGCTTTTACTTACGTTTCAAAATCATCTATATTGTCGTGTATAGCAATAGTTAACGTATTTTCATTGTTGGTGTAGTGTCCCATTGTGTAAACATGCTTCAATTTATTTAGTTATTCTACACTGATATTTCATTATTTGGTTTTTTTTTTTTTTTTCATATTTTGGCTATTGCTAACAGTGCCACTATGAATTGTCATGTGCATATGTTTTAGTGCACATTATGTACACAGTTCTGTATGATTTATATCACAGAATGGAATGCTTAGATCATAGAATATGTATATCTCAGCATTATCAGATACTATCAGAGATACTTCCATTTCTTTTTTTTTTGTCAATTACCCTATTCAAAGATACTACCAAAGTGGATATAGCATGTACATTTCTACTAGCAATGTGTGAGAATACTAGTTACTCCACATCTTCACCTATACATGATAACAGTTTTTAAAAAATTGGCTATTCCAGTGTGGTTGCAGTAGTCTCTCATTTTGGTTTCAATTTATGTTTACTTGATGATTTATGAGTTTAAATGCCTTTTTGTGTGTTTATTGGCTTTTTAGATTGCCTCTTTTAAAGCACCTATTCAGTCCTTTTCCCTGTTTTATAGGAGTTCATTATGCATTCTGATTATGAATCCTTTTTCAGATACATGTACGGTATTGCAGTTATCTTCTCTCATTCTGTGGTATTTTTTTTACTCTCTTAAAGGAATCTTTTGGTGAAGATATCATCAATTCTAATGAAATCCAGCTAATCTTTTCCTTTATTCTAAGCCAGTCTCAGTCACTTATGCCTGCAATCCCAGCACTTTGGAAGGCCGAGGCAGGAGGATTGCTCGAGGCCAGGAGTTTGAGACCAACCTGGGCAACAAAGTGAGACTCTGTCTCTACAATAAAAATGGAAAAGAAAAAAAATTAGTTTTGATTGCACCACTGCACTCCTGCTAGGCACCAGAGCAAAACCCCGTCTCAAAAACCAAACAAACACCACCACCACCAACAACAACAACAAAAACTTTTTCTTTTCCTTTATTCTTAGTGTTTTTTTTTGTTCTGTTTAACAAGTCTTCCCATACCTCAAGGTCACAAAGATATTCTCCTGTTTTGTTCTAGAAGTTTTATTTTTGTGTATTCACATTTAGATCTGCCTACCTGCAGTTAATTTTTTAAATATGATGTGGGTTAAGAGTTCAGATTCATTTTTTTCCCATATGAATAACTAGTTGACCCCACACCATTTGTTGGAAAAAACTTTGCTTTTTCTAATGTACTACAGTGACATCTTTGTCATGTATCAAGTGGCTATATTTTTGTAGATCTGTTTCTGGACTTTCTACTGTGTTACATTGAAATAATTGTCTTATCCATATGCCAATGCCCAGGATATATATGAGTTTTGTTTTTTAAATTTGTTTTTGTCTTTTATTGATTTATAGTCTGTTTGCATTTAACATAATCACCAATATGTTTGGTTTCAGACCATCCTCTATTTGTTTTCTGTTTGTCACATCTGTTCTTTCCTCTCCCCTTATTTCTGTTACCTTCAAAACCTTGTTATATGTTCTCTTACTTTTTGTTCAGTAGGCTACCCTAGAGATTATTACATGTATCCTTGATTTATTAGTTCTAGGCATTGGTACTTTTACCACTTCATGGAAAATGCAGGGACTTCAGAATACTTTACCTCTTTTTACCCCTTTCTGCTTCCTTACCATTTTCTCACCAGGAAATAGGTCAAGAATGAAAATGGTTGAGACTATTGGGTTTTACCTTTCTTTGTTTCACTTCTTTTCAGAATATTGACACTTCAAGTTCTGGCTCCCTTGGATATTTACTGGTTTAAAATACAATATTTTGCTGTTATTTGTCATTTGCTGTCTTTATCACAGATTTTTTTTCTAATTTTAATGACAAAATTATAAACAAGAAAAATACATATATTCATAATTTGAAACAGGTGAAATTAATAGCATACCCATTTTTTCTGTGTTTAAATAGCTCTTTAGCCCTTTATGTGAGGCAGAAAATTAACTCCAGGAAGTAGAAAGATATAGGAAGAGCTGACTCCTTCCACCTTCCCACGTTGCCGTCAAGTGCTGGTGATGTCTTTACTCATGGTCTTCAACAGGAGAGAGTGCCAAGCAGTAAGGATGGGGCAAGGGCATAAAAAGGATCTATTTGTGTTGCTCTTTTATCAGGGAGGATAATTTTTCTAGAACCTTATCATTAGACTTCCTTATGTGTCACTGGCCATAATTGGGTCACATGCCCACCCCAAGACTGATAACTGGCAAAGGGGAATGAAATTACTGATTGGTTAGGACAATTATGATTCCTTCTCTGAAATTAGGCACTTTAACATGCAAACAAGAGGAAGGCCCAATTAGCAAGTATAAAGTTGGAATGACTATAGCGTAGGCAACCATTGGTGTTTTCTTTTCTTTTTTTGGAGACAGAGTCTCGCTCTTTTGCCTAGTCTGGAGTGCGGTGGTACAATGATGGCTAACTACAGCCTTTACCTCCTGGGCTCAAGAGATACTTGTGCCTCAGCCTTCTGAGTAGCTAGGACCACAGTTGCACACCACTAGACCCAGCTAATTTTTTAAAATTTTTTGTAACAATGGGGTCTCACTGTGTTGCCCAGGCTGGTTTTGAACTTTTAGGTTCGAACGATCCTCTTGCCTTGGCCTCCCAAAGTGCTGGGATTACAGGCATGAGCCACTGTGCCCAGTCTATTGGTAGTTTATATAAAGAGTCTGTCCTCAAAGTTAGTGTAGTTGAAGGTATAAGTTGTGGAGTAGCAGTCAAAAATAACTGTGTGAGTTTTAAATTCGGTGGTACAGATTCCAAATGTTACATGTCACCAAAAAAAGATATCATTTTGATATCCCTTTAGAATTGGGAAGGTTGTAAAGGGAAGATAATGCATGAAGATCCAGCAATAGGGATAATTATTATATATGTGAAACAGTGAATGTCCTTTTTTAAGACAGTGAATATTCTTTCTTTCAACATAGCTGATATTCTTCTGTTAACAGTAGCAGGGAGGGGAATGTCTTGGAAGAAGTTGGAGCCTCACATTAGGTCTCTCACTATGGGTTAAGGCAGATTTCAGAGGAAAAAACTTATTTCTGTTTCTGCTCAGTATCTGGGGAGTATGGAAGTGGTTAGTAAGTCAAGCAGTAATTCTTCGTGACTCCATATCTTTTTAGCATACCAAAAAATAACTATTACCAGAAGGTACTGATAGTGTTTTTTTGAATATGTGTTGAATGAAAATCCATGATGTTCAGTGGCTTTCAAGTTGGTGACCTGAATTTACATCCTGGTTCTGTCACTTATTCTCTCTCTAACTTTTGGCAAGTCACATAGCCTGTTTATACTTCAGTTTATTCCCACGTACAACATAGTAGTAAACTCCTAAATAATAAAGTCTTTAAATGATTGCTCTGAGAATTAAATGCATATAGAGATCTTAACAAATAATGCATATAGAATCCTTAGCAGTGTGACTGGCTTATGGTAAGGTAAGGACTCACTAAATAGTAGCTGTTTCTGTTTTCTTCTAGATTACTTTCCCTTTGGATATGTTAGACTCTGTACCCCCAACGTAAGCAGTTTTCTTTTATGTTCATGTTCAAATGAGATGTCAGTAACATCTCTACTAGTATTAATGAAAAGCTGTAGCTCTAGAACTCAAATATGACATCTGGATTAGGATTTAGCTTGTCAGAGATAAACTGCTTTGGAATCTACTGACTTCAGTAGATATCTGTTGCATAGCCCTTGCTTTGAAAGTAACTATGTGTACTTAATAATCTCAAAAATGTAATCAATCTGCTCAGAGTGAGTGCTAAACAATCTAGAGTACACTGATTAAAAAATAGAAGTTATTCTGTATAATGATGACTAGTAGTATCAGTCAGAAATGTCAGCTAGCAAAAAGCTGAAAAAGTAGGCCTGAAATGTGTTTATATTAGGTATATCTAATTTGAATGAGTCATTTTGGTCAATAATTCAGATTCCATGGAAAATGCAAAATTTTTTTATTGCAAGTAACAGGAAGGGAGAGCCAAGATTTTGTTGCCAGAGTTGTATTCATTAAAGAGAACCATATGGCTCTTGACTCATTGAAAATGAAGCACATGACTGTTCATGAGTGCAGCTTTAGAATTATTCTTATAATAGATAGTACTATCTTCACTTGAAGTAAGAGAAGTTATTGAGATTGACTGATGGGGTAAAAACTGTGATCAGCCATGTTTAAGCAAATTAACTTTCAGTAGTTAATTTATGTTGATAACGTGATTATGCTAGTAAGTTTAAAATTTAGGCGCCTATATCCTTTTTTATCACACCTGAAATGTTTACTTGACAACATCAAGGGTCTCCCAGGTTTCTGATTATGTATAGACTGAGAGGGAAATGTGAGAGGAGTAAGAGTTGAGAGGGCTCACTCCTAAGTGTTTGATTTCCTATCTATACATAACTTTAAAAAATAAAAATAAAAACAGCCTTGGAAGCTGGGTGCCTGTAGTCCCAGCTGCTTGGGAGGCTGAGGCAAGAGGATTGCTTGAGCCCAGGTATTCAAGGCTGTGGGGTGCTATGATCGCACCTGTGAATAGCCCCTGCACTCTGGCCTAGGCAACAGTGAAACCCAGTCTCTAAATAAAAATAAAAAACCTTTGGAAATACTAAAATGCAAATGTGAGGTTTTCTGATTTATTGGGAATCTTGGGGCATGTGATAACTGGGAATGGAATCCAGAGAAATTACATAGATTATTATATTCTACTTCCCATATATGTAACATTCTGAGCTTCAGAACTCAGAAACCACATAGTAGACGAGGCTCAGAGGTGGACTGTCCTGGTCAAGGTGTTGTGATCCTACCACCTGTGCTAAAACTTAAGCTACCTTCTGAGCTATTACAAGAGATTCCAGTATTTTCATTCAAATATCTATTGTTAGATTGAGCTTTATTCAAAATATTTGTAAGTTTATTCATCTGGTATTCTTCTGGGTGGCATATTCATAACTACTGCCTACACAAGACGTTTCAAAAGAAGAAGCTTGGCAAAGTAGATGCAGAGTGATAATGCCAGAAGCTGAGTGGCCATCTCTTAGTGTGAAGACACCTCCTAGAGTGAGGGTACACAACACAAATACAGGGTCCAGCCTTTCCTCCTGTAAACGCAGAAACATGGCATCAACATGAAACTAGCTGTCTCTAAGAGGCGGATTCATATTAACTAGGGTTTTAGATCTCATTAGGTAAAACCATAATACAAATGTATTTATAGTGAGAAATATACTAATAATCTACTTCATTCCAAAAAAGGATATAAAGCAACTTAAAGGGATAAACAGAATTCAATCATTTGCATAAGTATCTGACACAGATGAAGCAAAGGGAAAACAACTTGAGGTGACGTAAAATGTAGATATGAGACCAATAAAAGTTACCAATATACATTTTAAAATTTATTTTTTTTTTTAACTTTAAAAAATGTTTTGTAGAGATGGGATCTCACTATGTTGACCAGGCTAGTCTCAAACTCCTGGCCGCAAGCTCTCCTCCTGCCTCAGCCTCCCAAAGTGGTGGGATTATAAGTGTGATCCACCATGCCCGATTTACCAGTATACTTCTTGAGAGGAGACTACAAATTTGCCTCTAAACTTCATAGCAGCAAGTAAATAAAAGAACCTGTTTAGTTAAATGATTCAAAGTGTTTATAAAACAAAAACCTAACCAATTGTTCAGCAGACACCCTATTACTAATATTAAGATAAATCTCCGGTGACATTATGAAGTGTTTACTAGCTAGTGTATGAAACAGTGATTTTTAGGAATATGCTTGGAGTAAGCAGTAAAATTTCACAGGGCTTTGTTTTTTGTTTTTTGTTTTTGAGATGGGATCTGGCTCTGTTGCCCAGGCTCTCTTGCCAGACAGGGGTCTGACTCTGTCACACCCAGTGGCACGATCTCAGCTCATTCTAACCTCTGCCTCCCAGGCTCAAGCCATCCTCCCACCTCAGCCTCCTGAGTAGCTGGGACTACAGGTGTGCACCACCACACCTGGCTAATTGTTTTGTATTTTGTTTGTAGAGACGGGGTTTCTCCATGTTGCTCAGGCTGGTCTGCAACTCCTGGGCTCAAGCAATCTACCTGCCTTGGCCTTTCAAAGTGCTGGGACTACAGGCGTAAGCCACCGTGCCCGTCCTCACAGGGCTTTTATTATTAACATTCTTCAATATCTCCTACTTGAATCACAAGATTCCACAATGACACCATTATTATATAGTATAAACATTGATTATTTGTGATGTTCTGGTAGGATTCATAGGTGTATTTTAGACTATCTTCGAATAGATGGACTGTATAGAGAGTTTCAGGAGGTCATCAATGTATATTTTTTCTGAGGTTTGATATATATTAGGTAACAGTGATTTTAGAATTATAACAGAGCTATATTATAAAAGAGTATATTATTTACATTTAGCTAGTTTTTCTTTAGCAACAGAACACAACCCAGCTGAATGTAAGACTGAATAGAAGCCACCAGAAGTCATCTTAATGAAAAGTAAAGGCTATGCCAATGGGCAAAGTCAGGAGTCTTCATTCAAAATAAAATATATATATATTTTTGAGGCAGAGTTTTGCTCTTGTTGCCCAAGCTGGAGTGCAATGGCGCAATCTCTGCTCACTGCAACCTCTGCCTCCTAGGTTCAAGCAATTCTTCTGCTTCAGCCTCCCAAGTAGCTGGGATTACAGGCACGCACCACCATGCCTGGCTAATTTTTTGTATTTAGTAGAGACGGGGTTTCACCATGTTAGTCAAGCTGGTCTCAAACTCCTGACCTCAGGTTATCCACCCGCCTCGGCCTCCCAAAGTGTTAGGATTACAGGCGTGCACCACTGCGCCTGGCCTCAAAATAATTTTTTTAAAAAAATTCAGGGTCTCATTCTGTCATCCAGGCTGGGGTGCAGTGGCATGATCACAGCTCACTGCAGCCTCGACCTCCATGGACTCGAGTGATCCTCTCACCTCAGCCTCCCAAGTAGCTGGGACTATAGGCATATACTACCACACCCAGCTAATTTTTAATTTTTTTGTAGAGATGGGGTATCTCACTATGTTGCTCAGGCTGATGTCGAACTCCTGGGCTCAAGTGATCCTCCCATCTCGGCCTTCCAAAGTGTTGGGAAGCTGTCTGGCTCACAGTGGTGAATACAAGTTTTCCAAAATTTAGTTTTTGCTTGAGAGCTCAAATTTTTTTTATTGGCAACAATATACTGTCAGTTGTTTTACTTGAAAAGACAGGTTGAGAAAATGTCTGGCAAAATCTTTAGCCTAAATAACTAAAGTGAGTGTGTCAGTTTTTCTTTCAAAGAAAAATGGTGTACCATGAAAAATGTTCAGCCCACAACTCAAATATTCAGATAAGTGCTTTTCCTCAGGACGGAACATTGTACAACAGTATGAGCGAAAGTGTTCTGTTCGTTCTTTCTACTTTGTTACACAGAATATTAAAAAGATGTGTACTCAAGAGTTGTGATTTAATAAAATGAATACTTACTGTTTTATCAAGAACATTTGGAAGTGAAACAGGCTTTTGTTTTCTGCAAATTCATGTTGATGAAAAATATAACAACTGCTTTTTTTTTTCTTTTTTTTTTTTTTGAGATGGAGTCTCCCTCTGTTGCCCAGGCCGGAGCACGATCTTGGCTCACTGCAACCTCCGCCTCCCGGGTTCAAGCAATTCTCGTGCTTTGGCCTTCTGAGTAGCTGGGATTACAGATGTACACCACCACGCCTGGCTAATTTTTGTCTTTTTAGTAGAGATGGCCAGGCTAGTCTTGAACTCCTGATTTCAAGTGATCCGCCCGCCTCAGCCTCCCAAAGTGTTGGGATTACAGGCGTGAGCCACCGTGCCTGGCCAATACAACAAGTTCTAGTAAATTTTGGTGCCACTGTTTTGATTTATGCTAGATATCAAGCTGTCTTCCTCACTATTGCTTTTGTACTATAAATGAAAGGCCAATACAATGAACAAGACAAAGAATGTTATGGTCTGCTTAATAATGGCCATCCCCACACCCGAATTCCCAAAACCTGTAAATATGTTACCTTTCATGTTAAAATGGACTTTGTGATTAAATATCTAGAGATGGAGTGATTATCCTGGATTATCTGGGTATCTCTGATGTAATCACAAGGGTCCTTAAAAGAGGGAGGCAGGAGGATCAGAGTTAGTGGTAGCAGACATGATAATGGAAACAAGAAGTCATGTGAGAAAAAGGCCATAATCCGAGGAATGAAAGTGGCCTTTGGAAGCTAGAAAAGGCGAGGAAACAGATTCTCCCCTGAAGCCTCCAAAAGGAACACTGCCCTGCTGACACACCTTGATCTTAGACTTCTGGTCTCCAGAACTATAAGAAAATAAATTTGTGTTGTTTTAAGCTACTAAGTTTATGGCAGTGTGTTACGATAACAGTAGGAAACGGACACGGATATCTTAGTATTATCGAAAGTGTTGTTTTTAACCTTGTGGACCCCTGAGAAAGATTTTTGGGGTCTCTCGACAATTCTTGACCACACTTTGAGAATTCTAAGATAAGCTAGCTGCCAAATGCACACTGGGTACATGAATAAGGTGACTTGTTATATTGTATTAAAAACTTTAAGAGTGAAGGGTTTATATAAAAAGGGTAAAATCTACATATATGATTTCCCAATTCTCTTCAAATATTATATACACACACAGAAAAAACATTGGAGGAAAATACACCAAAATAATGTGCTTTTTCTTCATGATGGAATTTGGGGATTTATAATTTTTCTTTATACTTTCAGTATTTTCCAAATTGTCAGCAATTTGGCTGCAGAATTAGAAAACTGAATTTAAACTTCCAGGTCATTCCGAGGTATATTTGTATATAGGATAGAACATATTAATAGTTTAAACTTGATGTATAACTAAATATTTTGTCCATATGGTAATTGGGCCTTCTGTTGTACTATTGCCCTGGCCCTTGTAAATGTTAGGTTTGAGCTTGTGCCTGGCTGTCATTTTTCCAGGTCTTTATACATGGTCCTTTGTCTAGAATACTAGTAGTATTCCAATACCAAGTAGTGCTAAAGTACTACTTTTACTTTGCTTCTTAAATTAGCCCTCAGTCCCTTTAGTAAGCCTTACCTTACTACTCAGTTAAAGTTAAGGGCCCCTCGTATGTAGTAAACTGGGTGTTGCTTCTATTGTGCTTGCATTCTTGACTTTATCTGTATTTGTCTTACTTGTTTATAGCCTGCCCTCCTCCTAAATTGAGCAACACATTTTTTTTCAGTAAAATTATCCTAGTAATTTCTGTTAGTTTGTAAGTAATTTATTTTCCTATGTACATAGTTCTGTTTAGAGCTGATTCATTACATTTTGATTACATAGTTTAACTCTTGATGAGCATTCTTATTTTTTTCTATTTCCAAGTTTTGTGGGGAAGGGATATTCATATATAATGGGCAGCCATATATACTGTTTATTTTATCCTTCCTTCTTACAAATGTCTAATATATTGGCATGCATAGAGTAGGAGCTCGTTAAGAGTTTACTTCTTTGTAAAATAGTCATCTATTCAACATATTCACTGCTCATATTTTATACCTTTTAGGAGTCTTTTTTCCTTTTTAATTATTATTTTTGAGACAGAGTCTCACTCTGTCATTCAGGCTAGAGTGCCCTGGTGATATTTTGGCTCACTACAACCTCTGCCTCCCAGGTGGAGTGTTGAAGTGATTCTCGTGCCTCAGCCTTCCGAGTAGCTGGGACTACAGGCATGTGCCACCATGCCCAGCTAAGTTTTTATACTTTTTTTTTTCAGTAGAGATGGGTTTCGCTATGTTGGCCAGGCTGGTCTCGAATTCTTGACCTCAAATGATCTGCCCCCCTCGGCCTTCCAAAATGCTGGGATTACAGGCGTGAGCCACAGCACTCAGACCTTTTAAATTATCGAACTAATACAGTTATATAAAGTTTTGGTTTAGCTGGACACTAAACTGGTGGGTTATTCAGTAGAGTAGCAGGATATAAGCCACTTATCTATATTGTTAAACTGTATTGCATAAGGGCCCACCAAAATGGTAGTGTAATCCAGAAGGAAATAGGGATAGAATAGAAAGCCAGGAGAAAACCACAGAGGAAAATGGCTACCTGCCTGACATTAGTCAGTGTCATCACACCCTTTTAGATTTTCTCATCTAAAAAATGAAGGGAAACATATCTATTCTACCTACCTGATTCAGATTAGTTTTGGAAACAAAAGAATACGGTAGAAGAAATGATGGAAGTGTTGCTATTTAATATTATATGTGAGAGTCCTTTATGATAATTTTAGCCTGAGTGCCCAAAGTTTAAACTTACTTATACTTTCTGCAGCTATCAAACAGACTACCTACATCATGACATTCAGATAGATTATCCTGGGTTCATAAAAATCTTATATGGTTGGCTGGGCGTGGTGGCTCATGCCTGTAATGCCAACACTTTGGGAGGCTGAGGTGGGTGGATGGATCTCTTGATCCCAGGAATTCGAGACCAGCCTGGGCAATATGGCGAAACCCTGTCTCTACAAAAAATAGAAAAATTAGCTGGACATGGTGGTGCTTGTCTGTGGTCCTCAATATGCAGGAGGCTGAGATGGGAAGATCACTTGAGCCTGGGGAGGTCAAGGCTGCAGTTAGCCGAGATCAGCCACTGCACTCCAGCCTGGGTGACAGAGCAAGACCCCATCTCAAGAAAAAAAAATCTTATATAGTTAACTTTAGGTCTTAGTAATGACTTGGATTGCCTAGGAGAAATGGCAGAGTCTAGGACTGAGAGAGTAGAAATACAAGATGTGGCCAGAGTGTCTTGTAGTACCAGGAGTGAAGAAGTACTCATAAAACAAAGGATGGGGGCACATCAGAGGAACACAGGAACTTACCTGAAGAAGCTCCTAAGGGTCAAAGCTGGAATAATTTGAGCAACAAAAATAATGTAGCATGAATTATAACTCAAAGTATAAAATAATCCCATATATATGATATAAAGGATATAAGTTGACATAAAGGATTGAATAAATATGAGGCAAAAGAGACAAATCTCCCATCAAATAATTTATGTACCCATTCCATTCTATGGAGGAGAAGCTCAATTCCTACCTCCCTTGAGGGTGGACTGGACTTAGTGACTTACTTCCAAAGAATAGAGTAGGGAAAAACCTGGAAAACACTATCTTAGCCAAATAGTGAACATTAATATCACCAGAGATAAATCATAGATATCATGTACTCTTGATATGTGACAAGAAGAGCATGTCACCTTTGTGATAGTGTTTCCAAAGACCCATAATCCTAGTCTAATCATAAGAAAAGCAACTGATGAGCTTAGACTGAATGACATTTTACAGGATACCTGACTAGTCAAGATCATGAAAACTAGGAAAGACTGAAAAACTAAGACCGAAGGAGTTCAGGGAGACAAGATAGCTAAATGCAATGTGGATCCTGTATTGGGACCTGGAATAGAAAGAGGACACTCATGGAAAAGGTGCTGAAATCTATGTAAAGTCTGGAGTTTACTTAATATACAAATGTCAAGTTTCTTAGTTTTGACAAATGTATCATGGAAATGTAACGTGTTAACAATTGGGGAAACTATGAATGAGAGGTATTTGGGACATCTCTGTACTATCATTGCAACTTTCATAAATCTAAAATTATTCCAAAATGAAGTTTATTTTTAAAAATGGACTGGAGTTAACTTTTAAATAATAAAAGCAAAATGTGCTTATTGTAGAAAATATAAATGATGAAAAATATAAGGTAGAAAATGAAAACTACCCATAATCCTACCACCCAGAGATAACTGATTATTTGGATATGTCTTTTTCTAGACTTAATTCTATGTGTATTTCACTCAGCAAATAATTATTAGACTCCTTTGTGGACCAGACATCTTGGTAGGTGCTAATGATAGAGCAGTGAAGAAGAATGATGTGTCCTTCTCTTATGGAGCTTATACTCTAGTGATAGAGGGTACTATTAAACAATCTCACAAAAAAAGTTACAACTGTGATACGATAAGGGCTGTAAAGAAGTATGAATGTCAGCCAGGCACAGTGGCTTATGCCTATAATCCCAGCACTTTGGGAAGCCAAGATAGATGGATCACTTAAAGCCAGGAGTTCGAGACCAGCCCAGGCAATGTGACTAAACCCTGTCTCTACTAAAAATACAAAAGTTAGCCAGGTGTGGTGGTGCACACCTGTAATCCCAGCTACTCGGGAGACTGAGGCACGAGAGTCGCTTGAATCCAGGAGGCAGAGGTTGCAGTAAGCTGAGATGGTGCCACTGTATTCCAGCCTGGGTGATAAAGGGAGAATATCTAAAAAAAAAAAAAAAAGTATGAATGTGAGAACATATAAGTGGGGAAATCAAAATTGAATATGTATTATTTAAGATGAGAACTGAAAAACGAATACAAGTCAGGCATGTGAAAGAAGGAAGCAGGGCATTGGAGGTGCTAGGAGCTTGTACAGGTGCAGTTGCAGGCAGAGGGAAGGAACTTGGAGCGTTAGAGGTAAAATGTCTGGAGTGCAGAGAATGATAACTAGAAAGCGAGGGACTGAGGCTGAAGACGTAGCTAAGCAAGGTCTAAATAATACATGTAAAGTTTTTGGTACTTTTCCCCAAGAGTGGTGGGAAACCACTGAAGATTTTTGAATCAAGGGAATCATACGAACTTTGTAATTTAAGAAGATCATTCAGAGGCCATGTGGGCAAATGGACTGTTAGGTGGTGAGAGTATGGAGGTAAATATAATAGTTCAGAAAAGAAATTATAGTGTCTAGGACTATAGGTAGTGATAGAGAGTAGAGAGATTCAAAATAGATTTAGGAGTAAAATCAGCCAGATATACTGATTGTTTTGATGTAGAATGAGGGAGTATAAGGATAAATGTTCTGTATTTCTAGCACATGCAGTTGGTAGTGCCATTTATAAGGCAGAGAGTTTTTAATATATAAAACACTGCCTTATGGTGCAAGAGCTTAATCATTTTTAATGGTTGCATAATAATCAGATACACAAATGTATTTTCAGTTCCCAGAAATAAAACATCTGTTAATGTGTAGTGAATATGATGTTTTGAAAATTAGTGGTGAAAGGCTGGGCGCGGTGGCTCATGCCTATAATCCCAGCACTTTGGGAGGCCGAAGCGGGCAGATTGCTTGAGCCCAAGAGCTTGAGACCAGTCTGGGCAACATGGCAAGGCCTTGTCTCTACAAAAAATATAAAAATTAGCTGGGGCATGGTGGTGCACGACTGTAGTCCCAGCTACTTGGGAGGCTGGGACGTGACCATTACTGGAGCCTGGGAAGTTAAGGCTGCAGTGAGCCATGATCATGCCACTGGACTCCATCCAGCCTGGGTGACAGAGCGAGACCCTATCTAAGAGAAAAAAAAAATGAGTGGTGGAATTGTTGCTAAAGATAGTCTGAGTGCTGATAAAACAGTTGAGTTGGTTCTTTCTGTGACTAAGAATAATGAAGCTCTTTGTTTGATATTAACTGCTGGTAGAAAACATTAATAAAACAATCCAAGAAAGGTGTTTTAGGAAACACAGTATTCTCGTATGTAGATTTATAAGCACAGAAAAATTTCCAACAGTATAAAGTTGTGGTATAGCTCCAAGAAAAGTATTCTTAGTTAGAAGAATTTGGCTTTGCTACAGAGTTTCAAAGGTTATGTGTGCGCATATTGTCTTCAGTAGATGACAAGTTGATTTTAGTTTTATTGTTTTATCTGGCATTTTCCAATAACATTGGTAGTATTCTAATGAGTAAGACATTTGACTCTAAAGTCAAATTTGACAACATATATTCTTAAGCCAGTTTAGAAAGTATAGAATGGTGGTTACATTGTAAATCTTTGGCAGAGTTTTTGTAAGAAATTCTTAAATGAAGTTAACATATCACTGCTACCATTTAATGTCTGTCTGTTGGGAAAAGGTCAGAGCTCTTTTAAATGCTCTACTCTGAATTATTTTTAGAAATAAACAAATAATTCTAAAGTTCATCTGATATTTATTCTAAGCAGGGTCATGTTCTTAATACATTTGACACTTCACATTCTGTTGCCAACTACTTTGTAAACATTTCTACACCTGTGTCTCCAGACTGCTTCAGCCAGAGCAACTTAGTTAACCTATTATACTTATATGAGGGAGTAGGAGACTGCCCAAATTTGTGCGTTTATATAAGAGTAAGGTAATGCATTTAGGGAAGACAAACTCATACTAGGTTTATGAAATGCTGTAATTCAGGATGTTACTAATGAACTAGGAAAGAAGTTGGTATTAATAATAAACTGGTGCCTTGATAAAATTAGCCTAAGATGCCAGTGGAAAGTCAATCAAGTACTGGATAGATATCATCAGAAAGGTCATTGGAAAGAAATCAGCTTAATTTTATAATATACAGAAACTGGTGGTTTATACCTCACTTACCACCTTAATTATTGTCATTGCATTGCAAAAAAAATTTTTCTTCTTAAAAAAATTTCAAAGAAAGTTAACTAAAATGATTACCTCTTCACTCTACCTTTCTCACCCTAATATCATGATGCGACAAATTAACTTTTCTTCTGTGCATGTAGAATATTACCTATGAACTGTCCTTGGGAGAATTGAGAAAATTTTCAAGCTTCATGTTTTGTGTTGTGGTTCTGGTTAAGAATTTCAGTTGAAAAGGGCTGGAGGAGTTATGTGCTAAACCTGTAAAATCATAAGCTGAAGCAAATATAGTCATTTCTTGGTATTTGTGAGAGTTTGGCTCCAGGAGCCCCTCAGGTACCAAAATGCATGGATTTTCAAGTCCCCTATATAAAATGACATAGTATTTGCATATCACCTACACACATCCTCTTATATGCTTTAAATTGTCTGTAGATTACTTATGATACCTGATAAAATGTAAATGTGTAAATAGTTGTGCTACTGTATTGCTCAGGGAATCATGACAAGAAGAAGAAGCCTGTTCATGTTCAGTACAGAACAACCATCCATTTTTTTCCTAAATATTTTCAAGCCATAGTTGGTTGAATCCACATATGTGGAAACCACAGATGTAGAATCCCTGGATACAGAAGATTGATTATACATAAAATAATAAGTCTATGGACCTATTTTACACAGTTCTGAAATACAGAGGAAATTCCTTGGAAAAACCAGCACCTTAGAACACATTGAAGTCAGTTTAGATGCTTATGAAATTTGTTACCTACAACTGATTGAGACTGTAAATAAGATTAAACTAGAAGGGTTTAGGTAGGGAAAAAAAGAAGAAATCCACATTAGATATTAATAGAATTAGAGATACTTAGGATATGTTTTTAACTTAAAGACTTTTGAATTGTGACATAACACATCAGAAAATGCATAAAACGTAATTGTGTAGTTTAATTAGTTATTACAAAGCAAGCATCTTTGTAGCCCACTGAGGTTAAGACAATAAAGCATAACCATATTCCAGAAGCCTCCTGTGTACGTTCCTAATCACAACCCTTCCTTTCCCTCTGAAGGTAAATACTATTTTCTCTTTGTCTAATCACTTTCTTGCTTTACTTTGTGGTTTGCTCATCTAGGTATGCATCCTTAAGAATATAATTCATTCAAGCCAGAAATGGTGTGTTGAAAAAAGAAGTATATAATTTAGGATTGCCTGTTTTTGAAAGTTAAGTAAATGGAATCATATAGTGTATATGTCTTTGTTTCTTGGTTTCACACAATGTGGCTTTCAAGAATCAGGCATGTTGTTGCAGGTAGTAGCTGTGTGGTTGCTCTAAACTATTATATATCATTTTTTAAAAAATGAATTTACTACAGTTTACCTATTCATTTTACTTTTGATGGATCTTGAAGCTCCTAACAGGTTTTGGTGGTTACTAACAATGCTACTTTGAATATTATGCATGTACTTGTGTGGTACTTAGGTCCTTAGGTGCACAAATTTTATTTGTCCTGGATGTGAACTTGTTGGGTCATAGGTCATGTTTTCCCCAGTAGTGTTTCAGTATACATTCAGACCAAGAATGTATGAGAGCTTCCATTGCTTCATGTTCACTAACCACTTGATATTGTCACACTTTTAATTTTGTCAGTGTGCTAGCTATGTATGGATTTTGATTGTGGTTTAAATTTGCATTTTCTTTGTAGTCAAAGAGATGTAGCATCTTTTCATGTCTATTTGGAAATCCTTTTCAGAGTACCAGTTTGGGTCATTTACTCATTTTTCTATTGGAGTGTCTATCTTACAGATTTGTAGAAGTTCTTTATTTTCTAGACACAAACTTTTTGTTGGATAAATGTGTTACAGCTATCTTCTATGGAGTGCATTTCACTCTTCTAATGGACAAATTATGAACAAATATTCTTAGTTGTAATGTGGTCCTATGTGTTAATCTTTTGCTTTATGGCCAAGGCTTTTTGTGTCTTAATTTTAAAAAACGTCCCTACCCTGATGTTATGAAGACATTTTTCTATATTATTTTGTAAGAGCTTTGCCGTTTACATTTAGTTGTGTAGTCATCTGATTTGTATATGTGTGTGTGTGTGTATGTGTTAGAGTGTATTCATTTTTTTCTCATATAGATAGTGTGTTAGTCTGTTTTGCATTGCTGTAAAGGAATACTTGAGGCCGGACAATTTATAAAGAAAAGAGGTTGGCTGGGTGCGGTGGCTCAAGCCTGTAATCCCTGCACTTTGGGAGGCCCATGTGGGTGGATCACCTGAGGTCAAGAATTAGAAACCAGCCTGGCCAATATGATAAAACCCTGTCTCTACTAAAAATACAAAAAATTAGTCAGGCGTGGTGGTGGGCGCCTGTAATCCCACCTACTCAGGAGGCTGAGGCAGGAGAATCACTTGAACCCGGAGGGTGGAGGTTGCAGTGAGCCTAGATCATGCCACCGCATTCCAGGCTGGGTGACAGAGTGAGACTCCGTCTCAAAAAAAAAAAAAAAAAAAAAGGAAAGAAAAGAGGTCGTGCAGGCTGTATAGGAAGCATAGTGCTGGCATTTGCTTCTGTCTGGTGAGGGCCTCAGGAAGCTTCCAATCATGATAGAAGCTGAAGTGGAAGCAGGCGTGTCACATGGTGAGAGAGGCAGCATGAGAGAGATGCCAGGCTCCTTTAAACAACCAGCTTTGTTGTGAACTAACAGAGCAAGAACTCACTCATTATCATGGTGAGGGCACCAAGCCATTCATGAAGGGTCCACCTCCATGAAACAAACACCCACTAAGCCCACTTCTAACACTGGAAATCGCATTTCAACATGAGATTTGGAGGGGACAAAACAACCAAACCATATCAGATAGCCAGTTGTCCCAACATCAATTACTAGAAAACAATTTTTTACCCACTCTTGTACAGTGCCACCTCTGATACATATATGAAGGGCTCATTATATATAGGAGGGCCTATTTCTAGACTCCCCATTTTGTACTATTGGTTTTTCATCCTGATAATGGTTGTGTGTCTTTTTCTTCTCTTTTTCCCAATTCTTCTCCGTCTCCTTTCCTTTCTCCTATTCCCTCCTCTCCTTCCCTCCTCCTTTCCCTTCTTCCTCTCTCTTGTTCTCCTTTCTCTCCCCTTGCCCTCCCCCATCTTAATCTGTGTCACTGTAGATTTATCAATAGTTAGTTTTTCCAATGAATTGGTTTGCCTTTTTTGTTCTTTTCTATTATGTATTTCTTTTCTGTTTCATTAATTTCTGATCTTCTACTTTCTTTGAGTTTATTTTGATGAGTTTTTTTTCTAATTTCTTGAACTGGATGGTTAGCTCCTCAGTTAACTTGCCTTTAAGTGCATTTAAAGCTATAAATTTTTTTTCAGATACTGTTTTATTTCTATGCCATATGCCTTTTTTATTATCACTATTTAAAAATCATTTTTAACGTTTATAATGAGTCTACTTTGGGCTATAGGTTATTTAGAAGTTCAGTTTATAATTTCCAACACATGAGGAATTTCTGGCTGTTTTTAATTATTTATAACATTATTGCATCGCGGTCCGGGAATATGCATTATGTAATTACAGTGTGTTGAAATTTTTTGCAACTTGCATTGTGGCCCAGAAAAAAAGTCAACTTTTGTAAATGTTCCATGTATGCTATAAGAATACATAATGTGAAGTTTTCAGTTATGGTGTTCTCTCCATGTCCATTAGGTAAAGTTTGTTAATCTATGAAAATACTCTGTTTCTTTACTGATTATTCTCCTTGTTTGTTTCTATTAAGTATTTTAAAAATTTTCACTGTATTTGCACATTTATCTACTGCTTCTTGTCATTCTGTCAATTTTTGCTTTATATACTTTGATCTTATGTTATTAGGTTATATCTTCCTGGTGAATTGAACCACTTTTATTTTTTAAATAACTCTATTTCTAATTATAGTTTTTTATCTTACAATCTACTTTGATATTAATATAACTCCCAATATTCTTTGGATTAGAGTTTGCATATTATACTGTTTTTATCCTCTTTACTTTCAGTCTTTCTGCATCTGTTTGTTTTGTTGAAACTCTTGAACTGTATAGTTGAACTTTCAAATCCAATTAGGTAGCATTTATTTTCTAATTGGAACATTTAGTTTGGTTCCACTTAAGGTAAATAGTGGCATATTTGGATTTAAATATTTCTAAAATTTAGAACTCTTAAAATCTTTTTTTGCTTAGTCTTTATATTAGCTTATGTTCATGCCTGAATATTTGAGAAACTCCTTCAAAAGGAATTGTTTAGGCATTAAAACAGGTTTGCCGGTTTTGGTTCTGATTTTGAAAAATTGATCATCGTGTGATGTTTTTTGTTTTTGTTTCTAAGATGGGGTCTTGCTCTATTGCCCAGGCCAAAGTGCAGTAGTGCAATCATGACTCATTGCAGCCTTGACCTCCAGGGCCCAAGTGATCCTCCTACTTCAGCCTCCTGCGTAGCTAGGACCGCAGGCATGTGCCACTATGTCCAGCTCATTTTTATAAATTTTTTGTAGAGACGGGAATCTGGGAATCTCCCTATGTTACCCAGTCTGGTCTTGAACTCCTGGCTTCAAGTGATCCTCCTGCCTCAGCCTCCAGAGTGCAGGGATTATAGGCATGAGCCGCCATGCCTGGGCCAATTGTGTGATGTCTGTGAAAGCAAACTCTTCATATTTTTATTCCTGTGATATGTTATTTGGGTAACCGGATAGCTATATTGGAAACTAAAACTTCTTATGTTTATGAGGTATGAATATTATAAAACCATTTTGTTTTTTCCATTTATTTTCTGGCTTGTCAGTTTTAAGAATTTCCACCTCTTCTTTCTTTAGGGCTTCAATAACTTTACAACTAATTGTGTAGTTTATTGATTGTCCCCCAGAAAAGCTTTGCTGTATCTTTTTTTTTTTTCTCTGATGCATTTTGATTCGGAGAATGACTGACAATGCAAGTTAAGGTTTAGTGCCATATAGTGTGTCCAAATGTAAACTTAAAGCAGCCTGTATTAGTCCCTTCTCATGATGCTATAAAGAAATACGTGAGACTGGGTAATTTATAAAGAAAAGAGATGTAATTGGCTCACAGTTCTGCACGCTGTACGCGAAGCATAGCGTCTTCTGGGGAGGCCTCAGGAAACTTACATTCATGGCGGAAGATGAAGGAGAAGCTAGCATGTCTTACATGGCCAGAGCAAAAGCAAGGAGGGCAGTGAGGGAGGTGCTACACACTTTTAAAGAACCAGATCTCATGAGTACTCTATAATGAGATAGCACCAAGTGGATGGTGCTAAACCTTTCATGTAGGCTCCACACCATGATCCAGTTACCTCCCTCCAGGCCCCGCCTCCAACATTGGGGATTACAATGCAACATGAGATTTGGGTGAGGATACAGATCCAAACCATATTACAACCATACTGATGGATTGTAAACTACAGTTTTTAACCTGCTTCTATTAATTAGAGGGGTAAAGGTTGTAATTTTTTATTAATGTTTATCTCATGTAAGTGGTTTTATTTATAAGCATTCTTTTAAAAATCTTTTTGGCTTGGTGCAGTGGACAGTGTTGGGTGGGCCTGGACAACGTTGTAAGACCTATCTCTACAAAAAAAGAAATTAAAAAATTAGCCAGGCATGGTGGCACACACGTGTGTATTCCCTGCTATTGGGGAGGCTGAGGTGAGAGGATCACTTGAGCTAGGGGGTCGAAGCTTCAGTGAGCTATGATCATGCCACTGTACTACAGCCTGGACGTTGGAGTGAGACCCTGTCTCTAAAATAATAAATACAAATAAAAAATCTTTTCATTATGGAAGAAATTTTAAAACATGGAAACATATGGAGAAGAATATTGTGTACCTTTTCATCCTGGTCACTTACTTTAATTAATTATCAATTCATAGCCAATTTTGTTTCATTTCTACTCCCTCAATTATGTTGTAATCTGAAACATTGTGTCATTTATATAGGTAGGTAGATATACATGTATATTGTGTATTTCTAAAAGATTAAGATTCTTTTAAAGGTCATTATTTTAAAATATGAATAATTCCTTAAAATCAAATATCTTGTGTTTCCCATTTCCCCAATTGTTTCTTAAAAAATTGTATTGCTGTATCTTTTAAGTCTTTTTAAAAAAAATTCTGTAGGTTTCCCTCTCTCCCTTTTTCCTTACTAAATTGTATTTGTTGAAGAAAACAGGTCATTTGTTTCCTAGTTTGGTTTTTTCCTGATTACATTTTTGAGCTATAATTTAACATGTTTCTCTGCTCCTGTATTTTCTATAAGTTGGTAGATTTAAAGGCAAAAAATTGTTTAAAATTTATTTTTATTGTTTTAAAATTTAAGTACTTCTAATATTGTAGATTTCTCAGATCATTACTGTTACAAGGGGCGGCTTAAAGGTAGAACTCTTAAAATATTATTATCATCTATTCTGCCTTCCTGGTTTGTAGATACAGAGACATCCCAGAGAGGTTGTGATTTATCCAGATTTCCACATCAAGTTGAGATTACAGTGGAGGGTGCGTTCGAAAGTAAAAATAACTTCTCCTTTTGAATTTTGATGGCTTCATGTGTGCTACTTGTGATTTTGGTTCTTTAGAATTCATCCTGAGCATTTTTCCAGAGCTATGCCTAGGAATTCTTGAATTTGTCTTCTGCTCTCTCTCTATCTGGGCTCCACCCTGACTGTAATTCAGTTTGTTAATATGGTAATAAAAAGTCTCTATCAAAGTCCTCTTATGTGTCAAAGTCCTCTTTTGCCACATCTTCCAGTCTACCTTGTGCTTTTCTAAATTGTGATTGGACTTAACCTGTGTACTGATTCTTTTACTTTAAGAAAGTGGCAGTTGTGGACCCCATAAACACAAGAGATGTGTTTACTTCTGAAGTTTTAAAGATTTTTAGGTTTATTATTACAAAAGTAATATATTTGTTTAAACAGTGTGGAATTATATAAACACTGAATGTACTCCTCAACCTCTCTACCTTATGTCTCAGTGATAACAATTGCTAAGGGCTTGATGTGTTTTATTCTAAACTTAATTCTATACAAATATAATTATATAGATATATATTATATATACACACAATTGTTTATCTTTAAAAATAATTCAAATATGGCTACAAAACTTTTACAATATGAAGCATTGTCAGTATTTATTTTACCGGGAGGATTTCCCCCATCAGTGAGTGCTGACTGTCATTTTCATTCTTTATGATCAAGTTGTAGATCAGGAAAAACAAGTTAAGAGAGTGCCTACAAATACCGGGAAAACTTGTGGATAGATTTTCATTTTTTATGTAAAGACATATAAGAACATGAATGGTATAAAAACAAAATCCTTTATAAATGCCATACAATTATATATTTAGAAAAATTATATGGTGGTAAAACATATAAAAGAACCACACACTCCCAAATTTACATTGAGCTAATTTAGTACAGTTAGCCTTTGTCAAAGCTTTCCTTGTTTAAAAAAACTATTGGCTCAGTGTGCAGGAAGGAGCATAGGAGAAAAAATTGCCAAGAATATTTGAAAAATACAGAAAATAAAGAAAAAAATCACCTACTATCCTATCAAAAATTTTAATAGCTAGAATCAGGATAAGATAGAATATTCCTGTGGCAGTAATTCTAGTCTATATTCCTTTCCTGGAACCCTGTCTCCCAAATTTCAGGTGAGATTTTATAAGAAGCTCTGTTTATCTGAGATTTAAAATATAAAAACTTGATTTAACCTATACAGTTTTTTAAAAAGACCCTAAATAAGTAAAATTTAGTACTCCACAAATTGAAGAGAATTTCTCTCTTCTCTTTACTGCCCTCTGAGTTTTCTCTTTCCTTCTCTCACCTCCAATTTTCATGTAAACACTTTCAGTTCGAGTGGACCTTAGAGATTGTCTCATTCAATACTTTAGGAAAACAAATTTTATAGAACCCTTGAGTTCTGTGGAATTGCTTCTAATGAACAACACCTTTTGTTGTTGTTGTTGTTTAGTGACACTGTGTAACAGGCATTTCAGGAGGAGAATCTCCCAGTCTAGAGGAATCCTCTCAGAGGTAGCTATAAAATATTGAACTCTGATCTTCAATAAGCATTGTGCGGTTTTTGTTTTTGTTTTTAATGACAGTTTTAAACAAGAAAGTTGCTTTATTTCTGAACTTCATAAAAATTTCTATTAAAGAGACAATTTCTGAATTTTATAACAATTTCTAGAACAGTTGAGTACCTCACTTTGAGACACATTTTTGCTAAAAGTTAAAAACACAAAACCCTTATGAGATAAAATAGGAAGCTAGTAGAGATAGGAAAGCCCTCTGCTTAGTAAACCTCTTTTTTGCGTAGTTTAGACACATACAATAGTAAAGTTACTTAGTACGTTGATAGTTTTCTTTCTCCTCAAAAGCTACAATGTCTTACTAGCTAGTTCCTTCAAGAAAGGAAACAAGAAGCCGCTGGAGGAGATTGGTGAGTGGGATAAAACACTATTCAACTCTTCAGTTATTCGGTTTTTAAATCCTCAATGAAAGGCTGCTGTATTATAGAGTATTTTTTTTTTATTTTTAATAGACTTAGAACCAAGTTTCTTGAGAAACCTTTGGCATATTGTAGTTTTTTTATGGCTATGACTCACATGACATTACTGTATAAAACTAGTACATTCTCTCGTAAAACCACACAAACTTACTAGAGTGCTGCTCTCATTTTTCTACATTAGAAATGAAAAAGGGCATTGTCTGCATTCAAAATTTCCTTTTTACATCTCTGTATTACTTTTTCCCCTTTATATTTATCTTAAAACCAAAAGAAATAATGTTTCTATTGTTTTACTGTAGTTACCACTGATGCTACCGAAGCTGTATTGTGAGTGTTTCAAAATTCTCAAACCAGTTTTGTGTGTTGTACTTGGAGCTTAGTCATTGTCATACGTAGCAGGACCTGATTAAGAAGGCTGTGCCGCCTCTAAGCCTTGCTAGATTGTAGCCACTAGCAACCAGGCTGCAATAATTTCCCTTTGATGACATCATCCACTGTGGAAGAACCCAGTTGCTTCAGCGAGTCGAACTACAGTTTTAACCTCATCAAATATGGCATCTCCCTTGCTTGCTGCAGCAGGGATGGAAGAAATGTCACTTTCTTTTTAAGCTAGCAAGCTTTTTCTTTTTCTTTTTCTTCTTCTATTTAAAAATTCTAATCATGGATGCTTCTTCCGACCCTTATTTGCCTTATGACGGGGGAGGAGACAGTATTCCCCTGAGGGAATTACATAAAAGAGGTAATACTATCCCCTTGCTGTGAATTCTCTGTTGGTATGTTTTGCATGCGGCTGGGCGGTCCTCTAGCTTAAACTGGTTCTCGTTTGTCCTTTAAATACTGCAGTACGTTGTTTAGTTGCCCTGGGTTGTTAGTAAGGGGAAAATGCAACCTTCTGAATGGTTGTGTAGCCATCCCTGATTGTTTTCTCTGTGCAGATTAGTACTGCTTCAGATCACGTCGGGCTCCGACTCCATCTTCTGCATGAAAATCTTCTTTCTAACTCTGAAAATGAATTAATCTGCTTTTACAGCCAACTAAAGTCGTGTTGGTTGGCATCTAAAAAGTAATGTTTTTCTTCCTTCAGAAAACTTACATTTCCTTTAATTTACACAGAGAAATCAGGTGCCTATGTACCATTATATTTTAGCTGCTGCCAATTACCATGTAGATTTTACACCACAAAGTAAATTTATAGCAAAAGCTTTACCTACATTTTAGAACATTTTAAAATGATAGTAAAGATGAATAATTTCTATATTAATACTTTTTATTTAATATGTATTTCGGCTGAGTAACATACTACATTGTCTTCCACAGGTATCTTGTGAAATTTGATATGATAAAACACATTTGACTAAATGTCAGAAAAAATAATATTGGTTTGTGAAAAGCAGAAGAGCACCCAGCATGCCTGTAAATCTTTTGGCAGGCACTTCCTCAGTCTCCTTAAAATTAATTGCATGTTAATTACTACCCTTTTTTTCATTTTTGTTTAATTGCTTATTCGAAAAACAGACTGGTCGACATTTGTTGTCCTAGAAAAAAATTGAACTTCAAGAAAAATCTCTTAGCTTATGTGACTTCATTTTTGAGCCACATTAGTTTGAATTACTGCATGATATTATAAACTCACCTTATGATTTAACCCAAACTTTTATTTGTAAGTATATAAGGAAGTAATAATGTTTTTCTAATATAATTAGCCTGCTTTATTTAAAATATACTTTGTGTTCTGATAACACTTTTTTTTTAGTATTAAGTTCCACTATAATTTAAACATTATAATGTATTCAACAAATGTCTGTTGGTTGCATTGTGTCTGCTACACACTATTTTAGGGTCTGAACAGTTGTAGCATTATTTATCTTGCAGTATTCTGTAGTTAGTAAAAACTTGCTTTTTACATTTTGAGAAAAGCTGTGTAAGGATCATGTTACATACATTGTGCTTTCTCTTACAGAGTTACCTTCTTAATAAAATTTTGATATATGTGTATATGTATATGTTAGAACATTTGGAAGAAATATCTAAAAGCATAAAGAAGAAAATAATTTCTTGTAATCACACCACCCAGAGCTTTTTAAATTTTTTTTCTTAATGTTACGATCATAAATTCTTCTATTTCCTATGTTCTGATTATCAGTTTTCTGGTAAGGAGTTCTTTAAACAGGAAGCAAGGTGAATGAATAGTGACTGTTCAAATGTCACATTATTTGCTAATCAGTAATTAAACTGTAAAACAAGACAGACTGTATTTTCCTCATGCTATTACAACATTTGGTTGTTAATGATGATAGATCAGAATACCTGGGCTTCAGAAATTTAAATTCCTTTTGTGAAGCTTAACAGTCTTTGACAGAACTTACTTATGGACTGTCTTAGTGTAAAATATGCAAATAATAAGAAATAAGTCAAAACTTATGTGAGAGTAGGCATGGTTACTGATATTACCTAAACGTAAGCTTTTTATTTCTATTATACTTTCATAAATAATCCTTTAAGAATCTTGCTTAGGATCTAAATCAGTCCCACTCTTGGCAGCTCAAATAGGTTCTTTATCCCTTGATGAGACTTATTCTATTAATATAAGTCATTGTTATTTGAAAGTAACATTGTGTATGTGTAGTAGAGATAAGTCAGTTATTAGGCTTTCGTGACTGTACTGTATTACCTCAAACATACTGTAGTATCCTAGTGTCTATGCGTAAGATGTTATTTTTTGTCCATAATTTATGACCTGTTGTAGCCATGGGTCAACACAATGGAATTGATGGAGACAGGCAGCTAACAAATCGAAAAAACTGAATCAGCTTCCCTGTGAGGAAGAACAAAACTATAATGATTAAAATTGATCTTCAGCCTGATAGTGAAGAGGCAGATAAAGTATAAAATTGTGAAGGATATCAATAAAGTAAACATGGATCTGTTTAGTAAATCCCTGAGTGCTATAGCCAAGGATTACCTTTGTTGAGTAAATTGAATTTAATACTACTTTTCAAGGCGAGATGGTAAATGGTGAAGCTTCCTATTTAAGTAAATAATGTCAAGTCTGGAAGTATAAGTAGATTCAAATTAGAATTAGTTTGATATACTATTGATAGATTAGAAATTAAGATGACATTTCAGAAATAGCCATCTTTAGGGGTAGATTTCCTATATAGAAACAATCAAGCTCTCTCAAAATGTCTCTTCCTTTTTTATCAGGAAAAAAGACTTGGCTTATCTGGACTGTTAGTTTTACACTTTTTCTTCTTAATTTGTTCAAGATGTTTAAGTAGTTTTAGAGGTCAAATTTCTTTCTTCTACCAACCCTTTATAATGGATTTGATCTTTTGGGCCTGAGCCTCCATTTACTCCATGAGGGGCCTTTAACAATTATTTAAATATTTAATTGTTTCATTCAGAGTGAGCATATATGTGTGTGTGTGTGTGTGTGTGTGTATATATATGTGTGTGTGTGCGTATATGTGTATATATATATATACATATACACACACATATGGCACTCCTAGGTGCTGTGGAGAATTATAAAAATAGTAATATTAATAATAGTTAATATTTATTAGAATTTCCTGTTAGCTGGATACTGTCCTAAGTGGGTTTTTTTGTTGTTGTTGTTGTTGTTGTTGTTGTTGTTTTCTTAAGAGAGAGGTATCACTTTTTCACCCAGGCTGGAGTGCAGTGGAGTGATTATAGCAAATGCAGCCTTGAACTACTGGGCTTAGATCCTCCGTCTCACCCTCCTTGGTACCTGGGACTGCAGGCTTGCAACACCTTGCCTGGCTAATTTAAAAAACAAAATTTTTTTTTTTTTTAGGGAGAGTCTCACTATGTTGTCCAGGCTGGTCTCCAACTCCTGGGCTCAAGCAACCCTCCTGCCTTGGCCTCCCAAGTAGCTGAGATTACAGGTGCGAGCCACTGTGCCTGGCTTGTTCTAAGTGCTTTATGTGTATGAAATTATTTAAATCCTCATCACAAGTTTATGAAGTAGGTACTGTTATAATCCCCATTTTCTAGTTGACAAGACTGAGGTAAGGAATTGTTAAGGAAAAGTCAGAATTCCATCCAGATATTTGGCTCATACTTTAATCATGAGGCTAAACTGCTTCTCTCTACACGTATCTTCATAGTAACTTGTGTTTTAAGTCTGGTAGAAGCATAAGAAGTTTAAACACAGACAGAATCCTGTGGAAGTTAGTAAATTTCTAGTGAACGATAGAAATGATAGAAATCTCTTCTTCCCCCAAAGTCCCAAGAACAGATTAGTCTGCTTTTGACAAGTGTTATCAAAGTAGACTGTTCTCACATACACAGGGGACTCAATAGGGCATTCCTGGTGGATATAATAAAATGAGTAAATGCGATAACAGGAGGAAATGCCTAGTGTGTTGCTCTTGGATTAGTTTTGATACAACAAAGGCAGCTTTGTTGTGAGTCAGTAGAGAGGGTAGTGTAGAAAGGTGGAAGTTGGAAGAGTGGCAGATCCTAGAGGACTAATGATGGGCTTAAACCACAAAAAGTGTCGCTTTGCCATTGAAATAAAAGTTTGGGGTCTTATTTTTTCAAGTTTCTCCCTGAAATTATTTCTTGACATTCATTAGCTCAGCAGTGTATCTAAATAAAGCTTTTTTGGGTTTCTATTATAATAGAGGTTTGTTCCTTTTTCTTCCCTTTGAAAAGTATCATTTTTTGCACATTATTTGAAAATCCAGGTGTTATATGATATTCTTATTGCCAGAGGGACATTCTGCAGGCTCTTTGTAAAATGATTTTAGGATTCAGATACTTATTATATTTTTATTGGCCCTAATATTTTATCCAACTAGAAAATTAAACCTCTTCTTAAAAATTAATCCATCTAAGTGTCTGTAAATTAAAGGAACAACTAAAGATTCTTTATTTGGTGTCAGAAACTCCTTGTTTCTACAACAGTAGTATAAAACAAAGCCTGTTTTTAAATGTACTTTTCCCACAGTATCTGAATTTCAAATCTTCAATAAAATCTGGTTCATATTACTACCTCTAGCTTGATTTTCTAAAAATAGCTGACACTTTAGTATGGTTAATTTTATGCCATCTCATGGCTTGTCAGAAATGCTTTGTATCAAGATTTCCGAGTGTGAACAGATTTCCTGCCGCATTGATTAAGTTTGTAATTTTGGCTATTTTCCCAGCATCGAGGTTTCTGCTTTGCGTTTATGCAGGAGACTGGTAGTTTAAATTGAACTTTAAGGTTTTGTTTCTTGTTTTTAAGTTAACATATGTTTAATTTCTAGTTTCTTTGTAGCCCTTTGCAACTTTAATTAGGTCATAAAATGGATTTACTCTAGTTTCTCTAACAAATTTTATAAATTTATGAAATATGAAATTTAGCAAATTTTATAAACCTTTTTATTCATGTATTGTACAGCTCATCATATTTGCAGACATAATAATTGAATGTGGAACTTGTTTCCAATTACACAGATGTCTTAATATCCACCTTATCATCTCTAACTAAGGATGTGGCTTTTTATTTTGAGGTGGCAACAGAACAGAAAAGAAAACAGTGAATTGAGTAATGGGCTTAGTATTGCTGCTGCCTGGTTGTGTATCTTTGGTAAACTTCTTTGAGATTTGGCATTAACTTGCAAGTCTTTGCAGTTTAGACAGTTAAATATGACTGAATGGCTGAACAAATTTTAATAGCGTATGCTTCTTTTTTGCTATTTATTTACCCAGTAGACATTTAATTGACCACCTGCTAAATGTGAGGCACTATTCTTGCCATTACCTTTTTAATCTTTGATTTGGAGTCTGCTAACATTCTGGAACTTCCACTATCAACTTAGAACGTTTACTTTCCCATCCCTTACCAGGATGGCCATTTCTTATCAGTAGGGTCACAGAGAGAGAAAAAAAAAAACCATCTGGGGCTAGACTTCCTGCTCTTAACATACAGAAGCAAATAGGTTGTGAAGGAATACATAGTATTTTGGATTTCTGCCTCTTCCTTCCATAATTTTTTTAAAAAGGTTCATATGTTTTATGTGTGTCTTATGTAACAGTAATCTGCATTATGAACTTAAATGACGAGGATCACCATTTCACATCTTTGGAGATTGATCACAGAGGTAATAAGTAACTCTTTTTAAATAACTATATGCATCATTTTTCATGTAAAACTATTATTTGGATAAACCCCTTTGAGAAAAGGCTTAGGCTCCTGCCAGTGTCACTGTGATATTTACTAATAAGCTCAGTTTAAGGCGCAGCAATTAAGGTTGTGTTGTTTTTTTTTTTTTAAGTTCAGTTCAGCAAATATATGTGGAAAGCTTGTGGGTAAAATTATATTTGTATTTTTGGGAAAGCAGACAATTTTATTAATGCCTATATTTTTCTAGTTCAGTGTTTGTCAAACTTCAAGTTTTAACATGTTGATCATGAAACCAGTTGACTTGTGACCAGTATTTTAAAAGGAAAGATTAAAAAAACAAAATAAAATATCAGTATATACCAAGTAGTAAGAGTAAGCATTGTTTACTAAACTTTGGTTTTATTTAAGTACATATCTATATACTATGTCAGTGAGAAACATTTCTCCACTTCATGTTTGAAAAACATTTCAAAAGCTAAGAAAAAGTTTGAAAACCTGTTTGTAAGTACACCTGGGGTAAAGGTACACCCTGTGGCATAAGATGTCGGGAACAACTGAGGGTAAGAATGGGGATGCATTACTATCGTAAACTTCTGCTAAAGCATAAGGATGTGAGTGCTGGGAGCAAAGCAGTGCTCACCACTTCTGCAATTTTCTATTGCAGCATTTTAAATAATATGGGAAAAAGTGGACTGCAACCAAAGGCAAAGAGGGATGGTGATGGTGAAGGGTAAGATTGTATTTATTGTCCAAAGGCTAAGTGCATATACATATGTGTTTGGGAGAAGGCATCACGTAATAGTTCTTAACCTACTCTGAGAGAAGGTTGTCCACATTTCTTAAAGTATACATGTAAACCAACAATGAAATTATTTTAGTGACTTGAGAATCAAAGTGCTAGAGTTTGAATCCCTGTTCTACTACTTGCTAGCGGTGTGACCTTGGGCCTGTTTAACTCTTGACACCTTGTTTTCCAAATTTATAAAGTGGAGATAATAATATCTGTCACATTGTGTTGTTGTGAGGATTATATGAACTAATATATGTAATGTCCTGAGAACAATGTCTGGTACACATTAAGTTAATTAAAATTAGCTGTTCTTACTGTTATTATTAGACATGAGCTAGATAACAGTGGCCTCTACATGGGAAAGATTATTTTAATTCTGATGTAGTTCAGTTTATCTATTTTTTTTATTTTTGTCCCTTTTGCATTGATGTCATATCTAAAAAACCTGCCTAACTCAGGATCACAAAAATTTACTCCTGTATTTTATAATTTTAGCTCTTTAGATCTAGGATCCATTTTTAGCTAATTTTTATATATGGTGTGAGGTAGGGGTACGGTTTCATTCTTTTGCACGTGAATAGCCAGTTGTCCCAGCATCATTTATTCAAAAGACTATTCTTTCCTCACTAGAAAAAATATTTCTTTAAAGAATAATGAATCCTTTTTTTTTTCTTTTTAACCGCTGTTACTCAGTTGGAAAAAGAATAATGAATAATTTTAAGTAATTTTCCTACAGGTAAATTTAAGTCTTTATGTTTAGATTACACATATTAGGAAATAATGGATTTGTATTCCATAGGTATGCTTGATCTTTATAAAGTTCCCTGTCTCTGGAAAAACTAAAATAAGGCAAAACAATCTTCTTAGTAGAGTTATTTTTACAAGAAAGTTGCAAGCCAGTTTTAGTTCATCGATTGGATAATTTTTCCTGCTTGCTGGAGGTATTTCAGTATTGGTAATACCTGAACTATGAGATGCATGAATGATGCATTTTAGGAATTTGTTTCTGTGTCCATACCAGGCATAATGAATTAAGTTATCTGTTAAAAATACAGGATTTTTGCTCAATATACAGTTGTAGAAGAACTCATTGTCCAAATTTTTAAGACTTTTTTTTCTTTTTTTTTTTGAGATGGATCTCGCTCTGTCGCCCAGGTTGGAGTGCAGTGGCACAACCTCCACTCACTGCAACCTCCACCTCCAGGGTTCAAGTGATTCTGCTGCCTCAGCTTCCCGAGTAGCTGGGACTACAGGCATATGCCACTATGCCCGCCTGATTTTTTTTAGTAGAGATGGGGTTTCACCATATTGGCCAGGCTGCTCTTGAACTCCTGACCTCGTGATCCACCTGCCTCAGCCTCCCAAAGTTCTGAGATTACAGGTGTGAGCCACCGCGCCCGGCCAGACATTTTTTTTTTTTTTTTTTTTTTTGCTGTCTTTGTCATATTGTTAGTCTTTTGGTTAAGCGATATTATAACTTAGTCATATGAGTAATATAATGCAACATGCTGAATTGTGTGTGTGAGAGGGGGTTGTTTTTTGTTTGTTATTTGTTTTTTAAATAGAGATGAGATCTCACTGTGTTTCCCAGGCTCCCTTGAACTCCTGGGCTCAGATGATATAGCCTCCTGCCACAGCGTCCTGATTAGCTGGGACTACAGGTGTGCACCACTACACGTGGCTTTCCTGATGAAATTTTAAATACCCAAATATTTGAGCAGAAATAATAGCTTGTGTTTATTGTTTTTCTACTATCTGTCAAGTATAGTATTAAATGTTTTACATAATTTGTCTCCAGTCCACATACAATACTCTAGTAGAAGTGGGTAACAAAACCAAGGTACTCAAAGAGGTTAATAAGTAACTTGCGCTGGATCACAGAACTAACGGGAGGCAGGGCTGGAATTTGACTCTAGGTCTTTCTGACCTCAAAGTGCAGTAAAGTCATGGAATTTCTCTACTAGGCCACCTGGAAGAAAAGTGATCTTTTTTCCAGTCTTTTTTGTTACTGTTTTTCAGCCAGGAGATAGTAGAGTTAGGTAGTAGAATAGTAGTCACTGGCATCCGGTAGTCAGCCCTCCAAAAAAGTTTTTGATTTTTTTTTTTTTTTGTCTTAAACTTGGAAGCTACTAACTTTCAGGTCATACTTTCTTATCATCCAAGAGCTGGATATTTAGGTAGCAGAAACTATGGAATTATCCTAAGTCCTCTTGAAGCTTCAGCTGTTAAAATTAATTGGTTCTGATTAACACTGTGCTCAAGATTTACATTTCTAGGAGCCACAGTTTGATTGGTCTAACTTGGATCTATGTGTTTTCTTTAGCTGGGGAGGAGAAGGTATCTTGATTGATACCTTCACCAGGACTGCATGCAGTGAGGGACAGAAGTTTCCTTAAAATAATTGGGTTCTGTTATAGGAAGAAGGGGAAGGAGATACCAAGTGGGCAAAACAATCAGGTTCTATTACATAAATAATAAACCTAATGTGACGATAATAAATGGATAATATGATTATTTTAAGTTTGGAAATATACCTGGTTATTAGTATTGGATATCTGGTAGTGGGGTTGGAGAAAAAGTCGAGAATAAGAAAAGACTTAAAATCGTAAAAATTAACTGGAAAAGAGGATGGCTGAGCAGATACATATATGTTAGATAATGTTCATAATGGCAAACCAACCTGAAGATTTGTTTAAATTGTAGTATGTAGCCAGGTGTGGTGGTGCTTGCCTGCAGTCCCAACTACTTGGGAGGCTGAGGCAGGATGATTGCTTGAGCCTAGGTTTGAGGCTACAGTGAGCTATGTTTCCACCACTGCTTTCCAGCCTAGGTGGCAGAGCAAGACCCCATCTCTAAAAAAATAAAGTAAAATGAATAAATTATAATATGTTATGACAAATATAGTTATCTGAAGTCACAGAAAATGTGCATGTGCATTTAATGATGTGAAATAATTTTTAGGAAGTATGAATAAAAAAATCAACTTTTAAGTGTGGCTAGTATGATCTTACCTGTATCTCACTTATAGAAAATATAAAAGGCTGAAGCCAGTCACCAGTTTAATAGTTCTAACCTCTTGTTTACTTGATTCCCTTTTTTCTCCTCCCCAGCAATCCTCATATAGTTAGGTAAAGTTGGTTCTTCATCAGGCTTGTTGCAGAAACCCCTAAGCCTTTTTACTTAAAGCTTTTTGAAACCCAGAAACCCATCTTTTGAATTCAAAAGTTTTGACTGTTATTAGTCTTTTTGTATGTTTGTTGGCCGCATAAATGTCTCCTTTTTATGAACAGAGAAGTGTCTGTTAATATACTTTGCCCACTTTTTGATGGGGTTGTTTGTTTTTTTCTTGTACATTTGTTTAAGTTCCTTGTAGATTCTGGATATTAGACCTATGTCAGATGGATAGATTGCAAAAGTTTTCTCCCATTCTGTAGGTTGCTTGTTCATTCTGATGATAGTTTCTTTTACTGTGCAGAAGCTCTTTAGTTTAATTAGATCCTATTTGTCTGTTTTGGCTTTTGTCGCCATTGCTTTTGGTGTTTCAGTCATGAAGTCTTTGCCAGTGCCTATGTCCTGAATGGTATTGCCTAGGTTTTCATGGTTTTGGGTTTTACATTTAAGCCTCAAATCGATCTTGAGTTAATTTTTGTATAAGGTGTAAGGAAGGGGTCCAGTTCCAGTTTTCTGCATATGGATAGCCAGTTTTCCCAGCACCATTTATTAATATTAAATAGGGAATCCTTTCCCCATTACTTGTTTTTGTCAAGTTTGCTGAAGATCAGATGATTGTAGATGTGTGGTGTTATTTCTGAGGTCTTTGTTCTGTTCCGTTGGTCTGTATATGTGTTTTGGTACCAGTACTATGCTGTTTTGGTTACTGAGCCTTGTAGTATAGTTTGAAGTCAGGTAGTATGATGCCTCCAGCTTTGTTATTTTTGCTTAGGATTGTCTTGGCCATACGGGCTCTTTTTTGGTTCCATATGAAATTTAAAGTAGGTTTTTCTAATTTTGTGAGGAAAGTCAATGGTAGCTTGATGGGAATAGCGTTGAATCTATAAATTACTTCGGGCAGTATGGCCATTTTCATGATATTGATTCTTCCTATCCATGAGCATGGAATGTTTTTCCATTTGTTTGTGTCGTTTCTTATTTCCTTGGGCAGTGGTTTGTAGTTCTCCTTGAACAGGTCCTTCACGTCTCTTTTAAGTTGTACTCATCATCACTGATCATTAGAGAAATGAAAATCAAAACCACAATGAGATGTCATCTCATGCCAGTCAAATGGTGATTATTATAAAAAGTCAAAAAAGAATAGATGTGGGTAAGGCTGTGGAGAAATAGGAATGCTTTTACACTGTTGGTGGGAGTGTAAATTAGTTCAACCATTGTGGAAGACAGTATGGCGATTCCTCAAGGATCTAGAACCAGAAATACCATTTGACCCAGCAGTCCCATTACTGGGTGTATACCCAAAGGATTATAAATCATTCTGCTATAAAGACACATGCACACGTATGTTTATTATAGCACTATTTACAATAGCAAAGACTTGAAACCAACCCAAAAAGCCATCAATGGTAGACTGGATAAAGAAAATGTGGCACATATATACCATGGAATACTATGCAGCCATAAAAAAGAATGAGATCGTGTCCTTTGCAGGGACATGGATGAAGCTGGAAGCCATCATTCTCAGCAAACTAACACAGAAATAGAAAGCCAAACACTGCATGTTCTCACTTATAAGTGGGAGTTGAACAATGAGAGCACATGGACACAGGGAGGGGAACATCACACACCGAGGCCTGTTGGAGGGTGGGGGACAAGGGGAGGGAGAGCATTAGGACAAATACATAATGCATTTGGGGTTTAAAACCTAAACGATGGGTTGGTAAGTGCAGCAAACCACCATGGCACATGTGCACCTATGTAACAAACCTGCACATTCTGAACATGTATCCCAGAACTTAAATTTAAAAAAAAAGAATTTTTCTCCTCTGTGGGTTTCAGAAGCCTACATTTGAAACTGGGATACTGTAATATCGAATCGTGTTCTCCATGCTCTGCTGTGTATTTCTTTTCCTATGGCAATGGATGTCTCTGACTGAATTGGTGTGGGGAAGGTGTGTGGAGGGGTCAAGAAAATAGCATGGACTAAGGAACTTGCTTAGTCTTTCCTGGAGGTGTTCCACTACAGCTCTACTACTGTCTTCACAGGTAAGTGAGAACTGCATATGCTTTGAGAAATGGCTGATCCAAGGCAAATCCTGTCATTTTAGGTTAATAAAATCTAACTGTGAGCACAGTGGCTCACGCCTGTAATCCCGACACTTTGGGAGGCCGAGGCGGGCAGATCACGAGGTCAGGAGATTGAGACCATCCTGGCTAACACCGTGAAACCCCGTCTCTACTAAAAATAAAAAAAAATTAGCCGGGCGTGGTGGTGGGCGCCTGTAGTCCCAGCTACTCGGGAGGCTGAGGCAGGAGAATGGCCTGAACCCGGGAGGCAGAGCTTGCAGTGAGCCGAGATCGCGCCACTGCACTCCAGCCTGGGTGACAGAGCGAGTCTCCATCTCAAAATAAATGATAGATAGATAGATAGATAGATAGATAGATAGATAGATAAAATGAGGATCTGGGACTACAGACGTGCACCACCACACCCAGATAATTTTTGTATTTTTAATGAAGTCGGGGATTCACCATGTTAGCCAGTTTAGTCTCAAACCCCTGGTCTCAAGTGAGCTGCCTGCCTCAGCCTCCCGAAGTGCTGGGATTACAGGTGTGAGTCACCACGCCCAGCCTTTGATATATTATTATAGGAAAAAAGAGGAGATGTACTTTATGTAGAAGAGAACTTTAATTTATGCTGTGACGGTACCTAAAAGATACATCCTTTATTCATGCGTAAGATGAAATCGAGAGGTGAAATTGGATATACTGTTGCTTTTAAAAAATTTTAACATATATGTAATTTTTTGTACTTATCTCATTTTAGCCTATATAAGTTATATATATTTTGTTTGTTTGTTTGTTTGTTTTGTTTGAGATGGAGTCTTGCTCTGTCACCCAGGCTAGAGTGCAGTGGTGCAATCTCGGCTCACTGCAACCTTCGCCTCCTGCATTCAAGCGATTCTCCTGCCTCAGCCTCCTGAATAGCTGGGATTACAGGCACCTGCCACCGCGCCCAGCTAATTTTTTTTATTTTTAGTAGAGACAGGGTTTCACCATCTTGGCCAGGCTGGTCTTGAACTCCTGACCTTGTGATCCATGTGCCTTAGCCTCCCAAAGTGCTGGGATTACAAGCGGGAGCCACCGCGCCCGGCTGTAAGTTATATCTTACACAAATCTAGGTTTCATTCAGAGAATTATATGCAAAGAAACAGTGCAATAGGATTATTTTAAAGCTATTGTTATTGTTAGAAAACATAATACCTTTAAAATTCCTTTTCACATTAGAAATATAGTGGCTTCTCCCCAGTTTAGGATAGAAATTTTCCTTTTCTTCTCCTTCTTTATACTATTCAGATTTGCATGTTTGACAGAACAAATTATAAGAGAAAATATTTGAAATGTCACATACTAAAGTAAATGTTTGAATGTTTGAAAATTTTCTGGTTTTCAGAGATTTTGAATTGCTGAATCGTTGTGTAAATTAAGATGTTGAGTAGTTTCCACAGAGTAATTATTTGAAAGTCACTGAAAGCAAGACACATGCCTAATGTAAATGTTTATTGCACTACTGTACCTTTTTCTACCTCATAAAAATGAGAATAGCAGTCTGTACTTTTCCACTTCGTCATTCGTAAGTCTTTGCAGAAATTCATATTTTGTTTGCTTATTATCTTCACGCTGTAAATAGCTTGAAAATTCTTTAAGTGGGGCTAGCGATGTATTATGGATACATGTTAAGTGGTATAGAAATTTCACTTTTTTTTTTTTGCATAAAGAGTAACAAGACCAGTAGTCCATATTTCTTCAGCTCTACCCAGAGAAGGGCAATGTAGGAGGGAAAATGAAGTTTGCAAAATATTTCATAGTAGGCTTTTTCTTAAAGTAACTTCAGACTTACAGAAGTTTAAAAATAGTACAAAGAATCCCATATACCTGTCACCCCAATTCCTGAAATATTAATATTTTACCACATTTGTTCATTATGTCTGTATTCTCCAAGTACGATATATGCCATTATATGTAATATGTAGCATTTTATATAGACATAGGGCATGTATGCACTATATATTTTTTTCTGAGCCACATAAAGAGTAAAACGCAGACATGACGTGCTTTTACTCCTAAATACTTCAGTGTGTGTATTCCCTCAAGAAAGGGCATTTTCTTCTGTATAGCTACCGTACACTTCTACACTTTTCAAAATCAGAACATTTACATTGATACCATACTATGACATGATCTGCAGACCATTTTCCAATATGCCAGTTGTCCCACTGTGTCCTTTAGTACAAAAGAAAAAAGTTTTTTTTCCTGGTCTAGGAGCTAATCCTGGAGCACATGTTACATCCTGTTGTTTTAATCTAGAACCGTTCCTCAGTTCTTTATCTTTCATAACCTTGACATTTTTGGAGAGTACAATCCATATATTTTGCAGAATTTCCCTTAGTTTGGGTGTGTCTGGTTTTTCCTTATAAGATTCATTTTATGCATTTCTGGCCAGAGTACCACAGAAGTACTGTATATCTTACCAGAAAGCCTAAGTGGCATTTGCATTTTCTAAATGATCAATTTTAATATTATATGGAAAGCAGAGTCAGAGATTCTCACATATGTCAAGATATTATAAGTATTCCTGTTATATTTATTCTCCAATTGCTTTTTCTCAAGAAAATTTGTGGCCTTTCAGCTAGCTTTTCAAAGTGGAAGTTACTACATAACATTAGGATGGGAGGGTGGGGAAGAGCTTTATTAAAGCTTTAAGATTGAGCTTTTGAGTATGTGTTGTATGTAAATGAAAGTGGGCATTGATGCAGGGATTGGGCCTTTAAACCTTTGGCCAAGAATGGTATCAATTATTATTATTATTATTTTTTGGAGTACTTCTGCTAAAACACTGAAATCAGTGTGCCACTCTCCTTTTAGAAGTTTTACACCTTTCCAAGGTACACTTTTTTTTTTGGAGACGAGTTTTGCTCTGTCGCCCAGGCTGGAGTGCATTGGCGCAATCACAGCCCACTTCAGCCTCTGTTTCCCAGACTCCAGCAGTCCTTCCACTTCAGCCTCCCGAGTAGCTGGGATTACAGGTGCACACCACCATGCCCAGCTAGTTTTTGTAGAGATGGGGTTTTGCCATGTTGCCCAGGCTGGTCTCCAACTCCTGCGCTCAATCTATCCGTCCTCCTCAGCCTGCCAAAGTACTGGGATTACAGGCGTGGGCCACCACTCCCGGCTTCCAAGGCAGGCATTTAAATGTAATAAATAGGGAGATAAGCAAGAACCCTGTTGGACCTGGTAGAAGCAAACATTTATTAGTACTATTACGTTGTTTAAAATATTAGCGCCTTCTATATTCATGTCCTCCCAGAATTATCAAAAAACCTACTCTATAGTTTATTTGGCTTATATCTCAGGAGTAATAAAATTAGTTAATAGTATTGGCATCGTGGTTCTTTGTGTATTCCTCCCTTATCCCACCCCAAGTTGATTTCACATGATCTCTTGATCTAGTCTAAGAATGTTTATAGTGATTACGAGAAGTTCAGATTCTGGCTTTAACATATATAATTGTTTTTTAATCTGTAAACCAAAGAGAATGAGTTTGTTTAAACTAGAAAGATGGCAAGAGTAGTCTGGGAATTTTGTTCCATTCCTTAAAAGTCCTATAATAAAATAAACATATCTTGTGTTTTATTTTTACAATTTTTTTAAACATTAGTACAGAGTGCCACTTCTTATATTCTATATCAAATAATGAGCTACATTTTCAATAATAACCTCTGAGTAATTTTTGGCATTAAAATCTGCATTACAAAATAATTTGAGGATATAATTTATAATCACTTATGCTAAAATCACCTATTTGAAATTATGTATGAGGTTTTCAAAGTTTATAGTGCTTTGGAAAAAATTTAAATGTTTCTTTGTTTATGTATCTTTATTATAAGCTGTAGCATATATCATGTAGTTGTCAAGGATGCTGATAGATACTTAATATTTAAAGGAGACTTGTCTAAAGTTAGCTGTCCAGGACTAGAATCTGGGCCTTTTGGTAACAGTTCATTGCTCTATTTACTTAAATGATGATTGGATTCGTTAGAATTTCTCTATTTTCATAGCTGTCTCTATGGTTCTATGAAAATACTGTGTGTGTGCTTATACATATATGTATACCTGTAAGTACAAAGTAGAAAATGAAAGTTCATTTTCTGCTTTTGACAATTGTAATCCCCAGAGATAACCGTTATTAATATGTTGTCTCATGTTTGGTCATACTGTTTTCTCTGTATTCTGTGTATTACTGTATAAATTTTACACAGTAATTTGCATATTAAAAATGCTGGTCTACACCTGGCCCTTTTTTAAAAACTGCAATTTATTATGGCCAATTTTTTATACCAGTATATATTGATCAACCTTATTCTTTTTAACTGCTGCATTTCATTCATTACCAATAGATGAGACATTTCCATAGGTTTGAATTTTTCAGTATTACAGATAATGGTTCAATTAAATATTTAAGCTTTTGTGCACTTGTAGAATTAATTCCTAGACATAGAACCCTTATATTTTGATAGGTATTTCCAAATTTCTTCCCAAAATGTTTGTATCTCTTTACTTCCACTCTCAGGTCTAATAATTTTCACTTGGATTATCATATTTCTTACCCAGCCTGTTTTTTACACTCTAAACTCTTTTTCTTTTCTTTTTTTTTTTGAGACAGCATCTTGCTCTTGGCCCGGTTGAAATGCAGTGGCACGACGACCAACCTGGGCTCAAGCAATTCTCTCAACTTAGCCTACTGAGTAGCTGGGACTACAGACACATATCACCATGCCCAGCATTTTTTTTTTTTTTTTTTTGTATTTTTAGTAGAGATGAGGTTTTGCCATGTTGCCCAAGCTGGTCTCAAATTCCTGAGCTCAAGCAATCCACCCATCTCAGCCTCCCAAAATGCTGGGATTACAAGCGTGAGCCACTGCACCTGGCCCAAAAGCTCTTTTTCTAATAGCAATATAAATTGTCTTTTACAGACTATACTCATATATGTTTCTTCTTTCAGAAATAGGTGTTAAGTGTATCTAACATGGAATGTATAGCTATAATTCTCATTGTGAAACCATAGCCTAATTTATTTCATATTACAATTTAAAATTCATATTTTTTAGGAAGTTTTCTTAGATTAATCCGCCTAGTTCCAGGTGCTACAGTCCCAAGATTTCTTTCTTTTTAACAAATTAAATATAGGTAACATGACTAGAATTGTAGTCAAAGAATATTGGAACCTTGGAACTTCAGTATTTGAACTTTATTTTGAAATATAATTTGTTATATTATAAAAATATTATAATATATTGCACCTGGAAGTTAGGGGCAGTTTTTTTTAATTCTCTTTGTATCTGCTACACTGTAAAGTGCTATTTATGTAAAAAATTCTTAATAGAAGTCTTCAGTTGTAAAGTCTGCTGTACAGACTTTAGATCAGGGATTGGCAAACTATGAGCCATGTGCCAAATCCTGCCCTTCACCTGTTTTGTAAATAAAGTTTTATCAGAACACATTCAGACTCATTCATGAACATATTGTCTATGATTTATTTTCTGCTACTATGGCAGAATTGAGTTGTTGCAACTGTGTGGCATCCAAAGCCTAAAATATTTACTCTCTGGCTCTTTGCCAACCCGTTTTAGATTATGAGCACTTTGGCATTATTATGTTTTTGTTTTCTTTCTATAGCACACAGTAAGATGTTCTGCCCACATTGTGCATAATTTATGGGTTTATTCAAGGATTTATGCAAGTGTAGCTGCAAGAAAAAAACCTAGAAGTGAACTTGCTAGGTTGAAGAGCATCTGTGTATGTTAAATTTTGTTAGCTTTCGCCTTCCCAAAGGGATTATTCCATTTCATACTTAAACTACTAATTTTGTGATAGGACTTCTTTCTCCATAGCTTTGCTAAATTAATGCATTCACACACTTCATCTTTACTAATCTGATAGAGGGAAATGATATTGTGGATTTGATTTCCATTTCTTTTTATGTGTTAGCTTGAGCTTATTTTCATATTTAAAAGCCAATTGTATTTCTTTTTCTTGAGCTATCTTTTAATGTCCTTCCTGATACATTTCTGAAGTCTGTGATACTCATATAAGATATATGGTGAACATGTGTCAAAGATTTATTTGACTCTAATGAGGGAACCCGCCTGATGACAAGGCTGATTGAGAAGAGGATGTGTGAGATGAAGTGTATATCATCAGTGAAAGAAAGCAAATTCTTACAGGGCAAAAACAAAACCACAACTCTAAGGGTTATTGTTTCTACTGGACAGAATTCATTTGCATTTTACCAGATAAAAATTACTATTTTCAATTTATCTTTTACAAATCATTTTCTAATTTTACAGAGTCTATTCCCTAATCAGTAGTAAATAGTCTTCAAAATTCTCCGCAGCGTCAGGTGACTATTATGCAGGCTAATTGTTGACACTCGGGCTTGACTTTAAGAGAACATGCCATAATCTTTTGGCCTTACTTCCAAGTTTTGGATAATTTTTCTTAACACATTTTTCTCTAATTGCAATGATTTCAAGTGATATTATTTCTTTTTTTTAAATTTTTTTACTATTTATTGATCACTCTTGGGTGTTTCTCGGAGAGGGGGATTTGGCAGGGTCATAGGACAATAGTGGAGGGAAGGTCAGCAGATAAACATGTGAACAAAGGTCTCTGGTTTTCCTAGGCAGAGGACCCTGCGGCCTTCCACAGTGTTTGTGTCCCTGGGTACTTGAGATTAGGGAGTGGTGATGACTCTTAATGAGCATGCTGCCTTCAAGCATCTGTTTAACAAAGCACATCTTGCACCGCCCTTAATCCCTTTAACCCTGAGTTGACATAGCACATGTTTCAGAGAGCAGGGGGTTGGGGGTAAGGTTATGGATTAACAGCATCCCAAGGCAGAAGAATTTTTCTTAGTACAGAACAAAATGGAGTCTCCTGTGTCTACTTCTTTCTACACAGACACAGTAACAATCTGATCTCTCTTTTCCCCATATTTCCCCTTTTCTATTTGACAAAACTGCCATCCTCACCATGGCCCGTTCTCAATGAGCTGTTGGGTACACCTCCCAGACAGGGTGGCGGCCAGGCAGAGGGGCTCCTCACTTCCCACACTGGGCGGCCGGGCGGAGGCGCCCCCCACCTCCCAGACGGGGCGGCTGCCGGGCGGGGGCGCCCCCCACCTCCCAGACTGGGTGGCCGGGCGGAGACGCTCCTCACTTCCCAGATGGGGCGGCTGCCGGGCGGAGGGGCTCCTCACTTCTCAGATGGGGTCGCGGCTGGGCAGAGGTGCTCCTCACCTCCCAGACAGGGTGGCGGCTGGGCAGAGACGCTCCTCACCTCCCAGACGGGGCAGCCGGGCAGAGGCGCTCCTCACATCCCAGAGGGGGCGGCCGGGCAGAGGCGCTCCCCACGTCCCAGACGATGGGCGGCCGGGCAGAGACGCTCCTCACTTCCTAGACGGGATGGCGGCGGGGAAGAGGCGCTCCTCACTTCCTAGATGGGATGGCGGCCGGGAAGAGGTGCTCCTCACTTCCTAGACTGGGCGGCCGGGCAGAGGGGCTTCTCACATCCCAGACGATGGGCAGTCAGGCAGAGACGCTCCTCACTTCCTAGACGGGGTGGCGGCCGGGCAGAGGCTGCAATCTCAGCACTTTGGGAGGCCAAGGCAGGCGGCTGGCAGGTGGAGGTTGTAGCGAGCCGAGATCACGCCACTGCACTCCAGCCTGGGCAACATTGAGCACTGAGTGAGCGAGACTCCGTCTGCAATCCCGGCACCTTGGGAGGCCGAGGCGGGCAGATCACTCGAGGTCAGGAGCTGGAGACCAGCCCGGCCAACACGGCAAAACCCCATCTCCACCAAAAAATACAAAAATCAGTCAGGCGTGGCGGCGCGTGCCTGCAATCCCAGGCACTCGGCAGGCTGAGGCAGGAGAATCAGGCAGGGAGGTTGCAGTGAGCTGAGATCGCGGCAGTACAGTCCAGCCTTGGCAACAGAGGGAGACCGTGGAAGGCGGGAGTCGGAGACGAGGGAGAGGGGGAGACCGTGGAAAGCGGGAGGTGGAGACGAGGGAGAGGGAGAGGGATTATTTCTGTATGACTTAATAATGAATTTCTAAGAAGGTCACTTAGCTCACTGTTGTCTCTTCTAAAACATACTCATCTTTCCTTTTCTCTTCTGTAGGAACTCATTATACAATGACAAATGGAGGCAGCATTAACAGTTCTACACATTTACTGGATCTTTTGGATGAACCAATTCCAGGTGTTGGTACATATGATGATTTCCATACTATTGATTGGGTGCGAGAAAAATGTAAAGACAGAGAAAGGCATAGACGGGTAAGTGTTTTTAGTAAAAATTTTTAAAAACATAGTGCATAATTAGATCTTTTAATAATATATTTCTGCCAATGATCTCAGGCTGCCAAATGTTTACATTTAATATAAGTAAATGTCTACATTTCATATGTGGTACATGTTTTTTTCTTTTTCTATGTTTAATTTTTTTAGTTTACTTATACCCTGTAACTTTCCAGAAAGGATTTCAGGTAGCTAAAAAACAAAGAAATACAATAAGAAGACAAAATAAGAAGGAAAGGGAAAAATACAGCACAGGAGTTGGGGGGAAGAACAAGCCAAGTTCCAGATATGGAGGTCAGCATGATTTTGGGCTTTGAGCAGCCCACCAGCTAAGGCAAAAAAGGAAACTCATTGCATAGCTCTTACCTATGGAAAAAGAAGAAATCTACTGGGGGCAGATGGTCTTGTGGGATTTTGCTGTTTTCTTTTATCTCCTTTCCCAGCATTTGATTCTGAGATATTTCTCAATTTGGCTCCCAAATAAAGCTTATTGAGTGTTGTAATGGTTTACTGTTTTTTTTAAAAATGGCTTTAACATATAAAAGTACAACTTATGGATCCTTTTTGTTTGTGGTCGTGACTTACTGATAATATAATCCAAAATACATTTTTTATTTTGTATTTATTTATTTATTTTTGAGACGGAGTCTCAGTCTTCTGCCCATGCTGGAGTATAGTGGTGTGATATTGGCTCACTGCACCCTCCGCCTCCTGGATTCAAGCGATGCTCCTGCCTCAGCCTCCTGAGTAGCTGAGACTACAAACGTACGCCACCATGCCTGGCTAGTTTTTATACAAAATACGTTTTTTAAAAAACAATTTTTTTTTTGGAGGTCGGGGGACCGTCGCCCATTCTGTTGCCCAAACTGGAGTGCAGTGGTGCAATCTTGGCTCACTGCAACCTCTGCCTCCCAGGTTCAAGCGATTCTTGTACTCAGCCTCCTGAGTAGCTGGAATTATAGGTGTGTGCCATCATGCCAAGCTAATTTTTGTATTTTTAGTAGAGATGAAGTTTCGCCATGTTGGCGAGGCTAGTCTCAGACTCCTGGCCTCAAGTGATTGGCTGACCTCAGCCTCCCAAAGTAGAAAATCTTCTTGAAAAATAAAATTCCAAATCTCAAAAGGCCCTATATAATTTTGGTGTTGGAAATTTACTTGTCAATGAAAATGACTATTTACACAAATTATAAGCTTCCATATTAATATATATGTGTGTGAACCTGAAATTCAAATTTTATTATATTGTTTATGAAAGGTACAGCCTCTGAGATTCATCAGATGGTATTTACCTTTAGGGCATATCTAAAAATAAAATACAGTACATGAAATCCAGTGCTTTAATCCAGTGATTCTTAAACTTTTTGCTCTCAGATCCCCTTTAAACTCTTAAAAGATATTGAAGAGCTCCAAGGAGGCTTTGTTTACGTGGTTTTTATCAATGGATATTTACCATATTAGACACTGAAACTGAGGATTTTAAAAAAAAATAATTCATTTAAAAATAACAGTAACAAAACCCATTACATGTTGACATAAATAACATTTTTACGAAACTATATTTTCAAAAATTAGTGAGAGAATGACATTGTGCTACATTTGTTATAAATCTCATTATTGTCTGGCTTAATAAAACACTGCTGGATTCTCATATCTGCTTTTGCAGTCAATATGTTGTATGTTGTTTTTATGGAAGTATGTGAAGAAATTCAACCTCATACACAGATAATATAGTTGGAAAAGCTATGAGTATTTTAATAGTCTTTTAAGATTATTGCAAATATTCTTCTTTGATACTACACTAAAGTGACAGTTGTTAGTTTCTTAAAGATTAGTTGTAATGTGTACTTTGAAACTGCATCAATGAACTTTGTCTTCTGTTACATTAAAATCCATTGATTTTGAATATATGATTTTGTAACATTATGCAGTGATCATTTAGAAAATATTGATTCACTGATTTATGTGGATCTTTTAAATGTTGACACTTATATAATATAATACAATATTTTAAAAATCACATTTGTTAATTTTACCTTTGATCTATTCAGAAAAGACTCTAAGTATTGGGAACCTATCATCCTCACAGTGATAGATACAAGTTTCCTAAAATTCTGATTTTTACTGGAGAGCTCAAATTCTATCATTGGAAACAAATACACATTTATTTAACTTAAAAATGACAGGATTACTTGGTTTCATTATTGAGAAAATACCTGTCAAATTCCCAAGTCTGGAAAACCATAGTTTGATGTCACTCTTTCAAGTAAAAATGGCATTCCATGTAAGAAGTGTCTAGTTTATTATGCAACTCAAATAAATTACGCAAGTGCTTTTCTTTAGGACATAACTTCATACATACTTCCACAAGCAGCAGATGTGTGTAGTTATGCATAGTTCCTTATGCATGGTTCTTATTTCATCACACAAAATATTAAAAAGACTCAGTGATTGAGACGTAGCAGTTTTTACTGCTTCATCAAAGATGCTCTTATTTGAAACTGGCATAATATGATTTATTTATTTGATTTTACTGGGAAGCATGGCAGTCAAGAATGTAATGACTGCCAGTACATTTGAGTGCCACTGCTTGATTTTTGCTATGGAGTCAGCAATTTTGCCACTGGTTTTGCATTTTCAGTAAAAATGTCAACACAGTGAAAAAGGCACATAATGTCTTGTATTATTTTGTAAACAGTTTTATCTTGCAGACCCCTTGAAAAGGTCTCGGGGATCCTCCAAGGTGCCAGTAGACCGTACTTTGAAAATCACTATTTTAATCCAAAGTGCCTAGATCAGACACACTATAAATCCTGTGTCTTGTATGATCATTAGGTAAATACATTTGTACTTAGAAGTATACATTCAGAGACATTAACAGTATTCAGGTTGGGATTTAAGTATATTTTAAAGTGTGGTACCTAGAGAGTATCCATGACACTATGTTCATAAAATTTTAGAGAAAACTGAGATCAAAGGAAACCAAAACAGGCTGGTCATAGTGGCTCATGCCTGTAATCCCAGTGCTTTGGAAGGTTGAGGCAGAGGATCGCTGGATCCCAGGAGTTTGAGACCAGCCTGGGCAAATATGGAGACTATCTCTACACAACAAAACAAAAATTAGCTGGGTATAGTGTCTTGCGCCTATAGTCCTAGCTACTCGGAAAGCTGAGGTGGGAGGATCCCTTGAGCCTGGAAGTTCTAAGTTACAGTGAATTATGATTGCACCACTGCCCTCCAACCTGGGTGAAACAGCAAGACCCTGTCACCCTCCAAAACAAACAAAAAACACTTTTTTCTCTGAGTATGTAAATGGTTAGTGTACAGTCCTTGAAAACATTGCAAATAGTATAGCAATATATGAAGTAGCCAGTATGTGTCCTAGCTAATTTTATCAATCATCTCTTCCTAGACCAATCAAATATTTTTCAATATTTTGATCCATGCTTATATGAACAAGATTTTTTAAAGCTGGAAAATTCCACACATTTATATACTTACTATTGTTCTTAAAATTAATTTTTTTTTTTTTTTTTTAAGCAGAGTCTTGCTCTTTTGCCCAGGCTGAAGTTCAGTGGTGCGATCTCGACTCCCTGCAACCTCTGCCTTCCAGGCTCAAGCAGCTCTCGTGCTTCAGCACCCCAAGTAACTGGGATTACAGGCATACGCCACCACACTGGCTAATTTTTGTAGTTTAAGTAGAGATGTGGTTTCGCCATGTTGGCCAGGCTGGTCTCAAACTCCCGGCCTCAAGTGATCCACCTGTCTCAGCCTCCCAAAATGTTGGGATTACAGGTGGGAGCCACTGCGCCCGGCCTACATTAAATTTTAAAGCCTTTCTATGTCAGTGCATATACCCAACCTAATTCTTTTTTTCCGTGAACTTTTTTGTTATGCTTGTAGCCTTCCTACCCCAGATTATTTCGAAGCAAATTGTCATTCTGTAATTTCAAATATTACTATTTCAGTATTTTACAAAATGGTTGCAGTTTAATTGTTGTTCCTTTTTTATTTATTAGCTTGCATATTTCTATAGAGAGTTTACCCCACATCAACCATTTGGATTACCTGAAGTAAGGGTGGTACAGGAAAGGGAGAAATCTTGAAATACTAGGTTCCTTAGCATCCTCAAAGTTGACCAATGAGATTTTTTGCTTGTTTGGTTGTTTTTTTCTGTGTCTTCATGGACTCATGGATTTAAGTATATTTGTGGTTTAATCATCACTGTTATTATTCTTATTGATGTTCATGTTATTTTAGATTAGTGGGAGCTTTTTTAGTTTGCTATCTGTGTCCTTCGTCATGTCCTTAGATAATCCTAATCCTAATCCTGATTCATCGTAGACATTTCCCGCAGCAAACCTGGAATCAGCCATTTCTCAAGGAGCTCTCTGATTCCATTGAAGGAAAATATAATATAGGTACAATCTAGGCACTAGGTGATACTTGTTACTTCTGGGTTGGCTATTGTTTCTAGCCTCCTAAGTTTATATGACTGTACTAATTTGAATTCATAACTATGGGACTAAACTTCTAATTCTTAAATCTGCATTTCCTTTAAGTCATGCCAAAAATCTGAACATCACAAACATAGTCATTTCGTTTACCCCACAATACACACATACAACATTGTCAGTATAACAGTACCAACACCATCTCCAACAATATGCCTACTGAAAAATTTTAGGTAATCTGTCTCCAGCCTCCCAGGTAGCTGGGACTGCAGGTGCACACCACCATGCCTGGCTAATTTTTTTTTTTTTTTTTTTTTTTAAGAGACTGGGTCTTGCTATGTTACTCAGGCTGGTCTGAAATTTCTGGCCTCTAACAGTCCTCCTGCCTTTGCCTTCCAAAGTGCAGAGATTACAGACCTGAGCCACCACGTCTGGCCTATCCTTTATTTATTCCACCAAAGTTATTTATACAAATTACTTTGTTGTAAAGTCCCTTGGAATAGTTTCTTCTGTGGCATTATGTTACCAGTTAGATGCACCTTTGATTCATTTAACTTTACTTCAATTTTTAAGGTTTGCTTTTTAGATTTAGTTTTGTTTTATTATACATATATGAAGTATTTCCACGGTTCCAAAGTTAAATGAACAAAACAGGCATGTTCAAAGAAGTCTAGTTTCTATCTCTGTCCCATCCAACCCATTGTCTTCTTCCCCTTATAAGTAATAATTTACATTTTTAACTTGTGGTTTATCTTCTGATTTTTAAAAATATAAGCATAAATATTTATATTCCTGTCTTTTAGCATGCTTTTAGCCATCTTGCTTTTTTCCTGTATAATGCTAAATATATCTCATTCTTTTTAATTGCTGCAGAATTTCTCATTACATAGGTATACTGCAATTTATTTATCTGATGCTATGTTGATGAACATTTAAATGATTTCCAGATTTTAGGAACGGTGATGATTGAACTCTCTGTACATATATCTTTTTTACTTGGTACACTCCATCAAGCAACTACTTAAGTGACTGACTATGATGCTGTGCAAGCAGTTATATAAAGAAAACAGCAGTGACTCAGCCTGAAAACGGCTTAATATTATCATGTTTTCTTACACATTATTTTTATTGAGGAAAAGCAACATGGAGTTTAGTGATTATTTTTGAAAGAAATAACCTATTTCTAATTCTAAAGAATGGTTAATATCTGTGTTTGGTTGCTTATAGGGTAGAAGGGGTAAAATTGCCTCATTCAACTTAGAACTTACCGTGTCATTTTAGTGGGGCGTTGTGACTTCAAATAGACCCGATTCTTGAAATAGACTGGGTCCATGTCCTTTGTTGGGACATGGATGAAGCTGGAAACCATCATTCTCAGCAAACTGTCGCAAGGACAAAAAACCAAACATCGCATGTTCTCACTCATAGGTGGGAATTGAACAATGAGAACACATGGACACAGGAAGGGGAACATCACACACTGGGGACTGTTGTGGGGTCGGGGAGTGGGGAGGGATAGCATTAGGAGATATACCTAATGCTAAATGACGAGTTAATGGATGCAGCACACCATCATGGCACATGTATACATATGTAACAAACCTGCACATTGTGCACATGTACCCTAAAACTTAAAGTATAATAATAAAAAAAAAAAAAGAAATAGACTGGGTCATTGAATTCCAGCTGTAGCCCTCCTTCAGAACAGTTGAGCACTGAAGTCCTGGGCTGAAAATTGACTTTTTTTTTTTTTTTGAGATGGAGTCTAGCTCTGTCACCCAGGCTGGAGTGCAGTGGCACGATCTCTGCTCACTGCCACCTCCGCCTCCCGGTTTCAAGTGATTCTCCTGCCTCAGCTTCCCAAGTAGCTGGGATTACAGGCGTTCGCCACCACACCCAGCTAATTTCTGTATTTTTAGTAGAGAAGGGGTTTCACTGTGTTGGCCAGACTGGTCTTGAACTTCTGACCTCGTGATCCACCTGCTTCGGACTCCCAAAGTGCTGGGATTACAAGCGTGAGCCACCACACCTGGCCAAAAATATGGGTTTCTAAAGCAACAGTCCTAGTACAACAGAAGAGAGGTGTTGACTAGTTAGGGATTTAGGTTTAGAAGTACATTCTTAGTAAGAGAGGTGAGACTTACCTTCTTGTGTTTTAGTATAGTGAGATCTGGATCAAATCTATTACTCTTATTAATCTCCTAACTTCCTACACTATATCCAGTAGAGGACACTTTTGCCTTACACAGTAAAGAAAGAGCCTCTGGACTCTACCAATGGGATCGGAGCTCTCCAAACCTGCATATTAAAAGGCCTATAAGTTTTGGGGGGTCCCTTTGTCCACATGATTATTCTGTAATACATTGTATTTATGGACATGGTATTATTATACACAGATCCTGTCTTTTAAAGAACATTATAATCCACTTAACTGCTAGGACCAGAGAATGACCGATAATTCAAACCATATTGTCTTACAGAAGACATATATAAAAGATGGTTATGTGTACCAATTGAGGTTCAAATTTGATTCAATTTAAAACAATCTAGGCCAGATTTTATATAGTTTGTGGACCCTTTGCACTCAAATCTCAAGGTTCTTATTAAAATGCAGATCTTGGCTGGGCACGGTGGCTCACACCTGTAATCCCAGCACTTTGGGAGCCCAAGGCAGGTAGATCATTTGAGCTCAGAAGTTCAAGACCAGTCTGGCCAACATAGCGAGGCCCAGTCTCATTGAAAGAAAAAAAATTTTTTAATAAAAAATAAAAGCAGATCTTGGGTAAAGACATGTAGTCTGGTTTACAGGTATTAACAACTGTCTGTAATGTAGTGATTTTGCTCCAGACTTACCTTTTCCATTATTTAGTTCTGAAATTACTGTTCTATGTATGGTAAATGAGAAAAATTGCTAGATTCTAGAACTGTGGCTTCTATTCATAGTTGGAAAAATGAAGCATAAACATTTCTAATTTCAGATCAACAGCAAAAAGAAAGAATCAGCATGGGAAATGACAAAAAGTTTGTATGATGCGTGGTCAGGATGGCTAGTAGTAACACTAACAGGATTGGCATCAGGTAAAGAAAATTTTTCAAGCAATCCTTTTTTAGTTAACAGAAGTATAAACTGTTCTTCCCTCCTTCCCTCAATTTTTTTTCAGGTACCATTGGATTTTAAAAAGCATTTGTTTCTCTTCTTCAAAAAATCTCCTTAAATATAAGACTAGGAGGCAGAGGCTTCCAAGTCTAGTCTTGGCTCTATCACTTTACGTGTTTATCCAGCTTGGTTGATCTTTCTGGACTCAGTTTCTATATCTGTAAAATAAGTGGTTTGGATCAGATGATCAATAAAGTATCTTTTGATATTAACATCGTAATAAATAGCTAATATTTCTTGAGTGCTTCCTATGTGTTGTACACTGTTCTAAAAACTTGACATGTATTTAAACCTCACCGGAATCCTGTGGTACCAGTGCTGTCATTATCACCATTTTGCAGATGAGGAGACTGAAGCAGAAGAAAAGTAACTTAGTTTGACTGAGGTCATACAGTTTAGTAAATGGCTAAACCAGGATTTGAATTAAAGCCTTCTAGCTCAAGACCTATCCCCTTCATCACCCTGCTATACAGCGTGGCCACAAAGTCCCAATGTGTGAGATTTTAAGAAAGAGCTGTTGAGGACCTGAAAACAAATATTAAGCACTGTTATAATCACTTTCAGCTTCCATGATGGAAGATTATGTTCAGAAGACCATAAAAATTAAAATTTTTGTGGAGAATAAAGTACTGATAATTCTAATTGGCATGCATAGTAATTTTATGGCCTCTGTGTATGTAACCCACTGATCTCTTTATGTAAGAAGGACCCAGATTTGACCATAAATTTGTGTATTTTTTATATTCTCACAATAAAATAATCTTGATATATGGTTTTCTGTAATTTAAGAAAATATTATTCCTATGAGTTTCAATAATTATTTCTAATGGACATTAAATTTTAATGAAATTGACATCATTTATAAGTCTGTTAATTAAGTTATCGATTGAAAATTAGATTTGTGAACCTCCTGCCAAGTAGCTGTCTTTTGAAGATATTTTAGTATCTTTTAAACATTGTTTTTCAGATCACAATTAATTTGAATGATGTAACTTTTTAAAATTCCAAACAAAAATAGCACTTTTATTGTAAAAAATAACTCTTTACAGTTTATAACTAAAATTTGAAAATCTTAAATTTATATGTAGTTCATAAATGACCCTTTATTTAGGAGTCTCCTGCTTTCTACTTGCCTTTTAACTAGATTGTTCTCGACTCCCAAAAAATTGACTTAATTTTTTTACCATCTCCAACATGTTTTTATAGGGGCACTGGCCGGATTAATAGACATTGCTGCCGATTGGATGACTGACCTAAAGGAGGGCATTTGCCTTAGTGCGTTGTGGTACAACCACGAACAGTGCTGTTGGGGATCTAATGAAACAACATTTGAAGAGAGGGATAAATGTCCACAGTGGAAAACATGGGCAGAATTAATCATAGGTCAAGCAGAGGTAAGTCTTGCTTTGTCTCAAGATGAATTAATAATTGATATAGCAAAATGTTTCCAATTCATTTAATTATAGAACTAATCACATATTAGATGATTACATACACATCAAATGGATCCACCCTCAACACATTGCAGCAAGAAAGAATTAAGTGCAATATTGTTTCAAGTAGCTTTTTTATTAGTTAACTGCATAGTCATATAACAAATCCTCTGGATTGTGGTGCAAATATATTTGAGCTGTAGTAGAAAAGAAGTGATAGTTATTGCAGTAAGATCTGTGTAAAGTTACTAAGAAGTCAAGTTATTAAAACTAATATATTACTAAGATTGGGAAGTTTGAATTATGAAAGTATTATCAAATAATTTAGTAAAATCAACCTACGTAGAGATACATTGAAGATAATCAGACATTTTTATTTGTGGCATTACGGCATTTAAATGATTGATTTACTATGATCTACAAAGAACATTTTAGAACTTAGGATGTTACATGTATATTTTTTACATGATGACATGGATATATTTTTTAAATTTTGTTTTAGCTGAACTTTAGAGCTAAAAGGTATACATTTGCGGTAAGATGAGTAGTATGCTGTTTCTCACCTGGCTTAATTGAATTGAGTTTAATGATCTGGAAAGTTGCAGCAGAATGAAATCTGAGTGGTGATGCAATTTGTTTCCACTGTTTCCAAAAAGTGGTTTGTAGGCAGAGATTGAAGTATAGCTGAGATGTGTTGGTAACAAGACTTTAGGGATTAGGAAAAAGATTAAATGTGCTCAGGGTTCCTTGGTATATGTAGGCATTAATTTTTGGACTCTACTTAAATATTTTGTTCATATAAAGTTTTTATTATTGTGGAAATAAACCAGGAGACTTTTACACATTTTACTGAAGTTTCTTTTCTTTCTTTTTTTTTTTTTTTTTTTGGCCGGTGGGATGGAGTCTCACTCTGTTGCCCAGGCTGGAGCGCAGTGGCACGATCTCGGCTCCCTGCAACCTCCGCTTCTGGGGTTTAAGCGATTCTTCTACCTCAGCCTCCCGAGTAGCTGGTATTACAGGCGTGCGCCACCATGCCCAGCTAATTTTTGTATTTTTAATAGCAACGGGGTTTCACCACATTGGCCAAGCTAGTCTCGAACTCCTGACCTCAGGTGATCCACCCGCCTCAACCTCCCCAGTGCTGGGATTACAGGCGTGAGCCACCATGCCTGGCCGTTTACTGAAGTTTCTTATGACAAGCATTTGCATTAGAGGTGCAATGTAAATTAAATTCATACTCTCGAACTATTTTCTTTTTAGGGTCCTGGTTCTTATATCATGAACTACATAATGTACATCTTCTGGGCCTTGAGTTTTGCCTTTCTTGCAGTTTCCCTGGTAAAGGTATTTGCTCCATATGCCTGTGGCTCTGGAATTCCAGAGGTAAGCCAAGTAATATTTAGTGTCATTAAACATTATTATGATGCTTATCTTTTTGACCTTAGTGATAATAAAAGTTGGCTTTTCTGGAGGGAGGGGATAGTTTGTTCATAATATGAAAAAAAAATTTTTTTAAGTATAAGCTGATGGTAGACATCATTGAAAAATATTGTTCCCCATAGTCATTTGGTCATTTACTGTGAAGGCTGATTTTTTTTTTCTCTCACCACTAATTTAACACATGACTAGGCAAATTTTCAGACTATTTAGTTAAACATCAAGAGCCTGGAAGAAGTATCTTGTGACCTAATGTTCTTTGACGGGTTAGTTGTTACTTTGCTGTTATGACCCTGAATTTTTTTTTTTTGAGACTGAGTCTTGTGCTGTCGCCCAGACTGGAGTGCAGTGGCGCAATCTCAGCTCACTGCAACCTCTGCGTCCCAGGCTCAAGCAATTCTTGTGTCTCAGCCTCCTGAGGAGTTGCGATTGCAGGCACCTGTCACCATGCCCTGCTAATTTTTGCATTTTTTTGTTTGTTTTTTTTTTTTAGTAGAGATGGGGTTTCACCATGTTGGCCAGGCTGGTCTCAAACTCCTAACCTCAAGTGATCACCCGCCTCAGCCTCCCAAAGTGCTGGGATTACAGGTGTGAGCCACCACACGTGGCTATGACCCTGATTTTGATTCATTCACTTTTTATAATTACCTTTTGATTAGATAAGTTAATTATTCTTGAATTTGGCCATTTTATGCTTTGAGAAAGTAGTTAATCACAGTGGGTCAACAGTACAAACTTTTGGGTTTTATTTTTCATCACAATAAAGTAGAGTTATACATAGGATTGATTGAACTTGATTTGAACTTATCTCTTCTCTTTTATTTTTCTGTAGTTAAATAAGTTACCAACTTTTTCCTAATACATTTCTTTTTAAAATGGAATTGTATTGATCTTTAAGTTTGTATTAAGAATATCTTTCATAAAAAGCAATATCATGCAGTATATAACAGTTGTTACTCATTCTTGATACATAAAAAACTATTGCACATAATTACAGTACTCAGAGAAAACATAATATTCTTATTTCTAACATAATGTCCAAAATATATTTAAAATATTATGCTTATTTTTACAACAGAAATATTCAAATTTGCCCTTTTTTTGGTTATGTAATTATAATCCTTATAATTAAGGTCTGTATTCATTTTAACATGGCCTGATATTTTGATTTTGTTCCTGAGATAGTGTTGCCCTCTCTCCTTTCTTGGGTAGAGAATTAGATTATAATATCAATTTATTATATGTAGCATAATAGGCAAAGTTTTCGAAAAATTAACTGTAAATTTTTCTGTAGACTGCTAAAATTTGCAAGGTTGTTTTTGTGCATAAAACAAGAAAATAACTTGGATTCGTTACATTCTCATGTTTCTTAAAGGACATTAAGCTGCCTTAATCTTTGCCTTGTAGATTAAAACTATTTTAAGTGGATTCATCATCAGAGGTTACTTGGGAAAATGGACTTTAATGATTAAAACCATCACATTAGTCCTGGCTGTGGCATCAGGTTTGAGTTTAGGAAAAGAAGGTCCCCTGGTACATGTTGCCTGTTGCTGCGGAAATATCTTTTCCTACCTCTTTCCAAAGTATAGCACAAACGAAGCTAAAAAAAGGGAGGTAAGTGTCTTTTGTAGTTAATTTGACTGAAAAATATATATTATATAGTATTTATTTAAGTAAAGAATTTCTTAGTGTAAAAATAATAAATTCTGTATTCAGATAAAAAATTTTGAGATTTGTGCTTCTGTTTTTCCTGAATAATCTATAACATCTTTCTAGAATCCATTCCCAGTGCTGCTCAGTTCGTCTTACATTTTAGAGAAGCTTTAGATAGACAGCTGGTGTCCATTGGGTTTCAGCTGCATTTCACGAAGATCTTCCTGTTATCACTTTACCTTACATCTTTCCTCTTCTGAAGTGTTTTCTAAGCTTAGCTTTGTTTTTCACTCTTACTTTCAACATTAAGAGGTTGGGAAATCTTAATAGCTATGTTTTCCTCCTGGAGGCAGTGTCTGGTGCCAGTGTAAGTGGTGTGTGATATGAAAAATGCTATCCAGTGCTATGGGGAAGTTCTGAGGGCCTTTAGAAGCTCTTGAAGTTTAAATCAGAAATTCACATTAAAGAGATTACAGGAAATCCTTTTCATTTGATTGTTTAAGGCAATTTCCTTTACCATTTCTTTAGGCCAGCCTGAGATCTTCTACAAGACCTTGAAACCTTATATATATTATGGATTTCCTCTGATGTTTCCATATTGCTCTGGGCATTTTCCTGAATCCTTTATATTAGCTCTAGACTTTGGGAGCCCAGTCCCTTCCTATTTTCCAAATCTAAATCTACAGCCCTAGATGGTACAGAGATCTTTGAGTTTTTAAGATATGATTTTTTGAAAAACATCTCATTAAATACTGGCAGAACCTTTTCATCTTGTTGAGTTTTTTAATGTACTGTAACCAAAAAAGTAGAATATTTTATCAAACTGTTTAATCTTCAATTGAAATAATTCTAGTACATTTTAATGTTCGCATTAAAATATTGTCCTTGCATTGGACGTAGATATCCCAAAAGTGGAATACTTCAGATTGTCGTAGTTTCATCTCTGAATAATTGTGATTCCAGTACTTTATAACAAAAATAGCTAGCATTATTGATTACTTTCTGTGTATCTGGTACTGTGGCAGATACTTTACTTGGATTTTAATACTTAATTTCACAGTAATTTAGTAATATGGCCCTGTTATCCTCATTTAGTGATTAGTAAACTAGGGCTGAAAACAGCTAACTAACTTGCCCGAGACTACATACCTAGTAAGTGGTGGAACGTAGGTTAAAATTCATTTTTCTTTGACTTCAAAGTCTGTGGTCTTACCTACTTACATTACTGCCCTTACGACTATGTGGGTATATATTTGTGTGTGTTCAAAACAAACTCAAAACCATCCTGTAGCGTAGCAAGTTAGTGGCTAAGATGAAGCTAGAGCATTTGCCTCCTCAATTCAATTCCATTACTTTCTGTTGTACCTTTATATTTTTTGGTAAGACTTTTACTTATTCTAAGTTCAAAAAATGTAATTTATTAGATGTTTGAGAAATTAAGTTTACCTAAATTTTAATGTTCATACTGTAGTGATTAGTTAATGTTTAATACGTTGTTATTCTGTCACCTTAGTGTATATATAAATGGCAAGAATTCACGGTTAGTTGAAAGCATTAAGGTCCCATAGTTTTGTGTAGACAAGAGGGGAGAGCGTTGATATTTTTAAATTAAATGCTTCTTAGATACGTATGAAATGGATTAAAACATGTATATGAGTTATAGATACCTAGGTGTTAGTTTGGTTGTAAATTCAGGATCAGGACATTCAAATAAATATGTTTGCTTTCCTCTTAGTGGAGGAAAAAAAAAAGAAGCTAAATTTGCTCCCTTTCCTCCCCAAATAAGCAGAGTCTACATTTTAATGCCAACAATTTGATTAAAACAAATATTTATTTACTTTTAATTCACCAAACTTTTATAAAGTATTTACTGGTGCCAGGCACTGTTCTAAAGCACTCTGTATATATTTACTCAGTCCTTAAGAGCTAAGTAATATTATCACGTTTCCATTTTAGAGAAAACTGAGGCACATATAGGTTAGGTTATCTACCCATAGCCATACAGCTAGTAAGTAGCAGAGCCATGATTTCAACACAGCAGCCTGACTATGGAGTTCATGATCTTAACCATTTACAGCTTAATTTTTATTATTTATAATTTCTCTTCTGGAAATGTAACAATTGACCATTTGAAGAAATACTTTAGGTAGCTTTGGATATTTGCTGTATTAAAGTAGTGAAAGTAATACAGACACTTGGCTGGGCGCGGTGGCTCACGCCTATAATCCCAGCATTTTGGTAGGTTGAGGCAGGCAGATCACCTAAGGTCAGGAATTCGAGACCAGTGTTGCCAACATGGTGAAACCCCGTCTCTACTAAAAATACAAAAATTAGCCGGGCGTGGTGGCAGGCGCCTGTAATCCCAGCTACTCGGGAGGCTGAGGCAGGAGAATCACTTGAACCCAGGAGGTGGAGGTTGCAGTGAGCTGAGACGACGCCATTGCACTCCAGCCTGAGAAACAAGAGAGAAACTCTGTCTCAAAAAAAATAAAGGAATACAGACTCTTAGAAAAATAATTACAAATAAAACCCTAGTGAAATTATAGGTATAGTTAGGTATAGTTGGCTTACAGGTGGGAAGTAGACCATTACCAACTGATAGACTGGGGAGCTGGAGAGAGGACACGGAAGAGTGTCCTTGGATTTTTCTTTTCCTTTAATTTTTTTGTAGAGGTGTTGGTTGGTGAGACTGTAACTTGAGGAGCTGTTGTGTGTGCTTTCAGAATGAGGCTCTCTAGATTGATAGTATTTTAGCAGTATTTCAGAATGCATAGGGTAGTGAAAATATAGGGAATCTTACAAGGTCTTCGGTTCCCTGCATATCTTGCTACGATTTGGAATAGAGTATTTATGGTGGAGCAGTTAGCTCTAAAATTTGAAGAAATGATATCCTATTTAAAAATAGCTCCCCATCCCAGTTACTGCCCTCCCCTCTTACCTACACAAACATACGTCTTGAAAATTGTCTATATTCATTGCCTCCTCCTCTTTACACCCTATTCACATTAGTATATCTGGCAAAAATTTTTTTTAACTGAATGGTAAATGCATGACTGACCTTTCAATTAAAGCCAGGAGAAAGAAACAAATCTTAATAGAAGAAATGAATAGTTACCCTTTGCTTAGGGAGCAAGGAAACATGCAAGTTAAATTCAGAAAATCCATTTGGAAAATTCAAGTAACATGAAGAATTTTTATTTGGTATGTTTGAATTTCTATGAAATTATGAAATAAGCCATATCCTCTTTCTAGGTGCTATCAGCTGCCTCAGCTGCAGGGGTTTCTGTAGCTTTTGGTGCACCAATTGGAGGAGTTCTTTTTAGCCTGGAAGAGGTAGGTGAAAAGAATACAACAATTAAAATTATATATAATTACCATTACAAATATATTTCACACATTTCAGTTTTGTAGGTGATGTAATAGGTAGAGACTTTGTTTTCAAATTTATTTTTCTAAAGTTGTTTTCCACTCATTCTTAATAAAAAGTAAATGTTATTCATGCTCCATACCTGGAGGAAACTTTTTAAAAATTTATTAATGTATGAATGTTAGTAATTATTTAAAATCTAACTTTGTTGACATATTTAAAAGTAAGAAGATGTGAATTTGACTTAATAGAGGACATGTGAAACAATCTATTTCCATTGGCTAAATTCTGTATTTTTAGTAGAGATGGAATTTCACCATGTTGGCCAGGCTGTTTTTTTGTGGGGTTTTTTTGTTTTGTTTTGTTTTGTTTTTGTTTTTGAGACGGAGTTTCACTCTTGTTGCCCAGGCTGGAGTGCAATGGCGCGATCTTGGCTCACTGCAACCTCCGCCTCCAGGGTTCAAGTGATTCTCCTGCCTCAGCCTCCCAAGTAGTTTTTGTTTAAAAAATTTTAATCAATTCCTATGTTGTGTTTTAAAGTTTTTCCCATGTGATTATTTCTGATACAGTTAGTGATGTTAAAGAAAATAATTTTAGTGACTTCAGTGGATTATTTTGTTTTTGTTTTCTTAATAGGTGTTTAAGACTTTTCTTTTTACATAAAAATGTAACCAGGAATTTTTTTTTAATTTTTTTTGACAAATAATAATTGTTTTTGTTTATGGGGTATAATGTGATGTGTCTATACATGTATACATTGCGGAATAATCAAATCAGAGTGATTAGCAAATCCCTCAAATATTTATTATGTCCTTGTGGTGGTGAGAACATTTAAAATCCTCTTTTAGCTATTTTGAAATATATAATACATATTATTAACTGTGGTCATCTTACTGTGCAATAGAACACCAGAACTTATTCCTCCTCTGTAAGTTCATACCCGTTGACTAATGTCTCCCCTTTCCCTGTTCACCTCCCCAACCCCTAGCCTCTGGTAACCCCTATTCTACTCTCTACTTCTATGAATTTAACTCTTTTAGTTCAAGATGTTTTTAAATGTACTTTTTTCTTTTAGTTGTTTGTATTCTTTTTTTTTTTTTAATGTAGAAGAGGCAAATTAAATGCATTATAAGTTAACAGGAGTTGGTGATGGTACATTTATTTTTAACTACCATGATTGAATTGAATGTGAAACTCATTTTGAATATAAAACAGCACTAGGTATTCTATTAGTATTTATTAGACATTTATGATCAATTGATACTGTCAATTTGTAATGATGATCACCATCTCCAAAAATAATAATAACATCAATTTTTCTTATTACAGTAAAATCCATTACATGTAAATTCTAACTACAGCAAAATTTAGAGCTAGGATATTTACCATTCAAGTTATAATATATCAGAAACATCTTATAAAATTATAGCATTAATTTTTCTTTTCCTTTTCTTTTTTTTAGGTTAGCTATTATTTTCCTCTCAAAACTTTATGGAGATCATTTTTTGCTGCTTTAGTGGCTGCATTTGTTTTGAGGTCCATCAATCCATTTGGTAACAGCCGTCTGGTCCTTTTTTATGTGGAGTATCATACACCATGGTACCTTTTTGAACTGTTTCCTTTTATTCTTCTAGGGGTATTTGGAGGGCTTTGGGGAGCCTTTTTCATTAGGGCAAATATTGCCTGGTGTCGTCGACGCAAGTCCACGAAATTTGGAAAGTATCCCGTTCTGGAAGTCATTATTGTTGCAGCCATTACTGCTGTGATAGCCTTCCCTAATCCATACACTAGGCTAAACACCAGTGAACTGATCAAAGAGCTTTTTACAGACTGTGGTCCCCTGGAATCCTCTTCTCTTTGTGACTACAGAAATGACATGAATGCCAGTAAAATTGTCGATGACATTCCTGATCGTCCAGCAGGCATTGGAGTATATTCAGCTATATGGCAGTTATGCCTGGCACTCATATTTAAAATCATAATGACAGTATTCACTTTTGGCATCAAGGTAAGTGCTAATGTGAGGTGATATTTGGGTAATTTTGGCATGTTCAAAACTTATATGTGGAATGAGAGAGGTTGTTGTTTCATAAATGACTGAAAAAAGTACTTATCTTTTGAGTTTAATTTTAAGTAATGAAAAAGATAATTCCTTAGCATATATTGTTGACCATGTTATCTGTTGCTATTTAACAAATTACCCCCCAAAACTTAGCAGCTTAAGGTAACTACTTATTTTGTTCTTGATATTGAGTCAACGACTTGGGAAGGGCTCAACTGGGCAATTTTTGCTTGTGGTCTTTCATATAGTTGTTATTAGACATGGCGAGGGCTAATCATCTCAAAGCTTCTTTTTTTCGTTTCCTTTTTAAAAAACTGTTTTTGTGGATACACAGTAGCTATATATAGTTTTGGGGTATATGAAGTATTTTGATAGAGGCATGGAGTGCATAATAATCTCAGGGTAAATGGAGTATCCATCACCTCAAGCATTTATCCCTTGTGTTACAAACAATCCAATTACACTCTTAATTATTTTTAAGTGTACAATTAAATTATTGAATATAGTTCAAAGACTTCTTCATTCATGACTAGCACCTAGGCTAAAAAAATTCAGACACCTGGGCTCCTGGGATCAATCACGCATACTGTGTCTCTTGTGCTCACTCCCGCTGTCTCTCTCTCTTTCTCTCGCTTCCTTTTTCCTCTCTCTCTGTGGTTTTCTAGGGTGGTGGCCTCAGGGAATTGGATTTCTTATATTATAGCTCAGGATTCCCAAGAGGGCTGTTTTTAATGTAGCCAAAGAAGTCTTGCAGCGTGACTTGTTTTATTCTATTCATTGAGGCAGTCACAGAGGCCCGACCACATTCAGAGGAGGGACATACACTTGCTGGGACAAGTGTAAGAGAATTCATGATCATGTTTTAAAACCACTTTTATTAGTTTCCTATTGCTGCTGTAATAAATTACCACAACTTAATGGCTTAAAAGCCACACAAATTTAATATCTTACAGTTCTGCAAATCAAAAGTCTGAAACGGATCTCACTGTGCTAAAATTAAGGTGTTCGTAGGGCATTCTGGAGGCTGTAGGAGAGAGTCTTGTTTTTTGCCTTTTCTGGCTATTAAAAGCTGCCAGCATTCCTTGGCTCCTGGCTGTCTATTTGCATCTTCAAAGCCAGCAGTAGCTGGTCAAGTCTTTCTCTTGTCTCATCACCCTGACCCAAACTCTGCTAAATCTCCCTTCCACATTTGAAAAACCTTTGTGATTACTTTAGGCCCACGCAGATAAATCAGAAAATAATCTCCTTTTTCAAGGTCAGTTGCTTCGAAACTTTCTTTCTGCCACCTTGATTCCTCCTTGCCATGCAACGTAATGTAATCACAGGTTCTGGGAATTAAGTTATGGACATCTTTGATGAGCCATTATTCTGCCTCATACCAGTATAGGGTATTAGCTTGAAAGGACACTGCAGACTCAGTTAAATTACTAGATCTATAAATACATGCCTTTTTCCATCAAGAAATTAAGGCAGCTGGGTCTTATGCCCTGGGACATTGCTTCTTTTGGATTTATAAAATAACAAAATTTGTTGATTAATGGTCTATCAGTAAATATAATTTCTTATGTGACTATCAGTGATATATATGGGGAAGCACATATCAGCTTATTCTTGTTCTTTAAATTACTACCCCTGTACTTCATGTAATAGTATTTGCTAGTGATGATGTGCTTTTACAGATGTAAATTAATGTGGAATAACAGCTTTGTTTCTACAAAATTAGAGTGGTTTTAGTTTTTGAAATAAGGTCTCTTTTCTCTTGTCCTAAGTCTGTAGTCCACTGAGTATCTAGAGTTAAATAATAGAAAAGCCTGGCCAGGCGCAGTGGCTCACACCTGTAATCCCAGCTCTTTGGGAGGCCGAGGCGGGCAGATCACAATGTCAGGAGATCGAGACCATCCTGGCTAATGCGGTGAAACCCCGTCTTTACTAAAAATACAAAAATTAGCCAGGCGTGGTGGCAGGTGTCTGTAATCCCGGCTACTCGAGAGGCTGAGGCAAGAGAATCACTTAAACCCAGGAGGTGGAGGTTGCAATGAGCCAAGATCACACCACTGCACTCCAGCCCAGGCAACAGGGCAAGACACTGTCTCAAAAAATAATAATAAGAAGAAAATAATAATAGTAATAGAAAAGCCTAAACATTTTACCTTTTTTTCTTAGGGAATCAAGTTAAAAGAGCTGTTAAAGCTCTTTTTCCTACAATAAGTAAGTGTTGGGTAAATCCCAACTTTCTCACAGTCAGTTGAACTACAAGAAGCTGGAGGCAATTGGCAGGCCTTTGTTAAGTCCCACCTTTGACTCAGCTCTGGCTGAAGGATCATACCTGGCAAGAGAGTGTAAAACACACTTTGATTTTTTCTATTGTTTATCCTTTTAATGATCCTAAGAGACTCAAGAGTACATGCCATCATTTTGTGTTTGGCTCATTTCATATTCAGAGGAGTTTATTACTCTTTCAGTAGTTTGTTCGTTTGTTTGTTTTTTGAGACAGGATCTCGCCTTTTTGCCCAGACTAGAGGGCAGTGTTGCAGTCTTGGCTCACTGTAACCTCCACCTCCCAGGTTCAAGCGATTCTCCTGCCTCAGCCTCCCAAGTAGCTGGGATTACAGGTGTGGGCCATCACACCCGGCTAATTTTTGTGTTTTTAGTAGAGATGTGATTTTGCCATGTTGGCCAGGCTGGTCTGGAACTCCTGACCTCAGGTGATCCTTTGGGAGGCCTTGGCCTCCCAGAGTGCTAGGATTATAGGTGTGAGCCACTGAACCTGGCCTCTTTCAGTAGTCTTTAAATGATCTTGCTTATGGTGCTTCTTATCCCTGTTTATTATCCTTATTAAATTTAATCAATAAATATTTTTCTCTTTTTAATTGATTCATATAAATAGACTTACCTGAGAGATATAGGTTCAGTTCAGAGCACCACAATAAAGTGAATATCATAATAAAGCAAGTCACATAAAAGTCTTAGTTTCTTAGTGCATATAAAAGTTCTGTTTACACTATGCTGTAGTCTTATGTGTACAATAGCATTATGTCTTTTAAAAAAGTAATACTTTAATTTAAAAATACTTGATTGCTAAAAAATGCTAATAGTAATCTGAGTCTTCAGTGAATTGTAATCTGTTTTGCTTCTGTAGGGTCTTGCCTTGATATTGGTGGTTGCTAGAGGTAGGACTGGCTGTAGCAATTCTTAAAATAAGATAACAGTGAAATTTGCCGCATTGATTGACACTGCCTTTCATGAAAGATTTCTCTGTAGCATGTGATGCTGTTTGATACCATTTTACCTACAGTAGACCTTCTTTTCAAAATTAGAGTCATCCTCTCAAACCCTGCTACTGCTTTATCAACTAAGTTTAAGGAAAATTCAAAATCTTTTGTCCTTTTAACAATGTTCACAACATCTTTACCAGGACTGGATTCTACCTCAAGAAACCACTTTCTTTGCTCATCCATAAGAAGTAACTCCTTATACATTCAAGTTTTTTAAATGAGATTCTAGCAATTCAGTCACATCTTTAGGCTACGCTTATCATTCTAGTTCTCTTGCTATTTCCACCACTCTGTAGTTACTTCTTCAACTGAAGTCTTGAACCCCTCAGAGTCATTCATGAGAGTTGGAATCAACTTCTTCCAAACTCCTGTTAATATTGATATTTTGACCTCCTCCCATGAAACGTGAATGTTCTGGATGGCATCTAGAATGGTGACTACTTTTTGAACATTTTCAATTTATTTTGCCCGGATCAATCAGAGAAGTTGTTATCAGTGGTGGGTTTCCAAGTTGTCAGGGGCGAACCATACAGATCTTCAGCAACCTCAACTCTTGCCTTCTCAGAGGAAAGAATTCTACGGAGGGACATAAGGCAGAAAAAGAGACTGAGGCAAGTTTTAGAGCAGGAGTGAAAGTTTATTATTAAAAAGCTTTAGAGTGGGAATGAAAAGAAATTAAAATACACTTGAAAGAGGGCCAAGTGGGCATCTTGGAAGACAAGTGCCCCATTTGACCTTGGACTTAGGGTTTTATATGTTGGCATACTTCTGGCATCTTGCATCCCTATTCCATTGATTCTTCTTTTGGGGTGAGTTGCCCACATGCTCAGTGGCCTGCTAGCACTTGGGAGGGGAGTGTGCACAGTGTATTTACTGGAGTTGTATGCATGCTTACCTGAGGTGTTTGTTGCTTACCAGCCAAATGTCCCTAGGAGGTCATATTCATAAACTCCATGATTTTGCCTCTAAATGTGCATGCTTGAGCCCACTCACCCAACTCCTGGGATCTTATCGGAAAGCTGCCGATCGCTAGTTTCAGGTGTTTCTATCTATTGGAAGATGGCCTTTCCCTGATGCTGGCTGCAACCAATTATTACTTTAGAGAGAGAGCATGAGAGCTGTCTCACCATCATCACCTGATGGTTGCCTGACATTCCTGGTGGGGTTGGGAGGATGCCTGTCCTGCCCTGCTCATGCCTGACTAGCTACCTGCTGTAACAAAAGTACTATCTATGGTAGCTGTAGCCATAGGAAATGCATTTCTTCAGTAAAACTTAAAAGTCAAAATTAGTCTTTAAAACAACATGAATCTCCTTGTACATCTCCATCAGAGCTCTTGGAAGACCAGGTGCATTATTAGTGATGAGTAATGTTTTAAAAGGAATCTTTTTGTCTGAGCAGTAGGTCTCAACAGTGGGCTTAAAATAGTTAGTAAACCATGCTGTAAACAGATATGCTGTTATCCAGGCTTTGTTATTCCATTTATAGAGCACAGAGAGAGTAGATTGGCATAATTTAAGGATTACTTAAAAAAAAAGTCTTTGATTACTCTCAAAAAAAAGTCACGTCTCTCACTTTATATCAACAGCTAAAAATGGCCAGGTATTGTGGCTCACGCCTGTAATCTCCATGCTTTGGGAGGCCAAGGCAGAAGGATCACTTGAGGTCAGGAGTTAGAGACTAACCTGGGCAACATAGTAAGACCCATCTCTACAAAAAAAAAAAAAAAAAAAAGAAAGCCAGGTGTGGTGGTGCACGCCTGTAGTCCCAGCTACTCACGAGGCTGAGTCGGCAGGATCACGCCCAGCCAAGAGACGTGACTTCTGCTTTCAGTTGTACACTTAGAGACCATTGTAGGGTTCTTAGTTGGACTAATTTCAATATCATTGGGTCTCAGGGAATAGGGAAGCCTGAGAAGAGGGAGAGACAGGGGAACAGCCAGTTAGTGGAGCAGTCAGACCACATACAACACTTATTAAGTTCACTTTCTTCTATGGGCATGGTTCATGGTGCAGTAAAACAACTGTAACAGGAACATCAAAGATCATTAATCACAGAGCACTGTAACATATAATAATAGTGAAAATTTTCAAAGTATTGAGAGAATTAGCAAAATATGATACAGAGACACAAAGTGACCACATGCTGTTGGAAAAGTAGTGCTGATGGACTAGCTTGATGCAAGGATGTCATAAACCTCAATTTGTGAAAACTGCAACATGTGTGAAGCACAGTAACACAAAGCATAGTAAAACAAGATATGTCTGTATATCAGTCAAAATATTGGGCAACTCTGATAAGTTTGTCCACTTAACATTGTACCACTTAAGATGAATAGCATCTACCATTTCCGTCATTTGTAAATATATAGGAGGACATAATCACATAATCTTGAAGTAAAAGACAGTGCTTAAAACTGAATCAGTTAAGTTTTATGAAAAATACTTCATATTGTACTTTTAAAAATATATATTTTTTAATTTCAATAGCTTTTGGGTTACAAGTGGTTTTGGTTACGTGGATGAATTCTATAATGGTGAAGTCTAAGATTTTACTGCAACTGTCACCCAAGTAGTATATATTGTATCCAGCATATTGTCCTTTTTTTTTTCTTTTTTTTTTTTCATTTCACCATGGACTAATGAAAATTTTGTTAGGGACTGACATTAGGGCACCCTTGAGCTACCTTGAGCTAAAGGAAATAACCCTTGAATTTTTTTCTGTTTGGCCTAGAGAATGTGGTTTGTTTTGTAACTGAATTCATGGGATTGTTAAGGTACAAGATTTTGCTTTAGTTTTATTTGTACTAGGATTTTGCTATATTAATACAATGTGAAAAGAATCAAAAGTGTTAGAAATAAATGCATAGAATGTAAGTTTCAGGCATGTGAGTAGAGGATCTCTGCTCCATAAAGAGTTCTGTTGTTGTTATAGGTTCCATCAGGCTTGTTCATCCCCAGCATGGCCATTGGAGCGATCGCAGGAAGGATTGTGGGGATTGCGGTGGAGCAGCTTGCCTACTATCACCACGACTGGTTTATCTTTAAGGAGTGGTGTGAGGTCGGGGCTGATTGCATTACACCTGGCCTTTATGCCATGGTTGGTGCTGCTGCATGCTTAGGTAATATGGCTGTGTCTGCCTGTGTGTGGATGTTTGCAAGTCTGAGAGAGCCAAGAGAAAGTGGGACACATTCTTGCTTAATTGGTGGGCGGATTGGTTGAGTAAAGGAGGGTGCCAGGAGGAGATGTTTTAACAGATAAGAAACAGTAGTACTATTAGGGTATTATACAGTACCGGTTTTCTGTCTTACAACATTTGTTAATACAAGAATTTAATGGCATTAGCATATTGTAATATAACTTAATACACTATGGCAGAAGCCATCTAAGTACAACATAAGCTTAATTTGAATCCTGACCAAAGATGTCTTTGATTCTTTCATCGTTAAGGATCTTGGCTTACCTATAACAACTATAGCATAATACCTAAGATTAGCATTGCAACAGAGTTTCAGAGTAGGTTTACTTTGGTTCTGAAATGATTTATTGTTAGCCTTAGTAAAAGATGTATTTACCCATGCTCCATCATCTAAGGTATATTTGTAACAAAATGAGAAAAGGTAACTTCATTTTAATGAGAAGAAAAGCAAAATACCTACATTAAGTACTTGAGTCTATTTAATGTCTGTTAGGGCAGGAAAAAATGGTTATTGCTTTTCATATTTAAAATATCAGCTACACTCTGGTGATAATATTAATGGTTGCCATTTTGACCAGTTTTGTTTAGTGAATAAAAATTATGTGATTATTGATCTTTAAAAATGTAATATCAATTAAAAGGAAAGGACAGACTCATTTTCACCAAAGTAGCAAGTATTTATTAAATGTCCACTTTCTTTTTAGCATTGTGCTAGATACAGTGCATAATACAAAAAGAACATGGACCCAATCTCGACTCTAATCAAGTTGAGGAGACAAGATGAACACTGAGAATACAATAGTGAGGAATACTAACAAATATATACAAGGTTAAAAGAGTCTAAGTATGGTAGGAATATAGGGGAAGAAAGAGCTGAAGTACTTCAGGAAGAGTAGAACATGAGCTTTATTTAAAAGATTAGCAGAATTTAAGGAAAAGGTGACTTTGTTGAAGATTATAATGTGAAGACAAAGGAACGAGGATGGGAATAAATTTTGTATTCATGAGGCTTTGAAGAAATTGACTCTAGAGAGTATATTTTGGGTACTTTTGGGAAATGAAGTTGGATTAGTGAGAAGGAACAGATTATGAAAAGACAAGAAACCTGATTAATGTCAGGATGATTTTATATTTGAAGTTGGTCAGATTTATGGCAGTCCTGGCTTTGCCATTTTTAGTTTGATGACTTTGAGAAAGTTCCTTCTTGAAGTTTTAATTTTCTGTATATAAAAAGTAATAACACCTGGTGATCTGCTAGGTTTGTTTTGAGGATTATATGAGATAAAATGCATGCAAAACTGTTATAATAGTGCCTGGTAAAATAAGTGCCTAGTTTTAAAAACAAGTCTTTGTAAACTGCTTAGGACATGCCTGGTATAGGGTAGGTATGTAATACATAGTAGGTAGGATCTGTCTCCTTGCTATTTTTAGGTAAAAAAACAAAAGGAAGAGCTTCAGCTTAATACAGTATGAACTGACGAGCCCTGGTAGGTTTTTGAGCAAAAGAGCAACACAGTAAAAGTAGTACTTAGGAAAGATTAACAAGGGAACATGGCTTATACAGTGGTAATGGGGCCTGGAGTCAAGGAGGTAAGATAAAATGGTATTATAATTAAGGAATAGCCAGGCACGATGGCACATGCATGTAATGCCAGCTACTGGAGAGGCTGAGGTGGGAGGATCATGGGAGTCCAGGAGTTTGAGACCAGCCTGGGCAACTGAGTGAGACCCCAAATCCTAAAAAATACAAAGTAAAAAAGGAATAAAGTCATGAGGGCTTGGACTGGATTGATAACAGTGAGAATACCGAGAAAGGGACCATAGGCAGTGTGAACGCAGCTCACTGCAGCCTCAAACCCCAGCCCAAACGAGCCTCCCACCTCAGCCTCCCAAGTAGCTGGGACCACAGACATACACCACCATGCATGACTACTTTTTTTAGTTTTTACTTTTGTAGAGACAGGGTCTCACTGTATTGCCCAGGCTGGTCTCAAACTCCTTGACTTAAGTGATCTTCCTGCCTTGGCCTCCCAAAGTGATTACAGGCATGAGCCACAGTGCCTGGCCCAAATAGTTTTCTGTGAGTGAATATTACTTGCATCGTTAATGTAAATCAAAGGCATCAAAGTATTTTACTCTTTTTGAAAAAAATTTAGAGGAGAAATTTATTATATTAATATTCTACCCATATATGAGTTTAATTTGTAAATTGTAGCAAAGCATGATGTGCTTTACTAAATTCCTTTATAATTAGAATAAGCTTTTATAAGGGTGAAATTATGTCTTTGCTACAGCACTAAACCAAAATGGCAAAATTGTTTTAGTCGGTAAGCTTTGCTTTTTTAAAATATGAAATAAACAGGTTTTTAAAATGTTATTTTAATAGTCTTCTCTGTTATAAACAAAGAAAATTGGTGTTTCTCTAGAGCTTATTAAAAGTAGTGATTATTGTCCTAAAAGAGGAGTAGCAGTTTTAGATGCTAATGCTTTTCCCTGACTGAGTTCTATTTGCCATTTAGTTTTAACTGCCTAGTGCAAAAATTCTAATAAAATGTAATGATGAGGATCCTGTCCTTCCTGACCAGTGGGTGCTTACTTTTTTCAGGTGGTGTGACAAGAATGACTGTCTCCCTGGTGGTTATTGTTTTTGAGCTTACTGGAGGCTTGGAATATATTGTTCCCCTTATGGCTGCAGTCATGACCAGTAAATGGGTTGGAGATGCCTTTGGCAGGGAAGGCATTTATGAAGCACACATCCGATTAAATGGATACCCTTTCTTGGATGCAAAAGAAGAATTCACTCATACCACCCTGGCTGCTGACGTTATGAGACCTCGAAGGAATGATCCTCCCTTAGCTGTCCTGACACAGGACAATATGACAGTGGATGATATAGAAAACATGATTAATGAAACCAGCTACAATGGATTTCCTGTCATAATGTCAAAAGAATCTCAGAGATTAGTGGGATTTGCCCTCAGAAGAGACCTGACAATTGCAATAGGTACCCTTTCAAAAATATATATATGTATATATGAGATGGATTTCTGGAAGAAAGGAAAGCAATAAGCAGTAACATTTAATGGGTTGGATTTGTGGGGGCAAGGGACATTATTTTATGTCCCTTAAAATCTTCTGTTCTTTAGGAAAGGAAGGTATGCTTCAGTGGATGATTTTCTGCTATTTAGCAGAAAATCTGTATTTCAGTTTTGTCTTTTGATCTGGCATTGTACCAGAAATTGGAGTCAGATTATTTTCCCACTCAGATAAGCCTAGATAAGTTGATCTTGGTTATTCAAAACAGCATGTAATATAAGACCTTAGCTAAATGCATTCAGTCAAATACATTCTTGTATTTAATAAAGTTGGCTTATTGGAATACAAGTTATTGAAAATCTCATCTTCATCAGTCTCTTTCATATTAGAATAACACTGTTTTGCTTTATCAGTCTTTGGGGTTAGAATTATAATATTAATTTATAATATCTGATTTAAAGTGACAATCACTGAGATTTTTATTTCTGATCAAATGCCAGGTTGAAAAAGTATAACGTATCAGTCCTGTTGTGTTTTATGCAGACTTTCCTGAAAATACTGTTTAAAGGTATTAGCCATAGTGTATTTCTTGGAGATAAATTAAACTTTCTATAGTTCTGTTTCTCTAAAATTTGTTTTTCTCTTTACCTTATAGTCCCGCAGTATTGATGAGGAGACCATTAAGACTTAATATTTTTTTGACACAATCTTATATCTCTTCCTCCAACCCCTAAAAAGTGACTGAGGATAGGTACATCAAGCCATTGCTTTGTTACTCCCCAGGTTTTAGTGCCAGACCCTGAATGGAAGTGTCAAGCCTTTGGCCTGTCTGAAAGGTCATTCCTGTGAGCATATCATCTCCCTTCCAGCTTACCTCTGTGGCCATTGCAAAAGGATTTAAAAATAATTTTTGTGCCATTTGAATGGCACAAGACCAGACAGTGTATGTGGGGGAGTGTTTCTCAAATCAAACTGGAAACTCTTTAATTTGTAAGAACCATTAAGCAGAGAGAGAAAAAAGAAAGGAAAAGAAAAAAGATCCTACAGAGAACACCCTGTTCAGTTTGGGAACAGGCTACAGCTTTGGATTTTTCAAGGCCTAGCATTCCCATCATTCTAAATTTTACTTAGCTAATACAATAGTAGTTGCCAGAGCTGATGACATAGTATTTTGTCATGCTTGGCTCCGTTCAAGCATTTTAGTTTTTTAGCCATTACCATGGCTAGACCCAGTCAAAAGAATTTCATTGTTTAAGATTCCCATTCTCTAGTTTTTACTAGTAGCCAGCCAAAGAAAAGAAAAAGGAGGTCAGAATTTCGGTATTTACATAGAAATTTAAGGGGAAAAGGCCAGGCATGTTTTTAAAGTGTGGAAATTAAGAACTATTCATTATCCCACTGATTGTGTGGATGTGTTTTTTAAAGTTTTGTTACTGTCTTGAGAGAGAGAATATTGAGATAGGACATAATGTTGGTTTAAGGGAATGAGGGTACTTTCTGTAGGTGAGGTGCCAAGCCATGTCATCAGAAATGTTAGTCACATGACTTTCTAAGCACACCTTAAATGTTTTACCGTGTATGTTTTTGTAAAGTTTTAAATTTTTAACTGGGAAAAACAGACCTGTATATTAAGTTTTATATATATATATAAATTTAAAATTACATATATATGTTTATATATGTAACTTTTATATGGGAGAGATATATATTTCTATATCCTCTATAAAAAAACATATCTATATATGAAAATTATGTACGTAAATGTTAATTTATAATTAATTATATAAATATTAACATAATTACATTATATATATAGAAAACCTAGTGTACAGATCTGTATATAAATTAAAAATGTATGTGTTATATATAGTTACATCATATAATACATATAATTGATATATATAATGATAAATACTTTATTGAAGGATGAAAAAATTTCCATGCTGTCTCATAAAATAAGATGGTTGACATATGCTAAACTAGATAGATTCTCCTGTTTCATACTAAAGCAGAATGTTGTAAAATATTAAATTCAAATGAGATGTCTCAGATTAAGGCCATTTCAACAGGAATGCTGAGACTTTAAAAAAAAAAAAAGTCTGAGGCTGGGCGTGGTGGCTCATGCCTGTAATCCCAGCACTTTGGGAAGCTGAAGCAGGTGGATCACTTGAGGCCAGGAGTTTGAGACCAGCCTGGCCAATGTGGTGAAATCCCGCCTCTACTAAAATACAAAAAAAATACATGGGTGTGGTGACGCATGCCTATAATTCCAGCTACTTGGGAGGCTGAGGCAGGAGAATCACTTGAACCTGGGAGGTGGAGATTGCAGTAAGCCCCACCACTGCACTCCAGCCTGGGCGAAGAGCAAAACCCTGTCTCAAAAAAAAAAAAAGCCTGAATTATATCAGCAAATGAAAACTGTAATGTTGTTCTCTGTTTCAGAGGCCCTTGAATGAATAGCACTAAAAATATTTTTTAAAAAATGAAGAAAATGAAAATTGTAATGTTCCTTATTTAAAAGGCCCTTGAATGAGTAGCATCAAAAATATTTTTAAATGGGAGGCCAGGGTGGGAGGTTTGTTTGGCACCAGGAGATCAAGACCAGCTTGGGTAACATAGCAAGACCTTTGTCTCTACCAAAAAAAAAAAATTGTCTGGGTGTGGTGGTGCCACCTGTATTCCTAGCTACTGGGAACGCTGATGCAGGAGGATCCCTGGGACTCTAGAGTCCAGAGTGAGACCCTGTCTCTAAAACAAACAAACAAACAAAAACTGTATTTATGTAAAAGTAATACTTGTTTTTTAAATTTTATTTATTTTTAATTGATAAAAATTGTATGTATGTTTATGTGATGTATATATTGTGGAATGGTTAAATCAGGCTAATTAACTCAGATTTTTTGTGTGTGTGGGGAGAATATCTAAAATCCCTCTCCTTAGCAGTTTCCAAATGAAATGAAAGAATAAAAGTGATTTATTTTTTTGAGACAGCATCTCACCCTGTTTCTCAGGCTGGAATGCAGTGGCACGATCTTGGCTTACTTGATCCTCGACTTCCCTGGCATCCGGTGATCCTCCCACTTCACTCTCCTAATTAGCTAGGACTACAGGCATGCGCCACCATGACTGGCTAATTTTTGTATTTCTTGTATAGGCAAGGTTTTGCCATGTTGCCCAGGCTGGTTTCAAGCTCCTGGGCTCAAACGATCCACCTGCCTCAGCCTCCTGAAGTGCTGGGATTACAAGTGTGAGCCACCACACCTGGCGAAAAGTGTTATTTTTTTAAATGACAAATTTAAGTCAAAGAGATTGAATGTTCACTTCTGGTACTTTGTATATAAGAGAAACATTCCATTAAATAATTTTTTAAACATTTCTAAAATTACATATTTTGTCATTAAATGTTTAAACAATCAGTATAATTTCATTGATACAGTGTTTGTTATTTTGTCGGTGTTTAAGATTGATAATTGGGGTTAGTTTTAATTCAGAATGTTATTCTATTTAATGTCACACTTCATGTCTTTTTATTTTGTATATCTATTAATGAATTATTTTAGCTATAGTTATTACTGTTTTAGAGATGAGGTCTTCTATGTTGCCCAGGGTAGACTTGAACTCCTGGGCTTCAGCAATCCCCTCCTCAACCTCCGGAGCACATGAGATTAGAGACGTGTGCCACTGTATCTGGCCTGCTGTAGTTATTTTTAATTCTTTTGTCTTTCAACTTTTATACTAGAGTTAGAAATGATTTACAAACCCTATTGCAGTTTTAGAGCGTTATGAATTTGACTATATATTTCTTATAACAACTTAACTTCAGTTGCTTACAAAAACTACAGAGTTTTACTCCCCCGTCCACATTTTATACTATTGATGTCACACTTTACATCTTTTTATTTTGTGAATCCATTAATGATACTTCTGGTAGTTTTTACACTCCACTATTCAGTTGTCAGACACCATTCAGTTGTTAGATTGTTATGAGCTAAAAGCAACTTAATGGGTATTTTTCAAAAATCATTTATGTCAATTGCTAATGGACTTCTTTTCTATGCCATGATCATGCTTTTTTTATTTTTGAGACGGAGTTTCACTCTTGTTGCCTGGGCTGGAGTGCAATGGCGCGGCCTCAGCTCACTGCAACCTCCGCCTCCTGGGTTCAAGCGATTCTCCTGCCTCAGCTGGGATTACAGGCATGTGCCACCGTGCCAGCTAATTTTGTATTTTTAGTAGAGACAGGGTTTCACCATGTTGGCCAGGCTGGTCTCGAACTCCTGACCTCAGTTGATCTGCCCACCTTGGCCTCCCAAAGTGCTGGGATTACAGACGTGAGCCACTGCGCCTGGCCTGATCATGCTTTTAAGGTGGTTGAGTAAGTACTAGTTGCTGGGGCTTTACTTAGTGCCCTCCTACTCAAATGTGTTAGAACATAGTTAAGAAGGCTGTAGTGTTCAAAAGGAGTAAAAAGCAGTGCAGTGTTTGCAGTAATATCTGCTTCTCAATTTAGGACTGATGCTTATTATGGCTTAAATGTTTTTGTAGTAAAATTTGTATTCAAAAAATATATTTTTTTTTCTTTTTGCGACAGAGTCTTGCTTTGTCACCCAGGCTGGAGTGTGGTGGTATGATCATGGCTGACTGCAGCCCTGACCTTCCGGGCTCAAGTGATCTTTCCACCTCAGCCTCCCAATTACTTGGGACCACCAGCATGCTTGGCCGATTTTTTTTTTTTTTTTTTTTTTGTAGAAGCAAGGTTTCCCTATGTTGCCAAGGCTGGTCTTGAACTTTAGGGCTCATGTGATACTCCTGCCTCGGCCTCCCAAAGTGTTAGGATTACAAGCCTGAGCCACCATGGCCGGCCAAAATATTTTCACTATAACAAATATCATATCTGTATATACTCAGTTTTAATACTAACTCAAAGTAGAAACATAAAGCTGAATGACTATTTTATTTTCAGATTCTCTCCATTGAGTTTCCTTCTCCGTCTTGTGTGATCTCTGAACTTTTCTCCATCTTTGCCACTTCTTGTCTAGCATTTTTTTTTTATCAGCAGTTTCATTCAGATTTTTTTTTTAGTTCTTTCAACGGTGGAGTGGAAGTAGGCAGCAGGACAGAAGAACTTGAAGCAGAGCACACTGGAGAGGAGAAATTAACAAAGCCTTTATGAATAAAACAACCCCCCAATATCAGTCTGTGTGCATTATGAGCATAATTGTACTTTCATCTCATCTGTAATGTTCATGACTTTTCTAGAAAATTATACTTTAACATGAGAAAAGAAAAAGAACCAGCTAATTCATAGGGATGGAGGACACAGCATAGTCAAAGCAAGAATGAAACTCTCTTTAGTGCCACCTCCAGTGCAGAATAAGTAACATTCAGCAGAGGCAGGTTTCATTTGATAATGGATTCCTATAATAAACTGCGCTCAGAATTTGTGCAGGTTTTAAAATCCCGTATTCCAAACCCACTTCCTTAGCCCCCAAGTTAGAAAACAGCTTCAGTAAAGAAAATTGTACGATGATATAACTTTACCAAAAAATAATTTCTTTCCATGAAGATGATATATTATTGTTGACTTCTAATTCAATCAAATATAAACAATTGCTAAATGGCTTTTCAGTTGACTCCTTTCTTGGTTAAGGAGAAGATAGGAAAAAATGAAGGGATCAGAAGTCATAGGATACATTAATTTTTTTTATCTCTGAATAAACAGGTTGCCTACTTAAAAATCTATCAGTTTAAAAGTGTTGGTCTCTTCTCTCTCTTTTCAGAAAGTGCCAGGAAAAAACAAGAAGGTATCGTTGGCAGTTCTCGGGTGTGTTTTGCACAGCACACCCCATCTCTTCCAGCAGAAAGTCCTCGGCCATTGAAGCTTCGAAGCATTCTTGACATGAGCCCTTTTACAGTGACAGACCACACCCCAATGGAGATCGTGGTGGATATTTTCCGAAAGCTGGGACTGAGGCAGTGCCTTGTAACTCACAATGGGTAAGTCTGGTACCACAGGAATCAGTTCACTTGCTAGAATATAGGATCCTTTTTAGTGGAATCTATATAGTTATTAGGGGAGCATGTGAGTCAGCTCCCAGGTGGGAAAGTCTGTCCTATGGTATAGTCACAAATATAGGATCAGTCAATCAAATTTCACATTTACTAAGGAATAAGAAAGATGTCATCTGCCTGCTCTTTGCCAAACAGTGACATTTGTAAATAATACCTCAAAGTTGGAAAAGAGGTGCTGAAAGATCTCCAGCATGAAAGCATGTTGAGCTTAGAGTGCTTCTTTTCCTAGGGAAGAGTGGACCTAACCTGCATGGAGCACTGCAAAAACCTGTTTTATTTTTGTAAATGTTTCATTTTTAGTATATAAATTTCTAGTACAATAATAAGTTTCTAGATATTTTGCTATTTACTCTTTCAGCCAATATTTGATTTATCATGTAATGAAGGAAAGAATATATACTTAAATGAAATTTGTAAATGAGCTAAAAATCTCCTTTAACAAATGCTTTGTTTCCTTTTGTCTACCTTTCTCTATACACAAATCTTTTATATTTATATAACTGCTAAGGACAAATAAATACTCATGTATTTAAAATGTATACATTGATAATTTATTTTTCCACCTTTTACACATGAACTGCCAGTGTTTCTCCATTGACAGGAATATAGGAAAGAAACAGATGTCACGGGGGTTGTGGAGACCTTAATGCACAGAATTGATTTAGCAAATACACTACTTCGTCACCACTGCTCTCTTTTCCTGGACCTGGGATCTGTTTCTCCACACTTCTTTCTTTAGGACCCTTCATTTCCACTATATATTCTTTCTTGTTGAACTTAAGAATGTTGTTTTATCCGAAGGCAAATACCAAAAAACAGAGGGTATTCTTGGATTATGCATAAACTGGATGGCTAATCCTGAACAGCGTAAAGCTGGTTGAAATTCTAAACAGAGAATCATAGCAGTTTTTTGTTGTTTTTTTTTTTTAACATGTTGTAGAAAACACATTGGTGACAGAATACATGACTCCTGTCCAGAGAAAGGAGAGAAAAAGAACAGAAAGGAAGGAAATTTGTTTATTGAACACCTTCATATTTTCTCATTTAACTTTGCAGGACCTCTGCAAAGTAGGTAGTTATAGCCCTACTTTACAGATGTAGTAATTAAAGCTCAAGAAGCTTTAATAATTTGCCCAAAGTCATGTGGTGAACAAGTCATGGTTCAAGGAATCAGACTGTCTTTCCTACTTTAAAACCCAGCCTCTTGCTACTATTTTGCACTGTAAGTGACTGATAGAAATCCTCTTTCTTTGTGATTTCTTAAACTACTAAAACATTTTCTTGGCCAATATATTAGATTGAGTTAAGAATAGAAATATGAAACTAGAGAATTAGATCTATGTTTAGTGTTTTTCACTGCGCTAATTAAAATAACTCTTTAGGAATATGAAGTAAATCATTAAAGAGATAAAGCCCTTAAAGGCAGGGAGTTTAGAATTATTAAATTCTAATAATTTAGATACTGATTGGAGAAGAGATGTATTCATAAGTTATTATTGTTACTATTTGTCTTTGTGTAATATTGTTTGATTAAATGATGGCACCGACTTCATTAAGTTTAAAAACTCAGTACTAGTTAAATGGGGCAACTTTTCATAAAGCTTTGCTAGTCCTTGAGCCCTTTTATTTGTTAAATGGCTCAACTGGAACCTAAGCTGAGTTGTTACAAACTATTATTTGCTTCAAGTTGTTTTCTGTTCCTGGCATGGCTTTTTCTTTTGTGTACTGACAAATATAAATGTTATTCTGTTGAGTTATGGTTAACTATGAACACAGAACTGTTAGGGATTAATTTTCATATTTCAGTTTGTTGATTAATTCCCAGGTATTTGGCAGCATAGATATTAGAAAGGAAAATATTTAAAAGAAAGTGTAAAAATAACGAAGTGTATAGAGCGAGGGGTGGATAGCTAATTAAAATTTTGTCTGGTCCTGCCTGTTCATATGAAAAAAGGGGTTGGACTTTCTTCTAAGGGAATATATTAAATTGCTTTCATCATATTTTCCTTATTTCTGTCTGTCAAGGAAAATAAATTGATACATATATGGGGAGAAAAGAGATCATTTAGGGAAGTGGCTCATGGGACTTTTTGTTTTGTTTGAAGTGTATTAGGAAGTCGGGTGTTTTTTTTCTCACTTAAATTATTTAAAACCCAGAAAAGAAATGATATCTTCTGGTTTTTAAAGGAGACCATGAAGTTCTGCATAGCTATCATTGATGTGTAGTTCATACTGCATTTTTAGAAGTGGAAAATAGTTATTTGGAGGAAGATAACAAATCTGGAACCTTAGGTGCAAGGAGAAAAAGAATAGATGAAAGGGAAAGATGTTTGTAAATTATAAAAATTTCAATTAGCTATTGGTTTTCTGCACTTTATATTTTAACTGCAGAATTTTTCAAAATCAGTTAATCTTGGTGGAATTAGCAGGATGTTAATAGGAGTGACTCAGAAAAAACATTTTGTGACTGTCTAAGTTTGGAAAGTATTGGATTAAATACAATTGAGGTTTCTTTACTATGGAACTCCTCAGAACTTATAATATGTTGATATTCTTTGATTCCCAGATGAGGGGATGGGTAATAGGATACATGGTTTTCCAGACTTGTTTGAAAATGCAACTATTTTTGGGTTGCAGGGAAGGATATAGTAGAACTCATGGGAACTGGTGTTTCTTGGAACATGCTTTGGAAATGCTGGGTTATGCCCTGTTAACTCTTACATCATTAGTTTTTAGCCCAAAAGGAAACAGCAAATAATGTTTTATATGAGCCACATTTTGCGTTGATTTTCCTTCCACTCTGTAAAATTACTAAAGCAGCACTCTGACTTTATTATGCTCAAATCGCTCTTCTCCATTAATGTGTGTTTCTCCATCTTTTAGGGTTTTTACTTTATAAATACAGAGATTACTGTGTAAAATTCTAAATTTGCCACTGGGTCGTTATACATTTGTAACCTTCCTCACAGTATATTTTGTGATTTGGCAGAGTTTACCAATATAGATGATACTAACTGAAATTAATCATTCTGTATAATTGGATAGAAAAGCATGAGTAAGAATTCAATTGGTATTATATTTAATTAATTGCCAAGATTTTCACATTTCCTGACTACAACAATAAAATCAAATGAATTGATGGCTTAAAAAAAAGAAATCTCAAATGTTTAGTCAATGAAGAACATCTATTGAATGAGTGAATGTTCATTATATATAGTGCATTTTCTGAGCTTTTTTGGAGGGGGAAGTTGCTCCCATGCTCTGAGAACTTTTAAGGATCGATACATTATTTTTAACATAATAATGAGAAAACATGAGCAGAGAACCCATTTCTGTCATTCCCATTCTCTATCCTCCTGCTCCCCCACCTCCCACCCCAGCCATCAAGCTAAGTAACTATTTTACACCTGGACGTAGCTATAGGAACAGGCTACTTTGAAGTCTCCTAGTGACATCCTTCAAGTCTGAATGTTCAAAGGCAGTTTAACAGGGAGGTTGACTTAATGAGATCATCAAGGAAATGTCCAGTCATCCTGAAGGGTATTTTGGATGGGCTTCCAGAATTTAAAGATTAAAGTTTTTTTAAGGTTTTTTTATTTTCACTGTTTATATTGCCACATTAATTTCCATTATAAAACCAGTAACCATAGTTTTGTTTTAATTAGCAATCTAATTATTTTCATGTATCCTCATTATGAGAATTTATGTCCATCACTTTGCTTGATGTGATAACAGTGACATGCTAAATGAGAAACAATTGTTATTTAGAAAAAAATGCACAAAGTGAAAGTCCTTTTAATCCCTAATCATAAATACATTTTATTAGCTTACTTTAAGAAGTGGCAGTCACAGCTCCTGAACATTAGGGAGTGTTTCTTTTGGTCAGCATTATTTATTTAGTGCACATTGCCTTTAATTTTAATTTGAAATTATAGTAAAATCCACGGGAGTTTTTAAGTCTCCTCACAGCCTTTTGCTACCTTTTCACCAAGGTAGATCCAGATGATAACTGCTGTGTTGTGACATCATAGAAATTAGAAAAATATTTTCCTCTGAGGAAAGAACATTGTAAATGAAACTCTACATATCAGAGGTCTATAGCTATGTATCAATATTAAGTTTCTTTTGTACTTTGCTTTGTAGTCATCTTCATTCCAAACTTTCATAATTATTATTTTTACTTTAAAAAGAAAAATAACCCACCAATATTGAAGATTAGTATTGTGTCACTTTTGAAAGTCAGTAGAATTTATGCAAAAGGAACCTGGAACTTTAAATCATTTTGTTTTTATTTTCTAAAGTTCATGAGACTCATTCTTATGGTTCATGTTTTTATTTTTTCTCTCATTCTTTATCATTATGATTGGAAACTCTTTTAATTTAATTTCTCACACAGTTATTAGCATAATAATCTGTTTCAGGATTGTCTTGGGGATCATCACAAAGAAGAACATATTAGAGCATCTCGAGCAACTAAAGCAGCACGTCGAACCCTTGGTGATTAGATATATCAGATCTCCTCATTAGACACCTTAGAAGTCAGGAAGCATGAAACTTGTGAACTGTTGAGTTCTGTCTTTCCCAGATATCTGCTGAACAAAAATATCCTACTATGCTGCCAATTACATTTGTATCTGATAAAATGTGTCTGTAAGATAAATTTAGATATGTGTAAAATCCCATTTATAGAAAGTAAGCAAAAGTTAACATCTCTCATCAAATCATTCATTACAATTTCAGAACTGTAAACAGTTTGGTAGTGGAATAAGTGAATATTATTGGACATTCTTAAAGTGAATATGGCAAATCTGTCTACCTCAGTGGATACACCGGTCTCAGAAGACACCTGACTGGTTAAAAATGTCTGACCCATCCCCGCAAGCCCTTTTTTTTTTTTTTAAATGTTTCCCGATCTTGTGGTAGTCTTATGGTAAATCTAAGCTCCTAAAGGATTTTAAAGGAGCTTAGCAATTAGAACTGCTTACAGTTAAATGGATTTTTTAATGGGCACACTAACTAGAGTGTAATGTGTATATTATTTGTGATCATAGCATTAGTTCTTTTTCTGCTATACCCTGCATATCTTCAAAGTCACAGTGTGTGTCCTGCCATCTCATTAGTGAATTGTACCTAGATTATGTGTGTGCCCCTTTTGTATGATGTTTCTGGAACGCTATAAGCAGCTTTTAGAGTCAAATGCATTCATTTTAACTGGCTTTATGTCCTAGTGGTTTCATGACTACAAATTTGAATTATCTTACTGCATAACATAAAAAATGTCTGGCTTTAGCAATTAATGCCCGAAATTATTTTGCCCTGCAATTGTCATACCTGTATGAAACCTGTCCCAGTTTGCTTAAGTGCACAACTGATTATGTATTCCTGTGTGTATGCTAATATTTCACAAGTGTTTCATGCATCCTTTTTTAAAAAACTACTAACCAGAATATTATCGTAGCTACTCATTCATTCTGCTTTCTGCTTCACCTATAATAATCTTTTAGGACTGCCTTCTGATTTTTCACCTATCTTTTAATGTAAGCATTAACAACTAAGACTTTCATAAAAGCACTGTATCTTAACTTTCCTGGCCTAAATCAAAAAAAGGAAAACATTGATAAGTGTCCTAGAAACTTGGATTCTTTTATAGATTTGTTCTTGGGGCTCTGATGTTTGGGATTGACGTTCTGTGCTGACCATTTTATATGCATTTTATCTTAATAGTATGTGCTTTCATGAAGATTCTGATACAAGTGGGCAATCCTTAAATTATCTTTGAAAAATTGGTTAATTTTGGTTAAAAAAGGGAAAGTGGCTGGGTGCAGTGGCTCACGCCTGTAATCCCCAGCACTTTGGGAGGCCGGGACGGGTGGATCACAAGGTCAGGAGTTGAAGCCCATTCTGGCCAACATGGTGAAACCCTGTCTCTACTGAAAATAATTGGGGCATGGTGGCACATGCCTGTAATCCCAGCTACTTGGGAAGCTGAGGCAGGAGAATTGCTTGAACCGGGGACCCAGGAGGCGGAGGTTGCAGTGAGCTGAGATCGCGCCACTGCACTCCAGCCTGGGCTACAGAGCGAGACTCTGTCTCAAAAAATAAATAAATAAATAAATGAAAAAGAGAAAATATTGAGAGGATTTGGTCATCATTTTACTGCTCTCTTCATGTGATGGAAATCAATTTTCCTTCTCAAATGGGATCAGTATCATTTCCTAGTCATACATCCATCCAGTTTTTGTTACTTTTTTGTTGGCATACATTAATCAAAATAGCTCTGCTTCATTGAGGCATGCAGTCCTCAGACTCTCGGTGGAAAGGCTGTCATACTATTAGTGACCATAGTAACTTTTTATACCAAAGGATGGTTGCTGGATAATTTTAATATCTTTACCAATAAAGTACTTTTTGGAAATACAAAATCAGGCTGCTTGCTTTGCTCTATTCCTGTCAACAAAAAGGATTTAGCTATAGATTTAGCTTCTCCTTTTATTTTCCCTTTTATTTCATAGGAGTCTTCTGTTTATTCCTTTCAGGCGCCTCCTTGGCATTATAACAAAAAAAGATATCCTCCGGCATATGGCCCAGACGGCAAACCAAGACCCCGCTTCAATAATGTTCAACTGAATCTCACAGATGAGGAGAGAGAAGAAACGGAAGAGGAAGTTTATTTGTTGAATAGCACAACTCTTTAACCTGAGGGAGTCATCTACTTTTTTTTCCTCCTTTACAAAAAAAGAAAGGAAATATAAAAGCCGGGTTTTTGCAACATGGTTTGCAAATAATGCTGGTGGAATGGAGGAGTTGTTTGGGGAGGGAAAGGAGAGAGAAGGAAAGGAGTGAGGTATTTCCCGTCTAACAGAAAGCAGCGTATCAACTCCTATTGTTCTGCACTGGATGCATTCAGCTGAGGATGTGCCTGATAGTGCAGGCTTGCGCCTCAACAGAGATGACAGCAGAGTCCTCGAGCACCTGGCCTGTTGCTCCAACATTGCAAAGACACATTATCAGTCCCTATTTCTAGAGGGATTACTTTGAATTGAGCCATCTATAAAACTGCAAGGTCTTGCCCTTTTTTTTAATCAAAACTGTTCTGTTTAATTCATGAATTGTATAGTTAAGCATTACCTTTCTACATTCCAGAAGAGCCTTTATTTCTCTCTCTCTCTCTCTCTCTCTCTCTCTCTCTACTGAGCTGTAACAAAGCCTCTTTAAATCGGTGTATCCTTTTGAAGCAGTCCTTTCTCATATTGAGATGTACTGTGATTTTACTGAGGTTTCATCACAAGAAGGGAGTGTTTCTTGTGCCATTAACCATGTAGTTTGTACCATCACTAAATGCTTGGAACAGTACACATGCACCACAACAAAGGCTCATCAAACAGGTAAAGTCTCGAAGGAAGCGAGAACGAAATCTCTCATTGTGTGCCGTGTGGCTCAAAACCGAAAACAATGAAGCTTGGTTTTAAAGGATAAAGTTTTCTTTTTTGTTTTCCTCTCAGACTTTATGGATAATGTGACCGGGTCTTATGCAAATTTTCTATTTCTAAAACTACTACTATGATATACAAGTGCTGTTGAGCATAATTAAATAAAATGCTGCTGCTTTGACAGTAAAGAGAAGGAAGTATTCTGATTAGCTGTATCTGGTATTAATTGCATGTTAAAACACTGGAATTTTTAAAATTGAAATTAGATCAGTCATTCTTTTCTTTTCTCAAGATATCTCATGGCTGACACTGAAGAAGAAATGTAATTCATAACTTGCACTAAATGTATATTTTTTTTCTTAAAAATTTACCATTCTTATTTATATTTTTATGGATTAAAATTTATAAAATACAGATCAGTTAATATTGCACTTAAGTAATTTTACCTTTTTAATGTGATTTTTATAGAATAATTCAGACTTACAAATACAGAGATATGAACAAAGTTTACAGTGGGAACAAAGGTTTAAAAAAAGGTTGTGGTTCTCTCTCTGTGATCCAGTGTGCACATAAACCTTTCTCTGATCTTTCACTGCCATCCTCTGGATTATGTCTTCTGACCTGTCCATTTTGACCCATTAACTGGAAAGTTGAAAAACTACATTAACTGGAAAGTTGAAAAACTACATTACTTTGGAGAATAAAACCGAAAGTTCGTGTATACCTTCTTAAAAAAAAAATCAAACCAAAAATGTGAAAACAATAGAATTGCAAAGATAGCAGTTAAAATTTTAATCTGAAAATAACCTTTGAATCTCGGGCTAGGTTACGTCCATATTTGAAGTGGTCAGTGATGGTTTGAACATTTTTTGCAGGATGAGTGAAAATGCACTGGATTATATTTGGGATTTTTGTTTTTGGAATTGTCTGTTTTAATCACAGCCTTAATTCACAATTGGCAAAGGCAGTTTACTCAAAGGACTGGGCTAAATATTCTGTAATTATGCATTTTTGATAGGAAAATGAAATTTTTGCAAACAGACATTTTCTTTTTTTTTGGCTGGAGTGCAGTGGGGCATGGTCTTGGCTCACTGCAGCGTTGACCACCTGGGCTCAAGTGATACTCCCGCCTCAGCCACCCAAGTAGCTGGCACTACGGGCACACGCCACCATGCCCAGCTAATTTTTTTGTATTTTTAGTAGAGATGGGGTTTTGCCATGCTGCCCAGGCTGGTCTCAACTCCTCAGCTCAAGCAATCTGCCTGCGTGAGCCTCCCAAAGTGGTGGAATTACAGGCGTGGGCCACTGCGCCTGGCCCAGACAGACATTTTCTGAAACACAACTGGCAATGAGCTGTTTTTACATTTTGAAAGTGATTCTTCACTTCCTAGTTCTTAATTATAGTATACCTATTAAGATCTGTAAGATCCTGAAGACATAAGATCATGAAGCCATATAAGAATGAGGATTGAAAGTTGAGCAAAATTTTCGGGATTTTGGGAAACATTCTTAGCTGTGCTATCTGCCTAAAATTATTCCTTATTACTTCTCTCCTTTGACAGACTTCAAGTTTTCTTCATAGCCCTTTCAAAGTTTTTTGAGCCATCCAGAGTAAAATCATTTCTAAATGATAGTTCTGTATATCTCCAACTCGTCTTAAGTGTATTTGCCTGTGTGCAACGTATTGCTAGACTATGAACTCCTCAGCATGGCTGCTGGATAACTTAATTGTCCTGAGTTAATAGCCTTCAAAGGACAAATCGGTTTCTTTGCAGATAGCTTCGTAAAACTTCACATGGAGTTTATTTTATCATATTTCCCTTTTTTATTTCTGCTCCTCCTTTAATTGCCCATCTTGCTTCAGAGACTGACATTTCAGGGTGGATATTAATTAAAGCATTAATTTTGTTTTTTGGTATATTTCTATCCCTAGTATTTCTATCTTACTGCTAAAATACAGGAAAAGTGCCGTATTTTTAATGCATTTAGTGGTTTTCTTTGGTGTTATCTGTTCCATTTTTCTTTTTCATACATTGAAGTGTGTCTCCTTTTCAACCAAAATAATGAAATAGTGGAGACCATGAAATTGTTGTGCCTGGCTAATTGGCAAATTAATTTACCAATATAATAAGTGTAGCGCCTTGTTTGAATACCCTTTTTGAGAAGGTATGATGAGAATGGGCAAGGGTGTCAGCATCTCTTCTTCTTAATAATTAATTGTTTTCAGTTTTGGTTCACGAAGAATGCTTAGTTAATCTGTAATGTTGCCTAGAGCTGTATTTATCTGTTTTTATTTATACTAGTGTAGTAAAGCTGCATATCATTACAGTAAAAACGACTACTGTGATGAGTTAATCAGAAAATCTATTAAAATCTATATGACAATGTGTGGTTTGGCCTTTAATTATATCTGTAACAGTCCTCCCTCTTCACTGCTGCCCTACGCAGTGTAGGCCGATATGCCTGGCACAGGGAGCCCCAAAAAGGTAATAATTATAATGCTTCTCTCAGGTTACAAAGCATTTCTACACTTTGCAAGCAAGGAGCAATAGAAGAGTAGATAGATGCTGGATTGACAGCAGGATGTTCATACCACCAGCAATGGTTTAGCGCCCCCATTTGTCAGTGAAAGCTGCAGGTCCACAGAAAACTGATTTCATTTCAGCTCACTTTCAAAAGTGATTTTTTTTTTTTTCGCAAGAAAAATTACGCTATTTGCATGAAAAGAGGTAAAACGATTTATTTACATGTCTTTAAAAAATCACCTTGGACATTTGCTAATAGAACTGCCAAAAGAGGGTGGTAAGTAACAACCTTTGATTAAGATGTGGTCTTTTACTATTAAGCTTTTAGTAAAAAGGAACACACTAAAAGTTCAGAGTAGATCATTTATATTCACTGAGTATTTACTGAGCAATTACTGGGCGCCAGGCGCTATTCTATGTTCTTGAAGTTTTCATTCCAGCAGGAAGAGAAATCTAGAGTATGTCAGATGGTGATAAATATGGATTAGTTCAGCAATTTTAAAAAAGGATTTTTATGTACTGCACACTGTTACGAATATACAAAATCAGTCAAGAATCCTGTTATAGTTTTTGTAATGTACAAAAAGTGAAGGTGTGTGCACCCACCCCATTTTTATAGAGGGTGATCAGGGAAAGCCTCAGGGATAAGGAAGCATTTGAGCAGAAACCTACAGAAAGTTAGAGAAGGACATTTATCCGTGAGAAAAAATGTTGTAAGAAGAGAAAATGCTATATACAAAGGATTCTCCTGCCAGGTTCAAGGAACACTGAGTAGATCACTGTGGCTGGAGAGGGATAAGAGGGAAGAAAGTGGTAAGGAAAGAGGTTGGGGGTGTAGGCATTTGATTTTTATTCTAAATGAGAAGCCAGTGAGGCAGAAAAGTCACATAATGTGACCTAAAATATCTCTCAGACTCCTTTGTTGGGAATAGACTATAAGGGGGCAGGGGTGGAAGCAGGCTACCAGCTAGAAGGCTCTTGGAATAATTCAGGTGAGATGTGGTAGAGATCTGAACCTGATTGAAGCTGGTGGAGGTGGTGAAAGCAGTTGGATTCGAGACATGCTGAAGGTAGAATGGACAGGACTTGTGAATGGGTTGGATGTAGTGTGGTAAGTGAGGAGTCAAGGATGCCTGCAAAGTTTTTGGCTGAGTAATGACAGAACAATGGAATGGCCACTGGCTGAGTTGGGAAAGACTTAAGAATAGATTGGGGGTGGGGTGCTGTGTGCAGAGGAATTTTGGTTTTAGACATTGTTTTAAATGTCTTTTAGACTTCCAAGTGGGGGTGTCACATAGGCATTAGCATGTATCAGACTCGAGTTCAGGAGAAAGGCCCAGCCTGAGAGCTACACAGGGGCGGCATCATCCTGAGACAGGAGAGTACCGTGCATTGAATGCAGACAGAGAAGAGGTACAAGGACCGAGCACTGACACATGCTTATGTTTAGATTTGGGGAGGTGAGGAGCCAGCAAATGAGGGAGCTGCCAGTATGGTTGGGTTAGGAGTAGTGACCTTCAAAGAAGGGTATTCCACTGGTGGATATATTAAAAAATAAGCTGCGTGTGGTAGCTCAGGCCTGTAGCACTTCAAGATGCCAAGGCGGGGCAGCAGCATCTGAGCCCAGGAGCTCATGACTAGCGTGGGAAAGAGACTAGGTCTCCTCTACAAAAAATTAAGAAATAAAAATATGAACTGGGCATGGTAGCACATGCCTGTAGTCCTGGCTACTTAGGAGGCTAAGGCAGGAGGATCACTTGAGCCCAGGAGTTGGAGGCTGCAGTGAGCTAAGATGGTGCTACTGCACTCCAGCCTGGGTGACAGAGCAAGACCCTGTCTCAAAAAGCAAGGGTAGTCCCCTAAACCAAATGAATAATAGTTTCAAGGAGCGATGATTAACTGTCCCGTGTTGCTGATAGGTGAAGTAAATGAGGGCTCAAAATGGACCAATAAAGAGAGAACTGATAACTTCCCCCAGAGTAGGTTCAGCGCGATGGTGGCAAGCCAAAGCCTGAAAGGAGTGGGTCCAACAGAGATTTGAAGAATTGAAGACAACGATTCCAATTCTTCCTATCAGGTTTCCAGGAAAGTAATACGTGATAGTTTTAAGATGCAGGATATTATAGCTTCTTTTCCTGTTGATGGTTTGACAGGGAAAATTAATCAGAACATTCGGGTTTTAAGATGCAGGAAATTATAGCCTTTTTGTTAATGATAGGAATGTTTGAGAGGAAAAATAGAGGAGAGGACCTCGAGTAGGCAAGGGAGGATGGGGTCTTGGGCACACATTCAACCTTCCTTGGGTAGTTGGTAGGGCAGTGGGATTCTGTTAAAGTTATTTTGGTGGCTTCTATTTTCTCAGTGAAATAAACTGAGGATGAGGGTGGGGGTTGGGGGTTGAGAGATGAGAAAGTAGGATCGATGGGCATCCAGTGTGGCCAACTTGAGGTTAAAATAAGACAAGCTGCCATGGTTGTGTTTTTTCTCCAGCTACCTGATACTGAGCAGACTCTGGTAAGGAATAGGCAGTTTTAAAAATCTGCCTTAAGGTTAACAGATAAATACAACAAATGGAGAGAAGGGCAGTGGAGTGGAGGATGCGGGGGTGATTGTAATGATGGGGAGTAGAATCTAAAGGCTCGGTAAAGAGAGAATCAGGAATGGAGTGGGTGAAGAATGAAAAAGGTGGTTACATTTGTGAATTGTAGGGGACTGTCGTGTTGAAAAAATTTTTGGGGTACTAGAGGGAAAGAGATGGAAGGATGAGTGATGATGTTAAGACAGTAGGATGCTTGAGATTGAGATTTGGGAGGTTTTCATTATTGGTACTGAGAAGGTACTAGTTTCTAGTTTGTCAATCAATCCCTAATCTAGATCATTGAAAGAGTAAGTCAGGGAACTGAGAGGTTAGAGTATTGTAGGGATCACCTACATATATATATACATACATGTATGTATATATATAATTTTTTTTTTTTTTTTTTGAGACAGAGTCTCACTCCATCGCCCAGGCTGGAGTGCAGTGGCACGATCTTGGCTCACTGCAACCTCTGCCTCCTGGGCTTAAGCAGTCCTCCCACCTTAGCCTCCTGAGTAGCTGGGACCACAGGTGTGCACCACCATGCCTGGCTAATCTTTTCTATTTTTAGTAGAGATGGAGTTTCACCATGTTGCCCAAGCTGGTCTCGAACTCCTGGCCTTAAGCTGTCTGCCCACCTTGGCCTCCCGAAGTGCTGGGATTACAGCTGTGAGCCACCGTGTCCAGCCAGACATTAAAATTAATTATGATAGGAATAGTTTGGACAGAATGCCATTAAGCTGGTAAGGTCAGTGTTTGAGGTAATGCAAAGGTCTTAGGACACTGCAGATTAGTTTATAGCAATCTGTTTTGCAGCTTTCATTTTTCCTTGGGTGTTATTCTACATACATGTTTGAGAGGTTATACAGAAACTCCATTATTGAACTCCAAGAGGTGAGCTTAGCTAAATGTGAACTGGTAATGATTTTCTGTTAAGTCCTGATTGGATCAAGGTTCTTCATTCATGAAAGAGCCTAGGCACTTAAACTGTGTTCTCAGAGAACAGAGGTATATAGATGCCATTTGGAAGCTACTATAGCAATTGAGTGACCAGATCCTAGGTAATATTTAGTGAACTAGGTTTAAGTGGACTATGCCTTTAGTTAAGGAAAAAGATAAAATTTGGTATCTTCCTGTAGGGAGCTTGCTCTTTAATGAAAAATGTTCAGTAGTTGGAAGATAGTACCTCCTGAAACAGGTTAGTAGCACTCTGACACAACTGGTTGGAGTTTGAGACTGGAAATCCACATTTCTTATTACTGTCTTCAGGAAACTCCATTCACAACTGTATCATCTGAATTATAACCACCATATTCTTAGAGTTTGTGTCCAATTTCTGTCTTGGCTCTGATGTGCCCAGCTTCCTGAAGATACATTCATATTAGGTTTCTGTAAGGAATGGATGAAAAGCCGATTCACCTTTTTTGTCCCCTTTCATTTGTTCCTTGATAAAAAATCCTTCTGGAATCCATATTACTGATAAAGCATATAAAAAAAAAATCTTACAAACTATACAGTTGAGACTGTTGGATCACCAAGTGACAAAATTAAAGGAATCTAATGTTTCTAGCTAAACAAATATTTAATGAGATACATGAATTTGGATATTTTTTAAGTGTGTTAACATTAGGGGCAGTATTTAGAAATGGTTGAGCCCGTTAGAAACTAAAGAAATCTGAGGAACAAAGCTCGAACTTCTAACATTTTATTTAAAATTTATAGCCTAAAATCATTTAAGATCAATGTGATTTGGTCACTTTTTCTAATAAAATATGTGTGAGCTAACTGTAACTGTAATGTTTTAATATAAAACAAGTTAATAGTTCAGATGGTTCCAGGGCCTGGAGCTACTTACCTAACTAAAATGGCAGTTCCTTAAAACCTAAGACCTCCCCATTAAGAGCTGTAAAAGTTCCTGCACAGTTATGAAAGGGAAGCTGAAGATCTTTTCAGTTTCATTTTGGTTAAGATATTATACAAAATATACCTACCTTGAAGAAAGCATCTTACCTGCCTCCAAAGGCAACATGAGCCATTGGCAGAAAGGAACAGATTTTGTTTGTGGCAGAGATTTTTGACCCCAGAAGACTTTTTGTCTGAGAAGTCAAGAATCCTTAACTCCCAGGCATCTTATCAGTTTCCCAGCTCTTGCCAGTTTGATTCTGTCTAGCATTGAAGAACATGTGACAGGGTCATTTTATTCACAAAGTGCAATTCCAAAGGTTTGTGTTACTGAGGGGGATATACATCCATAAAATACATGCCCTTAAGAAGCTTGCAGCCTAATTGGGGAGATGAGGAATGCTACTTATATTTAAAATTCTAAGTGTTGTCTTTTAATAGTTTACTCATACCCTTATATAAAAAAGAGTAAGTACCTGAAATATATTTTAAGGGGACAGCTGACAGAACTTTGGAGAACTACTGTCTAGTCAATAAGTTATTTGAGTAAATCACATCAATTTTACACAATGTGGAGGTTTAACTAGATGACCTGGGATGGGGGGACGGTGCTTTTCCATGTTGAACTTCATAGAAAGGGGAAAAAAGCTTATACACTCCTCAGCCCCATCCAGGAAGTTTGCTATTCTGCATTTCATGGTCTGCCCTCTACCTATTTTTTTTTTTTTTTTTTTTGGAGACGGAGTCTCGCTCTTGTTGCCCAGGCCGGTGTGCAATGGCTATCTACTGCAACCTCCACCTGAGTTCAAGCGACTCTCCTGCCTCAGCCTCCCAAGTAGCTGGGATTACAGGCGCCTGCCATCACACCCAGCTAATTTTGTATATTTAGTAGAGATGGGGTTTCACCACGTTGGCCAGGCTGCTCATGAACTCCAGACCTCAGGTGATCCGCCCACCTCAGCCTCCCAAAGTGCTGGGGTTACAGGCGTGAGCCACCACGCCCGGCCCTGCCCTCTACTTTTAAGGTGAAGGACATGTAATCAGGTTTAAGGAAAATCTGGATCTAGTAAAACACAGCTATCCACAGATTCGTACTAAACATCCATTGAAATCATTTGCAATGAAAAACTTTAAAATCTAAAGTAATGGTATACTGATTACTATCTTATACTAAAACTATATACTATGTATCAATATACTAGACTGTATTAGTAAATGACTGAGTCAAGAGAAGATTTAAAATAATATACCTAATGGGATAACTGGACTACTTACTGGGAGTCACCTGGAGCTACTACTCAAAATGCAGTTTGGGTAGGTCGGGGTCAGGCACCCTGGAAGAGTGCTTATTGCAGTGTCATGAGTCTCCTTCTAAGTTTCCTTCTGTTCCCCTCTTCTCCTGCCATAAACCCGATCCTTAAAGCTACAGCTATTAACTCAAGACTCAGAAGAAATATTCTTAGTTGCCCATATGATAAATATTGAAACAGGACTCTGTAAGGATGGTCTAGTTATAGCCACAGGCATTAGACAGTGGCTTCCTGTGACATATCAGAGGGTGACTTTAATTGTCCTCCAAAATGTGATTAGGGTCACCATTTAGGTGATTTGACTGCCATTTTTTTGCACATTAAAGAAGGAAAACCAGGCAGAAGAACCTTATAAACGTTTTTAGTAAATGTTTATTTTTTGTATTCCTTAAAAACAAAACAAAAATCACAAGTTTAATACTAGTCCTTTGAAATACTGTACACCAATCAAAGCCACCTTACTCATGCAGCAAGTTGGTCTATGTTCTCTTGACTTCTGTTTGCCAGATGCTCCTCAATAATTTCTGCAAACAGATTCCTCTTCAACAGATTATATGCAAGAGGTAAAAGCTGGCCAGCAACTTTATGAAAATACTGAAAAATAAAAATATAACATTAAGCAGAGAATATAGCAGATATCCTAATAAGTAGCAGAAAATATATCAACAAAGCACTTGTTTAACAAAGGCTACTTCCAAAATCATTTTAGCTACACCCTCAGGTGGTTAGTGAACATAATTTAAGGACAGGCGCCTGGCATTCTAAGAGGCAGTCTTGTTGCTCTAGATGACTAATGGCATATCTTGAAAATTAAGAAAACCAAATTAAATCGAGCTTCCTTATTCCCTTAGGTTTTATCAACTTTTTCTCACCCCAAACAATGCCCACAAATACTTTTTATTCTCTCCAGTGTATTCCCAGGCAAAAGTTTAAGCTTTATTTTCCTCAATTCTGTAAGAATAGCTATGCTGAAAGTTTTCAGATCGTATTGCCTTTATCCTCAAATTCCTTCTCTCCCCCATCCCCAACACGTACCGCCTCCCAATCCCTGTTAAGAGTCACTGCCTTAGGCTTATCAAAAGATTTGAGATTACTGCTATTATCTACATATACCACCGTTTTGCTGATCATAATAAACATTTAGCCCTTAACATGCGGTAAGCACTGTGCTAAACCTTTTTATAACTCATACATGTTATTTCATTCTCACAACAAGCAAGTTTGCTATTCACTGGTTCACATCTTATGGCTCTACTTATTTATGGCTAGGGCCTCTCTAGCAGGTCAAGTACTATTTGGATTGGTCAATGACTGTCATTCTGGCTGTTAAGCATTTTGATTATTTTTACTGATAACTATCTATGAGGTGGGCAAAGAAAAGTAGTATAATATGGTTTATAGCAGGGTTCTCAAAATGTACACCCCCGACCAGGAGCATCAACTTCACTTGGCAACTTGTTGGAAATGCAAATTCTCAGGACCCACCCTAGAACTCAATCAAACTTGGGGAGGGTGGGAAGACTGCCAGTGAGCGTTTGGACAAGCCTTCCCATTGACGCTGATGCACGCTAAAGCTGGAGAGCTACTGGTTTGGTCTTGCTTTTCCCAGTGTGGTCTGTAGAGCAGCAGCATGACCGTCACCTGGGAGCATGACAGATATGCAGTCTCAGATCTCATGCTGGACCTACCGATAGAGTGCATTTTAACAATGTCTGCAGGTGAGTCATATGCATTTTAGTTTGGGAATTACTGCACTGATTTAGGCACTGATTCTGGAGCCAGACTGCTTGTGTGAACCTGGGCAAGATGCTTTGCCTCTCTGTGACTTGGTTACAAAGTAGGTTAAATGAGAATTAAATGATCTGCGTGTGGGTATGCACTCGTGCACATGTGCACACATATCTTACAGGTAAAGAAACAGATGCAAAGGTGTTGGAAAGCTTGCCCGATCTTACACACTGGGAAGATGTGATTTACAACCAGTTTGGCCCCAGAAACAGGTCATATCCGCTACACCTTATTGCCTCTTTGATCTTCAGGCAACTATGGTCGAGTAAGCACTGGTTTAGCTATTAAGTAAAATTTTCTTATTTAATGAGCAATTAGTTAACGGTAAAACAGCATCTCTTATAAAGCTTAAATAATTTAAAGTGCATTTTTCATCTAAGAATTTAAGCACAATAACAAATACCCCCACCACAATGGAAACGAAATGGAGCCTAAGGTGTGTGCACACACCCCCATACCTAGCCCCAAACGTACACACACGGCAAGAAGGCATGTCCCTATAATGTGTCTAATGAGTAAATTCACTTTAATGTAAGCCTGAATGCAAATAATCTTCACCTTTGAGTGAATGCAAATATTCACCTTTGCCAGAATATAAGATGAGTTTAAAACATTTTTAGGACATCTACGTTAAAAAAAATCACTTCAAAAACTTCATTTTGAAATACAAGCTGAATCCCTGTCTTACCTCTGCTGGAATTTGGGGGTATAAATGTGCACGTATTCATGTGTGGATGTATGTCGCGGGGAGAGGAGGGAGGTGTGGCAGTGGGTAGAAGGTGGAGGGTTTTTTTACTCACATGTGAGCCATAGCAAAAGAGATCCATTCCCAATTCAAGCCCCATGCCATAATCACATTCATCATTAGCAAACTGCACAAAAGTCATCATTTCCTGAATGGGAGCAAAAGCTTTTAGTCTCTCCTCATCACTTGCAGCCTCAACTATTGTCTTGCAAATTCTCTTGAGGTCAGCTGAAAGAAATCAATAATATAAAAGATTATCTACATAGTTAGAAAATGAATCAGTCTTCAAAAGTAAGAAGATTATAAAGAGGGTTTTTCCTCCTAAGACTTTGTACTAATACAACTTGTGCCACCTTGGGTAGTAGTCTTCAGCACTCTAATTTAGAATGGCAATTTGGTAACTTTTCTACTTAGGATTCAAGCTTAAAAACAGGTTAACAAGTATTTCTTTATTAACGACTATTTCACAGGATTTAGTTACAGTCACGATTTTTTTTTTTTTTTTTTTTTTTAGACGGAGTCTTGCTCTGTCACCAGGCTGGAAAGCAGTGGTGCGATCTCAGCTCACTGCAACCTCTGCCTCCCAGGTTCAAGCAATTCTCCTGCCCCAGCCTCCCAAGTAGCTGGCACTACAGGCACATGCCACCACGCCCAGCTAATATTTGTATTTTTAGTAGAGACGGGATTTCACCATGTTGGCCAGGATGGTCTTGATCTCTTGACCTCATGATCTGCCTGCCTCGGCCTCCCAAAGTGCTGGGATTACAGGCGTGAGCCACTGGGCCCAGATACAGTCATGATTTTTTTAAAAAGTCTATTCCATGGTGGTCATCATGCATTTACATAAGCTTTAAAGATTCAGCAGACTAGTCCAGGAGTTGGCAAACTTTGGGCAAACCTGGCTCACCCTGTGTTTAACTGCCCTCAAACTAAGTTTTTTTCATTTTTAAATGGTTGAAAAATCAAACAAGAATGTGATAGATTATGTAGCCCACAAAGTGTAAAACATTTACTATCTGGCTGTACATGGAAAGTCTGCCAGCCTGGTTCATGCACTATATAGTTGCCTCTGTATCTGAGGGTTCTACATCCTTCGATTAAACCAAGTGCGGATTGAAATACTCAGGAAAAAAATAAAACATACGGATTTTAAAAATACAGTATAACAACTATTTACATAGTGTCTACTTTATATTAGGTATTCTAAGTAATCTAGAAATGATTTGAAATATACAGGAGGATGTGCGTAAGTTATGCAAATTCTACACCAACTTATTTGAGGGACTTGAGCATCAGATTCTGGGTATCCTTCGAGGTCCTGATACTAAGACAACTGGATTAAAAAATAATCCAAGTAGGCAAAATTTATTCTTTTTGCCCTGTCCTACCTTGTTTGCTAAAAAAAATTACTGACTTGTGACTTGTGGTGAACTAAACCCAGAAAAAGACAACAATGTAAGAGACAAGAAATCACTGCAGAATTAAACCTTTAACTAAAACCTTCACCAAATTGGGAGAAGAGTAGGCATGGCAAGCATGCGTTTGAGGTAAGAATAGAGAGAAAATGTCTAATATTTACCTAAAGAATATATTTTTACAAATTAACATTTCAATTTTGGCTTTCAAGATTTTTTTCATTCTTTCTGGATGTTAATGTACATCCGATTTCAGGACGCAAATGAGATGGAAGTATGAACAATATCTATTTAGACTTCCTTTTGACAAATTGTATGTCCTTTTTAACAAACAGTACTTCTTTGAGAATGAAAAGAATGGATATTATTCAAACAAACCAACAAAACATTTCCAAACAGGTGGCTGCCATACTGGGGGAGAGGAAGACTGGTTAAAACATTAACAATTATACTCAAGAATGATAGGTGATGTTAAATTCTATGTATGAGGCACAACGTTCTGATGAGACTAACGAAAAATATCAGGTATGATATTACCAGGGACGGGCTGAGCGCAGTGGCTCACGCCTGTAATCCTAGTGGGAGGATTTGGGAGGCTGAGGCAGGAGGACTGCTTGAACCCAGGAATTGGAGACCAGCCTGGGCAATGTGGTGAGACCCTGTCTCTACAAAAAATAGAGAAATTAGCTGGACTTGGTGGTGGACACCTGTAGTCCCAGCTACTTGGGAGGCTGAGGTGGGAGGATCACCCAGTGCAGGAGGTGCAGGCTGCAGTGAGCCGTGGTCATGCCACTGCACTCCAGCCTGGGTGACAGAGTAAGACCCTGTCTCAAAAAAAAAAAAAAAAAAATTACCAAGGATGGTATTAAAAATATACTATATACTAGTGCTTTTAACCCCAGTCTATGAATAACATTTGGTTCAGTCTTGACGACAGTACAGAATACATGCTGTTACCCCAGTCACAAAATGTGTTGTTCCCTTTCCCACTTTTGGTGGACCAGTATCGCATTGAACGAATGGCAAACTGCACCACCTACGTTTCTAACTATCTATAAACAGTAGTGACATATTTGTTGGTTTGAAACCTTTTACAAATTAAATTATTTTACATGAGCTTCATGACATTCCTTTCTTCAGAAAAATCAGTGCTGATCATTTCAAGAAAACAGATGAAGCTTTCTCCAAAAAGCTCCTTAAGGATGGAAAATAAGTGGTTCCTCCCTGTTATCGTGGGTGTAACTGATTGACTGGGACCCTTAGAATCTCTCTCGCTGTGCTCCAGTCAGCCACTACAAATCAGGGTGGGTATGGAAGTGAAGAATTTAAAGTTTATCGCTTTCCAGTATCTTATTTTCTATTTTTACACCTGGCAAGTCACATATGGACTAAAAAGAATAAGCAACTTATGCGAATTACTAAGCTAGAAAAACACTGAAGAACAGAGATGAAAATATTCAGCTCACCATCAGTACAAGGAAAAATATGTTCTTCCAGCAATAAAACATTCTACAGAAATTTCATTTAACTGAAACCCAAACTTAAAGAACATGAGTGAAGCCTTAAGTTAACTATTCAAAAATGATGACTTAAATGTTTCTACTCAAAATACTCAATTTAATGAGTTAGGAGTTTCACTGCTGAATTCTTACTATATCCCTGCCACTACTATCAACTAGAATACTTAAATTAAGCTACAGTAGTTCTGTCAAGGTAAAAATCAGGCAACTAGGCAGGCAACTCTTCTTACTTCGGATAGTAGTATGCACTCTACAGTCAGAAAACCAAGTATGAAAACCAGTGCCCTCAGCCGGGGCTTTGGGAAGCCAAGGCAGGTAGATAACTTGAGGTCAGGAGTTCGAGACCAGCCTGATCAACATGGTTGAAACCCTGTCTCTACTAAAAATACAAAAATTAGCTGGGCATGGTGGTGGGTGCCTGTAATCCCAGCTACTCAGGAGGCTGAGGCAGGAGAATCACTTGAACCTGGGAGGCGGAGGTTACAGTGAGCTGACACCCTACCATTGCACTCCGGCCTGGGTGACAAGAGCAAAATTCCATCTCAAAAAAAAAAAAAAAGAAGAAAGAAAGAAAAAAAGAAAACCAGAGCCCTTACTGACTAATGCTAAGCACCGTGAGTCTATTTCCTTTGTGAACATGGGAATAAGACCTACAATAAAGAGTTGGGTGAGAATTAAATACATCACTTGTTAAAGTGAATCATGACACTGACATTTAAGAATTGCTCAATAAAACGTATCTTATTTGCTAAGTTAAAGCGTTATTGTGAGAAGCTTCAAAGGGTTAAGAACAAACTTAGTTGTGATTTGCTAATCATTGTCACATTAACAAACTGCCAGTCAGTTATACCTCTTGGCAAATGACACTGGCAAGAGCAAGAAGATTAGGTCCTTCAGTCTTAATGTTTTGCTACCACTTCAAAACTAATTAAATACAGAAGGATCTAATGCCTAGAATAGTAGACTTGGATATAAAACCCCAGAACCACAACTACCGCAGGGTAACAGGCTTTACTCCAGGGCACTACAATTTAACATCCATCACCCCAAAAGCTTTAGAGACTGCCCATCTCTACAACAAATGTGCGCAACCTTTCCCAAACGAGATAGTAATCATGCTTTTTAAAGCTCTCTCTGTGAGCAGAGACATGAAGAGAAGATGACTTAGTGTAGAAGCAGAAGACTGACCAGTAGCTAGGGCCCACAATGGTCCCATCAGAGACTAATTGACTCTGGCTTCAAAGAGGAGATATAGGACAGATCAGCCTGTCTAAGAGAAATACAGTGTGGGTTACATTTTTTCCAGTATCCACATGAAAAAAGAAACAGGTGGGGCAGGAGAAGGAGCTAAAAAAAAAAAAAAAAACCAACAACAAAAAACAGGTGAAATTAAGATATTTTATTTAACCCATATTTCCAAAATAGTATTATGTCAACATATAATCAATGTAAGAAACATTTAATCCTGTTTTAATTTACAAACTTAAACTAATTAAAATTATAGAAAATTACAGGCCAGGTTCGGTGGCTCATGCCTATAATCCCAAAACTTTGGGAAGCCGAGGTGGGTTGATCACGTGAGCCCAGGAGTTCGAGACCAGCATCGGCAACAGAGTGAGACCCCGTCTCTACAGGACAAAAACAAAAACAAAAACAAAACCCACCAATTAGCCAGGCATGGTGGTGCACACCTGTAGTCCCAGCTACTCGGGAGGCCGAGACAGGTTAATTGCACCACTGCGCTCCGTCCTGGGTGACAGAGTGAGACCCTGTCACAAAAAAAAAAAAAAAAAGAAGTAAAAAATAAATACGAGTTACAAATTTTGTTGCAGGAGCCACCTGTGAGGCACTCAGTGGCCATCACACTGGACAGCTCAGCCACATTCGTCTTCCCTATGGCACTCCTCTAAGTGGCAGGGGTACAGCAAAAACAGGTCCGTATGAGTAGCTGCCATCTAAGACATCTCTACCTACTGGCTGGAGACTCTGCACAGTAAAATTTGAGAAGAACTGCTTTAGAGAATTGGTTTAAATGCAGATGTCCAGGTCACAACCCCCAGAGACTGGTAACTACCAAGGCTAGTTAGTTCTGTTCTGAAAAGCAGACGGCCAAATACGTGCATTGGGCAGGAATATGTGGTTCTTTGAGAAGATGCTAAGTTTGATTTCCCTTTAAGTTTTATCCCCCCAGAAGAGGATGATCAATAAAGGAATACCAGCAGGGCTGTTCACGATAAGGGAATGGAGACAAGGGGAAAAGAATTGAGAAGCGATTTTAATTCTCGATGTTTAACGTAGCAATAACTAGATTATGCGCAGTGGTCCATTTTCAAAGTGTTTTTATACTTACAGATGACGTAGTTCAGGATCTTGGGCTTCTGAAAGCTAAATCATTTTATAGGCAGATGAAAAAATGTTCACAAAGAACCATAAAAACACAATTTCAATAATTACTACTTTGCAAGTTGACTGTAATGTCAAAGGTTCGGAAATAGTTCCCAAGAAGCAGGCAATGGGTTAAAATTCTGAAACCCCGTCTCTACTGAAAATACAAAAATTAGCTGGGCATGGTGGTGGGTGCCTATAATCCCAGCTACTTGGGAGGCTGAGGCAGGAGAATCGCTTGAACCTGGGAGGCGGAGGTTGCAGTGAGCTGAGATTGCGCCACTGCACTCCAGCCTGGGCGACAGAGCAACACTCCGTCTCAAAAAAAAAAAAAAAAAACAAACAAAAAAAGAAACTACTGAATTTTGAACACTGAGGCAAGCATTTTGTTAAGTATTTTAATACTTGTTTACACCACAAATTCCTTTATGAAGTGCATATGATTAGCTCCATTTTACAGATGAAAAAGACAAGATTTCACAGGGTTAAATAATTTGTTCAAGGCCACACAGCTATGAACTCGGTTTTAATTCAGGAATGACTGACTCTAAAACCTCAGCTTACTCTTTATTACTAAGGTCTAGCGACTGTGTCAGAAAAGGTATATAGACATACCTACTTCCCAATATAAGCAAAACCTTTATTCATGTGCATTAACATATATGCACATGTTTACTATGAAATACATTACCATCTGTTTCAGGGAGCTCTCGGTACCCAACATCATTTTTATCTACTGGAACAACCAAGCCTGCACCATGAAAGGTCTTTGTCACAACCTACATTAAAGAAAAGAATAAAATGTAATCATGGTAAGCAGACATCAAAAAAAAAAATCCCCAAATACATAAACCCTCAACATTTCTGCCAAAATGTAACATTTAATCACATTTTATTTCAGTAAATTTGGACTCCAGGGTAAAAATTTAACACTATTTTTTTCTTGAAAATCAGCTAAAAGTTAAACAGTTGAAGTAATCACAGAACAGTGAAATAATTGGCTTTTCTTAATTGTGCCAGTCACTTGGAAGTCTGCACCCTGATTTGTTAAGGAAGAACCCAATACATCCTAGAAGGCAAGTCAAAATATTGGTTTCCTCTAAGGTCAAAGTACCTTCTGGTAGAAAGCACAGAGGAACCTGGTTCTAAAAGAAAAAGAGTAAGAAATAGTTCTTGTCAGCAAGAAGATATGGTAGGACAGAACTCCTCTCATCCATCCTGCCAAATTGAGACTCCCCTATTTTTACCTGGAATATTTAGGCTTCTCTGCAAACTTCCCAAAAGTAGGGCAGTTTCTAGGTTTGTGGTGTCCTTTATGGAGGCAAATCACATAACCAGTGAGCTTTTATTAAGTGGTAGTCTTCAAAGACAAAAACAGGCCCAACTACAACTACCACCATAACCCTTCCAGTTTCCATTCTTCCTTTAGCTCATGTTAGTGACATTATTTTTAGGTCTTTCCTTAGCGAAACATCTGTACAAATATTCCACTTCTTTGTGCAATTCAGTGAAAAGTTTCCAAGGCAGAGGAAGGACACAACCCAAAAACCAAACTCCAATTTTAAAGGCCTCTCACCTAAGTCTCTATATCTTAAAGATTTTTTTCTCTCTAATCTCCCTATTCTCCCAGTCTCTTGCTTCTTTCATTATCCTTTATTAAGCTGCCAGAAAGGGCAGATTATTCAAAGGAAGTTATCAGACAACTGCTTACCACTTGGGAAAAAAATGAAGTCATTGTCTTCTATCTTAATCTTTCTATCAAGATAATCTGCAGCTGGATTTCAGAATTAAATGTAAAAATAAAACCATACACATATACACCATGGAATACTATGCAGCCATAAAAAAGGATGAGTTCATGTCCTTTGTAGGGACATGGATGAAGCTGGAACCCATCATTCTCAGCAAACTACCACAAGGACAAAAAACCAAACACTACATGTTCTCACTCATAGGTGGGAATTGAACAATGAGAACACTTGGACACAGAGTGGGGAACATCACACACTGGGGCCTGTGGTGGGGTGGGGGGAGGAGGGAGGGATAGCATTAGGAGATATACCTAATGTAAATGACGAGTTAATGGATGCAGCACACCAACATGGCACATGTATACATATGTAACAAACCTGCACGTTGTGCACATGTACCCTAAAATTTAAAGCATAATAAATAAAAAATAAAGACATAAAACTACTCGAAGGTAAATTTTAAAAAATAATTTTGTGATAGAGAAGAGTTGACTATATAAAAATAAAAAGTCTATCCAGTGAAATCAAGTACACAAGACAAATTAACTGATAAAATATATCTGCAAAATGTAATAGTAAATAAAAATTAATGTCTTTAAACTATAAGGGAGTCTAACAAAGGAAAAGACTAACATCCAAATTAGAACACATGTAAGAAAAAGACTAATTCTAACCCTGATAGAGAAATGGGCAGAGTTCAGGCAGTTAAAAAAAAAATACAATGGCCAACAGAGAAAAGTATTTAACGTCCTTTATAATTAAAGAAATGCTAATTAAAACTGCAGAATTTTATACCTACCAGCATGGAAAAAACTAAAAAGACTAAAGAAAACCCCCCAAAATTAGAAACAAGCAAAGAAAAACTACAAACACACCTACACACACACAAACTACTTTGGACCTGGCAATACTACGTCTAGGAATTTCTTCTAAAAAAATAACCAGATAAGTATGAGAATAAAGGTATAAAAGGATATCTATGGCAGGATTGTGTTTGTGAAAAATCTTAAGCAACCCAAACTTTGACCATAAGCACAGTATTCTGCAGCCGCTCAAAATTATGAGGTAGATCTTAAATTGGCAATATGAAATGATAAAGATACCATATTCATAAGTGTAAAAAGCAGGACATAAAGCACTGATAATGAAAGAAAAAGACAGCAGTGCTATAGTTGCCAGCTCAGGCTGAACAACATAAAGAATGATGGTAATATGTTCAGATTTTTCACAGATGATTACCTGTACTAATTGTCCATGAAGAGGAATCAATTAAGAAGTCATCAGAATTGTAATTTTATTAAGAAATTAAGAAGAATAAGATTACAAATTTAGGAAAGCTGTATAGGGGTGGGTGACATCCTGAAGCATGGGATCACAGGTGGATGGAGTGCCACACCATCATTTTATGCATCATTTAACCAACGTTCCTTATGAAGAAATCCAGGTATGAAAAAGGTGAAGTGGCAGAGAGCCAATTAGTAAGAAGATGGGGTGGAAAGAATGCTAAATATGGAAAATATGAAGTTGGGTTTTACATGTGTCATTTAAGATTTTGGACAAGACACAAAACCTCTATAACCCTCAATTTACTCATCTATAAAATAGGATAATTCCAACTTTGCAGATTTGTTGTAGGGAGTCAAATGATATAACTCATAAAGACTCTGCATTCCAAAGTATGCTAAGTTACTATCAGTATAAAAACACTGATTTCTAGTGTGCTGCACAGTGCTCTATCATACTAGAGTGGAAATATGCTTACGCTCACACACAAGGACAAAGCCACTAACTCACATATACTAGTGGAATTGAATTCTTCAGTAGAAAAATATGAATTCAATGAAGATCTCACAAAAACAATAAAAGAACAACCTTGCATTTAACAGAAAAGGGTTTGAAAGTATAGTCATTAACAGGGGAGGATTAAAAACATGATTGTCTTGAAAGTTCTTTTTTGTCTTTGTTTTTACCAGCTGTTTTTGTATAAAAAACAAATACTAAAATGAAACTTCATAGGGGAGGGGTCTAGGACAAAAATATCTATGAAATTTAAACCTCAATCATATCTTCTTTATGGGGAAGAATTAAGAAAATCTCCTCTGAAATAAATCATAGCTTGTGGTAGAAAAATAAAAAAAGACTGATTAAATAATTTGCTAACAGCTATTATGTGTACGGATGCTCAGACTTTAGTCAAAACAAATTAGAAATACATTAACTAGGTTACAAATGCTACCCTTCCTCCTAGTCACAAAGTGGAAGAAGCTTCCTGTGATAACCAGAAAGGTAAATGGCAATATAAAATCTTAATATTTAAAATGCCATATTGTAATGGGTTTCATTAAAATGTATGTTTTAAGAAACTTTCCAGTCTATAGGACTAAAGAGTGCCTAGAACTTGATACAAATGTCACCCCTGCAGCTGAATCAAGATCAGAGAAGGAACTGAAGTAGGATTTAATGCCTAAGTACACTAAGGTACTTCATTACCAGTGCTAGTTTATTAAGGAATAGCAAGTTCTCCATTTAGCTTAGAACATTCAGATGAACCAGCATGGGCAGACAAATGGTGAGAGGCTGGAGGAGACTGGGGAGCCCTCATTCCAGTGACAAATTTTTTTTTTGTTTTTGTTTTTTCCCCAGAGGCCATAAGAACAAACTCCTATAGAATTCTCATTTACTCCAAACCAGAAATCTTCCAGCTTGTCATTAACTTACTCTGAAATCTATAGCTGAAAAACCAAAAGAATCCAACATTAACAAGTATTTGCTCCTTTACAAAATACTCCCCTCATATTGCAGACATTAGGAGAGATGCAAAAGGAAATGATAGGATTAATAAGGAAAAAGAAAGGAGCACTGCTTATATACACGTTTACTGGAGAAAATGTATGTATGTAAATTTCATTATGTACAAAGCAGCTTTCACTTAACTTTATGAAGTGATTAAATGGTAAACAAGATTAAAAGAGTGGTAAATACTGGCATGAGTTATTCAACCACAGCAGTGATATCACCAGTTGCGCAATTCAATCAGTGTACCAACCCAAAGGAGCCATCTGACCCCTGTTTCAGTGCCATCCTCTTTCAGTGCCATCCTCCTAACATCCCTAAGGGACAGCATCCAGTTCTTAAGATAGGACTAGGGAAGAGAAGGGTAAAGTAGAGATGGGAAGGAATCAAGAGGGGAAAAAAATATGCTATAGCAAAACAGAGACCAACAGGTTGAAATCATACTTTCTTATCTCTCTGTTTCATCTTCACGGTTCTCTGTTCAAGCGAGTACCCCAATTCTCTGGCTGCTTCTGTGAGTTTTTCATCTATGTTTTTCAAGAGATTGATTTTCTTTTTATCCGTTATTTCTCTAAGTTTTTTCGTCAAAAATAATCTGAAAAAGAAGTAAAAGTCCGCATTATGTGGCAGGCCACTGTACTAAGTACAAAGACCTTTCAAAGTTGAGCCAAGGTAAAAATGTCAAATTCCATACAAGAATAAGTCCACAGAATAATTACCAACACTTCTCTCAAAATCCCTAATAGTTTTCTTCAAATAAGAGAAAAGCAATATTCATAAAAAACTGCCAGTCAGAGAAAGAGCAAATACGATTCAAATTTATATTAGCACTCTAATGTCTACAATAAAGGTATAAGGGGTATTTGCAAAGCTGAGATTAGTCAAGGTTTAAACTGTATCACTTGATACTAAGATATGGCATACTACTTTGGAGAAGTCTGACCTAACAGAAAAAAAAGTAGACATCAAAAAAAAGTAGACATCAAAAAAATTTTTCAGGCAAGGCGCAGTGGCTCACGCCTGTAATCCCAGCACTTTGGGAGGCCAAGGCGGGCGGATCATGAGGTCAGGAGATCAAGACCATCCTGGCTAACAAGGTGAAACCCCGTCTCTACTAAAAATACAAAAAATTAGCCGGGCGTGATGGCGGGCGCCTGTAGTCCCAGCTACTTGGGAGGCTGAGGCAGGAGAACGGCGTGAACCCGGGAGGCAGAGCTTGCAGTGAACCGAGATCGCGCCACTGCACTCCAGCCTGGGCCACAGAGCAAGACTCCGTCTCAAAAAAATATATGTATATATTTTCAGGGACCAGGCATGGTGGTCCATGCCTGTAACCCCAGTACTTTTGGAAGCCGAGGTGGGCGGATCACTCAAGGTCAGGAGTTGGAGACCAACCTGGCCAACATAGTGAAACCCTGTCTCCACCAAAAATACAAAAATTAGCTGGGCATGGTGGCATGCACCTGTATTCACAGCTACCCGGGAGGCTGGGGTACGAGAACCACTTGAACCCGGGAGGTAGAGGTTGCAGCCATCCAGTCAGCCGAGATCGTGCCACTGCACTTCAGCCTAAGACTGCCTCAAAAAAAAAAACAAAAAACTGTCTTTTTTTCCGAGATGTTGTTTCATTCTTGTTGCCCAGGCTGGAGTGCAGTGGCAGGGTCTCAGCTCACTGCAACCTCCACCTCCCAGGTTCAAATGATTCTCCTGACTCAGCCTCCCGAGTAGCTGGGATTACAGGTACATGCCACCACGCCCAGCTAATTTTTGTATTTTTAGTGGAGACAGGGTTTCCTCATGTTGGTCAGGGTGGTCTCGAACTCCTGACCTCAGGTGATCCATCTGCCTTGGCCTCCCAAAGTGCTGGGATTACAGGCGTGAGCCACTGCCCCTGGCCTTTTTTTTTTTTTTTTTTTTTTTTTCATTTTTAAAGAGACAGGACACTATTATAACACTAAAGGTCGATAGATTTTTTTTTTAATGTTGAAGTTTGTGTTAAGAAAAATTTAGAAAACACAAAAGGAAAGCAAAGCTACTTTGTAAGCTTATACAAAAGCATAATCCAAAGTAGTTCTCAAAAGTATGTGAATATATATCATGTTAATGCCACTTATGGAAATAATTTTATATTTTGTCATAAACAGGTTAAGATTTTTGCCATCAATATAAAAGGTCAGGAGTAAAATGAAGAGCGGCAAGAGTGTGCCAGACTTCCAGGAAGAAGGCTGAGGGAGTAACAACTCCTAGGAAGAAACTCACTTCTATTCACTGCCAACATCTGAGAGTTTGTAGTATTCCCTGCAACACTGTTAGGGAGTTAGAACATTTATAGTGGGTGCTAGTCTTAGCTTCATTGTACTTATCAGGAAAAAAAAAAGGCACAGAGGATAGTCAACTTACCCAAGTTGAGAGAGCTAATAGATTAAACCCGTAGAGTTACCAGTAGAACTGGTAGATTAAAATGCCACAGAAACCCAAGCCATCAAAATCTAACTTCTGATTACAGCACACGGTTACACTAAATCTTACCTTCAATTATTACCAGCTGTATGTCTAGAGGGTATTTTTATATCAACCATAAAATACAGATTTGATCATGTCAGTCCTATGTGAATCAATCGATCTTTACAGTCTTCCTCAACACTCTGGCACGGCAATATAGCCATTCAAGTACCCTGTGCCACGTATTTTCACACTTTCACACACATACTGCTCCCTTACCTAAAACATCCTTCTTCCCATTCTTTCTAGTAAGTTCTTAGGCATCCATCAAAGCCCACATAAAATATCCTCTTTTACCTCTGCCACTATTGAAGGCACTTGGTAGCTGCCTTCCCATACATATGACATTATTATGACTATCTCTGTAAGTTTTTGTCTCTGCCGAAACCTACTCTAACACTTTACTGTGTGATGCTTAAAGATAAGGTGCGATGTGCAACTGAAGCCATAACCATGAACGTGAACATTTTGTGCTGTGACTTTAAATCCATTAGAATGTCTTCAACGCAAATGAATTTGTACCCATGCATGTTATATGGCATCATGCAATGGCCCTTTGGAAATAGTGGTTTACTAAGTTATATAGATGTAAGTGTTGAAACTTATATATCAAATTCATTACATAACATTATGAAAAAAAGCTATTGCGCTCACAGTGGTATTACAAGTTTCTCAATCTAATTTTTATTTGAAACCCTGAATTTTATCACTGACAAAAAATATAGTCAGTTGTTTTCTTTGGTTCATTTGAGAGAATTCCTGCCAGTAGCTAGACCCAAATAACCAGTTTGTCAATGAGTCACTCTTTTTTTTTTTTGCATTCCAATCTTGGGTTTATTCAACACAATTCTTCCACTCTACACAACAAAGTACAAACACAATGTCATCTAAAATGCTACAAAGGTATAAAACTCAAAGAGAAATTTTATAGTACTGACTGTACAATAAGAAAAAAAAAGAAAAGCAATGTACATGTTGCCAAGATAACCTGAAAGACCACCATGAAGGACAGGCACAACCATGGCTGCGGGATGACCCCACAGAGCTGGCTCTCAACTCACTCGCCAATTTCAGAGTAGGGTGGTGGGGTGGTGTGTGTGCATAGGTGCACGGACAGACAGAACCATGCACAGCAACTACCATGGGTGAGAGGATCTTTGGGGGTGTGTGACCCTTGAAGTCGGAAGAGGCCTCGAGAGGCCGGGCCTAACAGGGTTGGCAGCTGCACTAAACCCTGGGGCAGCTCCCTTTCCAAAAGGACACTGCCCAGCGACAGCAAGGGCACGGCCTGGCCACCATCCCAGGTCATCAGGGAAGGGAAAAGTGTGCTCCCAGGTAGGCAGGGTCAAAGCACCCCCAAGAGTCTTACTTGTCCCTGGTGGCTCTGCCACTGAACTGACTCTTAGAAACTGGAAATGGGTGAGCTTTCTAGCCAGAAAACCAGAGGGAATCTTGACAGGCACACAGTCAATGAGTCACTCTTTCTAAAAGTGGGGAAAAGTTCATCTCAAAATTCAATCATACAAGGGCTTTTTTTTCCCTTGAGACAAACCACAGTACTTCAGTATGAGAAATGCTTTCTATGTATTTCCTATTTCATCACAGAATGTTAAAGAGATGAACTCAATGGTAGACATCTAATACATGTATACTCCAACACTGACATTTTTCAGGCACAGGGTCTTGCTATGTCGTTTAGGATGAACTTGAACTCCTGGGCTCGAGCAATGCTCCCACCTCAACATCCCGAGTAGCCACCATGCCTGGCTCCATCACAAACATTTTTAAATACATTTGCATGTTACTGCTGTGAATAATGCAATGACTGCTGCTACCCTGGTGGCACTATCTTGATTCCTGCCAAGGTGACAACAGTATTATCCACTATTTACTTTGTGCCATTGGTGCAAAAATAACATTTTATTATCACAAATAGTTTTGACCTTAAGGGTCCCTGACCCAAGGTCAAAACTGTTTACCCCAGTTATTTTAGGAAAATAAATAAGGCAGAAGGAAAAAAAAAATCATTCCTTTGTTGTTCAAAGTTATTTAAGAATTATGTTTACTTCCATATGCATTAGACAGTATGAAATGGAATCATTCTACACTATTGTTATTTGCCCACTTCATAACAAATTCAACAAATCAATACCAAAGTATTATAGTATATGGATAGTTTATATTTACCTAATCTTCCCTATTGCTGGATATGTTGCCAATTTTTCATTTGATAAACAATCTGTAATACACATATTTCTGTACCTGTCCAAAATCCCTTTAATAAACAGCTAGAAGTGAAATTGCTAACTTAAGGGTATAAATGTGTACTTCACATAGTACCTGACAATGTCACCTATTAAGAAATCTTAGAATATGCTTTCTAAGTTAACATTTTTCAAATGTTAACATTAAACATTTTTCAAACTGCTTTCTACAAAAGTTTTACCAATTAACACATCAGTAAGGGTTCTTATACCCTAACCATCATTGGTTATTACCATTCTTTAACCTTTAAAAAAAATCTTTGCTGGTTAAATTGGCATTTCTTTAGTTACTATTAAATCTTGCAGACACAAGATTTAATAATAACTAAAGATAAAAATGTGTTGATCAAAGGTATGCCTTGAAAGACCTTATTCAGTCTGCCATAAAAATAAATTTTAAAATATATAAAGAAATTAAGTGTTCTGGTTAGCTGATTTAAGGAGGTAGTACCTAAAAAACTAAAACCGTTATAATACTTTAAAAGTACTAAAATAGTTATATCTCAAGTAATTTTTTACCCCTGTTTGAGATAAATTATTGGAGGTAGTTCCTCAAATACTCACTTGCTGATCTTCACCTAAGTTATAAATATCACCCATGCATTTTTTTTTTCTTTTTCATTGTCTATGTTCTCCAATTAGCTTAAAAAAAAAAAAAGATACCAGAAGAGTCTTGGGTTATGTTACATGACCACTATTATGTTATCTTTTTTTAAAAAAAAAAAAAAACATGACTAATAACACAAATGAAAAGTTAGGCTTGTTTTTCGAAAAAGAGACAGTCTCACTATGTTGCCCAGCCTGAAAAAATTAGGTGTTTTTACATGCCAAGGTATTTATAGAATTAATATTTATGGAGCATCTAGTATGGGGCAGATACTCTGCCCTCGTGGAACTTAACATGCTAGTGCAAGAGACAGACAATAAGCAAGAAAACAACAAGAGTTTCTAATAAAGATGGCACCAATTTAAATTGAATGATAAATCCAAAGAGTTTAAAAGAAGTTATAAATTACAAATACCAAGTAACATTTTATAGGAAACTGAGAGGTATTAGAAAAGAAAGAACATTTTTGGACATCTACAATGTAGCTGCCTTGTAGATACACCAGTATGTACGTAGCATAGTCTAGTGGTTGTAGTAGGGTGATTTAGTTTGAATTCACTTTACTGCAAATTTGTATGATCAAATCACAGGGAACAACAGCCCTTTAAAGAGACAGTACTAAAAGAGGTCAAAGAAAAGATAATCTACTTGTATTTGAAGTGATAAAGTTTGCTTTCTTCATTACAATGCAAACTACACAGCTGCTGACAAATAAAATGGCTTCAAGTCATGTCTGTGGCTGATATAGCACAGACTGGCTCACTCACCTCTATTCCAACCCCTTCCCCATGAAAGTTCACTGCATTTCCCATACTACTCTTTAGCTCAGGCTCCACATGGGACCTATCTTCTTCCAAGCAGCTGCAATACTTTGAAATCTCAGAGGCAGAAGAGATACCACATGGAGGCTGTGCTTCCACGATCTCCATCAATGAGCACAGCTGTAGAGGCATCTGATGGTTCTGCAGCAGCTGTAGCTGAGATCCCAGCACCTGGTTCTTAGCTTCACGGGGGCTGAGAGGCAAAGAGTAGGGCATCCATTTACCTGGCCCAGATTATACCAAAGATAATGTGGTCCTAGAGCCACTCACTGTGGCAGCAGTTCTCGAATTCCCAGCTCCCTGATGGTGGCAGAGACAAAATCCACTGTGAGCCACACAACTGTCATTCCTGGAAGCTCAGCCTGCTCCCTCAACCCTTCCAAGGATATAATGACCACCTCTTTTTACTTTATTAAGCCTTTCTGTTTGAACCATACATAAGAAATAAACTCTTAACAGGTGTTTAAAATCAGATGTCTAACAAAACTGTTGATGTTGCCATGGAACACCTGAGGTCAAGTATTATTTTCGTTAAGTAAAATAGTTACATAAGAGGTGTATTTTTTTGGTGAAGAGGCACAAAATAACAGTATAGATAAGACTACCTGCAAAAGTCATGGAAATTATCTCTAGAAATCTACAATTATGGGCTTGTCTCAAATCCGCTTTGTTTTTTTTTTTGGAGATAGAGTCTCACTCTGTCACTCAGGCTGCAATGCAGTGGCGCAATCTCGGCTCACTGCAACCTCCGCCTCCTGTGTTCAAGCAATTCTCCTGACTCAGCCTCCTGAGTAGCTGGGATTACAGGTGTGTGCCACCATGCCTCCAGCTAATTTTTGTATTTTTAGTAGAGATGGGGTATACCCATGTTGTCCAGGCTGGTCTCGAACCCCTGACCTAAGCGATCTGCCCACCTCGGCCTCCCAAAGTGCTGGAATTACAGGTGTAAGCCACTGTGCCCAGCCCCTCAAACCCCCTTTGTAATGGACTAATGTAGTATAAACATTGTAAACAAATATAAATTAAAATATTCTTACTTGACTGCAGCAAATACATTATCTCCATTTGGAACAATTATACAATTTTTCTTTGCTTCATTTATACCAACATATACAGGAAATTCATCAGGAGAATCCCTGTGTAAGCAAAAGACATTAAAAATTTAGCTGCCCATAATTTATATTATCAGGCAAGTGGGATTTCAGGTCTACAGACAACAATTTACACCTATTTTTTTTCCTTTTTGGAGGCCTTTTTTTTTTTTTAATCATACCAGAATTTATCGATTACATCAAACAAAAATTTCTGTAATGGAAAAGGCAAGTTGCAGTCATAAAAGATGGCATTCACATTCATTTTAGAAAGCAACAACGTAGATGTAAAAAATTGTTTAAGTGAAAAATGTAATATTGCAGTCCCATTTTGCAAGCTGAAAAATTTTGTCAACACACATAAAATCTGCACATTTACATACTGCATGTTAAAAAATTCCATCACTAAAGTATTATAAATATTGCAAAGTTAGGCTTAAATTTATACTGTTGCTGGTGTATATGTAGTAGATATGGAATGAATGTTTTCAGTTTAGTAGGTAGCATCCTCAAACAACGGACAACAGTTGTGAAAATTACAAAGACATTTCAATAGCTCAAAATTATCCAAATTATAGGTACATCGTCCTATTATTACACTTTTTTCCCTTTCTCTGTCACAAATAGGATGATTACATTGTAGTGGTAGGAATACTGCATGGTCTACTTCAAATTATTCGATCTGCTAACCCCACACTAGTCATTTTTCATCAGCTCCTCAGTAAAATATCTTTTAAAAAGGAAAGCCAGGTCCCTCCCAAGGATCTAGGTTGATGCCTTTTTTATAAGGGCATTTTTAAAAAAATTCAAACAAATTTGCCAGTTTTAAGCTCCAAGTTTCTTAGGAATATCTATGATAAATCTTATATAATGGAACCTAAAACTAAGATTCTTAGGACCTAGTTGCTTTTATACTCAAATACAAAAAAAAAAAAAAAGGAAAAACAAGAAAAAGGATTGTAAAACATTAGAGATGAAAGGATCCTATTCACGTATATAACCAAACCTTTTATTTTAAAATTGAGGAAACAAATACCGAGAGGTTAAATTACTCAGCCAAGGACCTAGTAAGTTAGGACCTTGGCTACAGTATAATTCAATTCCTAGCCACATGTGCATTCTGCTGTACTACAACACTTCTTCCTGGGCACGTTCCTTCTATTACCTTACATTTAATCTTCACTTTAAAGGATAGCATTTCTACTGGTACAAGCGGACAAGTATTTTCCTCCTGGAGTTTCTCTATTTCTAAGTATTCTGCATGCATTCATTTAATTCTCATAATATTCCTATCAGGTATGTACAGTTATCCCTATTGTTACAAGACAGGAAACCGAGTCACAGAAAGTCACAGTCAGTAATGATACAGGGTCACACAGATAATAAACAAGAGGACCAGTGTGACTCCAGAGACCACTCTTAACTACCAGTTGCCACTCTGGCACACGGCTTATTAAGCACAGCTGCTCTAAATTATCTTTCTTGGGCCAAAAGAGCTCTTCTGAACCCAAAAGGGAAAAAAAGTTTACAAGGAAAGGAAAAACAAGTGAGATTAAACCTAAAGAGTTTACCCATCCTAGGGAAGGTTAAAACGGTAACAGCAAGAACAACAGATGGCTCATATATCCACCAACAGGGGAAAATATGCCTTTCACCTTGGGTGAGGCTAGTGAATAACTATTTATCCTCATTAGCAGGACAGCAGCTGTATTTTAGAGGCGAAGAAAAGATCCTTTACCTGAAATACCCCATGTGGTACTGAGTTTTATTATCTCCAATAATAATGGTCTGGAACTCAGGAGGATCATAGTAAAACCTCCAGTGAAGGTTAAAATTCAGGCCTGTTGATTTTTTCTTCGTTTTATGTTTTCCAGCAAGGATATCATAAGGACCAACTAATTGAAGTCCAAGGCTTGCAGAAAGTGAATCTATAAAGAAAATAAATTTAGACAATACTTTCTGGAGACAGGTAGGAAATAATGCTTTTATTTAGTAAACTATTTCTAAGCAATTGTCTTTAAAAAGTTTCTAAACTAAAAAAATCTTGAGTTATGTGTGAAGATGTCAGTTATAAACATTCAATGGAAAAGAAGTCAGAGTAACAGGAAAAGTGGTATTTACATTTAGGATTTCCTCTTAAATTTACCACTGAATTAGCCTAACATTTCAGACATTCCTGTTGTTTCTTATTTTGGCCAAAGCAAGACTGGTTTGTATTCCTATAGGCCCATTACCACACTGCAGTTAGCCTCAAATACTTGTAGTACACACAGGTTAAGGGAGAGAAAGATAGCAAAAATGTGTGGATTAAGAGTAGTAAAAAACAGGCCAGGTGTGGTCGCTCACACCTGTAATCCCAGCACTTTGGCAGGCTGAGGCGGGCTGATCACCTGAGGTCAGGAGGAGACAAGCCTGGCCAACATGGCAAAACCCCGTCTCTACTAAAAATACAAAAATTAGCCGGGTGTGGTGGCTCACGCCTGTAATCCCAGCTATTGGAGAGGCTGAGGAACAAGAATCACTTGAACCCTGGAGGTGGAGGTTGCAGTGAAACGAGATTGCGCCATTGCACTCCAGCCTGGGTGACAGGGTGAGGCTCTGTCTCAAAAAAAAAAAAAAAAAAAAGGTAAAAAACATTTCTATCCCCTTTCCTCTACCTCAGCTAATCACACCAGATTCCCCTGACTCTTTGACAATCTATTTGGCCAACCCTAACCCTGGATGACTCCATCTTCCTTCTCTATTCACGGATCACAGACAGGGAGTGTTCATAAACCACAAAGACATGAAGTCTGTGCAAGTGTACAATGCATAACTTCAAATGGGTCCTTACTTCTAAGATGGAGGGAAGCACCCCAGACAGGACCCAGTTTTATAAGGAGGGAAGGATGAAGAAAACAAAAAAATTCCTGGAAGAGGTAATAACATGAATAGAAGCATGGAGATAACTTGACAGGAAAAATAGTTCAGCTTAACTGAAGCTTAGGAGAGCATACACTAATTTTTAAAGCATGAAGAAAACTAAAACCATCCATCTCATTAGCCGAAGATAACAGTTAATAGTCTATTATACAGTAACAAATTTCCATACTCTCCACCCCCATGAACAGATACAAACATGTAACAAACTGAGAAGGGTTGTTTTGTATTGTAATCTGCTTTTGTCCTCCATCCTGTCCCATTTAAATGTTCTGAATATTTTTCCATGCTATTCAATGTTATTTGACATGATTTTTTAATAGGGCATAATACTGCATTATAAAGAGGTAACCATCTATTCTCTTACTGAGGGAAATTTACTATTTCTTTTTTCTGTTCTAAAATGTTTCAGTGAACATCTTTGCTAATAAATGTTTGTATACAGGCATGACTTTTTTTTTTTTTTTTTTTTGAGATGGAGTCTCGCTCTGTCACCCAGACTGGAGTGCAGTGGTGTGATCTTGGCTCACTGCAACCTCCGCCTCCTGGGTTCAAGCAATTCTCTGCCTCAGCCTCCCAAGTAGCTGAGATTACAGGCACCCGCCACCACGCCCAGCTAAAGGCATGACTATTTTTAAAGAAACAGCTACACAGTTCTGTTCTGATCTACTGGCAAAATTCAGAATATGTATCAATACACATTTCCATCAATAGTGTATGACAGTGCCTACTAGTTAAAAAATTTAAATAGTATAGTGCAAAGTAATGAACACAGCCCATTAACAGTTTCTTTATCCTTTCAGAGACAAAATAAGCACACAGAAAAGTATACAGGGATATGTGTGTACTCTCTCTCCCCCATGCTATTTTTAAAAAAATACTAATGGTAGCATACTCTATACACTCTTCTTTTTCACTTAACATATTTCAGGCATGATAGTTTATTATTTCCTAAAAATCTGCTTCATTCTTTTAAAACAATGAAGATCTACTGAATAGATGTGGTATTGGTAGGCATTTAAGCCATTTCCCATTTTTTCTTTAAGTAAATATCCTCAAACATAATTCTTAGTTTATGTAATCCATAAGACAAGTTCTTGGAAGCAGAACTGTTATAACTCCTGCAACACATGAAAGAGCTTGCTTTCCTTCACATTCCCCCAGAATGTGATGAAATTACCTTTGCCAATAAACTAGGTGACAGTGGCATTACTATAGCATTAATCTATATTTCTTTCTATATTTTCTCTTACTAGAAGAAACATCTTGGAAAATATTTGTTTTCTATGAACAGTTTATATCCTTGGTTAGGTTTTTTTTTTTTTTTTTTTTTCTGAGACAGGGTCTTGCTCTGTCACCCAGGCTGGAGTGCACTGGCACAATCTCGACTCACTGCAGCCTCTGCTTCCCAGGTTCAAGCAATGATCGTGCCTCAGCTTCCCGAGTAGCTGGGACTACAGGTGTGCACCACCATGCCCAGCTAAATTTTGTATTTTTAGTAGAGACAGGGTTTCACTGTGTTGCCCAGACGGGTCTCGAATTCCTGACCTCAAGTGATCTGCCTGCCTCAGCCTCCCAAAGTGCTGGGATTACAGGCATAAGCCACCATGCCTGGCCAATTATTCTATGTTTTAGAGACGGGGTCTTGCTCTGTCACTGAGGCTGGAGTGATCAGAGCTCACTGCAACCTCAAACCACTGAGCTCAAGGAGGGATCCTCCCATCTCAGTCTCCTAAGTAGCTAGGACTATAGGCACATGCAACCACGTCTAGTTTTTTGTTTTTGTTTTTAATTTTTTTGTGGAGGTCTCACTATGTTGACCAGGTTGGTCTCAAACTCCTGGCCTCAGGCAATCCTCCTGCCTCAGCTGGGATTACAGAGTGTGAGCCACCACACCCAGCTGGTTTCCTATTACATTACTCTTTCCATTAATACAAGAATGATTCTGGAGCAACTCACCAGATGGCTTTTCAGGATCAAGTTCTTCACAGAACTTCCAGAAGTGATAGAAATCTTCAGGTAAAGAAAGCTTATAATGATTTTCTACTTCTTTTCGAAGGTCACTGGAGACATCAGCTTCACAGAATTTACTTTTCTTCACATCAGTTGTTTTTTCACACTGAAAATTGGCACACAAACTTTAGTTCTCCAAATTTCAGTAACTCTCCTTGCATAACAGTATCTATCACTCTTGTTCACCCAACTCTATGAAATACATGTGTTTTCCTTAAAACTCTCTAAATGGTCTTTGAGTAAAATCTGGGAATTCATTTGGGCACAGGAAAAAAGAGTAGTTTATATGGTGGTTAAGAGGAATCCACACAGCAAGTCTTTAAATATATTTTTGTAAGATAATGGAAACCACAAAAAACAAAAAGGTAAAAAAAAGAAATAATAAAGAGCAGGAAGAGAGGAATAAAGAAAGGGCAGATTTTGCCCTCTTTTGGTTAAAGGTGTGAGTCTTTTAAACAGATTCATTGATCAAATGAGAAACAAATAGAAGTAACTGGATATAAGCAATTCATCAGTTAAAAAGCTGTTTCTTTAGCAACTTCTAGAGTTGTGTCTGAGCTATTCACTACAATCATTACCCAGCCTTAAAAACAGATACCTCCCTTTTGATTTTCCAGATAAAGAGGGAAGGTTAGTGACAATGTTAAACATCTATAGTTCCTAATAAAGTTAGCAGAATAGCACTAAACTCTGGGCCAAAAATCCAATTATTTCAGAAAAGGCCTTTTAATGCCAGGATGAAGTTATAATACTCATCTCTAGGACCACCACAATACAGGTTCATTATATAAGTATACTAGGTTTTATAATGCCTACTAGATATTTGATAAATTTCTGTAAAGACAATATGCTTAATTGGAAGTTACGTATGTTTAGTTTTCTAAGCAGCAATCTGTTTTTCTATGAACCTAGATTCTTTCTTTTTGGATTAAGTTCTTTCCTTTTTATTCTTCCTACCTAGAGCAGTGGTTCTCAACCGGTGGTGATTTTGCCCCCCAGGGGACATTTGGAGACCTATTTAGTTGTCACCAATTGGAAGAAACGGTGCTAGTGGGGCAGAGGCCAGGTATGCTCAACATCCTATAATGCCCAGGATAGGCATCCTCAACAAAGACTACTGGCCCCAAATGTCAACAGTGCTCAAGTTGAGAAATTCTGAGCTAGATGTTTCTCATATTTATATATTTTTTTATTTTATTATTATTATACTTTAAGTTTTAGGGTACATGTGCACAATGTGCAGGTTTGTTACATATGTATACATGTGCCATGTTGGTGTACTGCACCCATTAACTCGTCATTATTAGGTATATCTCCTAATGCTATCCCTCCCCCCGCCCCCTCATATTTATATTCTTCTATTTTCTCAGTAGTCTGAAGTTTATTAACGTTAGGTATCATTCAACGTCTACAAAATGTAATCAGATGATACAAGAATGGTCATGGTGGCATTAATTCCAAGAGCAAAAACAGAACAAATGAAATACCTATTGTTAGGAGAACAGTTGTAAGGTTTTCAAACAATAGACTATTACACTTAATATTACAGTTGACCCTTGAGCAACAAGGGTTTGAATTTTGTGGACCCACTTATACATGAATTTTTTTTCCAACCAAATGCAAATAAAAAAATACAGTATTCTTGGGATGTGAAATCCACTTATAGAGAGGGCCAACTTTTCGTATACTCGGGTTCCACAGGACCAACTTTGGAACTTGGGTATGCTCAGATTTGGGGATATATGGAAATTTGTTACTGTATACTAGACTATTAACTGTGTTATCTTTGGCTAATGAGATGGTTTGTTTTCTTGTTGCTTTAAAAATTAGTGTATGCTCTCCTAAGGTCCTGGAACCAATCTCCGTCATTTACCGAATGGTTACTCTATGGCTACACAATATGGACCAACCTATATTCAATATTTTTAATGAGGAAAAAAGCTCTTGATTATATGCAGCATGATAGCCTTTTTATGAAGTTCAAAAACTAAGAATAAATATTGTTTAGGTATACACTCATGGGAGATAAGCCTATTTTTAAAAGGCAAGGGAAAACAAAATTCAGGATAGCTACACTGAAAATAATTGACAGGAAGAAGGCTGAACGGATAGGAGAGGAACACGTGTAGATGTAGAGCTATTGTCTGTTTCAGCTTTGGGATTGGGCAATGGGTTCACTGGTGTTTGTTACATTACTTAACATAAATAAGGTCAAAGACGATCATGAATATGGTAACAGTTTATTATGCCAAGGATTATAATGTGTCTGATTTATAAAAAAAATTACGTTCAACAAAAAGCCTGTTGAACAATGAATCCAAAAGTGAGTATCAATAATAGCAAATAGTAATAGTAAAGATAATATAATAGTAAAAACAAGTAGTTAAGTGATACTTACTGAGAACTTATTTTGTGCTGTTTCACTGTTCTAAGCACCTTCTGTGGATTAACTCATTTAGTCCTCAACTGTCTCATGCACTAGATACCATTAACCTCATCGTACAGCTGAGGAAACTGAGGTTAACCTCCCTACGTCCCTAACTAGGAAGTGGAAGAGAAGGGATTTAAACTCAGGTTTAAATCTGGGTCCACAGCAGATCCTCAACCACTTCACTATGCTGCTTCTCCAACATCAAATATAGAACAGTAGGAACATATGAAGTCCTGAGCTATCCTATCTTCTGTTTTCATAACTGTCTTTGTTCAGACGTTCAAAGACTGGCTCCAACTTAAGATGTTAGAAAAGGCTTAATCTGCCTTGCTGAAAGGCAGTTTTGCATAATAGTTAGGTTGCCTGGGTTGACTCCTGACTCTACTGATTTCCAACCTTAGGCAAGTTACTTAACCTCTCTGTGCTTTGTTTTCTCATCTGCAAAAAGGGCATACAGTGCCTATATCGGGGTTGTTACAAGGAATGTTATTATATGTAAAAATACACAGAACGGTCCTAGCACATAATATACAAATGCTGGCCATTACGGTTATAGTCTCTACAGACTCATCTTCATTTCTGTTATTGTATTTCTAGTTAAGCACATCACTCCACCAAAGCAGTTCTTCACTGCACCTTCAAAAAGAGAATTTTTTCAGCTGTGCCTTTACTCACACACTAGTTCAGCATCTCCATAGCCCTAACAACTAGGATTTAGAACAGCTGTCCCCTTCAGAGGCTACACTTCTTCTTTACCCTGGTCTTCCTAGAATGCATGACCCAATATGAAGGATGCCTATACCGATGGCCCTTTAACAGTTAGTTAAGCCCTCTAAGAATGTCTCACCCTGTCCGATTTATGACACTACCAGAGTAACTTTTCTAAAACTTTAGTTATCACAATGGCACTTCTTTCCTGATTCCCCTTATTGCTACTGTAGTGGTTACAGAACTTCCGAAATCGTAGTAAAGTATGAGAATGCACACACTCTCTCCTCCTCCCCTCTCAGTAGTGCTTTTATGATCAGGTCCCTCTTATTTTCCCATTTCCCTGGCTCCAGCCAAGCCGAACGCTCCGCTACGCCCAAACATCTCCTACAGTTTTATGTCTCAGAATCTTACTTCTCTGCCTTCAAAACCAATTTTCAAAGAGTTGTCTTAAAAGTCTTCTTTAACACCCCCTGGGACTTGTTAAATCCTCCTTCAGTGTTTCCATAGCACTTTCTACACACCAGCGTTATAATCCCAAACAAAAAAGTCACAGTAGAATGCATATTTGCTTGTGCCCCTCCTCCCCAGGCCGAGGGCTCAACAAGCAGCAGGAGCAAGCAGGTTGACCCCCAAATCCGCAGCGCCCCACAGAATGTCAGGTATGTAATCGGTTCCCAATCAATCTGGCTGGGCGAATGAACCATTGGTTGGCTTAATCCGTTTCCCCAGGAAATGCTCCAAGAGGAGCTGGGCAGAAGATGCAGAGGAGCTACTTTCCTGGTCCAACCCCCTGCAGAGCGCGAAACAGCGGCCCTGGGCAGGATCCCCGCAGCAAACCGCAGCCCCTGGACACACAGCAAGCTTAATAGTCACTGGATGAATGAAAAGCGCTGCCTCCTGGTGCCCTGGCTGTCACCCAAAGCGCCCCGCGTAGCCCGCACAGCCTTTCCGGCAGTACCTGCGGCCCCTCTCCGCCGGGCCTGCGCTTCCCGCCACCGCCGACCATTCTGCAGCTGCAGCGCCAGCAGAATTCCCCGATCCGCGGCCGCTTCCGAGCGCCGCCAACCGCTTCCGGGTTCAAAAGCCTCCAAGCCGAATTTCAGCGCCGCCCGGGCTCGCCAATTTAGGGGAAAGGCTCCGCCCATTCCCCGCCCCCTGAGACCTGGCACCGGACGCGTTGAGGCCCCGCCCACTCCCGTGCTGGGCGCGTGCAAGGAGCGTCTTCTGTCAGCGTAGTCTGCATCTAGGCTTTCTGGAGCATCTTCCAGGGTCGCTCCAGAGACCCCCCAGACTACTGAATCTGAATCCTTAGAGTGGTCCAACCTTCCTCTTCAGGTGTCTACTAGAGGCAAGGTTGGATGTATGCGGCTGTTCTCAATACAGCCCCTTCCTTGTTTTTTCTTCATTTATATTTACTTAAAATATTAATCCTTTTCTCCTTCTCCTCCATCCCTCTCCCTACCCTACTGTACGGTTATTGGCTTACACTAATTCATTCCCGATTGTCTCCAAGAAGGAAATAAATGTCTGTCGGTCTCTGTCTCTGTACCGTCGTCTTCTTGGTACAATTTGGACTGTTTTTCCTCTACACCGCTGATATGCAAAGTGTAGTCCCTGAACCAGCGGCCTCAGCATCCTGAGGGAATTTGTTAAAACGCCAAATCTCAGGCCTTACCCAGACTTACTGAATCAATATCTGCATCGCAACAAGATCCCCTGGTAATTCCTATGCACATAAAATTTGGAAGGCACAACTCTCAACTGATGTCCTTGGACCTCCTTCACATCCATCCTGGGAAGGTCTTATTCCTCATTCCTGAGATGAGTTCTCTATTTCCTCAATCTGGGTGTTCCTTTTTCTTGATTATATACCCTCATGTTGTGGAACATATCCGCCAATAGTTCCTTGAGAGAGGTTGCTGCCAGGTCTTTTTTCCCACAGAGTGTGCATGTCTGGAAATGTTTTTATTCTGGCTGAGCACAGTTCTAGGTTGAAAATAACTTTCACTCGGAATATTGGAGGGCTTGCTCCGCAATATTTTAGCTTCCAGAATTGTTAAGAAACTATGTCGTTATATTTCCTTCTCCTTCACAGGTCACTAAATTTCTTGATATGTAACCTGCTTTCCTTTCTGTTTTGTTTTGTCTCAAGAAGCTTTAGGATCTTTTCTCTGTTTCCAGTGTTTTTTGTTTTGTTTTGTTTTGTTTTGTTTTTTTTGAGACGGAGTCTCGCTCTGTTGCCCAGGCTGGAGTGCAGTGGTGCCACCTCAGCTCACTGCAAGCTCCACCTCCCGGGTTCACACCGTTCTCCTACCTCAGCCTCCGGAGTAGCTGGGACTACAGGCGCCCGCCACCACGCCCAGCTAATTTTTTTTTTTTTTGTATTTTTAGTAGAGACGGGGTTTCACCGTGTTAGCCAGGATGGTCTCGATCTCCTGACCTCGTGATCCGCCCTCCTCGGCCTCCCAAAGTGCTGGGATGACGGGTGTGAGCCACCGCGTCCGGCCTATTCCCAGTGTTCTAAAACACTATTGAGTGTCTTGGTTATGGGTCTTTTCTCATTCCTATCGACCAGTTTTTCAATCCTGAAACACATGTTCTTCAGTTATGGGAATTCTTCTGGTATTATTTATTTGATCATTTCTTCCCCCCCACCCCCCATCGTATCTCTTCTTTTTTGAAATTTGTTATTTAGATCGTGGACCTTCTTGGCTGATGTTTTTTCTTACCTGTCTGTCCTATTTTCTATGTCTTCATATTTTTATTCTACTTTCTCTGTGACTTTCTCAACTTAATTGGACAATTACTTAATTTCTTTATTATACTTAATAAAGATTAATTACTTAATTTCTGTATTATACCTTTATTTCTCAGTGCTCTTTTTATTCTCTGTTCTTTTATAGCATTACATTATTTTTCATGAATATAGCTCCTTTTATCTCTGAAGATGTCAATTATAGCGTTTTTAAAAATGCTTTCTACGTAACTCTGCATTGACTTTGATTCTTTTGAGTCTTTTTTGGTTGTTTGTTTGTTTACATTTGGTTCCTGTTGTTTCTGCTAGAGGCATTCTTCATCTTGTGTGGTGATCCTTGCTGTCAATTTATATGTAAAAATGAGGCTCTAAAAAGGTGCTTTGGGGACATAGGCAAGGCTTGTTTACTGCTGGACAAGGTGTAAGATGATGGGGAAAGAACCAGCTGTTTATTTTCTTCTAGAGAGTAATCTTCTAATTACTCACTTTGAGAATATACAGACTTCTTGGAGCCCAATGCAGGAAGGAGGCTGGGAGTCTTAATAATTTCATTATATGCACTGTATTAGTCGGGGTTCTCCAGAGAAACAGAACAAATAGGTATCTATTTATCTATATCTATACCTACATCTGTATCTAGCTATCTATTAGCTCACGTGATTATAGGGGTTGAGAAGCTGCATAATCTGCTGTCTGCAAGCTGAAGATCCAGAAAGCCCATATTGTAGTTTGAAGCCCTGATAACTGGGGAGCCAATGGTGTAGATTCCAGTTCGAGTTTGAAGTCTTGCAAACCAGGATCACCAAGGGCAGGAAAAGATCAAAGATTCAGTTCAAGAATCTAGCAGAGAGAGAGTGAATCCTCCCTTCCTCTACCTTTTTGTTTTATTCAGACCCGAATGGATAAGATGATGCCCACCCACATTGGTGAGGATAATCTCTTTTACTTAGTGCCCCCGCAGACACTCAGTAATACCGATTAACCAGGTATCTGGGCATCCTGTGGTCCAGTCAAGTTGACACATAAAATTAACTCTCCACCGCGTGTGGCGGCTCATGCCTGTTTCCCAGCACTTTGGGAGGCCAGGGAGGGTGGATCACTTGAGGTCAGGAGTTCGAGACCAGCCTGGCCAATGTGGTGAAACCTCATCTCTACTAAAAATACAAAAATTAGCCAGTCATGGTGGCACGTGCCTGTAGTCTCAGCTACTTGGGAGGCTGAGATACAAGAATCACTTGAACCCGGGAGGCAGAGGTTGTAGTGAGCTGAGATCACGCCACTGCACTCCAGCCTGGGCGACAGAGTGAGACTCCGTCTCAAACAAAAATAAGATAAGATATAATTATGCATACCTTCACTTAACACCACTGTTTCATAATAGCATTTTTACCTTCAGCTGTGTCTGGTGTCCCTGAATCCATATTCTGGTTCCATATCTCCCAAAAGAAACAATCTTCAGGTTGGGAATGGAGGTTAGAGAATGTTTCCCTGACTTTGCCAGGGGAGGAAATCTAGGAGTCTTAACTGCTTCTGGGACTTTTAATGGTCTCTTTTCAGCTCAACCCACTGAAGAGGTATGGTACTTCCAATTCCTGAGCCATTGTGAGGTTCTGCAGTGTCAGTGAGCTTGCTTCCAGGCATCATCTCTGAAAACACTTGGGTTTTCTCTGGGAAGTCCATATGTTCACCAGTATATTAGCTCCCTAAAGCTGCCATAACAATTACCAAAAACTGGGTGGCTTAAAACTATGGAAATTTATTCCCTCACAGTTACGGAGGCTAGAAATAAAAAATCAAGGTGTCAGGAGGTTGGTTCCTTCTGGGGACTGAGGGACAATCTGTGCCATGCCTTTGCCTTAGCTTCTGGTGACTGCTGGCAGTCCTTGGTGTTCCTTGGCTTGCAGATGAATCACTCCAATATCTGCCTCTGTCATTACGTGTTCTCCCTGTGCATCTGCCTGTGTCTAACTTTCTTTTTGTAAGGACAGCAGTCCGTTAGATTACGGCCCACCCTAATCCAGTATCACTTTATCTTTTTTTTTTTTTTTTTTTGAGATGGAGTTTCACTCTGTTGCCCAGGCTGGAGTACAGTGGTGCCATCTTGGCTCACTGCAACCTCTACCTCCCAGGTTCAAGCAATTCTCCGGCTTCAGCCTCCTGAGTAGCTGGGACTACAGGCACGCACCACCAGGCCCAGCTAGTTTTTGTATTTTTAGTAGAGACAGGGTTTCACCATGTTGGTCAGGCTGGTCTTGAGCTCCTGACCTCAAACGATCCACCTGCCTCAGCCTCCCGGAGTGCTGGGATTACAGGCGTGAGCACCACACCTGGCTGTCACTTTATCTTATTTTGATCACATCCACGCAGACCCTATTTCCAAATATGGTTACAGTCAATGTATCCTTTGGGGGGATGCAGTTCAACCACATCAACTGATTTCTAAAGTTTTGTGGCATTTTTCAGTTGTCTCTTCTCCAGTTTTCTTTGTTTTTATGAGTATATGGTCCATCTGTCCCCCTTTTTAACCTTCTTTATCTTTGTTTTAGTGAGGCTTCTTAAGGAGTGGAGGAAAGTGGATGTTTTCAAGGTATGTTAAGTATGTTAACTGGAGGATTTATTGTTGCTATTTTTCAGTTGAATAACATCAGGTTGGCAGTTGTAACCTGTAAAACTGCACTTATTATATGCAATTTCAAGTTCAGAACTAAAACTTTGCTCTGAATAATAATTTGTAACCATCTTTTATAGAATGAAATTTCTATTTTAATTCAAACATTTGACATTTAATATATTTTATCCTGTTCATATGTTTACTCCACAGTGATTTTGAAGGAATGGGTAGAGTTGACCAAATTTGGTATACTTCTTCAGGTTATCAGTGTCTGTCATTTTGAAACAAAGTTATTATTAATAAATGTTTTATATCTAGTACTTACTATGCAATACTATTCTTTTCTAATATTTATTTTTAATTGACAGATAATTGTGTATATTTATAGAATACAATGTGATGTTTTGATATATATATACACACAGTGGAATGATTATGTCAAGCTAATTTACATATTCATTACATCAAATACCTATTGTTTTTTGGAGTGAGAACATTTCAAATCTACTCTTCTAACAATGTTGTCATATGTAATACATTATTATTAACTATGTTCACTATGTGGTGCAATAGATCTCAAAAACTTATTCCTTCTGTCTAACTAAAACTTTGTACCCTTTGACAGTATCTCTGCAGTTCCCATTTCCAACCCCCAGCCTCTGGTAACCAGCATTCTACTCTCTACTTCTGTAAGTTCAACTTTTTTAGATTCCACATATAAGTGAGATTATGCAATATTTGTCTTTCTGTGACTGGCTTATTTCACTTAGCATAATGTCCTCTAGTTTCACCTACATTGTCAAAAATGACAGAATTTCGTTTGTTAAGGCTGAATAGTATTCCATTGTATATGTACCACATTATCCATTCATCTGTTGATGGACACTTATGTTGGCTATTGTGAATAATGCTGCAATCAATATGGATGCCTAGACATCTCTTTAACATGTTGATTGCAATTCCTTTGTGTATATACTCAGGAGTGCAATTGCTGGATCATATAGTAGTTCTAGTTTTAGTTTTTTGAGGAACCTCCACACTGTCATAATGGCTGTGTTAATTACCACTCCCACCAACAGTGTACAAGAGTTTCCTTTTTCTTACATTCTCACCAACCCATGTTATCTTTGATAATGTCTATTGCTATTGTAACAGGTGTCAGGTACTATCTCATTGTGGTTTTAATTTGTATTTCTCTGATAACTAGCAATGTTGAGCATTTTTGAATAAACCACAATAATACTAAGTGCTTTGCTGAGACTAACTGATATAAGCCACATACCAGTCATGTGAGGTAATTCCTATTTGTACTCCCATTTTACAGATAAGGCAGCTAACATTCAAAGAGGTTAAGTGAATTTTCCAAAGTCACACAGCAAGCTCTGGAGGTGGGATTCAAACCTGAATAGTCTATCCTTTCAGAGTACTTTCAACGCTATGCAATACTGTCTGTCTAGCAATCAGCCAGATTGAATAAAGTCTGTAGTTCACAGAGCCACTTGCATTTTTAATCCTAGTTTAATTAACTTAGGAAATTTGTATCTAAAGGATGCATCTTTAAAAAAAAAGAGAGAGAGACAGGATCTCACTGTATTGCCCAGGTTGGCCTCAAACTCCTGGGCTCGAAGCCATCCTCCCATCTCAGCCTCCCAAAGTGCTGAGATTACAGGCATGAGCCACCACGTCCTGCCAGGATACATAGGTTTTACTGTATCCTCTGAACCTCCCTTTAATCAAGAGAGTGGACAAAACTGTGGGTCCCTCATTTTCAAAACGGCCAGTAAAAGAGGAAATAAGGAAATGCAATGTTTAACTATTCTGCTGCCCTCTTTAAGTTGATTGAGGACCTCTTTGTCACTACTTCAGGAAGATAACTTACCTTCTCTTATTCACTAGGGCTAACTGGAGCTTTTCTCATGTATTTATGGTTGCTGGGAAATTTTCAAATAAAATTCACTGGGAGTGGTTTGAAATTGCAGAATTTTTAGCCTCTCAATGTTTTGTTTTCCTCTAGTGAGTTTGACATAAATAATATCCTCTTTTGAGATTTGTATCTTTGAAAGACTTTTTTTTTAAGTTTCTCAGTGAAACAAAGAAAAAGTTAGAAGGTGGCTGGGTGCAGTGGTTCACGCCTGTAGTCCCAACACTTTGGGAGGCCGAGGCAAGTGGATTGCCTGAGCTTAGGAGTTCGAGACTAGCTTTGGCAACACGGCAACACCCTGTCTCTACTAAAAGCACAGAAATTCTCTGGGCATGGTAGCACATGACTTTGGTCCCAGATACTCAGGAGGCCTAGGTGGGAGGATCGCTTGAGCCCAGGAGGCAAAGGTTGCAGTGAACCAAGATTGCGCCACTGCACTCCAGCCTGGGTGACAGAGTGAGACCCTGTCTCGAAAGAAAGACAGAAAAAACTAGAAGGATATCAGTTTTATTAGAAAAAATAATTTAAAAATTGCCAGTTTCCCTAGAATTAAGCCATAATATGTCCATAGCTTTGTATCAGATTGCTGACTTTGCCTGGGGAGAAAGTTATATTTGTTTGTATTGTTTTTTCCTTTTTTGTCAAATCTGGGGTGACACAATGGTCATCAATATACTTTTAGATCTATGTCTTCATTGGGGATGATGCTAGTGAGCTTACGTGGAAAAATTATCTGTATGAAAGCAGAATTGATTGGTCATTGCCAGCACCTTTGATTTTCCCTTAATAATTATAATATGATAACTTAAAATATGTGTTTTTATAGAAATCTGTGTCAAACAAGATATATAGAATGTGATTCTGTAGAATACTAATAAGTGAGAATTCAGATGTGGGCTACCAGAACTATAGAGTGACAAGTAAAATCAGTGAAATGTAAGGATGGCACGGTTCGAGGTTCTCAAACCAAATAAAATGCTAAAAAAGAAAAGGATCCTAATCACAATACAGATTTAGAGAACACACAACAATAGTAGCTATGAAATGTATATTTTTCAGGTCTAAAAGTTACTGGATTTGCTATGTAGGTGGTAGTCCTTGGTGAAACATGGATTAATAAAAGACAGAAAATGGAAGCAAGAGTTCCTATGTATTCTTTAAGAGCGTCTGATTCTAGCATTCATCTAAATTTAAGCTCTAGATCAAAGAGAATATTTTTAGACTGGGTGTGGTGGCTCATGCCTGTAATCTCAACACTTTGGTAGGCCAAGGTGGGCGGATCACCTGAGGTCAGGAATTCAAGACCAGTCTGGCCAACATGGTGAAACCCCATCTCTAAAAAATACAACAATTAGCCGGGCTCGGCTTATGCCTATAATCCTAGTACCTGGGTGGCTGAGGCAGGAGAATCACTTGAACCTGAGAAGCAGAGGCTGCAGTGAGCCGAGATCCCACCACTGCACTCCAGCCTGGGCAACAGAGCAAGACTCTGTCTCAAAAAAAAAAAAAAAAAGAGAATATTTTTACAAGTTTTTTCTTTTTTTTTCAATCTTTGTGCACTTTGAAGGCCATAGATGTCATAGCTAGCTTCTTAAGCATTTCTTTCTGCCTTTGTTATGAGAGCTGCTGAAAATTAAAGACAAGACAAGATGCCACTTAGGATCCCAGGACTTGAGAGTGTAGCCAGACATTCAGCATTAACGTGTATTCAGGGCAGAATAACCACATAGAGCAGCACATGTGTAAGGAATTACAGGCTTATCCAATTGAATTTCTAAGGTTCTAAATGATGGAAGTCATTCACTCTGGCAGTCAGGATTGAGCTGAGTCCTGTGACTCACGCTGTTGGCCAACCCTGGAGGATAAATCAGCTTTGAGAAGGCCCAGAGCCCCCATAGCCTTATGATTCTGATTCCCAAATAGGCTGTAAAATAGGACTTCTTTTAGGGGCTATTCATAGCAGGGGGACCTAATTTGGGAGATATGGGTGATTGTATTGCAGAAGAAACAGATTTGGGAAGGATAAACTTTTTTTCTAATTTGCTGTATAAAAGTTAGCAGAAGCTTCAGGCAGAGCTGATCCTAGACAATTGTTATTGATGGGCTGCAAATGAGCTGTAGCATTAATCTTTGACACTGCACTCTTGGCCTTACCTTTGGCCACTTTGACTCTGGCAAATTATACAGCTAAATGGTGGTGAAACTGGTCTGCCCAATTATGCTTAATCCAGATCAGTTACTCTGGGACCATGTAACCCTTAATTAGCACTAGTTGGATGATCCAAACACATCTTTGAAAGGCCCCAGAGGTTCTCCAGTCTTCATATTTACAGTGGATGAAAATTCCAGCTGATTCGCCAATTCTTTTCCTACCACAATTTCTTAGAATCTAGCTCTGAGCACAAACTGGCACATAATGGGTGCTCAGTAAATATTAATTGGCTTATCGACCTCTTTAATGAATAGCAGTCACCATCATTAAATAGTTACTTGCCCATCCTTTCATCCATTCAGTTATTTGTTCATTCAGAACATTTATTAAGTCCCAATTATGTGTCAGAACTATGTTAGGCACTGAAAAGACCAAGATGACACAGTTGCTATGTTCCAGGAGCTTATAGTGTACTGAGGAGTCCTATAAATGTACAGTCAGTATTCCTGCTAGTCACATAGAAGCAGTGTAAGAATTATGTAAGTCTTTATCACACTCCAACCTTCCAGACACATTGCTCCAGAGTAGTCTCTTTAAAAGAATTGATCTAATCATTTTACTCTGTGACTATCACAGAGTTGATCAGAGCAAAAATTCTGAACGACTAGTGTTACCACCAGGAAATAAGAAGTGACACAACAAAGGGCGATATGGTAGAGAGCAAGCTCAGGTAATATGAGGAGTTTGCGAGGTGATGTTACAAGGGAACATCAAAAGCAGCAACTGAGATCAAGATTGTGGAAAATAGCCAAGGAAACAGGAGCTGGGAATGTAGGGAGCAGTTACTAGAAGGATCCAACAGGATATTACTATTGAGTAATTGCCTTGTATAAGGTCATTCTCCTCACCTTCCAAGTTATGTGTTTAATTTCTGAATATAAAGTTATACTTAATTTTAGGGCTGGGTGCAGTGGGTTATTCCTGTAATCCCAGCACTTTGGGAGGCTGAGGTGGGAGGATCACTTAAATCCAGGAGTTTGAGACCAGTCTGGGCAACATAGCAAGACCCTGTCTCTATAAAAAGTAGTAATAATTTTAGAAAATTTGAATACTATCTAAAAATAAAAAGAAAATTAATTATATTATGCCACCTAGATGTAGCCTCAGACAATATTTGGTATATTCAGTATTTTTCTACATGTATCTTATTATAGTTTGTTAAATGAAATAATGCTGCACATAAAATTTGGTAATAGGCCTTAAAAAGTAAGCTTAATAACAAATAAACATTGTAAAAATGCTTCATCAATATTTTAATGGCTACATAAATATGCCATTGGACAAATGTTTGATAAAGTAACTGTTCTCGTAGTTATAAGTTTTTACTGTGTGTCATAACTTTTTATTGCTATGTATAACCCTGTGGTCAACATTTTTGTACATAAGGTTTTAAAAAATATTTTGGAATATTACCTTAGTTTAAATTCTTAGAGGAACTGCTGGCTTCACAGACAGGAATAAACTTAGTGTCATAATCCATATTCCCAAATTGCTTTGTAAACAAGGCAGTCTGAAATTGAACAAAACAATGTACCACATTGTGACTACAGTTAAGAATATTGTATTGCATATTTAAAATTTGCTAGGAGGGCAGATCTTACATGTTCTAACCACATACACACACAAAGGTACTGTGTGAGGTGATGCTATGTTAATTAGCTTGATTATGGTGATAATTTCACAAAAATATATGTATATTAAAACATCAAGTTGTACACCTTAACTATATAGAATTTTTATTTGTCAATTATATCTCAATAAGGTGGGGGTGGGGAAGGAGAGTAAAATAAAAACGTTTTAAAATAAATAAATAAACAGAGACAAAATAAAAAGAGCATATGTTATTTTCCCATTGGCATGAGTTAAGGGCACTGCTGCTTGGGAATAACCTACACATGGTAGGATAAAAAAGTCAGGGCTTATCTGATTTATCTCCATTCTACTTGTCTTCAGCCCCTTCAGAGTTATAACCTGAAGGTCAGGTTTTACAAAATGCATTGGACGAAAGATTGGCAAACCCAGGTTCTAGTCCCATCCTTGCATTTGTCTGCTCAGAAATCTTGAGCAATCACTCAATTGTTCTGAAACAGTTTCTCAAACTGTAAAATAAAGATGTTGGAAAAGAAGAAAAGAAAATGGAATGAAAATGTGTTTTTATCAGTTAGAAGCAGTATTGGAGAGTGCTCTTTTCAAAATAGCATTGTCATGAAACGCAATCTTTGCTAATTGTTTTGTTTAGTATTTCTTTTGAGGTTAAACAGTGAGATGGCTATTTTGTGCTCAGCTTTCCTTAGCATGAATTTGTGGTAGGTAGGAGGCGATTGTCTAGCCAGGGACTTTATTTCCCAGCCTACCTTGCATCCTGATGCGGCCACATGATGAACTGTTGCTGATGGCAAGTAAGTAGGAGAGATGCGTGTCACCTCCAGGCCAGGTTTTCTCAAGAAGCAAGGGTGACTTCACTTTCTCTCCCTCCTCTGCCAGCTAGATAAAGAGGGCTTTGAGGCTCTTGGGATAACAGAGCCAAAGTTAGAAGGAACCTGAGCCTCTACCACCACACACAGGCAGGCCACCTGACAATTCACAACAGCTGAATTTGATTGGACTTCTTTATGAGCAAGAAATAAACTTTTATTATATTAACCCACTATAAATTAATGTTGGTATTCATTTATTATATTAATAATAGCTAGCGTTGTCCTTTTCAATATAAGAATCCACATAAGATTATCAGGTAAGGAAGGCAGCAAGCTGTCCTCTTTTAAATTTAACTGTAGAAGCCATATATATGTTGCAATGAACATTAATGATTTAATATATTAATTAAAAATTAAGAATAAAATACTTGCATAACACCAATCAGCACATTTTTATCCATCCATCTACCCGCCCGGCCATCATTTAGCAAATATTCATTGGGGGTCACTTATGTGGGAGGCATTGTGTTGGTCTCTATAAATTCCAAAATCATTTAGCCACTGTATACCACCCTACCTAGAATCAATGGTAGTCTGCTCCAAACAGATTTATCAGGAGCTTTTTTTTCTGGGAAGGAGGTAAGATTTCAAAATTATTCATGCACTTTTCTACCTGCTACATGACGGTGAGAGAGAGGGTAGTAATTGTACATAAAGACAGTGTATGGGAAGGGGATTCCACGGGCAGCAATGAACCAGGACATTATCAGGGTGGTCCATGGAATCTTTGAGCCAAGAGAGATAAGAAAATGTCATTAGAAAGTGAGTCAAGATTGAGAGATGTGTGGAAAATTAGGTGAGAAGTGAGTCTTTGCAGTTCTGCTGTAAATGTATGAGCAGGTCCTTGAATGCTTCTGCTATGGTTTGAATTTGTCTCCACAAAAACTCATGTTGAAATTTGAACCCCAGTGTGATGGCGTTGGGAGGTGCAGCCTTGGAGTGATTTGGGTTATGGAGGCGGATCCCTCATGAATGGCTTGGTGTTGTTCTTGCAGTAGTGAGTGAGTTCTCACTCTCTAAAGGCTGGATCAGTTCCCACGGGAATTTTCCCACCAAAGTGGGTTATTATAAAGTTAAGAGGCAGCCTTTGAGTTTGGCCTCTTCACACATTTTGTTCTTCCTTTGACCTTCTTCACCATGTTATGATGCAGCACCAGATGCCAGGGCTCTGCGCTTGAACTTCCCAGCCTGCAGAACCATGAACTAAATTAACCTCTTTTCTTTATAAATTACCTGGTCTCAGGTATTCTGTTATACAAACGCAAACAGACCAAAATAGCTCCTTGTCAGACAAGATAGAATTTGATGATTGCCCCTGGTTTTTAACAAGGAGCAATCATCAAATAAGGCAAAATTAGAACAGTATTTTTTTTCTGTTCTTACTTTCTGCTTTTGAGCTGTGTCTTAGATAAATAGAGGCCTGCCAGATAAATTATTTCTGGATAAATGAGAGACTGTTTTCTTATTTTACATTTGGGAAATTAGAGTCATGGAAATAGGTGGTTTTGCTTTTTTTAGGTACATCTGTTTTCCCACTGCTGACATAACTTCTAAATTTCAGATCTTTTTCTTTGGTAAACTACACCATGAAATTGATGAAAATGGCTTTATCAATAGTTTCAGATGCTGTCTGCAAAATAAAGAGGTAAACTCTGCTCCTTTGCTCTTTAGGCATTATTTTCTTTTGGAGGAAATACATGTTTGTCATAGGGCTGCTTATTCCCAGGACTCTTAGAAGGAAAGCACATTGTCATGGCTACAGCTGCAGAACAGCTGCTTCTTTTTTATTTGTTTTTAGAGGAGGACAACACATTTAGTTTTATTTTTATCAAATCACAACACTTTCTTTTCCAACTGCTACAAAGTGCATCTACAATATTCTATTACAGATCCACTTTAAAAAGGTTTCCTGTGACATTACAGCAAGCCTCTTTTTTCAAACAGGAATAATCCCAAATTCTTCCTCAAATAAAACTAAAAACTCCATTCCAGTAAATGGTAAATACATAAAAATTACAGTAAGCCAGACACTTAAAAGGACAGCCAAGAAGTCTTCCAACAGTTTATTAGAAAGAATGTAGACATTTAAACAAATCCCCACTGTCATGAACATAAATTGAGGTTACACACATGTATGTTTGAGGTTGCAGTGAGCCGAGATTGCACCACTGCACTCCAGCCTGGGTGACAGAGTGAGACTCTGCCTTAAACAAAACAAAACAAAACACCCACAAAAAGCCAAAAAGGAAACAAAAACGCACCCCAAAGTGATGTTGGTATTACACAGATCTCAAAACCCAGAGAAGTTTGATAGCTCTTCAATCCCTAGTACATCACTGATGACTCATTGTCATTAGTTTGCAACTGATCTGAAATGCTCCCAGGAGTAAATAGTTTGAGGTTTCAGTAGAACTAGAAATAACTTTTATTTTCTTCTTCTTCTTCTTTTTTTTTTTTTTGAGACAGAGTCTCACTCTGTCACCCAGGCTGGAGTACAGTGGCATGATCTTGGCTCACTGCAACCTCTGCTTCCTGGGTTCAAGAAATTCTCCTGCATTAGCCTCCCAAGTGGCGGGGATTACAGGCACCTGCCACCACTCCTGGCTAATTTTTGTATTTTTAGTAGAGACAGGGTTTCACTATGTTGGCCAGGCTGGTCTCGAACTCCTCACCTCAGGTGATCAGCCTGCCTTGGCCTCTCAAAGTGCTGGCATTACAGGCGTGAGCCACCGTGCCCGGCCATATTTTTTAAATAAGTAAAACACACTTTAAAGAATGCGAAATCAAAATAGTCCTTCAGGGCAAAACTTTAAGCAGATATTTAATTGGCCTGATATTTGAGTTTGTGTTCTGAGTCATTTTGGCCTTGAAGGGGGAGAGAAGAGAAATGTAATAGTAGAGGGCGCCTTTATCTTCTGTCTTTCCACCTACCCTACACACATACATGTATGTTTGTACATATCTAAACGTTAGTCTCACAATTCTGCAAAGCAGCTAGCTCCATTTTACAGAGGAATATTTTAAGAAACATGCCCCAGGCCAGGTGCAGTGGCTCACGCCTGTAATCCCAACACTTTGGGAGGCTGAGGCGGGTAGGTCGCTTGAGGCTAGGAGTTTGAGACCAGCCTGGCCAACATGGTGAAACTCTGTCTCTCCTAAAAATACAAAAATTAGCTGGGCGTGGTGGTGCGTGCCTGTAATTCCAGCTACCTGGGAGGCTGAGGCACAAGAATTGCTTGAGCCCGGGAGGCAGAGGTTGCAGTGAGCCGAGACTGCACCACTGCACTCCAGCCTGGGTGACAGAGTGAGACTCTGTCTCAAAAAACACACACACACAAAAAGAAAACAAAAACAAAAACATACCCCAAAGTGATGTTGGTATTACACAGATCTGAAAACCCAGAGAAGTTTGATAGTTCTTTATTCCCTGGTACATCACTAATGACTCATGGTCATGAGTTTGAAACTGATCTCAAAGGCTCCCAGAGCTCTCTGGGATACTAGGAGAGAATGTCCTGAGATTTTTTTTTAGGGAGCTAGTCAAACCCCTGCTCGGAAACAGGGTTGGACAGTTTTGATAATGGCAGATCACAGGTCAAAGCTCCCAAATTTATATCTCCTGTCAAGATACTCTTGCTGCCATCGCTAGATTTGCATTTCTGTTACACGGTGACCAAATGTACTCTTAATTTTTTTCTGGTAACCAGAACTTGCTGGTGGGCATGTATCCTTGGTACGAGTCACTATCACCTCTGGTTATAGCAGTGGAGCAAAGTGGTAACGGGAAAATTCCTAGGTTTTTGGCCTGAGCAAAAGAGTGGATAGAGGTAAATGACAGGTGGGGAATGTGGGGAGAGAAGCAGGGAGAGTTCAGGCAAAAGAGCTACCATGTCAAGGCCTACATGTAGGAGTATGGCACTTTCAAGGTAATAAGTGAGCTCTGGAGAAATGCCTCACTCTAGGACGTAGTATGTGGGCAACTGAGGAGGTTCAAGAACAAAGTTCAAAAGAGGCCGCCAGAGATTCATCTAGAGAACCAAGCACTATGGGATTCCCACATCTAAAAATGTTGCCTTCATCCATCCATTCATTCAGTAAACATTTAGCAGTGTAGGACTAGCATGGTTTGAGGAGGGATGCCCTGGATTTGGAGACCTTAACATGTAACTAGAGAAAACATTGGCATCCTGGGCTGTGGTGGGAACTACCTCCCGACAGGTAACTCACTGCCAGAGTCAGCAAACTAACATCTGTCTTTTTTCTAACATTTGTATCATATGGAATCACAACTTTTTTTTTTTTTTTTTTTTTGGAGACAGAGTCTTGCTCTGTCACTCAGGGTGGAGTGCAGTGATGCGATCTTAGCTCAGTGCAACCTCTGCCTCCCAGGTTCAAGTGATTCTCCTGCCTCAGCCTCCTGAGTAGCTGGGACTACAGGCGCCCACCATCATACCCGGCTAATTTTTGTATTTTTTGCAGAGATGGAGTTTCACCATGTTGGCCAGGCTGGTCTCAAACTCCTGATTTAAGGTGATCCATCCGCCTCGACCTCCCAAAGTGCTGGGATCACAGGTGTGAGGGAATCACATTTTATACTCCCTTCAAAATACAAGTGTGTGAAGGAACCAGTGTTTTAATCCAAGCGTGTAAGAATGATTTCAAACAAATGGCGCCCTTTACAAATCAACAAGGAACTACATAAATTTAAAACTTTATTTTGTGGACAATTCCCATTTACTCTCTTTGTTTTTAGAAAATGGTTAGCCATGGCTGGGCGTGGTGGCTCACGCCTGTAATCCCAGCACTTTGGGAGGCCGAGATGGATGGATCACCTGAGGTCAGGAGTTGAAGACCACCCTGGCCAAGGTGGTGAAACTCCATCTCTACTAAAAATACAAAATTAGCCGGGCGAGGTGGTGCATGCCTGTAATTACAGCTACTCCGAGGCCAAGGCAGGAGAATCGCCTAGAACCTGGGAAGGCGGAGGTTGCAGTGAGTTGAGATTGTGCCACTGCACTCCAGCCTGGGTGACAGAGAAAGACTCTGTCTCAAAACAAAAAACAAAAAAACAAAAAAACAAAAACAAAAAACGGTTAGCCTCTTTTATGTTTATTTCATTCATGTTTATAAATTTACAACTTGGGCATAATACAGGCATTTGTTTTGTCTTTTCCCCACTTGCTCATATTACAAATGACACAGTATTCCTCCATTGTCCTTTGTGGCGGGTGCAGTTAGATGTCCCCGCGCTGGCATGAGCAGGCCAGGGTTCAAATGCTGCCTTTGTTGCATACCAACTGCAGCTCTGGCATGTAAGATGGTAAAAAACAAACAAACAAAACCGCCACCTGCAGAGGACCGTTGTGAGGATTAATGAGGTAGTGTCAGTTTAAGTGCCCCATAACTGGTAGTTGCTGTTTCTGAGTTTATCACGAAACCCCTTATCACGAAAAATTTGTCTCCTTAATCTTTTTTCTTCCTTTCCTGCTTCAATATATCATATGCCTCTGGCAAACCCATACTCCTGGCGGGCTAGGCGGTTGGATCTTGGCCCCTTCTCTAAGGCTTTTCTTGCAGGTTCCCCCTGCCTATTTATGGGCGGTATAAAAGTTATTGCGGTTTTTGCCATTAAAAAAAAATCGCAAAACCGCAATTCCTTTTGCACCAACCTAATAGATGCTCCAGGCCGAGCTGGGAGGTGTTGGGGTGCACACAAGGAGAGAGGACAGGCTGGCCTGAAGGTCCAGAGCGCCGGCCCGGCAGGGTCAACCCAGCCAGCGGTCACGAAGGGAGGTGGAGTTGGGGGAGGCGACACAGGGCAGGAAGTGGGGAGGACAAACGGGGTGCACATGGGGACTGTGGCGATGACACAGAAGGGACAGCCGGTTAGAATCTAGGCCCACTTAGGCGATGAAGGGCAGGTGAAGAAATCCCGTTCCATCTTCCTGTAGTTCCTCCCTTGGGGAGCCCCCATCCTATCCTGCTGTGGACCGGGGCGTCTCCTGGAAGGCCCGCGATCGAGATGAGGCTTCCGAGCCGCCCAGAAGGGACTTCGAAGTGTGCGCAGCGGACTCCGCGGTTCCCACGCGCCCCCTAGGGTGGGTGGACGAGCTGGGCGCCCCCGTGCGGAGAACGGAGGAGGGGTCCGCCATGTAGCTGTTGGAAATGCGGGTGGCCGTGGGGCCCAGCTTGCCGGGCTCCTGGATCCACGTCCAGGTCGCAGGGGAGGGGCCCGCCGCCCGTTTCTAAGGGCCTGGCTGCATTCCTGCGGTCACGATCAGGGGTCTTTGCTTTCTCCCATCCCCTCCTGGAGAAAGAACGCAGCTTTTAACGCGTTCTCCTTGGTTGGGCACCTTTCTTGGGAAAGCTCCGCCTACCATTGCCCTTGTACCTGTCCTCTCCTCTCTCCCTTTCCTGAAGTGACTGCCCGTCTCTTGCACCGTGGTGTGAATGCGTCGAGATCTCGGCGCTGCAGCAGCATCGGAGATTGGATCCAGCCCATGGAGAGGTCCCCAGAGTCCATTTGTCCGTCCCCAGGGCAGGGGCCTCGGAAGAGCAAGGGGGAGGAGCTGACCTAGCCGGCTGATCTTTGTGGCTTAGACAAAATTTAGAGTTTATTTGTCCTTCTGACCATGATCTCAGATCAGATGGACAAGATTAGCCTTACACTTAGGAGCGTTCTGGTGCAAGACTAGTGACTTATTTTTCCTTCCTTCCTACCATCCTTCCTTCCTTCCGTTTTTCCTTTCTTCCTCCTGCCCTCCCTCCGTCCCTCCCTTTTTTCCTTCCCTTTCTATCTCTCTCTCATTTTTTTTTTTTTTTTGACAGGGTCTCACTCTGTTGCTCAGGCTGGAGTGCAATGGCACCATCATAACTCACTGCAGCCTGGACCTCGTGGGCTCAGGTGATCCTCTCACCTCAGCTTCCCAAGTAGCTGGGACTACAGGTCCACAAAACCACGCCTGGCTAATTAAATTTTTTTTTTGTAGAGACAGGGTCTCACTATCTTGCCCAGGCTGGCCTCGAACTCCTGATATCAAGCTATCCTCTCTCCTTGGCCTCCCAAGATGCTAGAATTCCCGGCCATGACTTTTTTTTTTTCCTTCTTTTTTAACCTGAAGCTCTATCCCTTGTCAGTAAAGCCAGCAGCTAATGTTTCCTGTCTCACTGTGTGGAGCAAATCTGCAGCCCTGCTGTCATAGCTCTATTGTGAGGATCTGTTATACCAGCACCTGTTAACTTGCTTGGCATTTGGAGAAGCTAGGTAAATGTTGTGTGAATGAATAAATGAATGAACCCAGCCAAGTATGTCCCATGAGCCAAGTACAAGAAGAGTGGACTCTTGTGCTACTCACACTCTGCCTTCATTGTTAAGAAAGGCGCATTTTTCTAACCAAGGCATAAACTCCAAGAGTGGATACAATGGACGGGTTAGCCACCTGTTAAGAGAAGTGGAAGTTAAATGATTCATAACATTTTGATTTCAATCTGCTGTCCCACCATTATCAGGTGTATGGCCATATAAAGAAAATGAAGTTGGGGCCAGGCACAGTGGCTCACGCCTGTGATCTCAGCACTTTGGGAGGTTGAGGCGTGCAGATCACTTGAGGTCAGGAGTTTGAGACAAGCCTGGAGATTATGGTGAAACCCTGTCTCTACTAAAAATACAAAAATTAGCCAGGCCAGGTGGTACTCACCTGTGGTCCCAGCTACTCGGAGAGGCTGAGGTGGGACAATTGAGGTGGGACAATTGCTTGAACCTGAGGTGGAGGTTACAGTGAGCTGATATTGAGCCACAGCATTCTAGCCTGGGCGACACAGTGAGACTCCATCCCCCACCCCCCCACCCCGCCCACACACACACACACACACACAAAAGAAGAAAAAGAAATGAAGTTGGATTCTTTAATTGGGGGACAAGGGTTTAGATAATCCGCAGCATGGACTTTGAGATAGCTTATGTTTGGGGTATTTTCTTTCATACATTTAGTCTCCTAATTATGTGATCAGGCTAATTTTTAAGTACTGAGTAATTTTTAGGAGATGTTGAGACTAAGTTGAAAGAAAACCTAGCCCCTGTGCACCATGAGCCTAGAGTTTAGAGCTGAGTTGGCATAGTCAACTATGAAAGCTGTTGGGACAGTGGCAATGTTGAAATTCGTAAGAAGAGATCATTGTGAACTGGATATTGATGCAGGATGCCTTAGAAGGTCATGGGTTAGGCCTTGAAAGAATGTACAAGAACAAAGGAATTGGGTGTTATTTTATTTTTAAAATTTTATTTACTTTTGAGTCAGGGTCTCACTCTATTGCATAGGCTGCAGTACAGTGGCCCGATCACAACACACTGCAGCCTCCATCTCCTGGGCTTAAGTGATCCTCCTGCCTCAGCCTCCCATGTAGTTGGGACTACAGGTACGCACCATTATGACCAGCTAATGTTTAATGTTTTAATATTGAATTTTAAAAATTTTTGTAAAAAGAGCATTGGAAATGATTTATTTCCAAGATTCATGATCGCAGACAATGTGTGGTCAGCAAGTGGTTGTAAAGCAAATCTGTTTTCTCCATGTGACTGGAAGGAAGAAACACTGACAGAAGAGTGAGTTCTTTGGCTTCCTGATCCTGGCTGAGCCTGTCAGTGCTTCTGTCCCCTCCTTCTTGGCCAGTGGCCGTGTCTCTGGACAGATTCTGTTCTTAGAAGGGTGCTGGTGAGCCAGAGATGACATATATGCAGAAGTAGGTTTTGAAAAAGTTCAGTGTCAGGCCGGGTACAGTGGCTCATGCCTGTAATCCCTGCACTTTGGGAGGTCAAGGAGGGTGGATCACTTGAGGTAAGGAGTTCGAGACCAGCCTGGCCATCATAATGAAACCTCATGTCTACTAAAAATCCAAAAAATTAGCCAGGCATGGTGGCAGGCGCCTGTAATCCCAGCTAACCGGGAGGCTGAGGCAGGAGAATCACTTGAACACAGGAGGTAGAGGTTGCAGTGAGCCGAGATCAAGCCACTGCATTACAGCCTGGGTGACAAAAAGCGAGACTCCTTCTCATAGAAAAAAAAAAAGATGAAAAAGTTCAGTGTCTTGGTACCAGTACCATGCTGTTTTGGTTACTGTAGCCTTGTAGTATAGTTTGAAGTCAGGTAGCATGATGCCTCCAGCTTTGTTCTTTTGGCTTAGGATTGACTTGGCGATGTGGGCTCTTTTTTGGTTCCATATGAACTTTAAAGTAGTTTTTTCCAATTCTGTGAAGAAAGTCATTGGTAGCTTGATGGGGATGGCATTGAATTTGTAAATTACCTTGGGCAGTACAGCCATTTTCACGATATTGATTCTTCCTACCCATGAGCATGGAATGTTCTTCCATTTGTTTGTATCCTCTTTTATTTCATTGAGCAGTGGTTTGTAGTTCTCCTTGAAGAGGTCCTTCACGTCCCTTGTAAGTTGGATTTCTAAGTATTTTATTCTCTTTGAAGCGATTGTGAATGGGAGTTCACTCATGATTTGTCTCTCTGTTTGTCTGTTATTGGTGTATAAGAATGCTTGTGATTCTTGTACATTGATTTTGTATCCTGAGACTTTGCTGAAGTTGCTTATCAGCTTAAGGAGATTTTGGGCTGAGACAATGGGGTTTTCTAGATATACAATCATGTCATCTGCAAACAGGGACAATTTGACTTCCTCTTTTCCTAATTGAATACCCTTTATTTCCTTCTCCTGCCTAATTGCCCTGGCCAGAACTTCCAACACTATGTTGAATAGGAGTGGTGAGAGAGGGCATCCCTGTCTTGTGCCAGTTTTCAAAGGGAATGCTTCCAGTTTTTGCCCATTCAGTATGATATTGGCTGTGGGTTTGTCATAGATAGCTTTTATTATTTTGAGATACGTCCCATCAATACCTAATTTATTGAGAGTTTTTAGCATGAAAAGTTGTTGAATTTTGTCAAAGGCCTTTTCTGCGTCTATTGAGATAATCATGTGGTTTTTGTCTTTGGTTCTATTTATATGCTGGATTACATTTATTGATTTGCGTATATTGAACCAGCCTTGCATCCCAGGGATGAAGCCCACTTGATCATGGTGGATAACAGAGATATAGATCAATGGAACAGAACAGAGCCCTCAGAAATAACGCCGCATATCTACAACTATCTGATCTTTGACAAACCTGAGAAAAACAAGCAATGGGGAAAGGATTCCCTATTTAATAAATGGTGCTGGGAAAACTGGCCAGCCATATGTAGAAAGCTGAAACTGGATCCCTTCCTTACACCTTATACAAAAATTAATTCAAGACGGATTAAAGACTTAAACATTAGACCTAAAACCATAAAAACCCTAGAAGAAAACCTAGGCATTACCATTCAGGACATAGGCATGGGCAAGGACTTCATGTCTAAAACACCAAAAGCAATGGCAACAAAAGCCAAAATTGACAAATGGGATCTAATTAAACTAAAGAGCTTCTGCACAGCAAAATAAACTACCATCAGAGTGAACAGGCAACCTACAAAATGGGAGAAAATTTTTGCAACCTACTCATCTGACAAGGGGCTAATATCCAGAATCTACAATGAACTCAAACAAATTTACAAGAAAAAAAAACAACCCCATCAAAAAGTGGGCAAAGGATATGAACAGACACTTCTCAAAAGAAGACATTTATGCAGCCAAAAGACACATGAAAAAATGCTCATCATCACTGGCCATCAGAGAAATGCAAATCAAAACCACAGTGAGATACCATCTCACACCAGTTAGAATGGCAATCATTAAAAAGTCAGGAAACAACAGGTGCTGGAGAGGATGTGGAGAAATTGGAACACTTACAGTGTTGGTGGGACTGTAAACTAGTTCAACCATTGTAGAAGTCAGTGTGGTGATTCCTCAGTGATCTAGAACTAGAAATACCATTTGACCCAGCCATCCCATTACTGGGTATATACCCAAAGAACTATAAATCATGCTGCTATAAAGACACATGCACACGTATGTTTATTGCAGCACTATTCACAATAGCAAAGACTTGGAACCAACCCAAATGTCTAACAATGATAGACTGGATTAAGAAAATGTGGCACATATACACTGTGGAATACTATGCAGCCATAAAAAATGATGAGTTCATGTTCTTTGTAGGGACATGGATGAAATTGGAAATCATCATTCTCAGTAAACTATCACAAGGACAAAAAACCAAACACCGCATATTCTCACTCATAGATGGGAATTGAACAATGAGAACACATGGACAGAGGAAGGGGAACATCACACTCTGGGGACTGTTGTGGGGTGGGGGGAGGGGGGAGGGATAGCATTAGGAGATATACCTAATGCTAAATGATGAGTTAATGGGTGCAGCACACCAGCATGGCACATGTATACATATGTAACTAACCTGCACATTGTGCACATGTACCCTAAAACTTGAAGTATAATAATAATAAAAAATAAAATAAAAATAAAAAAGAAAAAGTTCAGTGTCCTAGAATTGGACTCCCCATGGCTGCAAACTCTCCTGGGAGCCACTGTAAGCCATGTGTCTGTGGGTGTACACACAGAGTGTACACACAATGTGATAGTAGGAGTAATATCTCAGGGTGTACAGCCACTGTGATATTATGAATAATATCACAGGGTGTACAGCCACTTAATATTGATATTAAGAGTAATATATCCCTTCAATATATGAATAATATATCCCTTAAATATAAGAATAGTATAATATAATAATAATATATGAATAATATGAATAATATATGTACACCCCCTGTGATATTAGGAGTAATATCTCCCCTAGATATTATGAACAATACCACAGGGTGTACACCCTCTGTGATATTAGGAGTAATATCTCCCTTATATATAAAACGAACAGTACCACAGGTGTACACCAACTGTGATATTAGGAGTAATATCTCCGTTATATATTATGAATAATGTCAAAGAGTGTACCCCCACTGTGATATGAGGAGTAATATTACCCTTAGATATTATGAATAATAACACAGGGTGTACATCCAATGTGATATTAGGAGTAATATCTCCCTTATATATTATAAATAATGTCAAAATGTGTACCCCCACTGTGATATGATGAGTAATATTACCCTTAGATATTATGAATAATAACACAGGGTGTACATCCAATGTGATATTAGGAGTAATATCTCTCTTAGATATTAGGAATAATATCACAGGGTATAGAGCCACTGCTATATTAGCATTAAGATCTTTCTTAGATATTATGAATAATATATCACAGGGTGTACACCCACTGTGATATGAGAAGTAATATCTTTCTTAGATATTACAAATAATATCATAGGGTGTACACCCACCATGACATTAGGAGTAATAGCTCCCTGAGATATTATGAATAATATCAGAAGGTGTATACCCACTGTGAAATTAGAAGTAATATCTCCCTTAGATATTACTAGAAGATATTACTTCTAATTTAGTAATATCTCCCTTAGATATTACTTCTAACTTATTAATATCACAGGGTGTACACCTACTGTGATATTAGGGGTGATATCTCCCTTAGCTATTATGACTATTGTCACAGGGTGTATAACCACTATGATATTAGGAATAATATCTCCCGTAGATATTACAAATAATATCAAAGGGTGTATATACAGGGTATAAACCCACTGTGATATTAGTAGTAATATCTCCCTTAGATATTACAAATAAAATCACGGGGGGACACCTACTCTGATGTTAGGAGTACTATCTCCTTTAGCTATTACAAATAATATCACAGAGTGTACACCTGCTGTGATATTAAGAGTGATATCTCTCTTAGGTATCACGAATAATATCACAGGGTGTACAGCCTCAGCGATATTAAAAGGAATATTTTCCTTAAATATTATGAATAATATCAAACGATGTACACCTACTGTGATATTAGGAGTAATGCCTTCCTTAGATATTCCAAATAATATGAAAGGGTGTATACCTAATGAGATATTAAGAATAATGTCTCCCTTAGATACTATGAATAATGTCACCCCACTGTGATATTGTTCATAATATCCAAGCGGGAAGAGCATGATATTACTGCCAATATCGCAGGGGGTGTACACCTTCCTGTGATATTGTTCATAATATCAAGGAGGGGAGAGGTTGATATTAATTCTAATATAGCTGGGGTTGTACACATCCCTGTGGTACTGTTTGTAATATACAAAAGGGGAGAATATGATATTATTCCCAATATTGCAGGAGGTGTACACCTCCCCGTGATATTGTTCATAATGTCCAGGGGGCAGAAGATGATATCACTGCCAATATCGCAGGGGGTGTACACCTTCCTATGATATTGTTCCTAATAACCGGGGGGAAGAGGATGATATTACACGCAACATCACAGGGGCTGTACGCCCCCCCATCATATAGTTTGTAATATTCAGGGGGAAAGAAGATGATATTACTCCCAATGTCACAGGGTTTGTATACTTCTATGTGACATTGTTCGTAATATCCGGGGGTGGGGTGGGGAGAGAATGATATTACTCCCAATATTGCAGAGGCTGTACACCCCCCTCTGATATTGTTTGTAATATTTAGGAAGGAGAAAATGATATTACTCCCTATATCGCAGGGGGCTGTACACCCCTCTGTGATATCATTCGTAATATCCAGAAGAAGACAGGATGATATTACTCCCAATATCGCAGGTGGTGTACACCCCTCTGTGATATTGTCCATAATATCCAGGTTGGAGAGGATGATATTATTTCCCATATCGCATTGTGTGTACACCCCCCTGTAATATTGTCCATAACATTCAAGGCTAAAGAGGATGATATTATTCTCCATGTCGCAGAGTGTGTACAGCCTGCTGTGATACTGTTCGTATCATCCAGGGAGGGAGAGGATGATATTTCTCCCCATATCGCAGGTGGTGTACACCCCCTTGTGATATTGTCCGCAACATCCGGGGTGGGGAAGGATATTAATCCCCATATCGCAGAATGTGTACACCCCCCTGTAATATTGCCCGTAACATCCAGAAGGGGAGGGGATGACATTACTTCCCATATTGCAAGGCGTGTTCACCCCCCTGTAAAATAGTCCATAACATCCAGAGGGGGAGGGGATGATATTGCTCCCCATATCGCAGGGGAATATTGTCCCCTGTGATATTGTCTGCAACATCCGGGGCAGGGGAGGATGATATTAATCCCCATATCACAGAATGTGCACACCCCCCTGTAACATTGTCGGTAACATTCAGAGGGGGAGGGGCTGATATTACTCCCCATATCGCAGGGGGTGTACAACTTCCTGTGATATTGTCCGTAATATCCAGGGGAAGAGAGGATGATGTTCCTCCCCATAAACAACCTGCGATATTGTCCATAATATCCAGGGAGGGAGAGGATGGTGTTATTTTCCATATTGCAGGGAATGTACACCCCACTGCGATACTGTCCGTAATAACCAGGGGTGGAGAGGATGATGTTACTCTTTATTTCACAAGGAATATACACCCCCCTGCGATATTGTCCGTAATAACCAGGGGTGGAGAGGATGATGTTACTCTTTATTTCACAAGGAATATACACCCCCCTGCGATATTGTCCGTAATAACCAGGGGTGGAGAGGATGATGTTACTCTTTATATCACAAGGAACATACACCCTCCTGCGATATTGTCCGTAATAACCAGGGGTGGAGAGGATGATGTTACTCTTTATATCACAAGGAACATACACCCTCCTGCGATGTTGTCCGTAATAACCAAGGGTGGAGAGGATGATGTTACTCTTTATATCACAAGGAACATACAACCCCCTGCGATATTGTTCGTAATATCCAGGAGGAGAGAGGATGATGTTACTCCCCATATCGCAGTGGGTGTACACACCCCTGCGAAATTGTTTGTAATATCCACGGGGGGAGGAGATGATGTTACTCCCCATATTGCCAGTAGTGTACATCCCCCTGCATATTGTTCATAATACTCAGGGGGAGAGAAAATGATATTACTCCACATATCGCAGGGGATGTACACACCCCTGCAATATTGTTCGTAATATTTGGGGGGGAGATGATGATATTACTCCCCATATCGGAGGGGGTGTATACCCCACTGCGATATTGTTAATAATATCCAGGGGGGAGATGATGTTATTCCCAATATCGTAAACACCCTTCGTGTACATTTTCTGTGACATTGTTTGTAATATCCAGGGTGGCAGAGGATGATATTCCTCCTAATATCGCAAGATTTATACACTCTCTTTTGATGTTGTTCGTAATATCCAGGAGAGGAGAGGGTGATATTACTCCAAATATCATAGGGGGATACAACCCCCTGTGATATTGTTCGCAATATTCAGGGGAGGAGAGGATATTACTCCCCAGATAGCAGGGAGGGTACACTCCCCTGGGATATTGTTCATAATTTTCAGGGGTGGGAGAGAATGATATTACTCCCAAAATCACAGGGGGTGTACACCCCCCTGTGATATTCTTTGTAATATCCAGGGGTGGAGAGTATGATATTACCCTCAATATCGCAGAAAGTGTACACCCCCTTTGTTATATTGTTCGTAATATCCGGGGCGGGGGGAGGAGACAATGATATTACTTCCAATATCGCAGGGGCTGTACACCCCCCTGTGATATTATTGCTAATATCCAGTGGGGGAGAAGATGATATTACTCCCAATATCACAGGGGGTGTACACCCTTCTGTGATAGTATTCGTAATATCTAGGTGGGGAGAGGATGATATTACCTCCAATATCGCAAGGCCTGTACACCCTCCTGTGATGTTGTTCATAATATCCAAGGGGGTAGAGGATGATATTATTCCCTGTATCGCAGGGGATGTGGACCCCCTGTGATATTGTTTGTAATATCCAGGAGGAAAGAGGATGATATTACTCCCAATATCGCAGGTGGTGTACACACCCCTGTGACATTATTCCTAATATCCAGCGGCAGGGGAAGGATGATATTACTCCCAATATTGAAAGAGGTGTACACACCTCTGTGATATTGTTCGTAATATCCAGGTGGGGAGAGGATGATATTACTCCCAATATTGCAGAAAGTGTACACCTCCCTGTGATATTGTTTGAAATACACAGACGGAGAGAAGATGATATTACTTCCCTGTGATATTGCTTGTAACATGCAAAAGGGAAGAGGATGATACTACTCCCCATATCGCATGGGGTGTACATTCACCTTTGACATTGTTCGTAATACCCGAGGGGGAGGATAATATTACTCCCAATATCGCAGCAGGTGTACACACCCAGTGATATTATTCGTAATATCTAGGGGAAAGAGAATAATATTACTCCCAATATCGCAGGGGGTGTACATTCTCCTGTGATATTGTTCATAATATCCAGGGTGGGAGAGGATGATACTACTCCCAATATCGCAGAGGGTGTACACCCAACTCTGATATTGTTCGTAATGTCAAGTGGGGAGAGGATGATATTACTTCCAATATCACAGAGGGTGTGCACTCCCATGTGATATTGTTCATAATACCCGGGAGGAGGAGAGGATGATATTACTGTCAATATCCAATATCACAGGGGGGGAACACCCCACTGTGATATTGTTTGTATTATCCAGAGGGGGAGAGGATGATATTACTTTCAATATCGCAGATGGTGTATGCCCCTTTGTGATAGTGTTCATAATATACAGGGGGGGGAAGAATGATATTACTCCCAATATCACAGGGGGTGTACACACCTTTTGTGATATTGTTTATAATAGCCAAGGTGGGAGAGGATGATATACGAACAATATCGCAGGAAGTGCACACCCCCCTGTGATATTCTTCGTAATATCCAGGGGGTAACAGGATGATATTACTCCCAATATTGCAGGGGGTTTACACTCTTCTGTGATTTTTTTTAATGTCCTGGGGGGAGAGAATGATATTACTGTTAATGTCACAGGCGGTGTACACCCTTTTTGGTGATATTGTTCCTAATATCGAGGGGGGGAGAGGATGATATTACTCCCAATATCGTAGGTTGTGTACACACAGCCTGTGATATTGTTCCTAATAGCCAAAGCGGGAGAGGATAATATTACTTTCAATATCGCAGGGGATGTACACTTACAGAGTGATATTGCTCCTAATATCCAGGCCAAAAGAGGATATTACTCTTGATATCGCAGAGGGGGACACTCCCCTGCAATATAGGGAGTAATATCATCCTCTCCCCCCGGAAATTATGAACAATATCACAGGTGGGTGTACACACCCTGCGATATTGGGGGTAATATCATTTTCTTTCCACCAGGATATTACACACAATATCACAGAAGGGTTTACATCCCCCTGCGATATTGGGAGTAATATCATCCTCTCTCCCCTCTCTAGATATTAGCAACAATATCACAGGTGGGTGTACACCTGCTGTGATATTGGGAGTAATATCATCCTTTTCACCCCCTGGATATTAGGAACAATATCACAAGGGGTGTGTACACCCCCTGTGATATTTGGAGTAATATCATGCTCTCCCCCTCCCCGGATACTACAAACAATATCACAGGGGAGTGTACACACCCTGAGATATTGGGAGTAATATCATCCTCTCCTCTCCTGAATATTATGAACTATATTGCAGAATGGTGTACACCCCCTGTAATATTGTGAGCAATATTATCTTCTCCCTCCCTGGATATTATAAACAATATTACAGGGGGTGTACAACCCCTGAGATATTGGGAGTAATATCATTTCCCCCCCAGTGGATATTATAAACAATATCACGGAGGTTTGGGCCCCCTGGGATATTGAAAATAATATCATCCTTCCACCCCCTGAAAATTATGAACAATATCACAGGAGAGTGTACACTCCCTGCGATATGGGAAGTAATATCATTTTCTCCTCCTCTGGATATTAGGAACAGTATAACAGGAGGGTTTACACATCCTGCCATATTGGGAGTAATATGCTCTGCCACCCTGGATATTACAAACAGTATCACAGAGGATGTACACACAGAATGTTTACGATACTGGGAGTAATATCTCCCCCCCATCCGGACATTACAAACAATATCGTAGCGGGTGTACACCCCCCTCGATATGAAAAGGAACATCATCTCCTTTCCCTGTGGATATTATGAACAATATCACAGGGGTGTGTATACCCCCTTTGATATGGGGAGTAAAATCATCCTCTCCCCCCTTGGATATTATGAACAATATCGCAGTGGCATGTAGATTTCCTGTGACATGAAGAGTAATATCGTCCTCTCGCCCCCTGGTTATTACGGACAATATCACAGGGGGGTGAACGCTCCCTATGATGTGAAGAGTAACATCATCCCTTCCCCCCTGGATATTATGGACAATATCGTAGGGGGGTGTACAACCCCTGGGATATGGGGAGCAACATCATTTTCTCCCTCCCCGGATGTTACCAACAATATCACAGGGGGGTGTACACTCCCTGGGATATTGGGGGTAATATCATCCTCTTTTCCCCTGGATATTACGAACAATTTCACCGGGTGGAGTACACCTTCTATGATATTGGGAGTAATATTATCCTCTCCCCTTATGGAAATTGCGAACAGCATCCCGGAAGGTGTACATTCCCTGCGATGTTCGGAGTAATATCATCCTCTCCTCACTGGATATTTGGAACAATATAAAAGGGGGTATACACCCCCTGCAATAGTTGGAATAATATCATCCTCACTCCCCTTGGATATTATGAACCATATCACAGGGGGGTGTACGCCCCCTGCGATACTGAGAGTAATATCATCCTCTACCATTCTGGACATTATGACGTATATCACAGGGGGGTGTACACCCCCTATGATATTGGGAGTAATATCATCGTCTTCCCCGTGGATATTAGGAACAATATCACAGGAGGGTGTACACCGTTTGTGATATTGGTAATAATATCATCCTCTCCCCCTTCAGGATATTATGAACAATATCACAGGGGGGTGTACACCCACTGCGATATTGGGAGTAATATCATCCTCTCCTTCCCTGAAAATTACAAAGAATATCATGGGGTAGGGTGTACACCTTCTGCGATATTGGGATTAGTATCTTCCTCTCTCTCCCTGCTTATTACGAACAATATAACAGGAGGTTGTACACCCCCTGCGATATTGTGAGTAATATCATCCTCTCCCTTCCTGGATATTACGAACAACTTCACAGGGGGATGTACACCCCTTGCGATATTAGTAGTAATATCATCCTCCCTCCCGGATATTCCCAACAATATCAGAAGGGTGTGTACACCACCTTGATAGTGGGTGTAATATCTTCCTCTCCCCATTTTATTACTACAAACAACATCACAGGGGGGTGTACACCCCCTGCAATATTGGAAGTAGTATCAATTGGAAGTGAACAACCCTTGCGATATTGAGAGTAATATCATCCTAACCCCTTGTGGATATTACAAACAATATCACTGGGGGGTGTTCACACAGCATGTTTCCGATATTGGGATTAATATCATCCTTTCCTCCCCTGGATATTACGAACAATATCACAGGGGCCTGTACACCCCCTGGGATATTGGGAGCAATATCATCATCTCTCCCCATGGATATTACAAATAATGTTACAGGGGGATGTACACCCCTGTGATATTCGGAATAATATTGTCCTCTCCCTCTCTGGATATTATGAGCAATGTCACAGGGGGCTGTACACCCTTTGCGATATTGGGAGTAATATTATTTTCTCCCCTTCTGGATATTACGAACGATATCACAAGAAGGTGTACACCCCCTGCGATATTGTTGAGTAATGTCATCCTCTCCCCACCCCGGATATTGCGAACAATATGACAAAGTTGTACACTCCCTGGGATATTGGGAGTAATATCATCCTCTTCTCCCCTGGATATTATGAACAATGTCACGGGGGGTGTACACCCCTAGCGATATTGGGAGTAGTATCATCCTCTCTTCCCTTGAATAACGCGAACAATATCAGAGGGGAGTGTTCATCCCGGGTGATATTGGGAGTAATATTATCCGTTCCCTTCCTGAAAAATATGAACAATATCACAGAAGGTGTACACCCCTGCGATATTGGGAGTAACATCATCCTTTCCCACCCTGAGTATTATGAACAATATCACAGGGGGGTGCACACCCCACTCGATATTGGGAGTAATATCACCCTCTTCCTCCTAGATATTACGAACAATATCACATAGGGGTGTACACCCTCTGTGATATTAAGTGTAATATTATACTCTTCCCCCTTGGATATTATGAACAATATCCCAGAGGGGTGTACACCTCCTGCGATATGGGGTGTAATAGCATCCTCTCCCCTTTTGGATATTATGAAAAATATCACAGGGGGGTGTACAACCCCTGTGATATTGGGAGCAACATAATTCTTTCCCCCCTGGATATTTCAAAAATATCACAAGGGGATGTACACCCCTTATGATGTTTGTAGTAATATCATCCTCTCTCCCCTGGATATTACGAACAATATCACAGGAGGGTGTACACTCCCTGGGATATTGGGAGTAATATCATCCTCTTTCCCCCTGTATATTACGAACAATATCACAGGGGCGTGTACACCCCCTGCGTATTGAAAGTAATATCATTCACTTCCCCCCTGGATATTGTATATCATATCACAGGGGCGTGTACACCCTCTGCTACATTGGGAGAAATATCATCGTCTCCTCCCGTGGATATTATGAGCAATATCATAGGGGAATGTACCCCGCCTGCGATATTGGGAGTAATATCCTCTCCCACCCTGAATATTACAAACAATATCATAAGGGGGTGTACATCCCCTGCGATATTGGGAGTAATATCCTTTTCCACCCTGAATATCATGAACAATATTATAGGAGAATGTACACCACCTGCGATATTAAGAGTAATATCATCCTTTCCCCCCATGGATATTACAAACAATATCACAGTGTTGTGTACACCCCCTGTGATATTGGGAATAATTTTATCCTCTCCCCCCGCTCGATATTATGAAAAATATCACAGGAAGGTGTACATTCTCTGTGATATTGGCAGTTATATCATCCTCTGTTCTAGTTAATATTACGAAGACTATCACAGGGGTATGTACACCTCCTGAGATATTGGGAGTAATATCATCCTATCTCCCCCTGGAAATTAGGAACCATATCACAGGGGAATGTACATACCCTGCAATATTGGGAGTAGCATCATCTTACCCTCCCCTGCTCTTTACAAATAGTATCACAAGGGGCTGTACACCCTCTGCAATATTGAGAGTAATATCATCCTCTCTTCCCCTGGATATTACGAACAATACAGCAGGGGGTGTACACACAGGGTTTTTATGATATTGGGAGTAATATCATTCTCTCCCCACCCTGGATATTTCGAACAGTATCACAGGGGTTGTACACTCCCTGCGACATTGGGAGTAACATCATCCTCTCCTTCTCTTGATATTACGAACAATATCACAGCAGAGTGTACATCCCCTGCGATATTGGCAGAAATATCAACCTCTCCCTCTCTGGATATTACCAGCAATATCATAGGGGGTTGTACACCCCCTTCAACACTGGGAGTTATATCATCCTCTCCTCCCACTGGATATTATGAAAAATATTACAGAAGGCGTACACACAGGGTGTTTACGATATTGGGAGTAATATCATCTTCCCCCTCCCTGAATATTATGAACAATATCACGGGATGGGGTACATCCCCTGTGATATTGAGAGTAATGTCACCCTCTCCCTTCCTGGATATTATAAACAATATCACAGGGGGGTGCACACCCCTCCTATATAGGGAGTAATGTTATCCTCTCCCCCTCCCTGGATATTTCGAACAATATCACAAGGGGAATGTACTCACCCTGCGATATGGAGACTAATGTCATCCTCTCCCTCCCTGGATATTATGAATAATATCACAGGGGGGTGTGCACTCTCTGTGCTCTGGGGAGTAATGTCATTCTCTCCCCTATAAACTAAAATTTTGTTCTCTTTACCTAAGCCCAGAGCTTCCTATCACGTCAGTATCTATGTTATGAAGAAAAGGAGACTTAGGTGAGATGTTTTTATTTATCACAACTGCTGCATCAATTGCCTAGGACCTCAACAGCTTCATGAAAGTCTGGGAAATGTTCATGCATAAGGTTATTGCCTTAGCTGACTTCAAATTGCTCCATACAATGGTACATATAAACCCTTAGTGAAGCCTTTTAAAAAACAAACAGGTTGAAAAATGGGTTAAAGTAGGCAAATACAGCATCTGCCTTTAGGGCTATCAACTGAGGAATTCTCTCAATTATGAAATCTTGCAGAGAAGTTATTTTCTTTCTCAAAATCCAGGTGATGAAATATTTCTTACTCCAGATCTGGCATTTTTTCATCATCACTGTCTTGTGAATCATCACCTGCTTCATCTACTTCTGGTAAATCTACATCCTCATCCCCACCCATGTTGTTCATCATCTCGGAGAAACGATCAAAATTAGACCTGTCTTCATCTGAACCATCTTCCCAGTCTTTCCAATGATTGAAGTCCATACTAAGCCAGTTAAGCTTTGCCCTTTCTTTTGTTAACCTTGGCCATGACTGGCCAGATTCTCCTTTTCGTAAACAACATAAAATTGATCTGTCCGTTCTTTTATGCTTGGAATCATTTGGATCAATAGAGTAAAAAAGACCAATTTCATTTAAATGCTTAAAATTATCACTTCCTCCAAGACAACTGAATGTAAGTTTGGATTTTTCAAAATTTACATTAACATCCTTATTGTCTTCAACACAAGATTCAGTGAAGACACAGTCCCTTCGATCGTACCACTTTGCAAAAGCAGGCTGCATTGTGAATGCGGCAGGGGGACGGGCGAACGGGTGGGCGGGCGGCTGTCTGGCGGCGGCTGCTCTCCGGTGGGGACTCCGCGTTTTCTCCCTGGTCGCCGCTGCCTCTTCTCGCTCCCCTCAGGCGACGGCGGCAGCTACAGCTGCTTCTTTATACGTTTTTCTGCTTAGATCAGGGAAAACTGGCTGGATTAAATTAGCCACAGGAGGGCTCCACTGCAGTTTCTGGAAAAGAAAATTCTGCAGTCATACTTTCTGGTACACAGTTGTATCTGTGCAGTCTTCAATCGGCCACGCCTATTTATAAACGTGAAAGATGAAGCCAGGGTGGCCGGGCACGATGGCTCGTGCCTACAATCCCAGCTCTTTGGAATGCCGAGGCGGGAGGATCACTTCAGGTCAGGAGTTCGAGAACAGCCTGGCCAACATGGTGAAACCCCTGTCTCAACCAAAAAATACAAAGATTAGCCGGGCGTTAGTGGTGCCCGCCTGTGATCCCAGCTACTGGGGAGGCTGAGGCAGAAGGATCCCTTGAACCCCAGAGAAGGAGATTGCAGTGAACTGAGATAGCGCCACTGCACTCCAGCCATGGCAAAAAGAATGAAACTCCGTCTCAAAAGAAAAAAAAGAAGCCAGGGCAGGCAACTCAGGTACCTTTTGGACGTCCATTAACAAAAATTCGAGAGAACTTTCTGGAAACCTAGAGTATATTTCTGTGGGAAAAACACAAAATTGAGACTTGAAATGATAAGCTCTGATTTGTTCATTTTTTTAATCTTAAACATTTAAAGTTTCACAGCAACAGCTTATATTCAGGGTATGCAATTTATAGGTAGCTAATGCATGAAAAATATGATTACAGTTTTGTATTACCCATTATTTTTCTCTTGTCAACCACAAAGAATTTCATTATTATCTAATCTGTGGCCCAGATGCTGCCTGTCTTTGTTTCATCTATAACAGCATTTCCTATCATGTGGCTACAGGATAATAATTGTGATTACAAAAAGAAAAAAGTACAGGAACTCACAGGTGAAACAGAGCTGAACACAACTTTTACAGAACTCATCAGCTCCTCACTGTAAATCTCCTAGATTGGCCTCTCATGTACCTTTTTTTTTTTTCCTTTTTTCCTTGAAACATTTGCTGCTCTTTTTAGAAATCACAAACAGGGTTTCAAAAGTTATTTAAAAAAAAAAAGCCTGAAGAAAGAATCCAAAATTTGAGACCATACCTATTCTAAGAAGTGGTGAAAACCACATGGAAAAATATCAAGTAGTTTGTGTCTAATGCTTTCAGAATTCCCTCTTGTACTTTACTCACAGGAGAAGTTATAGGAACCCCTACAGGAATTACAATGACAGGGCCAGACCCAGGAACAGCCTGCACACTCGAGTTTTGAAGTTTTAACTCATTCTCTCTCCAGCTGTCTCACACTTGTTGTTTGTTGTTTTGTTCGTTTCTTTCTAATTTAGAAAAAAAAAAAGTAGTAGTCAGGGAGTCTAGTCAAATACATCGGAGTTGGGGGGAATTATTAGATACCCAAATCTTAGTGATGCATTTGACTATTTTTCGGGATGAAAAGCATATATGGGTAGACATTGGCTTGGAGGGGAAATGGTGACACAGGAGAGATGAAGGAGCAGCACTTTGAAGTTGATTTTTGAAGAAAAACCATTAGTTTTCATCATTGTATAAGGACATCACTCTATGAATCATAGCAATAGGCAATTTGCAATTTAAAAAATAAATAAAAAGGCATCCTTGTGGCTAAATGGCAGTTTAGATTACAGTTCCTAAGGCCCACTGAAAATCATAAGCTACTGTCTTTCCTGAGCACATAAATGAATTTTTCTTCCATTTTGACAGCTCTATCCCTCCAGGTCATCCAGCTATTTTATCCCTTAATATTGGCTACTCTTCCTCCTCTCTCAGACGTCTCACTTTTTGCACCCAGCCCCCAAACACACTAAAAGATTAAACTCAAGCAGCCTTCCCTATTGGGAAACCTTTTTTTTTTTTTTTTTGAGACAGAGTCTTTGCTCTGTCGCTCAGGCTGGAGTGCGGTGGTGCCATCAATCTCGGCTCACTGCGACCTCTGCCTCCCGGCTTCAAGCGATTCTCCTGCCTCAGCCTCCTGAGTAGCTGGGATTACAGGGACACACCACCATGCCTGGCTAATTTTTGTATTTTTAGTAGAGACTGGGTTTCACCATGTTGGCCAGGCTAGTCTCAAACTCCTGGGCTCAAGTGATCCACCTGCCTCAGCCTCCCAAAAGTGCTGGGATTACAGGTGTGAGCCACTGTGCCCAGCCCCCTACTGGAGACTTTTGATGGGCATTTTTATTTATCTAATTACGGAAAAGGAAAGTAACAAAAATGAACTGTGCAGATAGAGACTCTCCTCATATAGGAGTTGTTAGATCAAATCCTGCTTCCAAAATAAAGAAATAAAGAGGTGAAATGAAGACAGGGTTGAGCTGAAGAAAATTTCATGCAGTTAGCACTAGGGGAAGTGGGAGAACATAGATGGAAGCAGCACCTACTGGATGTGCTCTTTTGTGAAAGGTGCTTAATGGCTGCTCACTTTGGAGATGACTGAGTCCAAACTGCCTCATCTAATTCTTCAAGTCATCTTCCATCTGCCTGTTAAGCAGTAACAGGCCTCCTGAGATTATTCCCTTATGTCAAAATGGGATGTCATGTTAATCCACACCATGACCATTTTGTATCTTTCTTCCCTTTGTTTTCCAGTTTATAACACTTTCCACCTCTACCTCTCATTCTGGAAAATTCTCCCATGCTCTAGACTTGAATCTCTGATACTTCACCTCCCACTTATGTGAACTTGGGCGTGTTACTTGATATTGCTATGCTTCAATTTTCTTATGTGTAACTGCAGATAATAATAGTCCCTACCTCATAAAGTTGTTACAGAGATTAAGTAATAATATGCATGTAAAACATCGATTGAGCTATTATTACACAGCCTTTAAGATTCAAGTTCAAATCCCCCTTCCAGGCCGGGTGCAGTTGCTCACCTCTGTAATCTCAGCATTTTGGGAGGCCAAGGTGGGCGGATTACCTGAGGTCAGGAGTTCGAGACCAGTCCGGCCAATAGGGCGAAACCCTGTCTCTACTATAAATACAAAAATTAGCAGGGTGTGGTGGCGGGTGCCTGTAATCTCAGCTACTCAGGAGGCTGAGGCAGGAGCATCACTTGAATCCTGGAGGTGGAGGTTGCAGCGAGCCGAGATCGAGCCACTGCACTCCAGCCTGGGTGACAGAGCAAGACACCATCTCAAAAAAACAAAACAAAACAAAAACAAAAAACCAAATCCCACTTCTTCGTAAAGTCATCTCCAATACTCCCCAATGGAAAGGGCAGTTTCCTTCGCTGATTTATTGTAGCACTTACTGTCCTCACGGACAACAAGGCCCTTAGCATACATGGTCTTGTGGTCTAATTGTGTACATCTTTTCTCATCTGAACTACAGGGAAATTTTTTGGATGGTAGGGAGTGTGTCTTCTTGCAGTATCTAGCACAGTGTTCAGCATACAGCAGATATTTAATAAATAATTATTAAATCAAAAAGTCAAATGGATATTTTAATGAATTGGTTGAATGAATCAATGATTTAGGGGGTCAAAGCCAGTTTTGCAACTCTTAATTCATTGCCCACATGAAAGGCATAAAAGTGTCTGGCATCAATTAGAATGGCTGAAGAGGATTTTTGGAGAATTCAGTCCCTGGGAACCAGAAGCACCTAAGTGAGGGGGTGTCCAGTTGTGGGAGTGGAAGGCCAGAAATGAGAGAGAGAAGCCACAAGCCTCCTGTTCCTGTGCAGACCTTAGCTGAGAGGGAAGACTTTAACTTTTAATGAAGATTACAGTTTTACTTATTGCACTAGACTGGACATATTCATCACTGAACCGAGACTAATTTTTAATGATGACATCATCGGAAGACTTTTTGTTATTTGACAGTGACTAAGAGCTAAGTGATTCATCTTAGTTTTTATCTGAACAGTAGAGGAAGAACCAGCCCAAAAGATGGATTCGAATGGCCAAGTGAGAAAACAACATTGTCTCCTCATTTCATCTCAGGAGCCCCACTGTTAATGCAATGGTGTCATGAGGTTGATTTAGTGTCTGCGGATCCTGGCCTGTTGGACAGCAGGCAGGAATGCCTGGAATGCCAGGCAGAGGTAGAAGTGTTTGTAGGGAGAGGAATAAAACTATCAAAGGGAAGCAGAGGTCATGAAATGATGACCTGCTCCTGGCAGAAAGGGGACCCTGCCACGTAGCCATCAGCTCACTCCCATCCACCTTTGTTTTGTTTTTTGAGACAGAGTCTTTCTCTGCTGCCCAGGCTGGAGTACAGTGGCGTGATCTTGGCTCACCACAACCTCCGTCTCCTGGGTTCAAGCAAATCTCATGCCACAGCCTTGGTTAGCTTGAGTAGCTGTGATTACAGGTGCACACCACCACATCCAGCTAATTTTTGTATTTTTAGTAGAGATGAGGTTTCGCTATGTTGGCCAGGCTGGTCTCGAACTCTTGGCCTCATGTGACCCACCTGCCTTGGCCTCCCAAAGTGCTGGGATTACAGGTGTGAGCCACTGCACCCGACCCCATCCAACTGTTTTGATTGCTGCACAGATGTGGATGCTTCTGCTGGTCATCATCTCTGCTTCTCTCCCTCTAGAGGCCTCTCATCTCCCCCTGCAAAACTGCCAACCTGAGTTACTGCCCAGTTTTTCTTCTTGGGCCCCACAGCACAAGCTGAGAGTATGCACCTGGATTTACTAGGCTCTCAGGAGAGTTCTGATTCTTTCAAATGTCCATTAGATTGTTTGTTTTTAATGTTTCTATTGGGATGCAATTGTCAGTTGTGCTTCTGCACAAACAGAACCCCTTTTATTCCATGGGATATTTTCAGAGAAGTCATCGCGCAGTATCTTTCACAGAACGAATTGCTCTTATAACCGGTTTGCTTACAGGACACACCTGCAGCTGGCAAGCCTTGAGAGTTTACCATTTATAGAAGCTGCACCTGAGATCCATTTGGACTGCTGCTTGCAAATTATTACATGTGAAATTATGAACTCTAACTTAAGCGTTCCTTGGAATTGTCTTAGGAAGAGAAAGATGCATTTTGATGGCTGGGGAAGGTAGGAACCAAGTAGACTTGTTTTCTTTTTGTTTTTTTCTGTGTTTTTTTTTTTTTTTTTTTTGAGACAGAGTCTTGCTCTGTTGCCCAGCCTGGAGTGCAGTGGTGTGATGTCGGCTCACTTCTACCTCCATCTCCTGGGTTCAAGTGATTCTCCTGCCTCCTGAGTAGCTGAGATTACAGGCATGTGCCACCACACCTGGCTAGTTTTTGTATTTTTAGTAGAGACGGGGTTTCACCATCTTGGCCAGGCTTTTCTTGAACTCCTGATCTCATGATCCATCCCCGTCAGCCTCCCAAAGTGCTGGGATTACAGGCGTGAGCCACCATGCCCAGCCAGACTTGTTTATTTTTAATGCCCAGGGACTTGGGGTAATAAAAAATCAGGTTTGGCTATAGCATCATAACAGCAACTGGTCCCTTGGCCACATGTAGAAAATAAACTGGGATGTTTGTTTTGTCACCTGTCTGCCTTTCCCCTCCTCTGTGCCTTATTGCCGCTTCCCACTGCCTCCCATCAGTCCCCACTGTAGAGTCCTGCCACAGTTTGTACATTCTGCATAGTTGGCCCCTATTTTGGACTTTTCTGCCCTTTTATGATAACTAACTAGTGCTAAGAGAAGAGCTAGGAAATCTGACATATAAGTCAAGTTATAAGCGGATGTTAATGGCTGAATGCATGATGTTTGGGGCTCAAGAGAATTGTTTTTAAATTGCACTGAGGTTGGGCACAGTGCCTCACACCTGTAATCCCAGCACTTTGGAAGGCTGAAGTGGAAGAATAGCCCAGGAGTTTGAGATTAGCCTGGGCCACAAAGCGAGAACCCCATCTCTACAAAAATTTTAAAAATTAGCCTGGCATAATGGTGTGTGTCTGTAGTCCCAGCTACTCAGGAGACTGAGGCGGGAGGATCGCTTGAGCCCAGGAGTTTGAGGCTGTAGTGAGCTATGACTGCACCACTGCAGTCTGAATGACAGAGTGATACTCTGTCTCAAAAAAAAAATTTTTTTTGCTAGGAAAAATAAACTTTGGAAGATGCCTGTTTAGTAAAGGTCTCAGCTAGAATCAGTACACCAAGAAATTTATTCTTACTGGGTATTTGACTGGAAGAGAGTCGTTTCTGTGCACATGTTGTTGGTGGAGGGGAGAGGGTCTGAGGGAAAAATAGGAATGCCAAGGGATGAATTGACATTTGTTAAGCAGTAGCGTTTCAGTGCACAGATTCTACTGCCAGAGGGCCTGGGGTCATGTCCCAGTTCTACCACATAGCAGCTGGTGGCAACTTCAGACAAGTTGCTTAATCTCCTGTACCCAAATTTCATTTCCAAAATGGGGATGTTAGTAGCTCAATGCCTCTCAGGGGTGTTTTGAGTTAATTTATGTAGTCTACTTAGCATATACATGGCACATATGTGCTACATAAGCATCAGCTATTAATACTCCTAAGTGTTTCTGCAGCCCACTTGGATGAACTCCTTTCTGAGCCAGGTAAGAAGAGGGGCTGCAGGAGGGACTCTGTGAGACCCAGGGACATGGGAGCACTGTGTTTATTCCTAATAGAAAAAGTATGACCCAGAGAAAGGAAAAGAACATTGATATGGTTTGGTTGTGTCCCCACTCAAATCTTAACTTGAATTGTATCTCCCAGAATTCCCGCATGTTCTGTGAGGGATCCAGGGGGAGGTAATTGAATTATGGGGGCTGGTCTCTCCCGTGCTATCTTGTGATAGCGAATAAGTCTCACGAGATCTGATGGGTTTATCAGGGGTTTCCGCTTTTGCTTCTTTCTCTCATTTTCTCTTGCTGCCACGATGTTAAGAAGTGCCTTTCTCCTCCTGCCATGATTCTGAGGCCTCCCCAGCCATGTGGAACTGTAAGTCTAATTAAACCTCTTTTTCTTCCCAGTCTCTGGTATGTCTTTATGAGCAGCATGAAAACGGACTAATACAAATGTTCTGCACCAGGCTTTAGAACCTCCAGGGTTTCTGTCTTTGGGAACCTCAGGAGACAGTGCAGATTTCATGGAGAGACAGAGACTAGCACCAATACTGTTGGTAAGGCAACTAGTGCCCATGAGAGTAAGTGAAATGGAAGAACATGAGAGGCGTGTTTTGTGCACATAGGAGCCATCTCCTAGGACTCTTAGAAATACTTAAGGGGGACTCTTCATGGGACCAAGCCCTGTATTGTAAGAGGAATAATAGGAATGTGTTTAACCTGAGTTATAATCTGATAGGACCTATCAGTATGCAAAAGCTAGCAAGGCTAGTCATACAAATACAAGAGATCTTATTAAATCTGTTGACTCGGAGGAAGTCTCCTTGGGCCTCTTGCTTGCATTTCTTTTCTTGCTAGCTGTTTTTTTCTTTTTTCTTCCTCCTTCCTTGTCTGCAAAGTTGTTTCCTGAATGTCTAGGTTTTAAACATATTTTGGTTTCATCCATGGAAACCAGAAACCAGGCTGGGGAGCTATTTACTTCTTGCCGTTCTACTCGGGGTTTGGAATTCTTTCTTGTGGATGCTGTCTCAAAGCTACCTTTCTTGCTCTCCATGTGCAATATTACTCATTAATAAAATCATGGAAAATGCTGACACGGATATCCTCAGGAAAACCAAGATAGCACTGGAGCAAGGACTGAAGCCCCTGTGCTTGCTGATGATGTAATATACTTGAGCAGGTGCCATCTCAATGTTAGATAAGCGTGAAAAGACCTGGCCATGCTTCTCTCACATGTTCCTTGGTGAATGGATGGGCTGGCTCTTAGTGCTTAAGGATTGATTGCCTCAGTCGTGGCAGACCTATGATCAACATCTTCAAGTTTAGCACTCAGTTGCTCTAAATAATTACTTCATATGTACTAGTCTTATCTTTGCAGATAGGTGATCATTTCTTTGGTATTTCTGCAGTGTTTAGCAGAAACCAGAACATAATAAAAGCTTAATAAATATTTAATTGCTACTGTAAGAAAGTAGAACAATGGAGCAAATATTTTCTTATTTCAGCTCATATAGTACTCACATCCTTCTTGCTCATATGCAATTTCAACTGTGAGAAGGGATACTCCACTCACTTCTTAATTCCTCCCTTTGGCATGTGGCTGGTATGGGTTTTTTACATACTAGGGTAAATATGGCTATCATGTCAATAGTACTGTCACAAGGAATGAGGAATTACACCAAAGCTGATTGCAAGAAAGAAAGCTCTTAATTGTTAAACTCAGATCTATTGTGAACCAGCAATGATGGTGAAAATATGCAGAATGCAGTGACAATCTAATGGGCTGGAGTAACATAAGACTAATGCATCAAAATGAACATGTGGTAGAACAGAATGCAGAAATTAAAAATGGCTTTACACATGCCTGTAATCCCAGCACTTTGGGAGGCCGAGGCGGGTGGATCATCTGAGGTCAGGAGTTTAAAACCAGCCTGGCCAACATGGTGAAACCCTATCTCGACTTAAAATACAAAAACATAGCTGGGTGTGGTGGCAGATGCCTGTAATCCCAGCTACTTGTGAGAACGAGGCAGGAGAATCACTTGCACCCAGGAGGTGGAGGTTGCAGTGATCCGAGATTGTGCCAATGCACTCCAGCCTGGGTGACAGAGCGAGACTGTCTCAAAAAAAAAAAAAAAAAAGTCCTAACAGATGGATTCTTATTAATTTACACAATAAGTGTACCTCATTGCCCATCCCCACTCTCATTTTGTTGGGAGCAATCTTTTGCTAACCATGCAAATATTAGACATTTACTTGTATAATTTCTTTTGTGTATTTTTATACACACTACATTTTGAGAATGCAATTAGGAATTGGGCTTTTGCTCACAATTGCTCTCTTTTACTGCCTCGACACAGACGTTATTGTTAACAGTGGCTACTCTATGAGGATTGTGCCTTGCTTTTTCAAATGTTGAACACAATGCTAAATTAAATGAGCAGGCCACGCAATTCCTTAACCACAAAGGCTCTTCACCTTCCTACTCCTCTCCTTCCCCTCAAGTGCTCCTTCTCAGTCCTTTTTTTTTTTCTTTTCAGATTTAACAGTCCTGATTTAGCAGATCCAGAGCTGCTGGGACCTCCCAACACCCATCTCAGAGTATATGTTATTTGGCTAGGGTTGCCATAACAAAGTACCACAGACTGGGTGGCTTAAGCAGCAGAAATTTATTTTCTCACAATTTTAGAGGCTAGAAGTCCAAGAACAAGTCGTCAGCAGGTTTGGTTTCTTTTGAGGCCTTTCTCCTTGGCTTTCAGATGTTACATTCTCATTGTGTCCTCACATGGTCATCCTTCTGTCTGTGTTCTCTGTGTCTTAATCTCCTCTTTTTCTTCTTCTTCTTTTTTTAATTTTTAGTGGGACAGAGTCTCACTCTGTTGCCGAGGCTGGAGTGCAGTGGCACAACCTTGGCTCACTGCAGCCTCCACTTCCTGGGTTTAAGCAATTCTCCTGCCTCAGCCTCCCAAGTGGCTGGGATTACAGATGCACACCACCTTGCCTGGAAAATTTTTGTATTTTTAGTAGAGATGGGGTTTCACCATGTTGGCCAGGCTGGTCTTGAACTTCTGACCTCAAGTGATCCACCCACCTTGGCCTCCCCAAGTGCTGAGATTACAGGCATGAGCCACTACGCCTGGCCTTAATCTCCTCTTCTTATAAGAATAACAGTAATATTGGATTGTGGCCCACACTTACCAACCCATTTTAATGTAATTACCTCTTTAAAGGCCTTATATCCAAATACAGTTGTTAATGGAAAAACTAGACTCTTAAAATATTATAAACAGGTTTATTCTGAGCCAATATGAGTGACCATGGCCCAGGGAACAGTCTCAAGAGGTTCTGAGAAAGTCTGCCCAAGGCAATTGAATTACAGTTTGGTTTTGTACATTTTAGGGAGACAGGAATTGCGGGTAAAATCATAACTCAATACATGGAAGGTGCACATTGGTTCAGCCTAAAGAGGCAGAATATCTTGAAAGAGAGATTGTTTACAGGTCGTAGGTGGATTCAAAGATTTTCTGATTGACGATTGTTTGAAAGAGTTAAAGCTTTGTCTAAAGATGTGAAGTCAGTAGAAAGAAATGCTTAAGATAAGGAGGGTTGTGGAGGCCAAGGTTCTTGTTATTTAGATGAAGCTTCCTAAGTTCATCTAGGAAGCAGCCTTCAGAGAAGGCTTCAGGTGAAGCAGCCTTCAGAGAAAATAAATGGTAAATGTCTTTTCAGACCTTAAAGTTGTCAGGCTTTCAGTTTATCTCTCCTAGATCCATAGAGAGGCTTGGAAAGAGAAGTCCAGTCTGCGTTAATAGAGATTCTCTAAAATGCAAATTTCCCCCACGAAAGATGATTTTGCAGGGCTAATTCAATCTATTGGCCCTGTGGCAGACATTTCAAAATATGTCAAAGAAATATATATATATATATATATATATATATATATATATATATATACATTTTTTTTTCTGAGACAGAGTCTCACTCTGTCGCCTATGCTGGAGTGCAGTGGTGTGATCTCGGCTTACTGCAAGCTCTGCCTCCCGGGTTCAAGTGATTCTCCTGTCTCAGCCTCCCAAGTAGCTGGGATTACAGGTCCCCACCACCATGCCTAAATAATTTTTTTTGTGTTTTGTAGAGATGGGGTTTCACCATGTTGGCCAGGCTGGTCTTGAACTCCTGACCTTGTGATCCGCCCACCTCAGCCTCCCAAAGTGCTAGGATTACAGGTGTGAGCCACTGCACCTGGCCAAGAAATATATTTGGGAGTAAAATATTTTCATTTCCTTCAGGATCTGCTGTCACGTGATGCTATACCAGAGTCTGATTGGAAAGTAAGCCACATTTTACTGGGTTAATAAAAACCTTTCTAATGAGATTTTAAGTCTTCCCTTGTAACCTTACTCTATCTGAATGGGAGTGGACTGAGGAGGAGCTACTTGCTAGACTAGCATTGCTGCCTGCAATCTAGACCAGCAGAGTGGTGATTCTAATGTCCCTTCCAAGGTAGAAAAGTTTAAGTATTAATGAAGGAAAGGAGAAATAATAGCAGAGGGTAAAGGGATGAATAAATGGGGTATACACGGAAGGAAATGAAACATTATATTAACACTTTGAAAGAGGCTTACAGCAAGAGATGACATTGTCTCTTAGCTCAATTATACCAGATGCCTGAAAGGGTGGAGCTATTGGTTTGCCAAGACCACTTCTGCTTTTGGAACCTGACAAAATTAAAAGGAACCCTGCAAACCTGAGTCCCCTCAGCCTGGGAGGCATTCATACAAGATGATGGAGTGGACTCATTAGTAATGACTATGTACATATTTTTTGATGTACAGTATCCATGATTGAAAATCAGGTGGTGGTCTGTGGTTATGATCTATATTGTCCATGGTTCTTGGCTCATAACTCCCTCAGCCCTTGTTACAGTCTTTTGTTATAATGTTGGATGTGTCGGGCCTCAGGGGACAGAATCTTTCTGAATCTTTCAGAATCCTTCACCTGCCTCAAGGCAGAACTCTAATCTTTCCCCAACTTTCTGATTGTGGGTCTTAAAAACCTCCCCAGAGAGTGTCCTGCCTCATACCCTGAGGGAAGTAATATTGAAGCCACGAAGCTTCCATATAAACCCAAGAGGACTAGGTTCAGGGAGCTTCTGGATAGCTGGACATGTGGAGGTTCCTGGAGGGTGACACGCCCAGGAAGGGCACGGAAGCCCTGTGCATGCATACTCCATACCTTGCCCCATGCGTTTCTTTATCTGTATCTTTCGCAATATCCTTTATAATAAACCACTAAACATTAAACGTTTCCCTGAGTTCTGTGAGCCACTCCAGAAAATTATTCGAACCCAAAGAAGGGGTCATGGGAACTCCAACTTGAAGCCATTGGGTGAGAAGTCCCAGAGGCCCAGACTTTTGACTGGTGTCTGGCTGGAGGGTGGCTGTCTTGGGAACTGAGCCTTCACCTTCCCTATTCTTAATTATTAGACTAGTGGTTTTCAATGAAGGCAGAACAGCTCCTGTTAGCATTTTAGAAATTTGCTGGAAGCTTTTGGTTGTTACAATGATTGGAGGTTGCTACTATGCATCTGATTATTTCTGTAGCATCTACATATTGAATTACATGTTAAAAAATTACAACTTTGTGATATTTTTATATAATAAGAAATATATATTTGGTTTTTATCCCTGATTCCTAACCTAGAGTTCCTTAAACCCCTTGTAATTTCCCTGGTGATAGGAGTGATAGGAGCATCTTTGGTTATAATATTTGGTCTTAGTCCCTGGTTTCTAAAACAAGAGCTTCAAAGAGCCTTGGACTCTCTGGAATGATAAGAGTATATTTTGTATGCTAATAAGATGACTGTTAGCTGGTGACCTTTCGGTAGCTGATATGGTTTGGCTCTGTGTCCCCACCCAAATCTCATCTTGAATTGTCACCTCCAGATGTTGTGTTGAGGGAGGGCCTTCGTGGGAGGTGATTGGATCACGGGGTGGGTTCCCCCATGCTATTCTCATGATAGTGAGTGAGTTCTCACAAGATCTGATGGCTTAAAAGTGTTTGGCAGCTCCCCCTTCACTCTCTGTCTCTCTCCTGCCACCATGTAAGACATATCTTGCTTCCTCTTTGCCTTCTGCCATGATTGTAAGTTTCCTGAGGCCTCCCAGCCATACAGAACTGTGAGTCAATTAAACCTCTTTTTCTTATAAATTACCCAGTCTCAGGCAGAATCTTTATAGTAGTGTGAGAACGGACTAATACGTTAGCTTCATGATGGGAGCTGGTTGCCAGAAAGACAAAGGCATGATTACAGGGTTAGAACTTTCAAACCCTCCTTGGCCCATACATATCCCTCTGGGGAAAGGAGAAGAGCTGGATATTGAGCTGATCACCAATGGCCAATGATTTGATCAATCATGCCTATGAAATGAAACCTCCATAAAAACCCTAAATCACAGAGTTCAGAGAGCTTCCTGGTTGGTGAACACATTAAGGTGCTGGGAGGGTGGTGCCCCCAGAGGGGACGGAAGCTCCATGTACCCCACCCCATACCTTGCCCTATGCATCCCTCCATCTGGCTGTTCATCTGTATTCTTTATAATATTGTTTATAATAAACTAGTAAATGTAAGTAAAGTGTTTTCTGAGCCATTCTAGCAAATTATTGAACCTGAGGAGAGCATTGTGGGAATCCCCCAATTTTATAGCCAGTCAGTCAGAAGTATGGATGGCCTAGTCTTGTGATTGGCATTTGAAGTCAAGGCAGTCTTGTGGGATACCGTTCTTAACCTGTGAGATCCGCACCTAGTCTGGGTAGTTCGGGTAGACATTGACTTGAATTGTTAGAAACCCAGTTGATGTCAGGATGAAATCACCTTTGCAAAGATTATAACAATGAGTGAAATCTGACATGGCTGATTCCTTCTTGCTTCTAGCCTCACAGGCTGGCTGTCTTCACTCATTCCTGGGTATAAACTAAGCTAACCATGGGATGTATTTATAGTTTAATTTTAAGGCAAGGATAATAACAGTCCCTCCCTAAAACTGATCCTCTCCTTGTTCAGGGACTAAAACTGCTTTTGTAAAGTAATGAAAAGCCACAAGACGTAATGAAAAGCCACAAGGTTAAGATTATGGAAGGGGCTTGAATTCTGCTAAAATGTGGGCATGCCTTCTATAATCCTTACTACTCAGGAGTCATATTGTAGATCATAGTAGCAAACATACTTTCTTTTTATGTTTTATACCAGTATTAAGGCATTATACTGGTTTTTAGAATTTTAAGTAATTATATTCCCTATGAATTTTATATCAAAATTGTAATGGGGGTATTACAAAGTCACGAGATTTGTGAGTTTCCTCAATTGTTCCTATAAACATCAGATTGGTCTTTGGAGGTGTTTTTCAGACTGACCCTACCCAGACTCATGACTCATGACTCAACTGGTCCTGTAGTCCCCCACCCAGAGGTGGACTCAGCACACAAGGACTGTTTTCCACAACCCTGCACTGCATCCTTAACCAATCAGCAGCACTCATTCCCTAGTTCCCTGCCCACCCTAACCTATGGGCCTCGGGGAGACGGATTGAATCATAACTCCAGTTCTCCCACATGATCTGCCTTGCGTTCATTAAATTCTTTCTTTACTGAAATCCCATGGTTTCGGTGAAGTGGTTTTGTTTGTGCAGCAGACAAGAAGAACCCATCAGGCAATTATGGGGAGAGTTGGAGAATTGATTGTTGGTGTGGAAGAAATACACCCATTTGGTGTCTGAGTGTTAGGAGTAGAAACAGGTCACAGGAGCAAATTTGCTTTCTTTTTGTTTATGTTTTATGCTAGAATTAGGGCTCTATTTTTTTAAATTTTTATATAATACCTATGAATTTTATATCAAAATTGTAATGGGGGCATTACAAAGTGTTTGTTTTAAAAAGAAATGTTGGATTTGATAGGGTTGAGACTCTGCACCAGATGTTAAGCTGCTTAAAGGCAGGAATGTCTCTTATCCTTTTTTCTTTTTCCAACTCTAAATCATCTATGGTATGTAGAATGTGTTCACTATATAGCTGTTTATTAAGTGAATGCTTTACTTACATCTTCTTTTATTTTCATCATTGTAGAAATGCGGAAAAAGGAAAAATTTTAATAGCTCTATATCACAGTTAATGTTTTCACCGATTTCTGCACACATTTCAACTATTCACTATGCATTAATAAATACAATAAAAGGCACAAGGAAATGGATGGTCATAGAGGGTGCAGGAGAGCCAGAAGAATTCAGTGTCCAGTAGCAAGAGAAAGAGAGAATTTGAGGAAGGTTGGCAGCATCATATTCTTCAATTTTTAAAATTTTTTATAGAGATATTTTTAGCCTGAGGATTTTTTATAGAGATTATTTTTATAGAGATTAATTTATAGCCTGAGGATTGACTTGGTTTGTAATCACTTGACATTGATTCTGAATGTTCCTAACTGGAACCTTTTGTAATTTCACCCCTTCAAATTCCCTAAAGAAAAGAAAGATAAACGATGATTAGAAGTCAGAACTAAGACTCTCCCATCCCTCACCTCTATATTTTATTTATTTATTTATTTATTTATTTATTTATTTATTTATTTATTTATTTATTTTGAGATGGAGTCTTGCTCTGTTGTCCACACTGGAGTACAGTGGCATGATGTTGGCTCACTGCAACCTCCGCCTCCTGGGTTCAAGCAATTCTCCTGCCTCAGCCTCCCTAGCAGCTGGAATTAACAGGAGCTCACCATCATGTCCAGCTAATTTTCGTGTTTTGATAGAGACGGGGTTTCACCATGTTGTCCAGGCTGGTCTCGAATTTCTGACCTCAAGTGATCCACCCACCTCAGCCTCCCAAAGTGCTGGGATTACAGGCATGAATCACTGCACTCAGCCCTCACCTCTACATTTAGGAAAACAAACAAAGTACCCCAGTTTGGTAGTGTCTCAGGTAATGTTCCCTGGAAAGTGGACTCTGAGATGGAAGCCAGTAGGCAGGAAGTTTATCAAGGAGGATTCTTTGGATTTACACCTGTGGGTATGCAGGAAAGGGAGCAAGAGAGTGCAAGGGAAAAGTTGAGTGGTAATGATGTCTTGGCAAAGGGCTCAGCTGACCCTATGGGGAATGCTGAAACTGAAGCCCTTTTTGAATTTTCTCAAGTGGCAGGGGCTGGACTTTGATACCACACTTTGACCAGTCATCAGACACAGGCTGCCCCCAGAAAGAGGGGGTGACCTTGAGTGATTTGGCTCTTTTAGACAGAAAGTGATTCCCAGAGTGCTGCCAGCACCCCCAGCAGCTGAAGGCCTGCCTTCCTGAAAGGGATGCTCATCACTGTGTCCGCTCCATCTCACATCTGCTCTTCTGGGATTCTGCTTAGAAACCAGCAATTGCACAAGAGATTCAAGCTTGTGATGTTAAATGCTATAAGTAAAATGGGGTCATGATTTTATTTGTCCCTCTTGGACTTGTGGAATCTTTCTATCTTCTCTTTGAGGATTCAGTCTTGTTTTTCTTTTCTTTCTGAAGACTAATTATGAAGAACGAGACAAACGTACCAAAATCTGAAATGGTCAACTCAATACCCCATCTAAAGCAAATGGGAAAACATTTGTTTCTTGCCCTAAAGAAGAGAATTTTTTCCCCTTTATGGGATTGAGATGGTAAAGATTTCTGATTCAGGCTGGGAGCTGTCAGAACAAATAAAGCAATTCTGTTTAAACACTTTCCTTTCGTCTATCTTTGAAATGAATTACCAAATTAAGCCACCTAAGTGCACTCTTAACTCTTGGTTCTCTTCCTCATATTTTGTTTCCTGTTTCATATGGAAATTATGTTTTCTTCTCTGCTTAGTGTCAGATGCTTCTATGGGAAATTCTCCAATAATGTCCTCAGATGATCTCCCACATTCAAATGTGGTTTTTCTCGGCTGGAAGGCGTGGGCTCCTTATTCAATCTCATTCTAACTCTCAGACAATTTTAGAGGCTGGTGTTTCTTTTCCTAACCAGAACATGCTTTCTGCTTTGGGGCCACAAAAATCTATTTTTATTTCATACCAGTGACTGAAAACTTTGTGATACAATGGGCATGAAATAAGCAGGAAATTCAAAATAATATTTTTTATGGTTTTGTGTGGCATAGGTTTTTTCCACATATATTCACACTAAGCATCTCTATGGAAAAAAATATATGAATTCTGATTTTTTACTTCCCTTAATCTGTTGGCCAGAATGCTCAGGTTATGTTACTTTGAATAGAATGTTTAGAAATGGACATTCCCTTTCTCTCCTGCTCAGAGTTTAAGCAGTTCCTTGAACAACCAAGGTACTAACCATAAATTTCTTCATTGGTTGGTTGTCTCTTACTACTCAAACCTTAGGCCCTGATTTTTTCATGTTTGTTCTCCTTGCTGTGATTTTGGAAGGCAGACTGGTACAAAAGAGACCCCTGACTGGGTACCTGGCAGCTTCTCAGAAGGGAGGCAGTGGAAACTACAGGATGCATTCCTCTATGATTTTTTTTTTTTTTTTTTGAGACAAGGTCTCACTCTGTCACCCAGGCCGTAGTGCAGCAGTGCACTTGCTGCTAACTGGCAGCATCAGCCTCCTGGGCTCAAGCGATCCTCCCGCCTCAGCCTCCTGAGTAGCTGGGATTACAGGTGTGCACCACCATGCCCGACTCATCTTCTGTGTTTTTTGTAGAGATGGGGTTTTGCCATGTTTCCCAGGCTGGTCTTGAACTCCTGAGCTCAAGTGATCTGCCTGCCTTGCCTCCCAAAGTGCTTGGATTACAGATGTGAGCCACCACTCCTGGTCTTGCCTGGCTTCTTAATTAAACATCAGTTGTGAGATTGATCCATATTCTTTTGTCTGTCGTCAAAGATAGTTCATGGTCTTTGCTGTGTTGGAATTCATCTTTAAACCTCCTTTTCCCTCACCCCTTCTTTTATCTCATGACCAAATCCTGTCAATGTCATCTTCAAATCTATCTAAAGTCTCACTCCTTCCACTGGCAGTACTTCCTGCTTGAAGGCTGCTTTGTCTTTTGATCCATGTCCTCACTTCCATTCCTGTTTCCCTCTCCTCCTGTCTACACATGCAGCTGGCGGGACAGTTACAAAAAAGCAGAGTATACCAGGTTATTCACATACTTGAAACATGTCATGAGTTCCCAGTGCATTTAGGATAGTTCCCTCGGCCTGCACGTGGTCTGTGAAGCCCTGTGTGAACTGGCTTGTGCCTGACACCGTCCCCCGCCCTCTCTGGGCACCTCTGCAGCTCCATTTTGTTCTTCCAGTTCCTCCCAAGAGTCAAGCTTTTCCCTGTCCTCAACGTTGGTATATGTGATTTTTTTTCTACTTAGTTTCCCACTCTCCCTTGACCTGGCAAATTCCTGCTCTGTCATTTCTCAGAGAGACCACCTCCAATGTTCTTGTCTACATTAAATCTTCCTGTTATTTTCACTGGCAGTGATTGCCACACCTAACACCAACATTTATTGCATTTACCAACACAACTGTTAGAGTAACTGTCTAATGCTTGTCTTCCCGCTAGACTGTGGACACTGTGGGGCCGGGTCTTTTTGTTTGCTGTTGTATCTGCAGCATCTAGCACAGTGTCATGTATGTAATGGCTGCTCAGAAAATGAGCAAATTAAAGCAGAGTCTCAGGAACTATGACAAAGTTTACCTGAACATGTAAATGAGATGTCAATGAAGGGGACTTTTCATTTACACCTTTTCGGATCTGAAGCTTTTCAGCTGAAAATAGGTAGATTGGGTATCAGGATTTCTGAGCATCTTGCAGCTCAACCAATCAAGGCAGGCAAACATTCACTTAATAAGCTGCTCTGACCAAAGCTCATTCTTTCATTTTAAGAAATACCGTCCCTGAATTACAAGCAGCATAAACACCATCCCAGAGTGACACTTTGAATGAAACATTAGAGCTGACTGTGTCCATATTAACCCCATAGGCAACAACATTCATCCCTGTCCTCTGTTACTGTTCTTCTCCTCCACTACTGTAGCAAATACACAATATATAATGTAGTAAATAAATGTGCAGCGAATAAAACGACAGATAAGAAGCTGACCTAACTCTGGATTGCCAATGGCTTTTTAGACCACAAGAGGGAGCTGTTTAAACTCTTGTTAACAAGGAAACAATTGAGGGAGAAGAAATTTGGCAATCCTGAGGTTGGCCAGATGGGCACCTATTTATATGATATTGACTCTGGAATTACATTTATTTTTAAGTTACAAAAGTTTTAATTCTTTTTATCTGCAATGTAATTAGCATTTTAAATAGTGATATTAAAGGCAATGAGTTGTTTTTGTCTTAAAATCTAATTTTGTCTCATTTAACTAGTTTGGAAAAGTGTAAATATTTAATTAAGGGACAAGGAGATGAAGACTACTTTCATACTAAATCTATTTCCTAAATACTTACTAATAAACCGCCTCATGAACAAATAAGCTTTTCTTTAAAAAATACTGTTTCTTTCAATAGTCTATATGGTCTTAAATATTTAAATATGTGTGCAAATCAGATTTTTTAAAAAGATATACACAAACTATGACTTGAGAACTCCTTTCTTAAGAACACTGCAGTCTAATTATAGACATATTTACATACCATGAACCCAGTTATATGACAGCTACCCTTGCCAACCCTCCTGGTCACCCTGAGAATGAATGCAGTTAAATTATCTAAAGGGACCTGACCCAAGGGCAGAGTGTGTTTTTCTACAAAGGGGCCAGTGAGAGGGCACATCGGTGGGAGTCAAATGACCAATCGTAATAACAGTAGTGACATTCATGGAGTGTTTATACAGGCCAGGCACTGTGCTTAAAGCACCGTACATGGACTAGATCATTAATTCCTTCCAAAGCTGCAAGGTAGCTTCTATTACTGTTTTTATTTTAGAGATGAAAAAACAGAAGGGTTAAATAACTTATAGAAGATCACAGAGCTATTAAGTGGGGAGCCAGGATTTGAATCCCCCTGCAGAGGAAGGCTCACTAAATGTGATTCTCCTCAACTGGCAAGTCTGACTGTGGGTTAAAGCATCAGGCCTCTGGGTGAAATGCTTCTTTTCCTGCAATGGACCAAATCTGTACATTGTTATCTTCATTTTGAACAGTGGGATTCTGCCAAGATTCTCTTCTTCCCATAAAATGTTTTGTCCTAAGAAGGGAGAGAAAGCTTTTGTCGTTGTACACTGGGCTCCATATCCAGGATGATTGTCAGTGAATAGGAAATGTGTTAAAGATGATGGTTTCCTGCTGATTCACTTCTGTGACGTCAAGACTTATGGGAATACAGACAAACTTATCTGAATGACAGACATCACTTAATGTAAAAAGGGAAGCCAGCAAAATGTTCTAAGACAGAGGACTTCTAAAAAATTCCAACAGTTTACCATAGTGGTCCTAGAACCTAAGTGTGTTTTGAGTAAATATTCAAACATGTCCTATGAGCAGAAACATAAATGTCATCTTCCTGGCTCATGGTGGGACTGTGGCCCATTTGTTATAGGGGAATTAGGGGGTTAAGAATCCCCTTGCTAATGATTATCTATTGCCATTCTGCATTTTCTCCTTACCCTACCCTCAGTCCTATTCCTAACTGGGATCTTTAAGTACTTAGAAAACCCTGCTGGCCCAGCGCAGTGGCTCATGCTTATAATCCCAGCACTTTGGGAGGCTAAGGTGGAACCAATTGCTTGAGCCCAGGAGTTCAAGATCAGCCTGGGCAACACGGCAGCATCCTGTCTCTACAAATAATTGTTTTTAAAAATAGCCAGGCTTGGTGGCACGCACCTGCAGTCCCAGCTACTTGGGAGGCTGATGTGGGATTATCACTTGAGCCCAAGAGTTCAAGGCTACAGTAAGCTATGATCACACCACTGCACTCCAGTCCAGTCTGGGCAACAGAGTGAAACCCTGTCTCCAAAAAAAAAAAGGAAAGGAAAAGAAAAGAAAAAACATTGTTACATTGCTAATATTTATTATTGTAGTATTTATGAACAAACAACATTTCTGAATATAAAAATAAATGAGCCAATTCTCATCCTTTAACCCTTTGTAATGTGTCCTCAGGTCTGCACTCAAATTTGCCTTGTAAGTCAGGTACAGAATTTGAGAGTTTTTAAGAAGCACTAGAAGTCATAGTGCCTTAGTATTCCTACATTTTATCTTGCTAGCCCTTTTAATTTCAGTGGTTGACCAAGTACAGCACCAGGGCCAGAATGTGACATGAATTTGACTTTAGAAATGTGTATTAAAATATGGCAGCAGGAGTGAGAAGGCTCTCTGGAAGTAGGCATAGGCATGAATCTCAGGCATTCCTTCCCTACAGGGTTGCCAGTTTACATACAGGCTGTCTGGAATGGTGGCCCGTGCCTGTAGCTACTGGGGAGGCTGAGGTGGGAGAATTCACTTGAACCCGGGAGGCAGAGGTTGCAGTGAGAGGAGATCGCACCACTGCACTCCAGCCTGGGTGATGGAGTGAGACCCTGTCTCAAAAAAAAAAAAAAAAAAGAAAGTAAAAACAAATATAGGCTGTCCAACAAACTTGAATTTTGGATAAACAGACAATTTTGTCAGCCTAAGTGTTTTCCAAATGTTACAGTGGAGATACTTGTATTTAAAATTATCCATTGTTTATCTGAAATGCAAATTTAACTGGATGTCTTGTATTTGTATTTGCTGAGTCTGCCAGCCCTTCTCCTCCCCTCACTGATCACATGGAGCTTAGTGGTTAAGAGGATAGGCCCTGCATCTGGACCACTCGGAAGACTTGCTAGCTGTGTGAATTTCAGCAAATTATTTAGCTTCTCTGTGCTTAGTTTTCTCATCTATAAATGGGGATAATAATAGAACCAATTCACCTTCTAGGTCTGTTGTCAGGATTAAATGATTGAATGCATCCAACCACTTAGTAATTGTCTCAGTCCTTTCAGGCTGCTATAACAAAATACCACAAAATGAGTAATTTATAAACAGTAGAAGTTTATTTTGCACAGCTCTAGAGGCTGCGAGGTCCAAGACCAAGGCACAAGTAGATTTGGTGTCTGGTCAGGGTCTGTCCCATCGATGGCACCTTCTTGAGGCATTCTCACATGAGATGCCTCATGTGCTCCCTTCAACTTCTCTTATAACAGCACCGACCCATTCATGAAAGCCAAGTGTTCATGACTCAATCACTTCCTAACGGCCTCTTAATACTATCGCATTGGGTCTTAGGTTCTAACCCATGAATTTGGGAGGAACACATACATTCAAATTATAGCAGTAATTGAGTAAATACTCAACAAATGTTAGCTATTATTATTATTACTTTTAGAGATGTTCCTCATATCTAAAATACTCAAATTTACAGTATTGTGGCAGCTATTTTGAGAACCAAATGAGATAGTGTACTGACAGCATTTGGCATAGAGTATGCCTTCCTTAACCAAAATAGCTACACTTCTATGAAGGTTTGTATGTCATCAGAACCCTTTCTTTCATTTACTTTAAGGGATTGTAGAAGTCTGAAGATGCAGCACTTTGCTCTGTAACTACTGAGGATGGATTTTTGAAAGGTCCCCGGAGAGAAAGAGAAACAGAGGATTTAGCATATAGCTTTCTTCTCAACATTCTGATTATGGACATTTGTGGTTGAGCTTATAAATCTTATACCTTTATTGAAAAATTCTGAGTCCTGGGAGAGTAAGTGATTGGCCAAGGTCAAGCCACTCCGTGGTATATCAAAAAGTAGGACCTATTTCTTGGGTGGGTGAGGCTTGAAGGCTTGACGTATGGAGAGAAAAAAGCCTCTTGTTGTCCGTGGCCATTTGACCGGCTTATGTGCCTGTGCCCCACCAGCCCTCACTCTCTCAAACTCCAAGAACTCTGACTTCCTCACAGGGGATGGTAGGAAAGGGGTGTGGCACTCCCTCTTGGGGGCACGAGTGTGGCAGCCAGGTAGGCAGCTCCCCAGAGGCTCGTTTGGGAGTTAATGAATCCTCCCCAGTGGCTCATTCACCCTTAGGGAAGGACTTGAGTGCTAGAGAGAGTAGTTATTTATGTATAGCCCCAGCTATATCAGAGGAACAGTCGAATATAAATTCAAGATCTAATAATTTTTATTATCTATTAACAGCTGAGATATTGAAGGTCCCTGAACACTGGAATCTGCAGTTCCTGAGAGCTGTGTGTGTGTAATATTGATGAGACTTCCATCCTGTCATCAATTTTCTAAGTTGGAAATCATTAGAAACCGGACAAAATGAAATAGAATTTTTCTTTCTGTCCTATTGTCTACTCCAAAGATTTCCCTGTGGGGCTATCCAAATAGAGCATACCTGTTTGCCTATTTCAAGCAAAGGCCAGATAAGAGAAAAAGAAAGCCCAGAGCATACTCTTTGGACTGAGCTTTGTCTAGAGAGGAAACCAGGCAGGGATGAAGAGCAAGTCCAAATATAGACTCTACCTGCCCCTTAGGGATGTGAGAGTGCACCAAGGTTAGAACCACAATATATCAGAACTGGAATGTGGCATAGATAGCTGATACATCTAATACAACCTGTCAGTTTACAGACAAGGAAGCCAAAGCCCACAACAGTCTGGGGACTTCCATGAGGCCATATGTCTGGTTAGAGGTGGAACTAGAATGAGAACCTTGTTCTTTTGTCCCCCTATTGTTGGTTTAATTAATTAATTAATTAATTAATTTTAGAGATAGGGTTTCTCTGTGTTGCCCAGGCTGGAATGCAATGGTGCTATTGTGACTCACTGCAGCCTTGAACTCCTGGGTTCAAATGACCCTCCCACCTCAGCCTCTCAAGTGGCTGGGACGACAGGCATGCACCACCATGCCCAGCTAATTTTTAGTTTTTTGTAGAGATGGGGCCTCACTCTGTTGCCCAGGCCAGTCCTGGACACCTGGCCTCAAGTGATACTCCTGCCTTGGCCTCCCATAGTGCTAGGATTACAGATGTGAGCCACCAAGCCTGGCCTTACTATTGGTTTTGTGAGAGGACTGTTGCTATCCTTTTACAAGTGCCAAGCTAAAAGTTGCCAAGATCTTGAACCTGACAAAGAGGAGGAGCTGGAGGAAGCATGCACCACCCTTGCGGGGCTGAGTGTAACTTTAGGAAATTGGGAAATGATTGGGACTGTACTTCAGATGCTCAAATGTCTGAAGAGTCGGGGTGGTTTTGAGTTTCGGTTTATCTCTTCTGTGAAGTGTGTACATGTAGGTGATGGACCTGGTAGGAGGAGGTGGGGACAAGGAGGGAATCAATGGACACCACCCAAGATGAAACAAAGCCTAGGATGTGAGTCCTGCCTGCACAGTGTTTGTGAACCAGTTGGGGAGGTCCAGTCACATGCAGAATCATGAGATGATGATGACTCACTGTGTTATAGGTAACCAATTGCTAAGTGGTGTTTCAGAATCCAAAGTGTAACCCATCTTTCTGATCCTTGGGTGAACCAGCTTCCGTGAGTCACTCCAGCAAGGAAAACTGTTTTACTTCATTAAGACGGCATGTGTGGCCTCTAGAGAGACTGGAGTCTTAACTGTATAGTGTTTCTATTTAACAGAAGATGAAACAACAGTAGTTTGCAATTTTTTACAATTTCAAAATTTTCATTCAGAAACTGCTGTCATATGGTTGTTGTCCCAGGAATAGATGATGAAATATTTTCCTAGTAGCATTATAGTCACAACTGCTATATTTTCTTTTTCAGTCAGTTTTCAGATGTCTGGTCTTTCCTCTGCCACGTCTTCCAGGGCCAGACATTTATTTGTAATATGCCTCTTTAGTGTCACATTAATAATAATTGAAGATGCTACGCTGTCTGCTCTGTGCTCGCAAAGATGAGAAAGACGGGGCATTTCCCAGAGGGAGCACACCATCTACTGGGGCTGGCGGTGGGGAAGAAGTAGAGGGAATGGGAGAAGGAGGTGATGAGACAGGATCATAGATCCTTTACCTCAAGGCAAGGTACCAGTAGTGCCAAAGGAGAGTATCCCAGCAAGCTATGTGTGTGAACTGGAGATGAAATCCAGTTAGGGGCAGCCTTAAGGAAAGAAAGGGAGGAATTAGAAAAGACTGCATATATTCATAGAAGGTGGCATTTGAACAGGTCCTTGAAGACTGAGTCGGCACAATGTTGCAAATCTGAGAAGGACATCAGGGAGGAAGGAATAGCCCAGTTTGGTTGAAAGTAGGTTACTTGAGGGAGTTGGTAGAGGTAAGATTGAAAAAAATATTCTGAGAGAACTTTGGTTGAGAAGGAGTTTGGTCTTCAGTTGACAGGCAATGGGAAAGCCTTGAAAATCGTTGAGCAGAGGCTCAATATGCAGTCAAATAACTACCACTGTTTTTCTGTGTAACATTTTTATTGGAAAGAAACAAATGGCAAACAAGCTAGCTGATGTGGCGATCTTATTTAAGTCAAGGAAACTGCATTGTGACACAGAACTAACTACATCTTACCTCTTATACTTGCTACATGTTTGTCACTTTATATATAAATGTTTTTCATATTAATAGCCTGAGAGGCTGTGAAGTACTACTGAGAGAATCCTCAATAGAAGATGTATGCAACAACATGGATAAATCTCAGAAGAATCGTGCTAAGTGAAAGAAGGCAGATTCAAACATTTACATACTGTGTGAATTCATTTATATGACATTCTAAAAAGGGCAAAACCATAGAGAAGTAAAACAGAACAGTGGTTGCCGGGGGTTAGGGTTGGGGGAAAAGATCTGACAACTTTCAAGAGGAAAGAATTCTTTGGGGTTTTAGAGTTGTTCTGTATCCTGTTTATTTTGGTGGTTACAAGAAGCTATGCATGTGTTATAGTTCATAGAGCTTAACATCAACATTCGTACTATATAGGTAAATTTAAAACACAAATATACAAGGAAAAGAAGGTTCAATTATGTTTAGATAATGTTTTTTATGTCCAATTCTTCAAAAACTGGTAATCTCTTGTAGTATGTATGGCAAGTATGTACATAGATAGATTTAACTAACTATATATATCAATGAATAATAAATTATCTTACTATAGCTATAAAAGAAAGCCTACTATGTTTTCTCAGATATTCAGGGACTTTATTAGAGATCCCACTGTCCTTGTGGTATTAAGTAGATATGACATTTGTGAATAATATATTAATTGTTTTTACAGTGACTACTCTTGAAATATTTCATCTTCTAAGATTTCCTTACGCATTCCTCTTCCAATCTTGTCTGTGTTTGAAATGTGCTTAATAAAGTTTTTTATTATAATCATATTAAATGTAAACCTCAAATCAGACTGGATCTTACAGATTTTGATTTAGTGATGTTCAAATAAATGAAGTTAGCTTTTGAAGTATGGTTGTCAGGTACACTTTTCTCTCAGCAGAGAATCTCGGTGATAGGTGACTGTGTTTTCAAAGTACAGCTATTGCAACACATAATCCAAATCAAAGTCTCAAACCACATTGTCAATGTGCTGAGGATGGAAAGTAAAGGGCTTTGTTGTTTATTATAGCCCAGGATAAAAAGAGGGACTGACCTATTATAGATTACAAGTTCCAAAATTATTTCATTCCATGTTTCCTTTGAAGCTTTTTTTTCTCTTACTCTAACTTATTGTGTGTTTTTGACTAAAATAGTGGTTGATGCTTCTTTTAAAATAACACATTGCCTTTTGACTTAAACCTGTGTTTAACTCTGTAGAATAATAGGTTCCTGGGGCTGAGTGTCGTGCTCCTCAACTCCACCACGTTTATAGTTTACATGTTAATAGGGATGGTGCTCCCTGCCAGAGAAGGGGCCCCAACCAAATCTAACTTCTCTTTAGAGGCAAAGGGCTGCAGCCACAAACCACATGAAGTCCTTTTGTGGCATGGGATGGAATGAACCGTTTGGATGTGCATTGGTGTTTTTAGTTTCATTCTCATGGATGGCTGTCACTGATGATAAAGGGCAATATATGTTCTTAGAGTTATTTTTAAATTAGTAAAATTTGGTAGATGAGATTTCAACGTCCTTAAAACGTTCCAGGACACTGACTTCATCAGACATAATTGGAACATCTTTACTTGTCAGCTGTATTTCCATTGCATAGTTCCTCATTTCTGCCTGATTGCCATTGGTCGAAACCCTGTCTGAGCCTTCATTATATTCAGACTGCTTCTGTTCTCTTTCCTCCATATACACAGTTGCAGAACTGACTAACAAGGCAGACACATTAAAAACTCTCTAATTGATTATTATTGTTCTCAGGATAGAATCCAAAATTCTCAACTGGTCTCAAAAGTCTGGAGACCTTGCCTTGCTCATTCTAGCAGCTGCGTTTCTTACTGATTTCATTCCCCACCTTACTTCTTCCTTCCCGAGAGCCTTGGTACATGTTCCCTCCACCTCGAATGCTCTTCCTCCTAGACTGCTCTTTCCTTCCCAATCTTCAGATGCCTGTTTGAGCAGCCCTCCCCAGAGATGACATCCCAGAGCCCTGAGTCTGAGTCAATGCCCCTTGGTATGAATACCTCTTATTTCTCCTTAGCAGCACCTGTCAAAATTGCAATTGAGTAATTAGTTATGAAATTATTTGTTGGTTGCTTTCCCTGGTAGAACTGGCCCATCTTCTTGGGAACATTTCTGTCTTATCCCCTGGTGTTTCTCCAGAGCTCAGCCGAATGCCTTTGCTCATGGTGTTTGTGCAATGATTATTCATTGAACAAATAAATGAAAGACCAAGGCAACCATATTGAATGAGCAAAGTGGCAAAATGAGAATCAGCACAAGTTGGTTCCATTCTGCACATGAGTTGTGGCCGACTGCCACTGTTACTACTTGGGACCGTCATTACAGCGGTTACCACTGTTACTACTTGGGACCGTCATTACAAGACTGAACGAGGCCGGGCGTGGTGGCTCAGGCCTGTAATCCCAGCACTTTGGGAGGCCGAGGTGGGCGGATCACGAGGTCAGGAGATCGAGACCATCCTGGCTAACACGGTGAAACCCCATCTCTACTAAAAATACAAAAAATTAGCCGGGCGCGGTGGCGGGCACCTGTAGTCCCAGCTACTCAAAAGGCTGAGGCAGGAGAATGGCGTGAACCCGGGAGGCGGAGCCTGCAGTGAGCCGAGATCGCGCCACTGCACTCCAGCCTGGGCGACGGCGAGACTCCGTCTCAAAAAAAAAAAAAAAAGACTGAACGAAGGGACAAACATAGAAATGAACACCTAAGACAAAAGTAACTATTTTAAAGGAAGGGTAACGTGGGGAAGAAGAAGAAGAGAGAACAAGAGAGAAGAAGAGAAGAAGAAAAGGGCTCCCTGCTTCTAGTGAGCAAAGGCAGCCACCCTGAGCTTGTGCAGCCCTTCATATTTATTAGATAGCAAGAGCAGGGAGGAGGAGATAACAATTGGTCAGCTGCTTAATTGATTACAGGTTCATATTATTACTAATGGCTTCAGATGTACCTAATCACAAGAAACACTGCACTTGGGGTGTGACTGCCCTCAGCATTCCTTCTGGATGGCAGACGCAGTTTGTCAGTTTGGCAACATCCTGCTTTCATGAGAACAGTTTGCTGTTTACTCACATAGCCTCCAGTGGTATATTGAGTCGATGATGGCCCTCACTCTCTCGGCCTCCAACAATCAGTGGTTCTCAAACCATACTATGCACATGCATCACCTGGGAGGCTCCATTCTCAGAAACACTGATTTTTTACATTTGAAGCAGTGGCCAGGAAGCTGCATGTGTAATGAGCATCTTGGGTGACTTTGATGCAAGTGTTTGAGGACCATTCTTTGAGAAACACTGCTGTGAAATGATGATTTCACACAAAACCAGACCAAGGTTATTTTAACACTGCATTCATGCAGACTCTTTTGGATATGGTGATCAAATTCAACATCACCGACTTGAAAACAGATTTACAACTTAGAGAAAATTAAAAAAAATAAACTTCTTATAACTGAGTAGTAATTAAAATGTGGAAATATTTGAAAAAAACTATTCATGATAAAATTAGTTCAAATATTTTATCTAAATAGTAAGTAAGCTTATGATGCTGTTCAAACTAGTAAACACACGAATGCTGGTAAGCATATATAAATCAGTTATGATGACAAAAGACTAATTTTCCCAAATTAATCCTTTATTTTGTTTTATTATTTTTAAATGAAGGACCAATATAGATAATTAATATAGAGAAAATACACATTCATATAAAGGCACATTAAATCAGCCTTAGCTACCTCAGTTGATGTTCTCTTAGATTTTTACTCTATACTATATATTTGTTTAATATGATATATTGAACATAATGTTATGTGATATAATTGTAATATAATGTTGTCTTGCCTTAGATGAATAAACTCCATAAGTTCCAGGGTAGGGTCTAGGGCAATTTCTCTGGCCTACAAAAGTGTTCAATTAATATTTATTGAATAGGTATGGACTCATGTATTTTAACTCTCATGCAATTCTCCTCCACACCCAGAAGTTAGAAGAAAATTAGTAACAAACAAATATTCACATACCAAATTAACCCTTTGTAGAAAACCCAAATAGCAGCCCATTTCTGCTGCTATAACAAAATACATCAGACTGAGTAATTAATAAATTAAAAAGCTTTATTTATCCAGAAAGCTGTTCTGAAGGCTACTAAGTCCAAGATCAAGGCAAAGGTGGATTCAGTGTATGGAGAATCTTACTCTCTGCTTCAAGATGGTGCCTCTTGCTGCATCCTCACATGGCAGAAGAGATGAAGAAGAAGATGAAGATGAAGAAGATGAAGATGAAGAAGAGATGGCAGAAGAAGATTAAGATGGTGCCTCTTGCTGCATCTTCACATGGCAGAAGAAATGAAGAAGAAGATGAAAATGAAGATGATGAAGATGAAGAGGATGAAGATGAAGAAGAAGAAGAGATGGCAGAAGAAGATGAAGATGGTGCCTCCTGCTGCATCCTCACATGGCAGAAGAGATGAAGAAGAAGATGAAGATGAAGAAGAGATGACAGCAGAAGAGGAACATGGTGCCTCTTGCTGCATCCTCACATGACAGAAGAGATGAAGAAGAAGATGAAAATGAAGAAGATGATGAAGATGAAGAAGATGATGAAGAAGAAGAACAGATGGCAGAAGAAGATGAAGATGGTGCCTTTTGCTGCATCCTCACATGGCAGAAGAGATGAAGAAGATGAAGATGAAGATGAAGAAGAAGAAGAAGAGATGGCAGAAGAAGATGAAGATGGTGTCTCTTGCTGCATCTTCACATGGCAGAAGAGATGAAGAAGAAGATGAAGATGAAGAAGATGAAGATGAGGAAGATGAAGAAGAAGATAATGAAGATGAAGAAGAGATGGCAGAAGAAGAGGAAGATGGTGCCTCTTGCTGCATCCTCACGTGGCAGAAGAAATGAAAGTGCAAGGCAGCTCTCTGAGGTCTCTTTGGACTTTAATCTTATTCATGAAGGACTTTAATTTCATTCATGAAGGTGGAGCCCTCATGGCCTAGTCACCTCCCAAAGGCCCCACTTTTTAATATCATACCTTGTTGATTAGGTGAAAGGCCTCTAGTCACCTCCCAAAGGCCTCACTTTTTAATATCATACCTTGATGATTAGGTTCCAATATATGAATTTTGCAGGGACACATACATTCAAACCATAGCACCGAGACTTCCCCTTCCTACCTCAATAGCGTGGGCAGCAGAGACATACACAGTTCTCCTTGGCAGCCACCAGTTCATGTCTCTGCTGTCATTTCTGGCACATCAGTGTGTGTTTTAGGCAGGATGACAGTGGCTTTATACATTTTTCAGTATGATCACCTAATTTCACATTAGGTGATGGTGACTCGGAACCAATGTGAAAAGAAAAAATTCAGACGCAAAAGATGATGGTTTTCACTCTTTATTTAAGTATGTTCTACTTGTGCCCAAACCTGATGCTGATTGGATTCTCTGTGCTTTTGCTTTAATGGGATAACGGAAGGGGAAGAATAAGAAGAATATGACTGAGGGAATGTTCTGCTCTAACTGGTCTGTTTTTTATTACATTTTATTTTAGAGGTGCCATAAATGCATTTTCTTGGCTCTCATGTCTTTTTAAGAACTTTATATATTGTAACTGTCTGGGAAAATTACCACCTTATTTAAATTAAGTATCCTTAAAGAGATCAGCCTTTATAATGATGAAAGACTCATTTTCCCACATGAATCCTTTATTTTGTTTTATTATTTTTAAATGAAGGACAAATATGGATAATATAGATTTTAATATAGATAAAATACACATTCATATAAAGGTACATTAAATCATCAGCTCTAGCTATCCCAGTTGATGTTTCCTTAGATTTTTACTCTATCTGTATCATACATTTGTACATTTAACATAATGTTAACTCTATTCATATATTAATATATCATAGCTCTCCAAGCTACAGTCCATGTAGCAATTATTGCTTCAGAGATTCCATGGAAGCTACCAGGTTTGACAGTTCTTAGTACTAATAATCCTGTTCTTGGACTCTGCATCCAATTCATTCTGTGTCGCCTGCTAGTTGTGGGTTGAGTTAAAACCAGTTGGAAGAACAAAAATGGCATTAAAGATGTGTTTAAATTGTCATTGTGAATATCTTTATTTTACTTTTGTGTTTGAGGCTTCAGATTCTTAAATAACACAGTTGCTTCTAAAACATTGGCTCTTCTTTTCTTTTCTTGGACTTCCATATCAACGCCCAAGACAGTACCTTTTTTTTTTTTTTTTTTTTTATAAGATAGTGAATTTTTTTTTTTTTCGAGACAGGGTCTTGCTCTGTTACCTAAGCTGGAGTGCACTGGTGTGATCATGGCTCACTGCAGCCTCAACCTCCCAGGCTCAAGTGATTCTCCCACCTCAGCCTCCTGAGTAGCTGGGAATACATGCGCACACCACCACACCAGGCTAAGTGAAAATATTCCTTATATTCCATTAAGAGTCTTTTCAATACCATGATATCTTTTATTTAGTTGCAGACTTGTCGTGGAAATGAAGATGTCACTGGTCATGATCAATGATTATCCTCAGTTAAAAGTGTTCAGGTATCAGTTTATCTATATTGATCTTTTGGTTAGTAGCTGTTTTCAATATTTCAGATAGTGTTAAAAATCACTGACGAGATGATCTAGCAGGGTGTGGCATTCGACAATTTGGAAAGAATAAATTCACCATGTCCTCTGCCACAAAACCTGTCCTGTTGAATTCCCAGGGTCATGGCCACCCCACTGGCATCCTGTGAGTCTTTCCTGTTTGCTAGAGAGATCAAAAGCTCAGGTGGTGGTAGTGGTGGTAGTGCGGAAATAAGCATAATTCTCTTACGCTACAGGAAGTATGTTCAGCATACATATGAAGCTCTCTTACTGGCCAAACTAGGTGTCCTGGGGTTGGAGCTTATCACATAAGCCCAGGCGTCTGAGAATGAAAGACCTGGGGCTTGAATGAAGCAATTTTGCCAACAGGGAGCTATCCAAGGTACTGGCCTCTTCCATCAGCACTTGCTGACCGGGTAGCGTGTAGCTGCTCTCCTGGCAGTGACACGTGCCATTTTGTCGGAAAGGAGCCAGCCCTGATTGCCTGAACCAAGTTCCATCCTGCTTGACCTGGTCTGACCTATGCCTGGCCTAGCCTTTCCTGACCTCTATACCTCACCTAACCTGTGCCTGTTGTGGCCGTGACATTGTCTGCTGTGACAACTGCCCCAGTTATAACCTAGACCAAACTTCTCCAACACGCAGCCTGTGGGTTGCATGCAGCCCAGGATGGCTTTGAATGTGGCCCAACACAAATTTATAAACTTTCTTAAAACGTTATAAGATTTTTTGTGATTTTTTTTCTCATCAGCTATCATTAGTATATTAGTGTTTCTGTATTTTATGTGTGGCCCAAGACAATTCTTCCAATGTGGGCAGGAAAGGAGGCCAAAAGATTGGACAGCCCTGACCTAGACTAATGGTTCTGAAACTTGGCTCAGCATCAGGGTTACTGGGAGACATTGTTAAAATAGCATGAATCAGAATCTCTAGGAGTGGGGCCTAGGAATTTGGGGACCGCTATCCTGGATTAATTTCTTGGCTGTCTTACCATGTTTCCTGGAAGAGTTGACTCTAATTCCTCTTGTTTTTCTTTTCCACTGAATGGAATGTAAATTGTAGTATTTAAATTTTTCAGAATGAATAAACAAATGATGATATATCCATACAATGGAACAGTACTCAGCAATGGAAAGGAGCAAACTATCGATATGCTCTACACAATGGAGAAATCTCAAATAATTATGCTGACTGAAAGAAGTCATACAAAAAACTAAACATATTGTATAGTTGAATGTATATAACATTCTATGACATGCAGAGTAATCCATAGTGATATAAACTCAGGGATGGGTTGGCAGGTGGGAGCACAAGAGGACTTTGTATGGGCTGGGTATGTTCATTTCCTTTATACTTTTTTTTTTTTTTTTTTGAGACGGAATCTTGCTCTGTCCCCCAGGCTGGAGTATAGTGGCATGATCTCGACTCAGTGCAACCTCTGGCCTCCTGGGTTCAAGAGATTCTTCTGCCTCAGCCTCAAAGTAGCTGGGATTATAGACATGCACCCCTATACCTGGCTAATTTTTGTATTTGTGGTAGAGATGGGGTTTCACCATGTTGGTCAGACTGGTCTCAAACTCCCAACCTCAAGCAATCCACCCGCCTTGGCCTCCCAAAGTGCTGAGATTACAGACGGGAGCCACAGTGCCCAGCCCATTTCCTTTATTCTAATCATTATTTTATGGGTGCACACACACATGAAATTATATCCTTTAAGCAATTTCTTGTTTATTGAATGTCAGCTATAACTCAATAAAGCTGTTAAAAATAAATAAATAAAAGTTTCAGGGAGATGATTGGATAAAAGTGTATTAAAAATCCTTATGCTATTAAAAACATTATGGAGGTTCTTCAAAAAATTAAAAATAGAATTACCACATGATCCAGCAATCCTATTACTGGACCTATTTCCAAAGGAAATAAAATCAGTATGTCAAAGAGCTATCTGCATCTCATGTTCACTGCAGCATTAGTCACAGTGGCCAAGATTTCTTAGGAACCAACCCAAGTGTCCATCAACAGATGACTGGTGATGGCTCACAGGGAAGAGAGAATGAGCTCCTCTCTGTATGGTGGCTGCAGTATGCTGGAGGTGCCTGTGACATGACTAGGCCCCTTGCTCCTTCCCCAGCCCAAGGACAGTAAAGGCAGTATCTGTACTGCTGCAGTTGCAATGGGAGAGGGGCTATGGTTTGTCTCTAGGATTTCTTCCCCAGAAAATGTAAAGCCTCCACCGACTGAAGTGTTCAGGCAGAGGCAGGGTGGTTGTGCTAGGAGCCCAGTTTGAGAGGCCCTGCCCAGTGAGGTATAACAGAAGCAGGGACATGCGGAAAACAGTCTGGCCACTTTTCCATCAGGCAGCCATGCTGTGCTGGGGATCGACTAAGTCCTTAATTTTTTCACTCCCTCCCAAGCCTGAAGGGAACAGAGGAGGAGAAAGCTGCAAAGCAGCAAAGGTAGTGGCTTGCTTGCTACTACTGGGAGCTCCGTCCCAGGGAAGTGCAGAGTAGCTGTTGGCCTGAGAGCCCAGATGGAGATGGGATGGCTGAGGTCCCACATTGGGAGGCTCTGCCCAGTGAGGAGTAGTAGGGAAAGGTACCCACGTGGAAAACAGTGTGGCCACTTTTCCTAAGGCAGCAAAACTTGTGGGCCTGCCTGCTCCCTCTAGGAGCTCTGTCCCAGGGAAGCACCTTCTACCCTTCACCAGGCAGGGCCCTCAGCCTGGGCCCATAGAGCAGCTTCCCACTCCCAAGTGAGCATTTCCACTGGTGGTGGCTCTGAGTTTCTCTGGGATGGATCTTCCAGAGGCAACTGACAGCCCCTCTGCCACTACCACTGCAGTGGTTCTGCCCTTGCTGCCCTTATACTAAGGAAAAGGACAAAGAGCCTGAGGGCTTTACTTATACCATCAGCTGCAGCTGCCCTAAGGAAAGAGGGCAGTCTGTCTTCTCTGTGAGCCTTGTTCCTGCTGTTTGTCTCCAGGCAGAGCCTCCTGGCTTAGGCCCACAAGGCAGCCACTGGAGTCTGGGCCAATTGCACTGATTGGTCACGGCTCTGCATTTCTCTGGATTGGAGCTTCAAGAGACAAGTGAAAGGCCCTCTGCCATTGTGTCAAGGTCCCTGACCCGAAGCTGGGTAGGGAACGTAAAGCCTGAGCTCACCCCAGGGCTGCAATGTGCAGCCCAGGAGTGCCAAGTCTAGATCTGCAGCCAGCACTCAGGTAGGAGAGGAGCTCATACTCTCAGAGCACAAAGAGGGAGCAGAGCTGCAAATGTGAGGAAATACAGAGGAGCCATGTGGCTGAGCACAAGCCTGCCTATCAGCCATGACGCTTAAGCACCATTTACTGGATCACAGCCCAATTGCAATGCCAAAAATACTTTGCTAATATACCCACGTGAAACCAAGGACAAGAATTCAAATAAAGACCGTGAACAAAGCCTTGGGCCTCTGAAAACACCCAGAAACAAATGCAACTGACCACACACAAATTACACCACAGCTAGAGGAAAACCAGCCCACACAGATGAGAAAGAACCAGTGCAAGAACTCTGGCAACTCAAAAAACCAGAGCGTCTTTTTACCTCCAAATGACCTCACTAGTTCCACAGTAATGGTTCTTAACAAGGCTGAAATGGCTGAAATGACAGAAATAGAATTGAGAATGTGGATCAGAATGAAGATCATCAAGATTCAGGAGAAAACTGAAACCCAATCCAAGGAATCTAAGGAACAAGAGAAAATGATACAGGATGTAAAAGACAAAATGGCCATTTTAAGAAAGAAGAAAACTGATCTGATAGAGCTGAAAAACTTACTTCAAGAATTTCATAATACAGTCACAAGTATTAACAGAATAAGTGGTCAAACTGAGGAAAAGAATCTCAGAGCTTAAAGATTAGTTTTCTGAAATAATTCAGTCAGACAAAAACAAAGCAAAACCAATAAAGAATGAAAAAAAAACCTCTTAGAAATATGGGATTATGTAAAGAGACCAAATCTATGACTCATTGTTGTCCCTGAAAGAGAAAGACAGAAAGCAAGCAACTTGGAAAACATTTTTGAGGATATAATCCATGAAAATTTCCTCAACTGTAATAGCAAGGCCAACATTCAAATTCAGGAAATGCAGAGAACCCCTATGAGATACTATACAGGATGACCATCCCCAAGACACATAGTCATCACATTCTTCAAAGTCAGAATGAAAGAAAACATGTCCCTCTCCCTCTCCTTCTCCCTCTCCCTCTCCCTCTCCCTCGTCTCCCTCTCCCTCTCCCTCTCCCCGGTCTCCCTCTGATGCCACCAAAGTTGTGAAAGCCGAGGCTGGACTGTACTGCCGCCATCTGGGCTCACTGCAACCTCCCTGCCTGATTCTCCTGCCTCAGCCTGCAGAGTGCCTGGGATTGCAGGCGCACGCCGCCACACCTGACTGGTTTTTGCATTTTTTGGTGGAGACGGGGTTTCGCCGTGTTGGCGGGGCTGGTCTCCAGCTCCTGACCGCGAGTGATCTGCCTGCCTCGGCCTCCCGAGGTGCCGGGATTGCAGACGGAGTCTCGCTCACTCAGTGCTCAATGTTGCCCAGGCTGGAGTGCAGTGGCGTGATCTCGGCTCGCTACAACCTCCACCTGCCAGCCGCCTGCCTTGGCCTCCCAAAGTGCCGAGATTGCAGCCTCTGCCCGGCCGCCACCCGTCTGGGAAGTGAGGAGCGTCTCTGCCTGGCTGCCCACCATCTGGGATGTGAAGAGCCCCTCTGACTGGCCGCCCAGTCTGGGAAATGAGGAGTGCCTCTTCCCGGCCGCCATCGCCTGTAGGAAGTGAGGAGCGTCTCTGCCTGGCCGCCCTGTCTGAGAAGTGAGGAGCTCCTCCGCCTGGCAGCCGCCCCGTCTGGGAAGTGAGGAGCCTCTCCGCCCGGCAGCCGCCCCGTCTGCGAAGTGAGGAGCCCCTCTGCCTGGCAGCCGCCCCGTCCAGGAGGTGGGGGGCAGCCCCCGCCCCGCCAGCTGCCCCATCCGGGAGGGAGGTGGGGGGCCAGCCCCCACCGGGCCAGCCGCCCCGTCCAGGAGGGAGGTGGGGGGGCGTCTCCGCCTGGCCACTGCCCCGTCTGGGAGGTGGGGGGCGCCTCTGCCCGGCCGCCCCATCTGGGAAGTGAGGAGACCCTCTGCCGGGCCGCCACCCTGTCTGGGATGTGTACCCAACAGCTCATTGAGAACGGGCCATGATGACGATGGCGGTTTTGTCGAATAGAAAAGGGGGAAATATGGGGAAAAGAAAGAGAGATCAGATTGTTACTGTGTCTGTGTAGAAAGAAGTAGACATGGGAGACTCCGTTTTGTTCTGTACTAAGAAAAATTCTTCTGCCCTGGGATGCTGTTAATCTATAACCTTACCCCCAACCCCATGCTCTCTGAAACATGTGCTGTGTCCACTCAGGGTTAAATGGATTAAGGGAGGTGCAAGATGTGCTTTGTTAAACAGATGCTTGAAGGCAGCATGCTCATTAAGAGTCATCACCACTCCCTAATCTCAAGTACCCAGGGACACAAACACTGCAGAAGGCCGCAGGGTCCTCTGTCTAGGAAAACCAGAGACCCTTGTTCACATGTTTATCTGCTGACCTTCCCTCCACTATTGTCCTATGACCCTGCCAAATCCCCCTCTGCGAGAAACACCCAAGAATGATCAATAAATACTAAAAAAAAAAAAAAAAAAAAAAAAAAAAAAGAAAAGAAAAGAAAACATGTCAAAGGCAGCTGGAAGTAAGGGGCAGATCACCTTCAAAGGGAACCTATCAGACTAGTAGCAGATGTCTCAGTGGAAACTCTACATGCCAGAAGAGATTGGGGCCCATGTTCAACATTCTTAAAGAAAAGAAATTCCAACCAAGAATTTCATATCTAGCCAAACTAAGTTTCATAAGTGAAGAAGAAATAAGATCTGTTTCAAACAAGCAAATGCTAAGGAAAAATTTGTTACTACCAGTCCTGCCTTATAAGAGGTCCTTAAGAGAATGCAAAATATGAAAAGCAAAGATCATTACCAGCCATCACAAAAAAATACTGAAGTACATAGACCATTGACACTATGAAGCAGCCACACAATCAAGTTTGCGTAATAACCAGTTAACAACATGATGATAGGATCAAACCCACACATATTAATATTATCCTTGAATGTCAATGGGCTAAATGCCCCCAATTAAAAGGGACAGAGTGGCAAGTTGGATAAAGAAGCAAGACCCAATTGTACACTGTCTTCAAGAGACCTATCTCATATGTAATGATTCCCATAGGCTCAAAGTAAAGGGATGAAGAAAAATCTAACAAGGAAATGGAAAACAGAAAAAAGCAGGGGTTGCTACTCTAATATCAGAAAAAACACACTTTAAACCAACAACAATTAAAAAAGAAAAAGGAGGGCATTAAATAATGGGAAAGGGTTCAGTTCAATAAGATGACCTAACTATCCTAAATATATATGCACCCAACACAGGATCACCCAGATTCATAAAGCAAGCTCTTAGAGACCCATGAAAAAACTTAGACTCCCACACAATCATAGTGGGAGATTTCAACACCCCATCTACAGTATTAGACAGATCATCAAGGCAGAAAACTGGCAAAGAAATTTGGAACCTGAGCTTGATACTTCACCAAATGGGCCTAATAGATATTTACAGAACTCTCCACCCCAAAACAACAGAATATACATTCTTCTTATCTGCACATGGCACATACTCTAAAATTGACCACACAATTGGACATAAAACAATCCTCAGAAAATTAAAAAAAAAACCCAACCTGTCATACCAAACACACTCTCAGAACACAGTGCAATAAAACTAGAAATCAATACTAAGAAAAGCACTCAAAATCATATAGTTACATGGAAATTAAACAACCTGCTCCTGAATGACTTTTGAGTACATAATGAAGTAAAGACAGAAATCAAGAAACCCTTTGAAACTAATTAGAACAAAGATATAACATACCAGAATCTCTGGGACACAGCTAAAGTGGTGTTAAGAGGAAAGTTTATAGCACTAGAGACACACATCGAAAAAATTATAAAGATCTCAAATTAACAACCTAACAACTCACCTGGAGGAACTAAAGAAACAAGAGCAAACCAACCCCAGAGCTAGCAGAAGACAAGAAATAACCAAAATCAGAGCTGAACTGAAGGAAATAGAGATGTGAAAAATCATACAAAAGATCAATGAATCCAGGAGTTTGTTCTTTGAAAACCTTAATAAGATTGACAGACCACTAGCTAGACTAATAAAGAAAAAAGAGAATATCCAAATAAACTCTATCAAAAATGTCAAAGGGGACATTACCACTGACCCCACAGAAATACAGATAACCCCCAGAGACTACTACAAACACACAAACTAGAAAACCTAGAAGAAATAGATAAATCTTGGAAACATACAACCTCCCAAGATTGAACCAGGAAGAAATACAATCCCTGAACAGACCAAAAATGAGTTCTGAAATTGACTCTGTAATAAGAAGTCTTCTAACCAGAAAAATCTCAGGACTAGATAGATTCATAGTCAAATTCTCCCAGATTTATAAAGCTGGTGCCACTCCTACTGAAGCTATTTTTAAAAATTGAGGAGGAGAGACTCCTCCCTAACTCATTCTATGAGGCCAGCATCATTTTGATACCCAAACCTGGCAGAGACACAACAAAAAAAGAAAACTTCAGGCCAACATTCTTGATGAACACAGGTGCAAAAATCCTCAGCAAAATACTAGCAAACTGAATCCAGCAGCACTTAAAAAAGGGAATCCACCAGGATCAAGTAGGGTTTATTCTTGGGATGCAAGTTTGGTTCAACATACACAAATCAATAAATGTGATCCATCATATAAGCAGAACTAAATACAAAAACCACAGATGACCATCTCAACAGATATAGAAAAGGCTTTCAGTAAAATTCAAAACTTCGTATTAAAAACTCCCAACAAATTAGGCATTGAAGGAACATACCTCAAAATAATAAGAGCCATCTATGAAAAACCCCACAGCCAACATAATACTGAGTAGGCAAAAGCTGGAAGCATTCCCTCTGAGAGCCAGAACAAAACAAGGATACCCACTCTCACGACTCCTAATCAACCTAGTCCTGGAAGTCCTAGTCAGAGCAATCAGGCAAGAGACAGAAAAAAAGGCATCCAAATAGGAAGAGAGGAAGTCAAACTGTCTTTCTTCACAGATGATATGATGCTATACCTAGAAAACCCCATAGTCTCTGCCCAAAAGCTCCTAGATAAACAACTTCAGCAAAGTTTTAGGATACAAAATCAACGTACAAAACTCAGTAGTATTTCTATATACCAACAATGTTGAAGCTGACAGCCAAATCAGAACACAATCTCATTCACAATAACCACAAAAGGAATAAAATGCCTAGGAATACAGCTAACCAGGGAGGTGAAAGATCTCTACAATGAGAATTACAAAACACTGCTCAAATAAATCAGAGATGACACAAGCAAATGGGAAAACATCCCATGGTCATGGAAAGGAAGAATCAATATTATTAAAAATGGCCATACTGCCCAAAGCAATGTACAGATTCAAGGCTATTCCTATCAAACTACCAATGACATTCTTCACAGAACTAGAAAAAAAAACTATTTTAAAATTCATATGAAACTAAACAAGAGCCCAAATAACCAAAGCAATCCTAAAGCAAAAAGAATGAAGCCGAAGGCATCACATTACCTGACTTCAAACTATATTACAAGGCTACAGTAACCAAAATAGCATGGCACTGGTAGAAAAACAGACACACAGATCAATGGAACAGAATAGACAGCCCAGAAATAAAGCCACACACATATAACCATCTGATCTTCGACAAAGTTGACAAAAACAAGCATTGGGAAAGGACTCCTTATTCAATAAATGGTGCTGGAATAACTGGCTAGCCACATGCAGAAGACTGAAATTGGACCCCTTCCTTATACCATACACAAAAATTAACTCAAGATGGGGGCAGACTAAGTTGATCTTCCAGAGTGACTGTCTCTTCCAGAATGGGCCGCAGAGTGCAGGCATTGCTGTGCTCCAGCTCCTCTGGGCCTGTGTTGCCACACTCCCTACTGCTATGAGCTTCTTCAAAAGTTTCCCACTGTCTGGGCCAGTGGAGGGGCTCCTGTAGCAGCAGCCAGACACCAAGGCTGTGGTGAATGGGAAGGGCCTCAGCACTGGTACCCTTTATATTGCTGAGAGCCACCTGTCTTGGTTAGATGGCTCTGGATTAAGATTCTCACTGGAATGCCCCACCATTTGTTTACATGCATTGTCCAGGGACCAAAGTGACTATCTAGGAGAGCATTTGTATGTTATGGTGAAAGCCAAATTTGAAGAAGGATCAAAAGAATTTGTTGCTGACGAAGAAGAGGAAAATAGTGATAATGATGTGGAACTATTACTGAATTTAGATTTGTGCCTAGTGATAAATCAACATTGGAGGCAACATTCACTGCAATGTGTGAATGCCAGTACTTGCATCCAGATGCTGAAGATGAAGATTCAGATGCTTACGATGGAGAAGAATATGATGTGGAAGCGCAAGAACAAGGACATGGGGACATCCCTACATTTTACACCTGTGAGGAAGGATTTATCTCATCTAACGGCAGAGGGCCAAACATGTTGGAGATTAGAAGGAACGCTTTCTCAGTCTGTAAGCTGCCAGTATCATATGGTTGGGGTCAGGACAGAAGACTCAATAGGAGATGATGAAGCTGGGATGGAGGTGGATACCACACCAACAGTTGCTGGACAGTTTGAGGATGCAGATGTTGATCACTGAAAATGATTTATGCAGGTTTAAGATTGGCCTCCTCTGTGGCTTTCAGATATAGGTACATCTTATAAATCAGGAACAAATAGGAAATTCCTTGAGGAAGTTGGTAAATCTAACAAAACATTGGAGATCATGGGGCCAATTTTTTCTTCTCTGTATACTCTCTCTCAAGACAGCTCATGGTTTAAAAACCCATTAACATGCGAATAATTCCCAGACTAATACTTTCTGGCCTGACCACTTCACTGAGTTTTAGACATGGATACCCAATTGCCTACGTGACATGCCCACTTAGATAACTAGTGGGCAGTTCAAACTTAATATGTCCTATACAGAACCTGTAATTTCCCCTACCGACCCCATTTCAGCAGAAGGTGCCACAATCCTTCCTGTTACTCAAGCCCCCAACCTAGGGACAATCCTTGGTTTCTCTTTTTTCCTGATTCCCCATAGTCACTCCATCATCAAGTGCTATTCAGTCTATATTCAAAATATATCTCATACCTGTACATCATCAGCTCCTGCTCAGATTCTTTTTATTTTTTTTTTAACATTTATTTATTTATTTTGGTAGAGACAGGGCCTCGCTGTACTTCCCGGGCTGGTCTTGAACTCCTGGCCTCAACTGATCCTCCCAATTCTGCCTCCCATGTGTTGGAATTATAAGCATGAGCTACTGTGCCTGGCCAACTCCTGCTTAGTTTCTTGCAGTAACTTATAAATTGCTTTCCTTGCTTTCACTCTTGCCCCTAAAATTCATCTTCTATATGGCAGAGTGATCTTTTTAAAAGTGTAAATCAGATCATGGCCCTGCCTCCTCTGCTGAAAATTCTCCAATGACTTCCCGTCACAAGCTCCTCACCACGGCCTCCAAGGCCTTCCATTAGCTGTCCTGGCCCACCTCTCTGACTTTCACACTTCCTGTTTTCTCATCCCTGTACCTTGAAGTATTTGGGCCCTTGTTATTTAGATTAATGTCAAATCTACCCTCGCAGAAAAACTATTTAAAAACAATTTTTTTAGGGACAGGGTCTCACTCTGTTGCCCAGACTGGAGTGCGGTGGGGAGATCACAGCTCACTGCAGCCTTGAACTCCTGGGCTCAAGTGATCCTCCTGCTTCGGCCTCCCAAGTAGCTAGGACTACAGGCACACACCATTGCACCTGGCTGATTTTTAAGTTTTTTGTAGAGACTGAGTCTTCCTATGTTGCCCTAGGCTGGTCTTGAACTCCTGGCCTCGAGTGATCCCACCTTGACTTCCCAAAGTGGTAGAATTACAGGCCTGAGCCATCGTGCCTAGCTGACCTCTTTTTGTTTTCTTCAAGGTACTTACCACTAATTAAAGTGATTGTGTTCATGTATTTGTTTCCTAGTTCAGTGCCTAACATTCCTCACTGAATTGTAAGCTCCAGAGAATAAGTTCCTTGTCTATTATTCAACTGTTTATGCCCATTGCCTAGATTAGTGCCTGACTCATGGTGGGCTCTCATTGAAACTGTTCAATGAATGAATGAATGATCTGCCCATTGTATGCATGTTCTTTGCATCAGGGCCTGGCTTTTTATACAAATGAGAACAATACATGATACCATCTGTACCTTCAAGGAAGGAGCAGTTTGGTAGAGTGGCAGAGGCAAGAGCTCTGGAGCTTGACAGACCTAGGTCCTGAGACATGGCTCTGTGAAATGGGTGACCTTGGACCTCCGAGCCTTTCTGAATTCAGTTTTCTAATCTATAAAATGGTAATAATTCTATCTACTTCTAGACTTTTTACAGTAACTTTTTTCCTGTTTTTACCTGCTATTGAATAGAGTAACTTTTATAGAATTCAAGTCCAATTTATATTAGCAGAAGTTGTATCTGCAGCTTACAAACAGTATATCATCACAGCAAAGAATACATGCCTGTGTATATGTTCCTCTCTTTAGATGTGTGTGTCTGTGTGTGTGTGTAAGGGTGTGTGTGTATGTGTGAGTGGGTGAGACTCTGTGTGTGGGAGTGGATAAATATGTGTGTGGGGGGAGTGTGTGTCTCTCTCATATACTATATTACATATAGTATACATAATATATAATGTTATATATTACACATTACATATAATACATTATATTATAGTACATTAAAAATTATATATACACATTTGATATATATATATAATATATATATGTAGAGAGAGAGAGACAGTTTCTCAGAAGAATGATTAATTCTCCAATTCATCAAGGAATAATTTTCTAGCATGAAGCAGAGTCCTTAACAGCCTTATTTAATTGATGGTAATTGGTATTAAGAGGGTATAATTTATAGAACCAGCATTGAAAAAATACCTCTGCTTAGAGTTCTAACGCTGGGTGATAAGAACCATCAAGCTTGCCATTCAGGAAGTCCTTGAAGTTTGTGAATGACAAATAGGTCAAGGAGAAAATTGTTGAGAGACCCCTTCAATGTCTTCTTAAGTCTCTCAAATGTCAATCAATAAATGGTATCCTCCAAATGAAAACCTTTTCCACTTGGAAGCCTGTCGTCCATTACAATAGCTTTCTCTCTCTTTTCTGCCACAAGAGCAAATGAAATGTATTTTTCCAACAGCAGCTTTCAGGAAAGCCAGTTAGTGAATTTTAAGATTAGTTTATTCTGCTCCAGATTTTGAAGTTATTTTTTGATATTTGATCTGTGGGCTGAATCACAGAATCCAACTTTAAAGTTAGAAGGGATCTGGAGATCATTTAGTTCAAACTCCCTTGTGCAGCTTTTCTGTAGACATGAAAATTGTGCTGTTAATTTTTAATACCATTTTGAGTCTTTGAATGAGAGAATTAAGCTTTTCATAATTATGTGCCGTGACCACCAGCAGTATAGGCTGTGAGCTCTTGGAGGAGCTTATGAGGAGAAACTCCAGAGAAGCATGAGTTCTTCATGTCCAATATCTGGCATGGAACCCAGAATAAAGGCTTGAAAAATGAATCATTCCTAATATAGTAGTTAGAGAAATTAGACAAGCTTGCAAACATGTAATCGTTCACAACAAAATAAAAGGATAAAGACAAGGAAAATCTAAAATAACCAGCAGGGTATGGTGGCTCACGCCTGTAATCCCAGCACTTAGAGAGGCTTAGGTGGGAGGATTGTTTGAGGCCATGAGTTCGAGATTAGCCTGGGCAACATAATTAGACTCATCTCTACAAAAAATAAAAAAAATTAGCCAGGTGTGGTGGCATGTGCTGGAGGCTGAGGTGGGAGGATGGCTTGAGCCCAGGAGTTTGAGGCTATAGTGAGCTATGGTCCGATTGTGCCACTGCACACCAGCGTGGATGACAGAGTGAGACCCTGTACCTAAAGATAAAATAACATAATTCAAAAATGATTTTTATTAGGTTTAAACAATTAGTGAGAGCCCCCCCTCCCAATAAGTATATGCTTTTTCATAGCACTTCCCATTCCCCATACTAACTTACTAATTTAATGTTTCTGTTGGTGACTCATGCTGAATTGTGCAGTAGGAACACAGAGTGCTGAATTTCCTTAGATAATCCACAGAACGGAAAATCAATTTTATGACAAATAAGCATTGACTAAAAAGAGAAATCAGAGTGTAAATAACTATCATCATATAACTCATTTTATCTTCTAAAGAACTCAGTTTGGAAAATATCTTTATATCTCTATATTCTATGCCTTTATAACCCTATGATATATCTCCATATCATGTGTAATACATTTATACACCACTGTATTAGGCAGTTCTTGCATTGTTGTAAAGAAATACCTGTGACTGGCTGGGAGCACTGGCTCACACCTGTAATCCCAGCACTTTGGAAGGCCGAGGCGGGCAGATCACCTGAGGTCAGGAGTTTGAGACCAGCCTGGCCAACAAGGTGAAACCCCGTCTCTACTAAAAATGCAAAAATTAGCCAGGCATGGTGGCACACACCTGTAATCCCAGCTACTCGGGAGGCTGATGTGGGGGAATTGCTTGAACCCGGGAGGCAGAGGCTGCAGTAAGCTGAGATTGTGCTACTGCACTCCAGCCTGGGGGACAGAGTAAGACTCTGTCTCAAACAAACAAACAAACAAACAAAAAAACCCTGTGACTGGGTGATTTATAAAGAGAAGAGGTTTAATTGGCTTATGATTCTGCAGGCTGTACAGGAAGTGTGGTGTTGGCATCTGCTCGGCTTCTGGGGAGGCCTCAGGAAGCTTACAGTCATGGCAGAAGGTGAAAGGGGAGCAGGGATGTCACATGACCAGAGCAGGCACGAGAGAAAGAGAAAGAATATGTGTCAGGGGAGGGGGTTGTCACTTTTAAATGACCAGATCTTGTATAAACTCAGAGCAAGAGCTCACTTATCACCAAGGCCCAAGCCATTCATGAGGGATCCGCCCCCATGATACAAACACTTCCCACCAGTCTCCACCTCCAATACTGGGGATTATAATTCATGAGATTTGGGTCAAGAAAAATATCCAAACTATATCAACCACCGTATTAGTGGTATTGAAACTAATGGTATAGTGGTTTAATTGCTTGCATGAAGGCACATCGGCAGCTAATTGGCCGAGCTGGGACTCAAAACTAAGTCCGACTCCACTATACTTCACTGGTTCTGCCATGGCAGAGAACAGAAAGGGATTTGAAGATGACTTAATCATGTGACTTCATGGTACTGGTGAGGACACGGGGACCAGAAGAAACTGCAACTTGCCTAAAATCACACAACTGCTTAGTGGCAGAGCTGGAGTCACAGTTAGTTGTCCCTTGACCATGAAGCCTCATTTTAGAAATTTTGCTATTTTTTTCCCTCTTCTCTGTTCCTAAAATTTACTTTTTAAGACTGCTGTTGAACAAAGGAAATTCATGTCTTATAAGTACTATTTACATAATCAGTATCCTGGAAGTGAAGTAATAGCTTAGGGACTATATCATCACAGGTCTCTTGAATGTGTTTAGGTTAGACTGTGATAAGGAGTGCAGACCGGCTGAAATAGCACTTTGCTCTAAAGGATATTTTGATTAAATAGAGCAGCTTTATTTCTGGCCTGAATTAATAGGTGATAGAAATATATTAGCAGAAGGTAATAGTAGGTGATTAAAAGATTTAAATAGTAAATTCAGTTCTTTGTCTTTTTTTCACTAATTGCACTGCTTATGTTAATTTTATTTTATTTTTTATTTTTTTATTTTATTTATTTATTATTATTATACTTTAAGTTTTAGGGTACATGTGCACAATGTGCAGGTTAGTTACATATGTATACATGTGCCATGCTGGTGTGCTGCACCCACTAACTCATCATCTAGCATTAGGTATATCTCCCAATGCCATCCCTCCCCCCTCCCCCCACCCCACAACAGTCCCCAGAGTGTGATGTTCCCCTTCCTGTGTCCATGTGTTCTCATTGTTCAATTCCCACCTATGAGTGAGAATATGCGGTGTTTGGTTTTTTGTTCTTGCGACAGTTTACTGAGAATTATGATTTCCAGTTTCATCCATGTCCCTACAAAGGACATGAACTCATCATTTTTTATGGCTGCATAGTATTCCATGGTGTATATGTGCCACATTTTCTTAATCCAGTCTATCATTGTTGGACATTTGGGTTGGTTCCAAGTCTTTGCTATTGTGAATAATGCCACAATAAACATATGTGTGCATGTGTCTTTATAGCAGCATGATTTATAGTCCTTTGGGTATATACCCAGTAATGGGATGGCTGGGTCAAATGGTATTTCTAGTTCTAGATCCCTGAGGAATCACCACACTGACTTCCACAATGGTTGACCTAGTTTACAGTCCCACCAACACTGTAAAAATATTCCTATTTCTCCACATCCTCTCCAGCACCTGTTGTTTCCTGACTTTTTAATGATTGCCATTCTAACTGGTGTGAGATGGTATCTCACTGTGGTTTTGATTTGCATTTCTCTGATGGCCAGTGATGGTGAGCATTTTTTCATGTGTTTTTTGGCTGCATAAATGTCTTCTTTTGAGAAGTGTCTGTTCATGTCCTTCACCCACTTTTTGATGGGGTTGTTTGTTTTGTTCTTGTAAATTTGTTTGAGTTCATTGTAGATTCTGGATATTAGCCCTTTGTCAGATGAGTAGGTTGCGAAAATTTTCTCCCATTTTGTAGGTTGCCTGTTCACTCTGATGGTAGTTTCTTTTGCTGTGCAGAAGCTCTTTAGTTTAATTAGATCCCATTTGTCCATTTTGGCTTTTGTTGCCATTGCTTTTGGTGTTTTAGACATGAAGTCCTTGCCCATGCCTATGTCCTGAATGGTAATGCCTAGGTTTTCTTCTAGGGTTTTTATGGTTTACAGTTCTTTGAATTCTCCCTGTGATGAAGCCTCTGCATCCTATTTCATAATACTTACTTATAAAGAAGATCCATAAAATGAGTATATCCTGTTTAAAATACAGATGCCCTATCTATAAGTGATTTTGTTGTTCTGACATCTAATGCCATTGGCAAAAATTATAAACTTTTAAATTTTTTTTAGAGAGATGGGGGTCTCGCTCAAGCTAGAGTACAGTGGCATGATCATAGATCATTGTAGCCACGGACTTCTGGGCTCAAGTGATCTTCCCACCTCAGTCTCCAGAGTAGCTGAGACTACAAGTGTGTGCCACCATGCCCAGATAATTTTAAAAACAATTTTTATAGAGACAGATCTGTCTGTGTTGCCCAGGCTGGTCTTGAACTCTGGGCCTCAAGCAATCCTCCTGCCTCAGCCTGCCAAAGTACTGGGATTACAAGTGTATGTCAGTAAACTTACAATTATAAATTTCATACCTCTGTGGTCAGTGAAAGCAGTTTTCAATTAATAACATTTTGGCTAATATTTACCACCTGTTGTAAGTGTGGCTTAACATGTTTAAGTGTTAACAATTGCTAATAATACTTATAGTTTGTTGGTAGTTTACATTTCTGTTGAAGGCATAGTTCTCTTCTGAAGTTACCTTCTACGTGAGGAAACTCCGATTATTATAAAACTCCTAGCTTCTCTCCACCTTCTCATTTGCTTCTCTCCAGGAAGGAAGAAAGAATAAATCCGTTTGGTGAACTGGACACCTGTAACCCGGCTTCTTCCTCAGGGGAGAGAGTGGCCCACGGAGAGCAAACATTTTCCTCAGCTTTTCCACGTGGTCAGGATGAGTCTGAGGTTTGTGACTGGACGGGTGTCTCATTCTAGGGTTTGCTGCAGGAATAATCCATGTCCTTCAACCGAGCCTTCATCAGTACCACATGGGATAATTTGGCTCTCCATCAGCTGCCTTTTTTTGTCTTGTTTCCCAATTGGTTCAGGCCTCAGTGGGGAGGGGAGGCCTCAGTTATCAGAACACCTCACAGACCCAAACTGCTCTGAGCCACTGGGCTGAGTCTTGAGGCGTTAATAAGAAGCACAGTTTGTGAGATAAGCATCACATGGAGATTGAGGTTTGTGGCTTGGAGGGTGCTTTTAGCTCTGGTGATCCTGTACTTGGTGCAAAACGCATTAGATTTTTACCAAGGTGGGTCACTGTGTCCACAGGCAAGGGGCTGTTTTCATAAGAGTGGTTGTGTTTCTCTAGGGGCAGAAGTGCAGGCACCAGGGTCTCAGCTGAGGCTCAGACCTTCCACGAATCTGCAGGGATCTGAGAGCAGACTGCTGCAGGTGTGAGTTTTATTCTGAGCCGGCAAGGCTGAAGCAAGTGCTTGATTATAGGGAAGAGTCTTCCCTTATGGTCTTTAGCTGTCAGGGAGCAGAGTAATATTTACTGTTTTAAAACTGCAATGCAGCTGATTTTTGCACAAGCTAAAGAGAACTAAGTGAGATTTTTTGCCTTTAACCAACAGCATCAGATCTAGGTAAGCGCTGTGGGATTCCTGCCCCAATTTCTGTTTTTCTGTTCTGTTCTGGTTTTTTTTTTCTGCCTTGCCAGCCAAGAAACGGACAGACTGATCTTGAGTTCTTATGGCTTGTTTATAAAAAAAAAAAAAAAACAAAAAACAGGCACACAAAAATCTACTGTCAGATTCCATTTACGTGCTGTTCAAATCCCAGGCAAAACCAATTTATGGAGATATCAGAATATTTGGTATCTTTAAGGAGTTATCAACTGAATGGGGGTTCCAGGGAGCATTTAGGGTTATTGGAAATGTTCTCTGTCTTGATTTAGGTATTGTTTGCCCATGTATATATGCACATACAAATTAATTGAAGTGTACTTGAAAGTTGTACACCTTATTGTAACCTTAAAGTATTTATCCAGGCATAGATGAGCATGGATGACTTCTCTGAGCCAGCAATTTAGCGGCATGCTCCCCATCTGCAGTGCTTGCTCTAATGGCCCCCAATTCCCATAGGCTACTAGGGGAGGGGCTGTGTCAGATTCTATAAGACACACTCTACTGGTTTCGAGTTTGCCTTTAAAGATGTATTTATTTTTATTTGATGCCTTCCTGGTCCCCCTTGATGTTTTGGATGCTCACCAGGTGTAAGTGGTGTAAGAGACCCACCCCCACCAGATCTAGGGTGATGGCTGCTGTGAGAAAAACTTGAGGCTGTCTGCTCCCACTGCCCTACCCCCGGCAAACTCAGAAGGTGCCAAGAGACTAAAGAATGACTCAGACAAGTCCAGCTTGGTGAGTAGATGAGTTTATTAGGACATGCATACAGGGCACTCCTTGGCAGCAGCAGGATGGCTCAAGAGTTCCACACCAGGTTCCGTCTCTAAACTGCTTTTTTTTTTTTTTTTTTTTTTTTGAGATGGAGTTTCTCTCTTGTTGCCCAGGCTGGAGTGCAATGGTGTCATCTCGGCTCACTGCAACCTCTGTCTCCTGGGTTCAAGCAATTCTCCTGCCTCAGCCTCCCAAGTAGCTCGGATTAGATATGTGCCACCACACCCAGCTAATTTTGTATTTTTAGTAGAGATGGGGTTTCACCATATTGGCCAGGCTGTTCGTGAACTCCTGACCTCAGGTGATCCACCTGCCTTGGCCTCCCAAAGTGCTGGGATTACAGGTGTGAGCCACCGCGCCCGGCCTCTAAACTACTTTTAAGTTAATCTTCTGGCTCTTTGGCCACTGTGTTTGAGCACTGAGGCTGTTTTCCTTGGTAGGTTCTCAGATACTCTCTGAGATGTTTGAGTTTTCAGGGACATCGGCTCCTTGGCTGGGCACCATGGCCTTGGCTCACTGGAATAAACATTTAGGGTTCAGGCAGCAGACACACACCCTTGAGTAGCCTGGTGAGGGAACCACTATCAATGGCCCTAACATAATCTTGAGTGTTTACCACACAGCTGGGTGAATCAAAGGTTAGTTCTTTAGATGTCCCAAACTCTAGTAGATCTAGTCCTCTGACCAACCGGATGTCTGTCCTGCACAAGGTGTAACTTATATGTGCCATATTTCAAACTCCTGCACACATACCACAATCATCTATTCTTCTGTAAAGGACCAGATAGTCTACACTTTGTGCTTTGCGGGTCGTATGATCTCTGTGTCAACTAGTCAGCTCTGCATGAAAGCAGCTATAGACAATACATAAACAAATGGGTGTGGCTGTGCTCCAAGAAAGCTTAATTTACAAAACAGGTGGTCAGCCAGATTTAGTCTACAGGCTATAATTTGCCTGATCTAAACCATGTAATCATTCTGAAAAATTGACAGAGACAGGTTTATTCCATCTTTTTTTGCTTTGTTTTTGCCAGTAGGGGAACTGAGTCTTGGTGAGCTGAATGAGTTTCCCAGGTTATCTCTGGATAGTGAAGGATTTCCAACTAGGACTCGGATGAAATGTACTCATGCTATTGACATGTAGTTTTAAGGTCTATGAGAATAAGTGTCATGTCTAATACTGCTTAGCATTCAACTTGAAGCACTTAATAAGTATTCTCTCAATTGAGCAGTTTTGTATAACTTTCAGTCTTAAAACATCTTCCTATTCAGCCTCCCTCCCTCTCTCCCTTTCTTCCTTTTTTTTTTTTTTTTTTTTTTTTTGAGATGGAGTTTCGCTTTTGTCACCCAGGCTGGAGTGCAATGGCACAATCTCGGCTCACTGCAACCGCCGCCTCCTGGGTTCAAGAGATTCTCCTGCCTCAGCCTCCCAAGTAGCTGGGATTACAGGCATGCATCACCACACCTGGCTAATTTTTGTAAATATTTAGTAGAGACGGGGTTTCACCATGTTGGCCAGGCTAGTCTCAAACTCCTGAACTCAGGTGATCCACCTGCCTCGGCCTCCCAAAGTTCTGGGATTACAGGCAAGAGCCACCACACCTGGCCTTCCCTCCCTCCCTCCCTCCCTCCCTCCCTTCCTTTCTCCCTCCCTTCCTCCCTTCCTTCCTTCCTTCCTTCCTTTTCCTTCCTTCCTTCCTTCCTTCCTTCCTTCCTTCCTTCCTTCCTTCCTTCTTTCCTTCCTTCCTTCCTTCCTTCGTCTCACTCTGTCATCCAGGCTGGAGTGCAGTGGCGCAATCTTGGCTCACTGCAACCTCTGCCTCCAGGGTTCAAGTGATTCTCCTGCCTCAGCCTTCCAAGTAGCTGGGACTACAGGTGCATGCCACCATGCCTGGCTAATTTTTGTATTTTTGGTAGAGATGGGGTTTTGACATGTTGCCCAGGCTGGTCTCCAACTCCTAAGCTCAGGCAATCCATCTGATTGCCTCCCAAAGTGCTGGGATTACAGGCGTGCTACCGTGCCTGGCTTTCCTCCACACACTTTCTATTGTCTGATTATCATCTCAGAAGGAAGCCTGAATAGGCTTCGAAGGTATTTAAATTTTAAAAGAGGACAGCTAAAGAAGGCAACACTATTTTCAGCAGAGCTAAATGCTACACAGATGAAGGAGATAATTTAGAAAAGCATCTCAGATCAAAGCATATCAGTATCCTCACCTCGTTTATTAAGATGTGTGTGTGACTGTAGCCATACTAAGTGACACGAAAGACCTTGTTAATCAAATCACTCACCCATCCTTTTTGTGGCCACAGAGGAGTGCGTCCAGGCTAAAGGAATAATACTTATTGCTAAATACTGTCCTATCGAAGGCTGAAAATATACATTTGCTTCCCCTGAGCTCTACTTAAGAGTAGTAGTCATTCCACTGTTTATCAAAACACCATATTGTACACCTTAGATATATATGATAAAAAAGACATAGCACACATCTGCTCTACATTTATAATAAAGGAACCTACAGGCAATTTTGTTTTGTATTGTTACCCTCTTGCCTTTACTCAGATTTTATTATTTAAACCAGAATCCACAAGCGATGTCTGCCACATCATGCTGACTCCAGGGACTGCGTATGAACAATCTGTAGTTACGGCTTCATTTCTTGAAATGCCCTTACCTTTCAGTGTCTGAAACGTAACACAGATACTTAGGAAGAAGGATGGAGAGTATGATGTTTCGTTCTATGAGTTATCTACTCTTCCTTTGGTGCAAAAAATATTTGAAGGGGAAATTATTTACTACTGCATTACTCTCCTATTCAAAAGAGATGTGGCCGGGCACAGTGGCTCACACCTGTAATCCCAGCACTTTGGGAGGCCGAGGCGGGTTGACCATTTGAGGTCAGGGGTTCGAGACCAGCCTGGCCAACATGGTGAAACCCCGCCTCTACTAAAATTACAAAAAAATTTAGCCAGTTACGGTGGCAGGTGCCTGTCGTTCCAGCTACTTGGGAGGCTGAGGCAGGAGAATCGCTTAAGCCCAGGAGGCGGAGTTTGCAGTGAGTTGAGATTGCACCACTGCACTGCAGTCTGGGCAACACAGCGAGACTGTGTCTCAAAAATAAATAAAATAAAATAACGCCATTTTTTTCTCAATGCAGTTTGGACATCACAGGGGTACTTGGGGACCTCTATGGGAAAATGAGACATGGGGAACAGTGGTGAAAATCCATTTGCTTTCTTCCTGGTTTCACTTGGGGCCTCACAGCTTTCCCCTAGGGCCAGTCCTGCAAGATACAAGCATTTCTTACTTGCATATTCTAAGAATATTTTGCTGAAAAAAAATTCATTTCTTCTCTGTTTTCATCCAAACAATTCCCTATCCAAGAGATCCTCCTCATGTAAAAATCTGATCAGGTCAATCAGCTCCTTTAAAATTCTTCTGGTATTCCTCACTGTCTAGAGGACAGGTGTATGCTTCCCCTTAGCTTGGAACACAGTGCTTTTATTTATTTTATTTTTTTAAATTTTATTATTTTTGGGATGGAGTCTTGTTCTATAGCCCAGTCTGGAGTACAGTGGCATGATCTCAGCTCACTGTAACCTCCTTCTCCTGGGTTCAAACAATTCTCCTGCCTCAGCCTCCCAAGTAGCAGGGATTACAGGTGCCTACCACCATGTCCAGCTAATTTTTGTATTTTTAGTAAAGACAGAGCTTCACCATGTTGGTCAGGCTGGTCTCAAACTCCTGACCTGAGGTGATCTGCCTGCCTTGGCTTCCCAAAGAGCTGGGATTACAGGCGTGAGCCACTGTGCCCAGCCACATGGTCCTTTTGTGACCTGGCTCTCCTCTACTTTGTAAATGTTCCATTTCCACATGCATCCTGGACTCCAGTCATTCCAAACAGACTCTGACTCTAGGTGCCAGGCTATTCCTGGTCTCAATGCCTTGCATAGCTGCACCTTCTCCCTAGAATATTTCTCTGATGTTCTCCCTAAAGAAGTGCCCATGTTAGTTCAAGCATCACTGTCTTTGGGAAGGCTGTTTGACCTTCTCAGCCAGAGACTGGCGTTTTCTCACCCCATGTAAGGATGGCTACCAGAAGATACATTTTCCCTGGGCCTCAGCCTCCCTTACTAGACCTTGCACCCTAACAAGTTCTATTCATTTTTGTATCCTTAGTGCCCGGCACAGTGTAGAATTTAATAACATGTGCTAGAAATAATGGGTAACTATTTTATAAAGAAGAAAACTTCAGATTTCTAACATTCTGTTTTATAATATTCATATCACAAACAGGAGTTTTTAGAGGGAAGAGGCCCTCATTCATCTTTGTATTTATTGTGCTAACATAGTGCCTGGTAGTAACACTTAATAAATGTTTGGGGAATGAATAGGGGAGTGAGCAGGTAAATGGATGATGTGGATAACCATCCAGTGTGCGCCCAGGGCTCAGCCTCCATTCATCACTGTCTACCACAGAAAGTCTCGAGGTAGCTGGAAGCAAGGCCAAAGACTCAGAGCTCCTCTCTCTTTGGATGAATGGCTAAGAGATTACAGAGGGAGCCACAGGCATTGCTAAAGAATCTAAAGTCAGAGCTGACCTGGGGTTAGCCTAGTAGAAATGTACTTATTAAGTCCTTAGTTCATTTGTTTATTTAATACATATTTATTGGGTCACAGTTCCTAATTGGAAATTCTTGAGGCCTGATGTGTTCAGAATTCAGATTTTCTTCAGATTTTAGAGTGGTAATGTAGCACATAGCATGTAAAGCTATACTAGGGCAGAGACCCCTGGTATACTGGGGTGTAGCTTGGGGCCTAGGGCCACATCATGGGAAAAAGCACATTAATATTTCTGCAGAAAAGTGTATTTATATCTGCACTACATTGTGGAATAAATAAAAACTATAAATAGGCTTATGACAGTTCAGGTTAAGTTTTGCCTTCAAATGACTGAAGCACAGATCAGGTTTTTCTGCCAATTGTGCTGCAGAAAACTTTCTCTTTTTCAGAACTTTTTGGGTTTTGGAATTGTGGATGAGGAATTATAGAACTGTAACAATGATTCTCTGCAAGAATTCCTCTTTTAGAAGAAATTTGGGAAAATATCCAACAAATATTAATTCTATCAGTAATTCCCAAAATGGTTTGATTGAAAAAAAGTCATCTCAAAGGGTATTACTAAAATCTAAAGATAAATGAATTTAAATATACTTTCATTAAAAAAAAAGAACCTTGATATTACATCATTATTTTTAACACATGGCAAAGTAGAGCTAATAAGTGGGATAAAGGGCTTCTTATTCTAAAACAGCTGTTCCTTGCAATCTTTACTATGGGGAAAAAAATGGTGAAGGGCAGTGCAAGGGGGCGGCAATAAGAGAACAGAAGGAAGTAGCTAAAATTAGCACTGTAGGTTCGAGGTCCTGCTAATTAAATTTATACTGCACCAGCAAATGCTTCAGAATTGTTACTTTTTCCTGTTATTTAACACTGGACATTCCTTTATCTGTGCAGGATGCATTTATTTACAGCCCGCCCCTTTCCCCCCCTCCAAAAAAAAAGTAGATTCAGAAACGCCTGCCCTGGGTAAAGGTGGAGAACAGCACTCTCCCATTAAAGTTTAAACCTCATGGCCACTGTCAAGATGGTGTCTAGAGTTTTACCAGTAGGTGAAATCCTCGTTAGAAGCTGTTAGGAAAAATACATGAAAAATACATAATGTTTCCCTTAGTTGTTCTGGTTCCTTAACATCTTTAAACTGATCATCTCTAGTTTCCAAGAGTTCTGGCTTTTGAGGGGAAATTAAGATTCTATTAGGTTGATGCAAAATTTTCTATATTAATTACTTCATATGGAATTACTTTTACATCAGCCTCATAGAATCAATTTCTATATTAGGTTGGTGCAAAAGTAGTTCTATATTAAGTAATTAATATAGAAAATTAATTTTTATATTAGGTTGGCATTACAATGGCAAAACCACAATTAATTTTGCACCAACCTAATATAGGTGAGCTACTTTTGTGACGAGTTTTATCAGACCCTGCCAAGGTGTCCTGGTACAAGTTTCCCAGGGAAGGGCTTGCAATAACGTGTGCAAATCTGTGTACTCACAGGGCTTGGGATTATGTGACAATCTGAATGGTGCAGAGCTCATAGGTCCCAGGAGTCTCCCATTTTCCCCCTCCTGTTTCCCTGTTCCCGTTGTTTGCTCTGCCCTTGGGTGCCCCACCCTGCCATGCCTGCCCTAGCTGGCTCACTTCATTCTGTGGGCCTCAGCTTCCTTCTGCTTTGAATCTCCGCTTCGTTCAACATTGGGTCACTAATACAGAGATCTTCAGGGTTGGCTGGGAGAATACCTTGTATCTTTTTGTGAGACAACATTTTCCTCCTTGCATGACCCTCATAGAACTGTCAACCTCTCTCCTTGTTTATGTTCCTGTGGGGTTAACCCTGACTAGAAAAGTGCAGGACATTCTGCCATCACGTGTAGAGGGAACATCGGGGAAGAGAGATGCAACCCTCTTTGTTTAAATATTCAGACAGATAAAGTGCAATATATAATTTTCCCCTCTCAGGGCTCCCACTGTGTCTATATTTACTTGGTGGTGCCGAGATGAATTTTAGGAGAAAGAAAAATGTCACCTGTGTTCATGATGCTGTGGCAAAGAGGTGTGTGCAGAAAGAGAACTTTTACAACTTAAGCATTATCTTCAAGGAAAGGATGAAGGACTTTGCCCTTGTGTAAAGGGATTTTAGGGATCAGAGTAGGTCAAAGATTGACTTTCACAGGGCTGGAGATCTTGACAGAACTAAAGACACTCATCTCTGTGTGACTGTGGCCCCTCATTACAACATGTCCCTAAGGAGCCCCAGTAGAAAGCCTCATTTCATGGGAAACTAGCTCGTGCTCACCGAGCTCTTTTCATAGAAGACATGCGTTATTATTGAACATTCATTAAGCTCTGAACGCTGTAGCTCTCAGGTCTTTTGCAAGAAGAGACTAGAAAAAAGCCATGTGGGAGTGATGATAGCAGTGCAATGGTCATTTATTGAACACATGCAAATTCCAGGTACTGAGCTAAGTATCTTACATGGATTCCTTCATGTCATCCTCATAACGACTCTGTAAGATGAGAACTATTAATATGTCCATTTGACAGATGGGGCCACTGAGCCCTAAAGGAGGTCAGCGGCTTGGCCAAGGCCACGTGATAGCTCAGTAGTGGCTGGCTGGTAGTGGGGTCCCATGTAGACCCCTGTCATGCGTGTGCTGGAAGAGAGGTCTGACCCACAGCCTTTCACATGATCAGGTACAAGCTGAAGACAGAAGAAAGAGGGCATCGGTGGTGGCAGCTGTAAGAGAAGAAGACTTTGGTCTTTTGACACATCGTGCTAGGAGGACAGCCTCAGTGTTCTTAGTGTGTGAAAGCAACTGTCTCATAATAAAAATAGGCAGATCAGTGATAATCAAGATTTAAAATAACCCTAAAGTGTGGAAAGAAGTGAATGGAAAAGTGACTCTTTCTCTAGGCGTTGTCAGTCCCTGCAGGCTGAGCTACCTGTTTTTGAAAAAGAACAGAAAACCAAGTCTAGGGTGGGGCCTGGAGCCAGCCACATACACTCTGACCTCGTTTTCTCTCAATGTCTGAACAAGCCTGGGAACATAAATACTTGAGCAAGAAAAACAAGTCAGGCCCTGAGTGGAGGACAGGCAGCAGCAAGTAAAGGAAGGGGAGCAGAGGTGAGAGCTAAGGCCCTCACAGGAAGGAGACCCAGGGTCTCCAAACCCTTCTTTCTGATATATACAGTGATCCTTTTCCATCTTATGTAAAGTGCTATGATCCTGAAGACTCAGTCCCCTCTTTCAGATAAGACTGCTGCCCCTAAGCTCTTTCTGAATGGAAACTCTGCCCTAAACAGGGGTTGAGGAACTTCTGGGGAAACTGAGGAGACTCAGTAGAACTGATTCTTTGAAGACAGCTGGTCTATCTGTGCTGGAGACTCTTCTATGGCCAGAGGTTGAAAGAAGGCTCTGCATGGTGGGGAGGAAATCAAGTTATTGTCCTAATTCTGCTAAGGAAAGAACAGCACAAGAAAACCAGTCCCTTGGTTTCCATTTTTCCCGAGTTTTATGCGTTTCACACATGCAGTGTATTCAAGCATTTCTTCTACAATTTTTTTAATTTGAGACTGAAATCCTCTTTTGAGCAGGAGTCAATATGTAGCTGATAGGCAATTTACCTGTTGTATATTTCCTATCAGGAAGTCAACATCATTTAGTGACAGACAGTAGAGCCATCACTAGCCAACATTACAGTTGCTTGTGACAGAGTTGAAAGTGCATAAACTTTGGCCTCAGTAGCCTTGGGCTTGAACCCTGGTTCTATTTACTACTTAACTTGTCTTTAGTCAGCTTTCCAAATCTCTCAGAGGCTCACTTTCCTCACTTGTTAAGTGGACATAAAATCTACCTTAAGCAATTGTGATAAGGATGAAATGAGATAAATAGAAGTGCCAACATATTCAATAAAAACTAGGTATCCTTATCTACGTGTAGATCTCTGACACAAGCAGTATTTATATAAGGATTGGAAGCTTGAAGCTAGAGCTGGCAAAAGGAAAAATGTGTTATGTATATTTGAAAAATCATTTATATTTGATGGAGAATGCATTGTACATCATTCTTCAAGCTGATTTACCTTGCTAATTACCTATCACTCTGGCTAATATTGGAATTAGCTTGTCATTCTCAGCAATCTCTGATGGCCCGTTTGGTAGGCGTGAGAGCCCAGAAGCTTTCTGAGTCATTTGGGAATAAATGAGTTGAGGGACTTCAGCTACAGTGAGAATGACCTCCTTTCCCCTCAAATTGATTATCTGTAAAAGAGAAATCCTTTGGAAACCTTTTTCCTTAAGTGTTCATTGCTTACTTTTAGTCTTTCTCCCACTTCTCATGCACTCTGTCATCTTAGCAGCACCAAAATAAGTTTTTTCCCCGACTGCTCACAAATTGCGAAGATATGAGTGTGTCCCCTAATGTTATATAGCATATTGCATCTCTGCCATAGACACCAGAAGTTTCAGCTTTCTCAATTTCACCTTATCTTTTCCATAACATCCGAGAGAAAAATGAAACCGTGGCAGAGTGTTTTCATTGATCAAGCAGGCTTTTAATGTCTTGCCTTTTGCTTCTTGGCAGTGTGACCTCTGATCTCAGCTATATGGCCCTCAGTCTTCAGATCATCCTTATCCTAACCAAACTAACATATCTTCATGCTTTAGATATTGAAAGACACATTGTTTTCTTTAATTGGAAAAAATACTAGTTACATAATGCCCTTTAATCTTAGTAATCAGCAAGCATACAAATAAAACCTGGAACATTGTTTTGACAAACCATTGCTTGCTTTCTGCCTTGTCATACTGGGTTTATAAACTCTGTACCATACACTTGAGACACCCTGAAAATCACAGTAATTACCATAGAACAAGCTTCCCCCCATCACTGGATTGTGAAGCAGGTGCACTCCACATATATTGGTTATAACTTTGTAGCCTATGTTGAACAAGTCATTTACTTTGACAAAAGTCAAAGTTGTATCTGTTATACCCTCTTAGCAAGCCAACAAATGCCTTGCGTGGATGTGAGTGGAGAGTTACCACCACTATATGTGATAACATAGCTTAAGATGAGGGGAGCTGAGGGGAGCTGTGCTGCCATATTTTGTAACCAGATACTGGAATCCTTTCTCAGCCATTGTCCTTAGCAGAGCTGTGTGGAGAAAATCTTAAGGCCTTCCATCAACTGATTCACCGATTTAGGATTCTTTTCTTGATATCTTTAAATTTTATTAAAATGATTAATCTATATTATATTAAATATGTATTAATTGAAAACATTATTTAAAATAAATATATTACCTATTTTCAAAATAAATACTATTTAAATATATCTAAATTATTTAAATAGGTATTAATAAAAACTATTTTCAATAAATATTATTGTAAATTAAAATCGGGAGTGAGGGGCCTGAAAAAATGTATCCCGCTTCTCAGACCAACTTTGGAAACAATAGGGAAATATAGCAAAAGAGTAAGGCAAATGGGAGTTCCAAATATCAACTGATACTGGGGAATGTAGCCTATGTCCATGAAAAGTGGGCTTGATGGAATACTGAACCCCATGATGATCAGACCAAACCACCCAGTCCGGAGCCTAACCCTGTAAAATTTCCCACAAAGAGGAACAGAACACAAGGCAAGCTCTCTGAAGTCAGGCTGGAGCTGGGAGTGTGGAGAGGTGGGCCGTGCCAGGGCTGTGCCTCACTGGCTGATCCTTCCACACCAGCAGAAGGGGCCAGGAGTGTTTCCCCTAGGGAGCTCCCTCTGCTCTCCACTTACAGGAAAGTCTCAGAACTGGAGAAAAATTCACCTCCATCCCTCCTCAGTGGTTAACTCTTTTAGGTAAGATTTAGATTCATGGCAGTTAAATTGTCACCTTTTGAACTTCTACATTTTCCCAGTTAAAATATTCCTATAGTGTTGGAATACAGAATGCATATTGTGAAAGAGAATAGAATCTCAGGACCCCAAACTCACTATGCCAAATGGAAAGTTAAGCTTAGGAACTGAGTCACACACACTGCCTTCCTTTTGTTCCCAAACAGATAACTGTGATTTCACAACCCTGTGTCACAGCCTCATCCATAAAAGCCAGGTTCCCACAATGTGGGAAGGCCACATATCTCCTCAGATGGCCTCCCTCACAAACTGCCCACAAGGAAATTCCTTGTGAGCCCCTCAATCTTTCAGGAGATATATCCCCCTTATAAACTAGCCCTCAAACCAAGTTCTATTGGATCTCGGTTCAATAGCACCTGACGATGTCAATTACCAACTTATCTTCACAGGTATAGGACAAGACCAGAAATCATCCCTCCACCCAACCTGAAATGAATGCACATGTTTACTTTTTCTTGTGTAAAAGGTAGATTTACTGAGCAGAAGACAAAATACAATTGACTTTTTCTTCTACCCTCTCTTTCCACATGTAAAATGTAGATTTATCGAGGCTAACCAGAGCCTCCCAAGAGTTTGCCTCACTGCCTACCCTTCCTCTCTTTTTCCCCTCCTGCTTACTCTTTCTCCTTTAAATGTTGAAGTTCCAAAAACCCCCTTTGGAAAAAGCACAGGTCACAGAGGTTCCTGTGACTTGTGTTTCTCCCAGGTGCTCCCTCAAACTTTGGCTAAATAAACCTCTATTGTGTGTCTCAGTCACTGATATGGTTGGGATCTGTGTCCCCACCAAATCTCATGTTCAATTGTAATCCCCACAGTTGCAGGAGGCCTGGTGGGAGGTAATTGGATCATAGGGGTGGATTCTTCATGAATGGTTAAGCCCCATACCTGTGGTGCTGTTCCTGTGAGATCTTGTTGTTTAAAAGTGTTTAGCACCTCCCCAGCCCCTCTTCCTCCTGCTCTGACCATGTGAAGTGCCTCACTCCCCCTTTGCCTTCCACCTTGATTGGAAATTTCCTGAGGACTCCCCAGAAGCAGAAGCTGCTATGCTTCCTGTATAGCCTGTAGAACCATGAGTGAATTAAAACTGTTTTCTTTATAAATTACCCCGTCTCAGGTATTTCTCTACAGTAGTGCAAGAATGGACTGAAACAGTCACTTCTTGGTTAACAATATGATGTAGGAAGACAGTACCACTATATTTCTACTATCTTACAGAATGCTTTTGAATTCTGATGATGCTCTATATAATGCTTCTAAGGGAAGAATGGAGTTAGTATTCCTGCCTACAGGTAGAGAAGAAAACTGAGGGGCTTATGTGAGAACTTGAAGACCCCTGAGAACACATGTCCACAGTGCTTGAGAAGCAGTGCATTTAGCCCTAAATGTTGCCACTTGATGACCACCTAGCAACACAAATGGGACTGTGAATGCACACACAACCCTGAAAAATCTCATGGATTGCTTGACTATAATGCACTTATCCTAACGATCCAGCCTATGCTTATACGAAAATTTTAAAGTTATCATAAACATGAAAATACAGAGTTAGAAACATTCTTTTGGAACCTTCTTTCTCCTGAAAATATCAATGCAGAAACTCAGGTTGAGAAGCACAGAGGCAGCACACATAGAATTAGGAGATGAAGCCATCAGAATGTGTCTCCCTGGTTGGTGGCTCCAGGGCTCAACAGCCGCTTTCAAGGCTAAGGTACAAATAAAGGAATTCCACTCCTCACGGTGCACCTGGCCACCTGCCAGGTTGCAAGCTTTGTTCTGGGTTCTCTCCAGACCTTGCTGTCTCATAGCTGTCCTGTCAGTTCAACATTTTAACCATACTCCTACCAGCCTGATGGGGGGAGACTGTGAAAGGAAGCTGAGTGTTTCCCTGAGACCTGAGGGACTCAGTAATGAGAAGGCGGCAGGGGAAACAGCTTGATGGAACAAGCAGAGTTTGGAGTTAATCTGGGTTCGAATTTGGGCTCCAGCTTCTAATTATGGGACATCTACAAATAATTTAACCTCTCTGTAAAAGGAAAATAAAAAGACTCTCTTCTAATCTTTTTCTTTTTTAAGATGAAAAATAATATTGTAAAGTGCCTGACATAGGAGACCACCAATAGGTAGTGGCAATGTGCTTTGTAGGTATCGTATCAGGGGACACAATGGTACACAGCTGGTGCCATTTATTCTTTTAGAAGAAATATCACGTGATGTTCATCTGACCCTATTTTCAGACTGCCTGAATTTAAATCCTAGTTCTACCACTTACTAGCTATGACACTGTGCAAGTAACCTTTCTGAGTGCCAGTTTTCTCACTCACCTTATACTTTTGTTGTAAAGATCAAGTAATATGTGGTAAGCCTTTAGCCTGAGTCTTGATGCATAGTAAGTGCTCAATAAATGTGACTTATACTGTTATTTAAGTTGTTTGGTTTTAGGCCTGCAGCTACCTGTATGAATACACAGACTAGTGCCTCTTGAACTTCAGAGCTCATACAAATCACCTGGTGAGCTTGTTAAAATGTACATCCTGATTCAGTACATGTACAGTGGGGCTGGAAATTCTGCATTTCTGTTACACTTCTTGCTGGTCCAGCGACCACATGTGGAATAGCAAAGTCATAGAAGCAGACTATTCTTAGTTTTATCTTCTTTGGTTAAAATGTTTTTGTTTTTGTTTTTTTGAGATAGGGTCTCCTTCTATCACCCAGGTTGGAGTGCAATGGCATGATCACCGTGCACTGTAGCATTGAACTCCCGGGCTCAAGCGATCCTCCTGCCTCAGCCTACTGAGTAGCTAGGACTACAGGTGTGCACCATCATTAGTTGCTATTTTTAAATTATTTGTAGAGATGAGGTCTTACTATGTTGCCCAGGCTGGTCTTGAACTCCTGGGCTCAAGCAATCCTTCTGCCTTGGCCTCCCAAAATGTTGGGATTATAGGCATGAGCCACTGTGCCTGACCTGAAATAAAAAATTTTTAGTAGAATCAGCTGCCTCTGTCTAATGCTTCTTTCTACCCGAACTACAAATGACCCTTGAACAAATTGGGTTTGAACTTCAAGGGTCCAATTAATGCACAGATGAAAATAGAGTGAGGTTCTGCAGGGCTGACTTCAGAACTTGAGTATGTATGAATTTTGTCATACATGGGGATGGGATGGGGGGTCCTGGCACCAGTCTCCCAAGGATACCAAGGGATGACTGTACTTTATGTGGTTAATTAATATTTTACTGGGTAATAAAAGGCTCTGGGAAGGGTTGGTTATCAGGCCTGCGCCTAACATTGGCAGGGTTCAAGGCAAGATTTCAAATGGAGGCCCATATGTTGTATGTCTAAATATGTAAAAGTTATAAATCAAATTGACAAATTTAAATAAAATATGTGCTATTCCCAACAAGCACATGGAAAGATGCTCAGCATCACAAATCATTAAGATAATGCAAATCAAAGCCACATAAAATATCACTTCATACCCATTAGGACGGCTACTAACAAAAAAGAAAACAAACAAAAAAGCAGAAAATAGCAAGTGCTGGGAAGGATGTGGAGAAACTGGAACCCTTGTGCATTGTTGGTGAGCATGTAAAATGGTGTGCTGCTATAAAATTAAAATAGAATTACCATATTATCCAATAATCTACTTCTGTACCCCAAAGAACTGAAAGCAGAGTCTTTAAATGATATTTGTCTATTCATGTTCCTTAACAGCATTATTCACAATAGCCAAAAGGTGAAAACTACCCAAATGTCTGTGGATAGATGAATGGATAAACAAAATGTGATTTACAACAGAATATTATTCAGCCTGAAAAAGGAACGATTCTGTCGCATGCTTCAATGTGGATGAACTTGGCGGTCTTATGCTAAATGAAGAAGTCAGTCATGGAAAGACAAATACTGTAGGATTCCACTTACATGCGGTACCTAGAGTAGTCTGATTTATAGAGAGAAAGAAAGTAGTGTAAACCAAAAAGTATCTGAGACAGGTCTCAATCAATTTAGAAAGTTGACTGAGCCTCCCGAGGTCCTGACAACATGTGCCCAAGGTGGTTGGGGCACGACTTGGTTTTATACATTTTAGGGAGACATGAGACATCAATCAATATATGTAAGATGTACATGAGTTCAGTTGGGAAAGGTGGGACAACTCAAAGCGGGGAGGGGGCTTCCAGGTCACAGATAGATAAGAGACAACAGTTGCATTCTTTTGAGTTTCTGATTAGCCTTTCACTGAGTGCACAATTTGCTGGAATAGTCACTTATGCCTTAGTCTGGCACAGTGAAACAACAAAGCAAAGGAAGCATCAAATATGCATTTGTCTCACATGAGCAGAGGGATGACTTGGAGTTCTGCCCATCCTTTGTCCACAAGGTACATAGCTTTTTGAGGGAGGTGTATAGCTTTTTAAATCTTTGTAGCTGTCTTACTGAGGAATAGACTGGGAGGCAGGTTTGCCTTATGCCAGTGGTCCCCAACCTTTTTGGCACCAGGAACCAGTTTCATGGGTGGGAGGAGATTGGTTTCAGGATGAAACTGTTCTACCTCAGATCATCAGGCATGAGATTCTCATAAGGAGTGTGCAACCTAGATCCCTTGCATGTGCAGTTCACCATAAGCTTCGTGATCCTGTGAGAATTTAATGCCTTGGCTGATCTGACAGGAGGTGGAGCTCAGGTGGTAATTAATATTTTACCCACGGCTCACCTCCAGTGGTGCCACCCAGTTCCTAACAGGCCATGGACTGGTACCAGTCTGTGGTTTGGGGGGCTGGGGATCCCTGCCCTACACAGTTCCCAGCTTGACTTTTCCAGTTGGCTTAGTGATTTCGGGGTTTCAAGATTTATTTTCCTTTCACAGTAGCATGGTGGTTGCCAGGGGCTGGGAGGAGGGGGAGGTGGGGAGTTGTTTAGTGAGTAGAGAGTTTTAGTTTTGTGAGATGAAAAGAATTCTACAGACTGGTTGCACAACCACGTGAATATAGTTACCATGACTGAACTGTACACTTAAAAATGGGTAAGATGGTAAATTTCATATTATGTGTCTTTTACCACAGTTTCAAAAAGTGCTATCTTACTGTTTTTACAAATATACATTTGTAATAACAAAATTTAAAAATGCTTGCAGCCTGGCATGGTGGCTCATACCTGTAATCCTAGCACTTTGGGAGGCTGAGACAGGAGGATTGTTTGAGCTCAGGAGTTTGAAACCAGTCTGGGCAATGTAGTAAGGCCTCATCTTTACTTTTAAAATAATTTTAAAAATGCTTGCACATTTATACTTTTATAGGACTTGAAGCCAGCAAAGTTTCAAAGATACTGGAATTATGTGTGGATATTCTCTTGACTGGCTATGTTTAGAAGTCTGGATGAAGAATAAAGACATTCCCAACTGATAAACTATTACCTATCTCACATAACTTATTTATTTCTTCTATCATTTCAGCAAAATCACTGATTATTTTGTTTTAATGAAGACTTTTATATAATTCAGTTGACATTGAAATTAGACAAACTTTCTCAATCACTTTGGTTCTTAGGTAGTTTTTTTTTTTTTTATTTGTTCGTTTGTTTTTTGAGACAAGGTCTTTCTCTGTCACTGAGACTGGAGTGCAGTGGTACGATAATGGCTAACTGCAGTCTCAACCCCTTGGACTCAAGCAATCCTCCCACCTCATCCTCCCAAATAGCTTGGACCACAGAAGTGTACCATCATACCCAGCTAATTTTTAATACTTTTTATAGAGATGGGTCTCATTATGTTGCCCAGGCTAGTCTAGAACTACTGGTCTCAAGCAATCCTCCTGCCTCAGGTTCCCAAAGTATGGGAATGATGGGTGTGAGCCACTGCGCCCAGCCTCTTGGGTAGTCTTTTTCATTTATTTTTTACTCAATTTTTCATTATTTAATTTCTATTCTCAGGTGGTCTTTATTACTACATTAATTTTAAATTCATTTTTCATCCTTTAATTTTTATTCAGTTTAGATAAACCTTGCTGAAATGATAGTAACTAGGATTTGTAATAAAACTCTTCAACAGTAAACACTTGGATTTGGAAATAAACCATGAATTTTACCTTTCTTGTTCAGATATTATAATAGGGTCACATACAATACATTATCATTAGCACAAAAAACATTATAAAACATTTTAAATTCAACGGTTATGCTGCTATCATTTGCACTGTGGTTTTCACTGTCTCTCAAACCAGTATGTAGAAACACATAGTAATATCAAGAATCTGTATCATCCTTCATGTGTGTTTCATTTATGTGTATTCTGTATATACAAATGTAAGAGTAATATACATTTTTTGATACGGCAGATGTCCCGTAGCCTCTGTGTGCACCTGACACACATACCATATTAATTCATGTATTCCTCTGATCTCATAATTTGGAACACAAAGAGAAGAAAATGGACACAATATTTCGAAGTCCGCAGATTTATGTTTATGCAAAAATGAGAGTGGAAGTTCAGAGTTACAGGTCACACTGTGCCAACAGGTGCTGAGAGACAGAGATGTCAGGCACTCTTTTTAAAAAATTATTATTTAAAAAAATTTTAGATTCAAGGGGTACATGTGCTTGTTTGTTACACGGTATATTGCATGCTGTGGGAACTGGATTTCTAGTGTACTCAGTACCCAAATAGTGATTACTGTACCTGATAGGTAATTTTTCAACCGTCATCAGATGCTGTTTATTTATTCATTTATTTATTTTTGAGACAGAGTCTCGCTCTGTCGCCCAGGCTGGAGTGCAGTGGTGTGATCTCGGCTCACTGCAACCTCTGCCTTCCGGGTTCAAGTGATTCTCCTGCCTCATCCTCCCGAGTAGCAGGGACTACAGGTGCATGCCACCAAGCCAAACTAATTTTCTTTTTTTCCTTTTTTTTTTTTTTTTTTCAGTAGAGATGGGATTTCACCATGTTGGCCAGGCTGATCTCCAACTCCTGGACTCAAGTGATCTGCCCACCTCGGCCTCCTGAGTGCCGGGATTACAGGCGTGGGCACCACGCCCAGCCAGGTGCTGTTTAAGACATCTTTAATGAGTGCCCTGAGCAGGAGCTACGGCACCACCTCACTGTTGTTTATATGTTGATGGCATGCAGGGCCCCTCTTCCCCATTTCTAAGAGCAATACTGTTGGGAATTATTATTATTATTATTTTTTCAGATACTTTCAGGGGTCATTGTGGTCAATGAATACAATGAGCCAAACTGAAAGTGATATCCATTTTTTTTTTTTTTCACGGACTGCAACTGCTAAAGAAAGAGGCAAAAAGAAAGTGCTGGCTCCCGGTGTTCCATTTCCCCCCACGGAACAGCACGGGGTGAGGGTCAGGTGGCACACAGCCCAGATGAGGGGAGTTGTATGACTGACTGCCCATGAGTCCTCAGTCAAAAGCTTCTTGTGGACCCAGGAGGGCCAGGAGAGGGGAGCGGGGGAAGGGCCAGCAGTGGGAAAGTGCTGATTCCAAGTGGAGGAATGTGCCTCAGCCAAAGCCTCTGGATAAGAAGGTCTCAGTGGAAGCTCCTGGGAAGCAAGGAGGCCTCTGAACGGAGGCACCTAGAATGATGTCACAGTGAGCACCGCTGGCCCAGAGGAGGCCGGTGGGAGGGGTGTGGGATCCTCTGTCCTCAACTTTGACTCCCTCCAGAAAATTGCACGGCACTGGCAGTGCACCGAGTCTGTGTGCAGTGGGCAGCTCTCTGCCAGGGGCCTTGCCCGTAAAACCTTGTACCGGCCCATGGTCAGGCTCGAAAGGCCACACGTAGGGCTTTGGCCTGGAACTGGACAACTCAGTTACTAGGTGCTTCACCTTATGTCAGCCTCACAACAATTCTACGAAGTAGATATGATCTCCCTTTTAACAGATGAGGAAATGGAGGCTCAGGGTGCATAACTTGTCCAGTGTCACACAGCGAATGAACGGCAAGACCAGGACTTGAATTCTGATCTGTTTCACAGTTAGGCTCACGCATCTTCCTCCAGAGCATATCGTCTGGTATGAACTTCTGGGAGAGTATTAAATTAATATTGTCCCCCTCATCCAGGAGCTCACACTCTTCTTGGTGAAACAGGGCATACAAATAAGTTATACAGAAAAGAGACTTAGGCAGGGCATGATGGTTCACTTGTATAATCCCAGCAATTTGGGGGCCTGAGTCAGGAGGATTGCTTGAGGCCAGGGGTTTGAGACCAGCCTGGGCAACATAGGGAGATCCAGTCTCTATAAAAAATAAAAAAATTAAAAAAAATTAGCTGAGCATGGTGGTGTGCACCTGTACTCCCAGCTATTCAAGAGGCTGAGGTGAGAGAATTACTTGAGCCCAGAAGATTGAGGCTGCAATGAGCCATGATCGTGTCACCGCACTCCAGCCGGGGCAATGGAGAGAGACTCTGTCAAAAAAACAGAGCAAAACAAACACACAAAAAAGAGATTCCATTTACTTGCAAACAAAAATATCAGTCAACTGGTCTGGACTATATACTGCATCCAGCCAGCTATCCCCTGCTGCCATACAATGCGGTTTGTCCTGTAGAGCAGAGATGTGGCAAGCCAAATCTGGCCATGCTCATTTGTTCAGACACCATGGCTGCTTCCTCGCTACTGTGGCAAAGCTGAGTAATTGCCATGGAGATTGTATGGTCCATAAAGCTGAAAATATTTCCTAACTGGCCCTTTATAGAAGAAGTTATAGAAATTGCTGCGGCAGTGCATCAAAAGAACAAATAGCAGAAATGAACATGCAACACGTGAGTATCTAGCAGAACAAACCAACTGCTATAATGAACATGTCCTTAGCCTAGCCCTTTACAGGAAGGATAAGTGCCTTAGTTCTTACAAAAGATATCTTTTTTCCATTACATGTTCTCAAAATTATAAATAAATACCTATTTTAAGACTCTGCATATGTAGGTTTTGAACTGGTTTGTTGATTGATTGATTCATTTCTTGCCATTTTAAGCAGTGACTTTTGTTGAAGAGTTAAAAGCTAAAAACAAATTTTAAAAACCTTCAGCATGCTTCTCTCACAATATGTGTCATTTTGATGAAGTTATCAGCTAGACACAAGATGAATCAGACTATTAATCCAAACTGCTGGAGCTCACATCTGTGTATTTCACATATGGGGAAGTATTTTAAGTATAGATTGCATCCTCTTGGCTCTTTATAAACAGGGTCCTTAGTTACCTGAAGGCTTTATAACCTTCAGCCTGGTGACTGGTTCTCAAATTTCATGTAATGATTAGCCTGAGTGGAAAAACAGGAAAAGGCAGCAGTGTAACGGGGAGGAGATGGCTTTGGGAGCCTGGAGTTCTAATCTTGGCTGTGCAGCTCCCTGGCTCACCCAGACATTAAATCTCTCTCTGTCCTAATTTCCTATAACCTGAGTTTGGAGATAGATGCTCACCTTTGTGTGTGTAGGAGTAGAGCATCCAAACTCAATTCCTCTCATGCCTTCTGTCTGAAAACTGAGTACATTTCTCTGCATCTGTGGGATCCTTAACAGAACTAACCCACATTAGCTGTTAATTTCAACATGTGTTTAGAGACTGTTCTCAGAGCTCATTAGCGTCTTCCTGGTTATGGATGAGGTATTGTGGGAGGCTGGGTGGACTGAATCAGGAAAGAAGGCTATGGTGTGTTAAGTAGTCAAATTCACACCTTGTGAGAGTGTAGTGTTCCCTGTAATCCTGGTTCGAGGAAAGAAATGGGAAAGAACCCTTCAGTCTGATCTGCAGAAATTCTAAGCTTTCCTTTCCCAGAAGTATTCACTCTACTCAGGTGACCAACCAGGGTCTGGCTTGGACATCAAAATCACTCAATACAGCCCTTCTCATCAACTTCTACAGGACAAGACTGGTCAATGCGAGGCTCACTGCCCTCACCTGCAGGTATCATGCTCTTTGGAGGGTCTGGAACCAGCTCCCTGGAGTCTGGGAACTTAGCTGAAGTGTTGTGGTTTCCGTTTTTTCTTCTGAGGGTCAAGCCAGGCTCTGGCCTCATTTGGTTGGTCCCCGTGGAGTCGAGCAATTTCTGAATTCTCTCTTATAAGACAAGGGGAGAACTTAGCCTATTCTTCTCAGGGGATTATTTGTGAGTTGCTGGTTTAGTGTTTTCCAATTCTTATATATAATTTATGTTATTAACTGCTTGTTTTATCTGTTGTTGAGAGAGGTGTGTTAAATTTCTATGAGACTATGGATCAATTTCTCTTTGTAATTCTGCCAATTTTTGTTTTGAAAAATTTGAAGCTACATCTTAGATGCATATAGGCTCAAAGTTGTTTTATCTTTCTTGTAAAACTTTCCTCTTTATCATTATGATTTTAGCCTTCCCTTTCCTACTCTTTTTTTTTTTTTAATCTGAAAGTCTATATTGTTTAACACTTGCCTGGTATATCTAGTTTCCACCCATTTAGGTTTAATGTATTTAATTTTGCTGGTGTAATAAAAACACTATGGTGGGTATGGCAGGGTCCTGAGTTTTCTGCAATGAAACTCCAGTCATTCTTGGATCTTTAAGATGATCATGAAATTTCTGATTGGGAAACTGAGTCTCTTTGCAGAGATCAGAGTGAAAAAGTTGTGCCTTAGAGATGACGTTCAAGGTAGCTTCAGCCAAGCTACCCAGAGTGGCAGCAATCAATACCGTCCACTAGCAGCAGCCTGTTGGGCAGGAGGACAGAGACAACCACTACAGAAGGGAAGGAATCAGATGCACAAGCTGAGCCACAGCACCCACTTTGCTCATTGTTTCCCCAGTAGTCTTGCCTCAAAGAGATGATGTCTTGCTGAGACGATGGCATTATGAATGACAGTAGCTACTTCCTTGGAGTGCCCAATATCTGGATGAATAAGTCATTATTCACAAGAGCCAAAGATACCTTGAAACTGGCTAGTTACCCCTTTTATGTCTCTGAAAGGATGCCACCTTTAGGACCTTGTCCAGGAGGAAATCAGGGAAGCAAACGAGAGATTTCTTTCAGGAACTTGACCTTCATGTTCCTTAATCAGATGGCCCAGCTTGGTGTCCAAGAACAATTCCTATCTCTATCCTTGCCCTCTCTGCTTGTCCTTACCGCCAAAATAATCTGCAGTCTTTTTTTTTTAATATAGAGATGGGGTCTCACTATGTTGCCCAGGCTGACCTTGAACTCCTAAACTCAAGGGATCCTCCTGCCTCAGCCTCCTAAAGTGCTGGGATTACAGGTGCGAGCCACCACCCCAGCCTCATCTACAATCTTTAGCCTTTGGTGATTTCTGGGAGAAGCCATAGTGTACTTTGACCATCAACTTGTTTTCAACCTTTCTGTATTCATATGTTTTTGATGTGTCTCCTTTGAGATATAGCTGATTGAAAAAAATCAGTAAAAAAATTCTTACTTTGAACTGCTGAATTAATTTATCCATTCATTTATTAGGAGTACTGATATATTTTGTTTTATTTGTATTACCTACCTTGTGCTTCCATTTTACCTTCTTCCTGGCTTATTTTTGTTTCTTTTTTCCTTACTTCCCTTTATTCTTTCCTTTTTTATGGTTTTGAAGTTATACATTCTGTTTCTATTTTTATGCTAATATTTAAATTTTAAATACATATGATTGACTTAACAAAGTCCAAAATAATATCCCTTCTGGCAAACTTAGTGCTTTAATTCTACCTTCTCTATCCCATTTTCAGTGTGATAAATGTGCAGTAGTTTAGGTCTTCCTCATTTTTAGCCCTCTCTTCAAAGTTTTTTCTTTTTTTTTTTCTTTCAGGAAATACTTACCTGCCAGGCACGGTGGCTCATGCCTATAATCCCAGCATTTTGGGAGGCCAAGGCGGGTGGATCACTTGAGGTCAGGAGTTCAAGGCCAGCCTGACCAACATGGTGAAATCTTGTCTCTACTAAAAATACAAAAAATTAGCCGGGCGTGGTGGTGCATGCCTGTAATCCTAGCTTCTTGGGAGGCTGAGGCAAGATAATTGCCTGAACCCGGGAGGCGGAGGTTGTAGTAAGCCAAGATCGTGCCACTGCACTCCAGCCTGGGTGAGAGAGTGAGACTCTGTCTCACAAAAAAAGAAAAGAAAAGAAAAAAAATACTTACCTACATTTACCTTATGTTTACCGACTACTATGCTCATATTTTCTTCAGCTCAATCCTTTCTTTTTATTTATTTATTTTTTATTTTTTTTGAGACAGGGTCTCACTCTGTTGCCCAGGCTGGAGTGCAGTGGTACAATCCCGGCTCACTGCAACCTCTGCCTCCCAGGTTCAAGTGATTCTTCTGCCTCAGCCTCCCAAGTAGCGGGACTACAGGCATGAGCCACCATGCCAGGCTAATTTTTGTATTTTTAGTGGAGATGGGGTTTCACCATGTTGGCTAGGCTGGTCTTGAACCTCTGACCTCAGGTGATCCACCAGCCTCAGCCTCCCCAAATGCTGGGATTACAGGCGTGAGCCACCGCACCCAGCCCAATTCTTTCTTTTTACTCCAGTTTTCTTCAGCCTCCAATTCTTTCTGTAAGGATCTGTAAATGATAACTTCTTTCAATTTTGTTTGTCTGAAAATTTTTATTATTGTATCTAATTCTTGAATGATACCTTAACTGGGTCTAGAATTTTAGCACTTTGAAGATACTGTGAAAATTGCAGTTGGAAACTAATTATTGTACCATTGCTGGTAATCTGTCTTTTGCTGTGTGTTTACTTTTAAGGTTTTCTCTTTATTTATATTGAGCTTCAGTTTCACTCCCATTTGTCCAGGTGTGGGTTTACTCTTATTTATCCTGTTCCGTACTCAGAGCACTTTAAATCTGAGGACTTAGATTTTTTATTCAATTCTGAGTACATTTTTCCCTTGAAACTCAAATATACATATATGAATTTCTCATTCTATATTCCATAATTAAACTCTTCTTTAATATTGTCTTACATATTCATTGTGCTGAATTCTAGTTAATTTCTTCAAAGCTGAGCCATTTAATCTATTAATGTCAGTGATTATATTTTTACAAGTCAAGCACTAAATAAACGTCAGCTATTATTATCCTTCCTTGAATAATTTCAAACATACTGATTGCATAGTCTTTCTCAGGTTGTCCTATTACCTTGCATTCTTGGAGGTATTACTCTTCCCATTGGTCACATCTGCTGTCTCTCCCTTAAGGTGGATTGCTTCTTTGTAAGGTTTGTCATTTTTTCATGTCTGGCTTATTATTATTATTTTTTAGCTAATTTTGTTTTTTATTTGGGCTTACAGAGTGATGTGGGATTTTCTTCTAATGGTTCCACTTGGATTGTCACTGGTTTGAGGTAACTTTTTGTATTAATTTCTCAACAGTACAATCTAGACCTACCCATGGTGCAAGCCGGCAGTGTTTTACAGGACACTCTTTGAACTTCGTTTGCACTTTATGTACATGCATATACATGTAGTTATGTTTTACCTAATTTTTGAAATAATCATAAGGAGATAGGCTCTGTGTTTGTTCTATTCAAGAGTTTGCAGGATTTGGAGTTTTTTATTCTTCATGTCTGCCTGGTAAAATGTTTGTATGCAGCCAACTGTTCAATATTTGGCTTTTCCTCACAAGACACCATTCCCTAAACTCTCAGAATTTAAGAAAAAAAACTCCCTATTTTATTTATCCTGATGATGGTAATAAATTGGCCAAGGAGCCATCATAAAAAAATAAAATCAGACAAACCGACCATTATAGGCTGATTATAATAAGAAAGTCTTTCTTGCATGGGGCATTTAGCTAAGCCTTACATTCATAAACACTGCTAAGTCAATTATTTATTTTACATATATGTTTGAACCTTTGAAATAATGAGATTAATCTAAAATGTTAGGTTTGCTGAAAATGCCTGGCATTGTGATTCATTTGCATTTTCATTTTTTGCTGTCAACAATTAGGTGGACATTTTAAAACTTTTCTTAGGGAAAGAAAAATTCACTACATGCAAAGATTTCCATACATTTCCGGGGAGTTCAGGGACTTCTTGGGGCCCAACCAAATACATCGAGTTAAGATTCTTTGACTTATGTGGTATTTGGCTTAGAGTTCATCATATTTGAGCACCCTTGTTAGGGTATACGAGGAGGCCCCCAATGAGTATCACCCCTCCTTTCCATCCCGTCTCTCAATAATTTAATAAAATTTTAAAAATGTGCAGTGTCTAAAAAATGAATTATGTTCAAATATGAACAGAATTGAAAATGAAATTCTTTTCAAATATCAAAATTGAGGTCAAGTTGGAGGATGTATCTTAACGGAAAGCAAAATGGCTGTCCTAACTAGATCTCAGGATTAGTCTGATTCACCAGCGCAGACTCTGGTAGTCTGGTCCAGGGCTGTTGTCTCTGCGAATTCTGCCAGGGTAATACTAAGGCGGGGAAGAGAAGTTCCTGCAGGCTATGCTCCTTCTGAGGAGTGAAGCTATGATATTGATCATTGGATTTCCCAAGTTTATCCAAGATCATGGAGTGGATATTGATCATTGCATTTCCCAAGTTTACCAATCAGTTAAGTTCCTCCAGTTCCCCTAGGGTGGAGGGAGTAGCGGTGGGGAGAGGCTTGGGAAAAATCCCTCCCCATGGAAACCAGGAGGGAGCAAGACATTTCTCCTCAGTATTGCTGACTAAGTGTGTGTAAGAGGGATTCGACTGCTTAAAAATTTGCTATGAAAAATTCTCGACTTGAGTAATTTACACCCAGATTACCTGGCTGGAATTGCTGCTGCTGGCCGCGCAGCCGCCTCATCATAAGAGGCACTTGCGGAGGTTGATGGTGAGGGGCTCTTCCGGGTACCACTCTGTCTCCCTGGCAACGTGGCTCCACTTCCACAGCTCAGAAGAACACAAGTTTTCCAGTCCATCGTCCGCGTGAGGAGAAATTACATGCAATTTACAGAATACCTTGACGTGATACTCTTCATCCTCACAGGGTTACGTTTTTAAAGGAATTTACAGTAGGATTCAGGGGGCTGATTTAAAAAACACAAAAAGGTAAAGTCTGTCCATCTTGAGACATTATCCTTTAAGTTGATGCTAATTGAGATGAATCCATTGCTTTTAAAAACGTAGCACTTAAAAATCCATTCTTATTCACTTTCCTAAAATCTTAATTTTTTTTCTGACGATTGTTGGCTTTTACCTCTTTAAGTCACAAACCTATGACCATTTTGCACTGCTTTTCATTGCCCGGATGCTTTAGGTCATTCATAAACTCCAGTCTTTTCTCCTCTCCGATTCTTTCCCACCCTTCTAATATAGTGACTCATCTCATTATGTTCCTAAAAGCCTGACAAAGATAGTGTGTATCGATTAAGAATCCTTTAAGACATGCTTTTCTCATAAATGCACCTTTGTGTAGCTGCTCTGGGTCTGAAATTTTGGGCTCTCATTTCACTCGAACTGGGATGAACATTTCTGGGGACAAAACAGCTCAATGGCGTTTGTCAGGACCCCGTGGTTATACCCAGGAATGCAGAACACAGCTTTGAGTCACACAATCAGGACCCCCAGTCATGCCTCAGTAGTAAACACCGAGTTGTGAGTATGAATACTTGCTTAGAAGGAAACCTAAATGGCTTTTCTTGGATTCCAAGTCCATCTTTTGGTTTCATTTCTGACAGAGCTCTAATTTTTCTCAGACTTCTAGCCTGCTCTCAAAAGTAATACATGACATTGTTGCATGGAAAAAGTGTTAATGTAAATTTTGAGCCAGATAATTTACCCTATATTTTTCAGTTAAGTCTTTTTAAATTAAAAAACAAATTTTAACTATTGTAGGTACATAAGAGGTATATATATTTATGGGGTACATGTGATGTTTTGACACAGGCATGCCGTGTGTAATAATCAAATCAGGGTAATTAGGGTATCCATCACCCAAAGCATTTATTTCTTTGTCTTAGGAACATTCCGATTCTGCTCTTTTAGTTATTTTAAAATATACAATAAATAATTGTTGACTATCATCACCCTGTTGTGCTATCAAATACTAGATCTGATTCCTTCTATCTATTTTTGTACCTATTGATCATCCCCACTTTGTCCCCATTCCCACTACCCTTCCCTCAGTTAAGTCTTAAACAACTATGTTTTGCAGATGAGGAAACCAAGGCTTTAAAAGAAAGCATAGAATTCTAGATTTGAACCCAGAACCATCTAATCTTTGCCTGCTCTACAAGAGTTCTTATTTTAATCTTTAATAATATTTTGAGATTCGGTCTTTGTTTAACATCATCCTCAGGCAAGGCAGGTTGTAATAATTATACTACATAGTCCTCAGTTTTTAATCCAAATAAACTGTGTGGAAAATATTTTCCACCAAAGGTTTTAAAATCTGCTTAACTTGTCTTGCAAAGTCTTATTTACTGACTTTCAGAATCTGGGCAGGAAGTACAATTTTTCATTTGTTTTGATTTTGCATATTTATTTGATTTCTTTTATTCCAGTTGGCTAGTTACTATCTAAAAATGTAGTTATACATAATCACTGGCTAAAATATTGGCCCACTTCACCCTACAATCCTATAACTTAAAAATTGTATTTACTAAACAAATAATTTATCATACATTCTCAGTGTAAAGATTCAGATACTATGCAACACGTAGATTGAAATACAAAGGTCTCCGTTCATCACCATTCCATTAGAACTTATACTGATCTCCAGGGATAGTCACCAAAAGCAGAAAGATATTTATCATTCCAGCCTTTTATACATGTGCTTAGGGATTTCTGTACATGTACCTACATATGTACTGGATTCATTTATTCATTTAATTTAAAAGGCAGTTAGACTATGCTTGTTGTTTTATACTTGCTTTTTCTCCTGTAATATTTAAAGATGTTTGCATGTCAGTTCAAGTAGATCTACCTCATTCTTTTCATGGCAACACAGTATTTCATTTTCTAATACCAAAATTTCCTAAGGTGTGTTCCATGGTCAAAAAAAAATTGGGAAATACAAGGTTAAACACAGTTAACTAGGATTCCTTACTATAGACTATCAGAGGCCCCAGTATGGTAATGGACATTGTAAATCTCCAAGATGATCTATCCAGCATGGAATGTGTAGCAAACTTCGTGTACCACTTTATTTAATTTGACGTCACAGCTTCTCCAGGGAGACGCTGCTTCTCATGGATGATGTAAATGTGGGAGAGCAGGCTAATACTTAGGATGCCTGATCTCAGCTGGCTGCACTCAAGGGGCCAGTCAGCCGGATACAATTTAGCAGGAATAAAAATGTTGCACATTGGTTTTAAATATCAACAGCACAAGCATCGAATAAGGATTAATTATTTTTAGAAAAAGGGAAGTCTTCACAATTTTATATGAATGTGAGTTCGATACAAGCTATTAAGCTGATTTGACTACTTAAGCTAATGAAAATTTCAGGTGCATAATTGGAATTATTGTGTCCAGATCAACGGAGGAAATTATTTCACTGTACTCATGCTGATCCAGCTTTAGTCCTTCAGCTACTCACAGGGAAAGCTCTACCTCTTAGCACCAGGGCCAATAACATGCTCTTGCCATTAACCCTGACTCAACCTTGGAAGAGGGAGGAAGGCGGCAGGAAGAGAACGTAGGAGCCTGGACATAACTTTAGAAAATAACAATAACACTGCATGTGACATGTTAGAGTTTATAAAGGGTTTCCCCAAGGATCCATTTACTCCTCTTAATTCAAGGCTGCAGATACTATTTCCCTCATTTTGCAAAGGAAGAAAATAAGCCTCAGAGAAGTTATCAAGACCAGAGCTAGGCCTTGAGCCTAATTGTTTTGTTTTGTTTTGTTTTGTTTTTGATGCCAAGTCTAGGTTATTTCAACTGTATTCCATTTGTTTTTCTATGGGTGTGTTTTTAAGTATTTCTTCTTTCCATTGTCTGAATCTTTGCTGTTCCCCGGGATACTCCATCTGAACTGAGCTAATCTGGTTTCTGACTGCTCACCTGCTCTATACATTTCTCTTTTTGAACATAAATGCTGAAACTATTAATGATGAGTGGGTTTGCATCATTGCACTACTTTCCCAATATATTCTTCCACTCCCACCTGCTCTCAGCTCTTTGCTTCTCCAACAGGATCTGCGGCTGCCCATTTTCTCAGTGCTGCTTTCAGTAAACGTCCCCACTGCTTACATAACAGAAAGCCACTCACTTACTTATCTGGAATGGCTGCTTACTCGTCAGTATCCTGCTGAGTAAGGGCTGGTCAACATTAAATGTTCTGGAGTGGTCTTTGGTGGTATCCACTCTTAATCATTCATGGTATAAATAGGAAATGTAAAACTAAAAATTATATAATAAAATATCTAAGTAATGAAAAGCAATTTTTAAAGCATTCTATTGCCAAGGAAGAAAACCTGTTTCTCAGTGAGGCATAGCTATTGTATAATGATTATTAAAATGTTGATACAATGCCTAGATTGCTGTTTATGTATTTTTCATTAGGTTAATGGAAAACATGAAAATTTCTGGTTGATAAATTTGCATACAAAATGTAATTTCTGAAAGTGGATTAAAACAATTTTTTATTGTCCTGGATCAAACATTCTTTTATTTTTCTATTTTTTGAGACAGAGTCTCACTCTGTCACCCAGGCTGGAGTGCAATGGCATGATCTCGGCTCACTGCAACCTCTGCCTCCCGGGTTCAAGCAATTCTCCTGCCTCAGCCTCCCAAGTAGCTAGAATTACAGGCACCTGCCACCATGCCCGGCTAATTTTTTGTGTTTTTATTAGAGACAGGGTTTCAACATGTTGGCCAGCCTGGTCTCAAACTCCTGACCTCAGGTGATCCACCTGCCTTGGCCTCCCAAAGTGCTGGGATTACAGTTGTGAGCCCCTGTGCCCGGTCAAGCATTTTTTTTAAAAGTCAAAAGTGTTGATGCATGTTCAAAAACAGATATTCAATTATTAAAAACCATTTTATCCAACGTATCACCTGAAAGTATTACCATATTGAGCTTTTGTGTAAACTTTATGGAACTGGGGTTCAAACTTCAGAAACACATAGGAGATTTTTTGAGAAATGTTTAACTATATTGAAAAAAGGAGAGAACTTTGGAAGATCATGATATGAATGTCATTTTTTTTTAAGAACAGATTGAAAACTGGCTTCTTTCTTCTTTCACAAACTGTCCATATAGCTATGGTGCTTGCGATTGACATTGGCATTATTGATGTACCAAATCACCTTTAAAATACTTACCTAAACATGCTGGATGTGGTGGCTCACACCTGTAATCCCAACACTTTGGGAGGCCAAGGCAGGAAGATGGTTTGTGCCCAGTAATTCGAGGCTGCAGTGACCTATGATCAGACCATTGCACTCCAGCCCGGTTGACAGAGCAAGTCTCTTGTAAAAAAGTTTACCCAAATATTTTAGGTGCCTCAGAAAATCTCTCAGTCAATCAAGTAATGTAAACTAATAATTAAGCAGTAAATGTTACTACATGATGGGTGCTATGGGGGAAATCAAGAAGTTTAAGATAATGCCCCAAAACACAGGGAACTTCTAATCTAGTTGAAGAGCTAAGTCCATGCCTGACAGCAGAATAGGAGCTCATTGCCTAATTATTATTTATTTATTTATTTATTTATTTATTTATTTATTTATTTTGAAACAGAGTCCTCATCTTGTTACCCAGGTCGGAGTACAGTGGAGCGATCTCAGCTCACTGCAACCTCCACCTCCCGGATTCAAGCGATTCTCCTGCCTCTGCCTCCTGAGTAGCTGGAACTATAGACGCCCGCCACCACGCCCGGCTAATTTTTGTATTTTTAGTAGAGGCAGGATTCGCCATGTGGGCCGGGGTGATCTCAAACTCCTGACCTCAGGTGATCCACCCACCTTGGCCTCCCAAAGTTCTGGGATTATAGGCGTGAGCCACTGCACCCAGCCCTAATTATTAAGTGAACCAAAGAATTTCTCCCCACCCTCTAATATCTACCCTTGTGATGTAGATATTAAATGAGAAGAGAAAGTAACTCTGTGTAGGAGGTGAGTTTTGAGTGATGTGGAAGGATGAGGTGGATGTGACCCACTTAAGAAGAGCCTGGACAGCATCACAAGGAGGTGGGATGGCCAGAGGAAAGGATGAGAAAAACATTCACTGAGTATTAATGATATTCCAGACCTTATGCGTATATTGTCTCATTTAATCCTCATAGCACCCTAGGAAGTGAACCGTATTTTGCCCATTTTTCAGAAGAGGAAACTGGGGTGCAGCTCCAGATTCGAAAACTTGTGCTTTTTTTTTTTTTTTTTTTTTTTTGCTACACATTTTCTCTGTGAAAGCCTTAAAAGGTGAGCTAGCTCTCCCTAAATCTGTCATACAGATTGAAAGTCAACAGTGCCCTCACTTGATAGATGGTAAGATAGAAGCATAAGGAATCATATGCATTTTCAAAATGAAATAGCCATTTGAGGTTACTATCAGTTCATCCTGATGGCCAAGCAGCACACCTTCCTTATCTATAAATCTCTTTCATGTTTAATAAATGTCCTTGAATTTGGCCCTTTGTTAATGTGACTTATGAGGTGTTTATTTCTTCAAGGCAATTATTTACAAATTTATGAATTAACAATCTGGTCAATGTGTACCTGCGCCTAAGCAATTAGACAAATGTTGTTCTTGGCCTCTGCTGAAAACCCTCACCTCCCTATGACTTTGCACCTTCTCTCTTCCTGATAACAGACAGAAGACATATTTCACTGGTGCTCAAATCAGCTCTGGCATTAATGGAGGTGCTGAATGACTTTAAGTAATTATTTAGGACTGTAAATTTTTGTTTAGCTCACATATGTAACCCTTAATTGCCAATACTAATTAGAGATGGATGGAAACTTGAGGCCCAAAGATGCCACAGAGGCTTACAGAATATAGACAGACTTCACTGAAAGATGGGATTCTAAATAATGTCTCTTCTTTATTTCCTTATCTTAACCACCTTTGAATCCTTTAGTTTCATTCACTAATAACAAGTTGATCCTGCTCTGGGAGCCAATGGAGTTTCATGGGACTTTGGTTTATACTCTGTTTTAAATTTCTCTTCTTTTAATGGAGTCACTCTCTTCTTCGAGACTTTTAGAAATTCATCTTCTCATTGTTACCAGGAGCAGCATTTTGCATTAGTCCATGATTGCACTTTCTATCTGAAGAATTCATAAAGGTTCAAAATACATTGTTAAAAATTATCAGAATGCTATGGCATCAAAATACTGGTTGTCAAAGAATTCTTTGAAGTAATTTTAAAATTTTATTGTTTAAATAAATTTTTTAAAAAAGAAAATAGAGACAGGATCTCTCTATGTTGCCCAGGCTGGTCTCGAACTCCTGGGCTCAGGTTATCCTTCTGCCTCTGGCTCCCAAAGTGCTGGGATTACAAGGCATCAGCCACCACATCCGACCTAGGGTGATTTTTAAAGAAGCACACTAATAGAGTTAACTTCATTGCAACATAAAAGCAATTCCATTGCAGTTTATTACTGTTTTAAAAAGCTGAACAGAATAGCAAAAGTGTAAAAACAAATCCTTCAATCCTTTTTACAATTTGGTAAACATTCCCTATAATTGTTTGTGCCGATGACAAAAATGTATACATAGGAGAGGCCATATATTTTATTAACCTACATATGCCTGTCAAGAATCTATCATGAGTATCTTTCTGTAGCAATACATGAGGATCTGTTTTATGCATTTGAATACTGCATAATATTTCTGTTTTTCTTTTTTAAAATTTGGTTTTACGACTCCACCAGATCACTGGAATAAATACTGCATGATGTTTCATTGTACGTATACATCATGATAATTCTATTGATGGAAAGTTTGATTTTTTTCCCTAATTTTAGCTTCTTAAAAAAGGGCAATAATAAATATTATTTTACATAACATATATTTTATCTATACCTTTTCACACTTAACTCTTAAATAAATTACCAGAAATTAGACTGATGAATCAAAGGGTAGGCACATTAACATTTTTGATACATAGTGTTAGTTTGCCCTCCAGAAATACATTGCCAACTTATATTTTAACAAACATGATGTGAAGGTACCTATTTACCACCCACTTTATAGCACTTGACATGAACACACCATTTTGTCAAACTGGCAAATATTTTGTTTTCATTTGCATTTCTTTGATAGTTGCTGATGTTAAGCATATTTTCCTTTGTTTAAAGTCCGTTTGTATTTCTTCCAAGAATTTATATCTTTTCCCCACTGCTTTAGCTTTTTCTTACTTATTTCTAACCTCTCTTCATATATTATGGACCTTATTCTATTGCCATATATGTTGCAAATATTTCCTCAACATTGTTGTTTGTCAACTTTGTTATTGAAATATGGTAATTTTTACATTTAATTTTTAATACATCTGATATTTACCTTGACGTAAATAGGAGTTTAACCTACTTTGTTCCCCCAACATTTTAATAATTTTCCTGGCGCCATTTATTGAATAATTCATTGTGTTAGATCAGTTGCAGTAATGACCTCAATTTGCTTACTCCTCCTTGTAACCATGACCTTTGGTAGTGCCCTCCCCCATGGATTCTATGCTTGGTATTGACTTGTTTAGGCTGATGGGACAGTAGCAAATATGATACAAAAGAGCACTTGAAAAGTGATTATACATTGGGGCTTACCTGTTCTCTGCTCTTAGAACTCTGCCACTATCTAAACAAGCCCAGGTTAGCCTGACGGATGGTAAGAGACATGTGGCCCATTCACCCGTTTCTCCCAGACAATCATGAGATGTGTGAGTGAGACCATTTAAAACTAGTCAGCTCCACTGGCCAACCAGCTGACTACAGACACATGAGCAGGCTCAGCCAAGATCAACCAAGTCTGGTCAGATCCCAAATCCACCTGGCTTACTCTAGCCCAATTGCCATGCCACAGAATTATGAACTAAATAAATGTAAATGGTTCTTATTTCAATTGACTGAGGTTCTGAGTGGTGTGTCACACAATAAAAGATAACTAGTACATCCAGCTTACCTGTACTGATTTGAAAGTCGTATTTATCATACACTAAATTCCCACTTATACACGTGTCTATTTCTGAGTTCCTTATTTTGTTTCTTTGATCTATTTATTTCTTCCCCTTCTAACACCACACTTAAAATTACTGTAGCTTTATGGCATGTTTTACTATTTGGTAGGTTAATTCCACCACCCCATAGCCATGACAATTTTTTTTTTTAGAAGAAATTTGTCAAGTTCCCCAAAATGTCTTGTTGGGATTTAATTTCAAATTGCATTAAGTTTTGTAATATTTTGCATTTTCAGTACAGAAATTGGATAAGTTTCTTTATCTGCTCTTATATTCTTCAGCAGCATTTTACATTTTTCTTCAAAAAAGTTCCACATAAATTCTTGTTTAGTTTATTACCTATTTTATCAGTCAGGGTTTAACCTGAAAGGCAAAACCAACAGGAGGTACATATTGAAATATTTGTTGCCAATAATTGTGTAACAATGATGGGATTTGGGGGGCTAGAGAGGACAGTCTAGATCTGTCAGGCCATCGGGAAGGGCAGACTGTAACTCTTGGACATCAGCTGAAGCCACTATCCAGAGATGAAATTCCTTCCTCCTGGAAGCCTCAGTTCTGCTTTTCTTTTTTTGTTTTTTCTTTTTTCTTTTTTGAGACAGAGTCTCTCTCTGTTGGCCAGGCTGGAATGCAGTGGCACGATCTTGGCTCACTGCAACCTCCGCCTCCTGGGCTCAAGCAATTCTCCTGCCTCAGCTTCCCGAGTAGCTGGAATTACAGGCGCCTGCCACCACACCCAGCTAATTTTTGTATTTTCAGTAGAGACGGGGTTTTACCATGTTGGCCAAGCTGGTCTCGAACTCCTGACCTCAGGTGATCCGCCCACCTCGGCCTCCCAAAGTGCTGGGATTACAGGCGTGAGCCACCGCACCCGGCCCCATTCTGCTTTTAAGGCTTTCAGTGAATCGAATGAGGCCCACCAAAATTATCAAGGATAATCATCATTACTTAAAGTCAATCAATTATGGATGTTAATCTACAAAATACCTTCAGCGCAACACCTGGATTAGTGTTAGATTCAATACTGGGCATATTAATTTAGTCACGTTGCTACATCAAAAAGACCATAACATTTGTATTTTGTGTTTTTGTTCTTTCTTCTAAATTTTTCCTTATATTTTCTGATAACTTATTTTCCATAGAAAAACAAGTGATTAAAAAATGTTTTTTGTAACTCACACCTATGTTCTTTTATTGTATTTAAGAGTGGGGCTTTTTTGCTTGTTTTCAAACAACTATAATATTTTATATATATTTCATAAATATTTTATAAATATTTTGTTGTCTTTCTTTGGTCAGAGTTTCTGGAAAAATGGTGAAGAATAGAGTAAGACTTCTGCTTCTAGGAGTTTCAGATGAGATCATTTAGATCAATCCTCTTTCTGGTGACAAATTAAAAAATCTGTGTTGGGTAGGAATGGTAGCTCATGCCTGTAATCCCAGCACTTTGGGAGGCCGAGGCGGGAGGATCACTTAAGCTCAGAAGTTCGAGACCAGCCTGGGCAACATAGTGAGACATTGTCTCTATTTAAAAATAAAAATTAAAATAAATTTAAAAGAATTTTTTTAAAAACCCTCTTCTTAAAAGCTTCAAAAAGCTAAGAAGATGATGAAGAATGAGAGGAAGAGAGTGCAGAATTTGAGCTTGGCACTTGGGTTCACTTTGCCCCTGGTGCTGTTTCTTTTTTTTTGAGACGGAGTCTCACTCTGTCACCCAGGCTGGAGTGCAGTGGCCGGATCTCAGCTCCCTGCAAGCTCCGCCTCCCGCATTCACGCCATTCTCGTGCCTCAGCCTCCCGAGTTGCTGGGACTACAGGCGTCCGCCACCAAGCCCAGCTAATTTTTTGTATTTTTAGTAGAGACGGGGTTTCACCGTGTTAGCCAGGATGGTCTCGATCTCCTGACCTCAGGTAATCCGCCCACCTTGGCCTCCCAAAGTGCTGAGATTACAGAGGTGAGCAACTGCACCCGGCCTGGAAGGGGGATTTGAACTTGAATCTTAAAGGCTGTGTAATAATAGCTCAATCGATGTTTTACATGCATATTATTACTTAATCTCTGTAACAACTTTATGAGGTAGGGACTATTATTATCTGCAGTTACACATAAGAAAATTGAAGCATAGCAATATCAAGTAACACGCCCAAGTTCATATAAGTGGGAGGTGAAGTATCAGAGATTCAAGTCTAGAGCACGGGAGAATTTTCCAGAATGAGAGGTAGAGGTGGAAAGTGTTATAAACCGGGAAACAAAGGGAAGAAAGATACAAAACGGTCATGGTGTGGATTAACATGACATCCCATTTTGGCATAAGGGAATAATCTCAGGAGGCCTGTTACTGCTTAACAGGCAGATGGAAGATGACTTGAAGAATTAGATGAGGCAGTTTGGACTCAGTCATCTCCAAAGTGAGCAGCCATTAAGCACCTTTCACAAAAGAGCACATCCAGTAGGTGCTGCTTCCATCTATGTTCTCCCACTTCCCCTAGTGCTAACTGCATGAAATTTTCTTCAGCTCAACCCTGTCTTCATTTCACCTCTTTATTTCTTTATTTTGGAAGCAGGATTTGATCTGACAACTCCTATATGAGGAGAGTCTCTATCTGCACAGTTCATTTTTGTTACTTTCCTTTTCCGTAATTCAGATAAATAAAAATGCCCATCAAAAGTCTCCAGTAGGAGGCTGGGCACAGTGGCTCACACCTGTAATCCCAGCACTTTTGGGAGGCTGAGGCAGGTGGATCACTTGAGCCCAGGAGTTCGAGACTAGCCTGGCCAACATGGTGAAACCCAGTCTCTACTAAAAATACAAAAATTAGCCAGGCATGGTGGTGTGTCCCTGTAATCCCAGCTACTCAGGAGGCTGAGGCAGGAGAATCGCTTGAAGCCGGGAGGCAGAGGTCGCAGTGAGCCGAGATTGATGGCACCACCGCACTCCAGCCTGAGCGACAGAGCAAAGACTCTGTCTCAAAAAAAAAAAAAGGCTTCCCAATAGGGAAGGCTGCTTGAGTTTAATCTTTTAGTGTGTTTGGGGGCCGGGTGCAAAAAGTGAGACGTCTGAGAGAAGAGGAAGAGTAGCCAATATTAAGGGATAAAATAGCTGGATGACCTGGAGGGATAGAGCTGTCAAAATGGAAGAAAAATTCATTTATGTGCTCAGGAAAGACAGTAGCTTATGATTTTCAGTGGGCCTTAGGAACTGTGATCTAAACTGCCATTTAGCCACAAGGATGCCTTTTTATTTATTTTTTAAATTGCAAATTGCCTATTGCTATGATTCATAGAGTGATGTCCTTATACAATGATGAAAACTAATGGTTTTTCTTCAAAAATCAACTTCAAAGTGCTGCTCCTTCATCTCTCCTGTGTCACCATTTCCCCTCCAAGCCAATGTCTACCCATATATGCTTTTCATCCCGAAAAATAGTCAAATGCATCACTAAGATTTGGGTATCTAATAATTCCCCCCAACTCCGATGTATTTGACTAGACTCCCTGACTACTACTTTTTTTTTTTCTAAATTAGAAAGAAACGAACAAAACAACAAACAACAAGTGTGAGACAGCTGGAGAGAGAATGAGTTAAAACTTCAAAACTCGAGTGTGCAGGCTGTTCCTGGGTCTGGCCCTGTCATTGTAATTCCTGTAGGGGTTCCTATAACTTCTCCTCTGAGTGAAGTACAAGAGGGAATTCTGAAAGCATTAGACACAAACTACTTGATATTTTTCCATGTGGTTTTCACCACTTCTTAGAGTAGGTATGGTCTCAAATTTTGGATTCTTTCTTCAGGCTTTTTTTTTTTAAATAACTTTTGAAACCCTGTTTGTGATTTCTAAAAAGAGCAGCAAATGTTTCAAGGAAAAAAGGAAAAAAAAAAAGGTACATGAGAGTCCAATCTAGGAGATTTACAGTGAGGAGCTGATGAGTTCTGTAAAAGTTGTGTTCAGCTCTGTTTCACCTGTGAGTTCCTGTACTTTTTTCTTTTTGTAATCACAATTATTATCCTGTAGCCACATGATAGGAAATGCTGTTATAGATGAAACAAAGACAGGCAGCATCTGGGCCACAGATTAGATAATAATGAAATTCTTTGTGGTTGACAAGAGAAAAATAATGGGTAATACAAAACTGTAATCATATTTTTCATGCATTAGCTACCTATAAATTGCATACCCTGAATATAAGCTGTTGCTGTGAAACTTTAAATGTTTAAGATTTAAAAAATGAACAAATATAATCAGTCTATTCTGATTATATATATAATGATTATGTGATGTATGAAGTCATATGCATATGAATTGAGCCTGCATGTCTGGAGGGCCGCTCCGCACATGCTAACATTCCTCTTCTACCCTGAACCTAGTCCTTAAAAACCCATGCACCGTTCAGAGAGAAGGTGCATTTAGAGTGAGAGCTTGCCTTCTCCATTCCCTGGCCAGTGAATAAAAACCTGATTGCCTTTTCCAATTGAATGTTCTTTCTGTGCAATATATACAAAGTGGAGAAAGAATTCGGTTTACCAGTGACAACAGGAAGGCTGTCAGCAGATGTGGCCCTTTGAACTTCTCAGCCTCCAGAACTGTAAGAAAGAAACTCCTTTTCTTTATAAATGACCTTTTCTTTATAAGTTTCAGGTATTCTGTTATAAGCAACAGAAAATGGACTAAATCAGAAAATTAGTACTGAGAAGTAGGGTTGTTGCTATACAAATACCTGAAAACGTGGGAGCAGCCTTGGGACTTTGTAATGGGTGGGTGCCGAAAGAGTTTGGAGGAGCAGGCTAGAAAAAACTGTTTAGGTGTGAATGGAGCATTAGGGGGTGATCCTGGTGAGGGCTCAGAAGAGAAGACTAGGGAAAGTCTGCATCTTCTTAGAGATTACTTAAGTGGTTGTGATCATGTAACCAAAATGCAGATTCAGTTGCTTGCCACGTGCAGAATCCAACTAACAACAGCGAGGTCTGGTGTGAAGAAAGTGAATTTTTATTCAAAAACTAGCTTACAGGAAGGAGTACAGGCTTTCTGCCTGAAGGGCACTGCTTTACTTGTAGGGCAGAAAGCAGGGATTTATAAAGGGGGACTTGGCATGAATGGCATGCAGGGGAGTGAGTGAGCCAGTGGGGTTTTGGTGACTTGCTTCAGTGCCTTCTGGACTGGGTAGCTGAGCGGTGCCATCATGGGCAGAACTAGGCTGTAAAGTGCATTGTCTTGGGGTCCTCTCCAGGTAGGAGAGAGTTTTCTACAGGGCATATTTTAGGTTGTAAATTGAGTGTTGTCTCCCGAGACAATCCCCTGGTTGGAGAGGTTCTTGGCTCTGGAGCTTCTAAGCACATAGAGAAGCTTGCCCTGTAGGGAGTGTCTGGTGAAGGGAAGGTAAAAGGTTATAATTGCATTGGTAAGGACCTAAGTAGGAAGTGGGAAACAGGGGAAGAAGAGGAAAGAGAAAAGAAAAAAGTAATAAAAAAAATGTATTATCTTTCTCTTAGAAAAATAGAGGTACAGGCCGAGCACGGTGGCTCACGCCTGTAATCCCAGCACTTTGGGAGGCCAAGGCAGGCAGATCATGAGGTCAGGAGATCGAGACCATCCTGGCTAACACAGTGAAACCCCGTCTCTACTAAAAATGCAAAAAATTAGCTGGGCGTTGTGGCAGGCGCCTGTGGTCCCAGCTGCTCGGGAGGCTGAGGCAGGAAGATGGCGTGAACCTGGGAGGTGGAGCTTGCAGTGAGCTGAGATGGTGCCACTGCACTCCAGCCTGGGCGACCGAGCAAGACTCCATCTCAAAAAAAAGAAAAAAAAAAAAAAGAAAGAAAAATAGAGGTACTGTTACAATCAGAATGTTGGTCGAAATATGGACAGTAAGACCATTCCAATGAAGTCTCAGATGGAAATGAGGAACAGAGTATTGGAAACTGGAGTAAAGACCATCCTTGTTATAAAGCAGCAAAGAACTTGGCTGAACTGTGTCCATGCCTGAGGACTTTATGAAAGGCAGAACTTAAGAGTGATGAACTGGAATATATGGCAGAAGAAATATTTCAACAGCAAAGCATTCAGGCCGCTGCATGACCACTTTTGGCTGTTTATAGTAAGATGAGAGAAGAAACAGAGGGGAAAAATTTTGGAAAATTCACAGCCTGGCCATGTGGTAGAGAATGAAAGAGCATTTTCAAGAGAGGAAACCAAGGATGTGAACAAGTAACCAATTAATGACAGAATTAGAATGAATGGAAGAAAGCCAGAGGCTCTTTGTTATGACAATGGGAGAAAACCCCTGAAGGCATTTCAGAGATCTTTGAGGCTGCCCCTCCCATTACAGGACCAGAGGTATAGGAGGGCAGAGTGGTTTTGGGGATAGGCTGCTGCCCAGGATCACTTCGGGTCTGTGTTCCCTGCATTTCAAGACAGTGCTCCTCAGTGCCCCATCCATGGCTCAAGCAGCCCCAGGTGCATCTTGATCCACAGCTCCAGGAAGTATAAGTTGTAAGCCATGGTGGCATCCATGTGCTGTTGTCTATGGGGTTTCAGAATACAAGAGCTATGGGGATATGACTGTCTCCACCTATGTTTCAAAGAACGACTTGTACTGGAAGCCTAAGCAGAAACCTGCCACAGGGGTGGAGCTGCCACAGAGAGCCTCTATTAGGTAAATTCCCAGCAGAAATGTAGGGTTGGAGCCACCACAGAGAGCCCCAGCAAGGGCAATGCCTAATGAAACCATGGAAGCAGGACCACCAAGGAGACCACCTAACTGTAGGGCCACCAGCATGCAAACTAGCCTGGCAGACCTGTGATGTGGCTTGCACCCAGCAAAGCCACTGGGGCAGGGCTTCCGGAGACCTTGGGGCCAAGCCACTACTCCAATGTCCCTAGGATGCAGGACACTGAGTCTAAGGAAATTATTCTCTAACTTGAAGACTTACTGTTGTTTTCCCTGTTGGGTTTTGGACTTACTTGGGACCTGCTACTCCTTTCATTTTGCCTATTTCTTTTTGGGGGTGGGGATGGAGTCTCCTCTGTCATGCAGGCTGGAGTGTAGTGGTGCAATCTCAGCTCACTGCAACCTTTGCCTCCTGGGTTCCAGCAATTCTCCTGCCTCAGCCTACTGAGTAGCTGGGATTACAGGTGCCCACCACCATACCACCATGCCTGGCTAATTTTTTTTTTTGTTGTTGTTGTTGCTTTTTTTTTTTTTTTTTTTTTGCATTTTTAGTAGAAATGGGGTTTCACCATGTGAGCCATGGGAGCAGGCCCACCAAAGAGACCACCTAACTGTAGGGCCACCAGCATGCAAACCAGCTTGGGAGTGCTGTGATGTGCCTTGCACCCAGCAAAGCCACAGGGGCAGGGCCTCCTGAGATCTTGGGGCCCAGCCCCTTCTCCAGTGTACCTAGGATGCAGGACACTGAGTCAAAGTGTCTCGAACTCTTGACCTCAGGAGATCACCTCTCCTTAGCCTCGCAAAGTGCTGGGATTATAGGCATGAGCCACCGTGCCTGGCCCATTTTTGCCTATTTCTGCCTTTTGGAATGGGAATGTGTACCCTATGCTTATATATAGATAATATGTTTTGATTTCACAGGCTTACAGATGAGACTTGGACTTTGGACTTTAGAGTTGGTGCTGGACTGAGTTAAGACTTTGGGGCTATGGGGATGGAATGAATGTATTTATATGTGAGAAGGATATGAGTTTTGTGGGGCCAGGAGTGGAATGCTATGGTTTGAATATTTGTCCCCTCCAAAACTCACATTGAAATTTAACCCCCAATGTGGCAGTATTGAGAGGTGGGTCTTTAAGAGGTGATTGGATCATGAGGGCTCACCCCTCAATCTATTCATGGATTAATGGATTAGTTGATTAATGGGTTTTCACTGGAGGGAAACTGGTGGCTTTATAAGAAGAAGAAGAGAGGCTGAACAAGCATGCTAGACACTCAGCCCCACTGCCATGTGATGCCCTGTGCCCCCTCAGGACTCTGCAGAGGGTCCCACTAGCAAGGAGCAAGAAGGTTCTCCCCAGATGCAGTCCCTTGACCCTGGATTTCTCAGCCCCCAGACCTGTAATAAATAAATTCATTTTCTTTATAAATTATCCAGTTATAGGTATTTTCTTTTAAGCAAAAAAAAAAAAAAGACTAAAATGGGTGGATTATAACACTTACCAATCACTATCCCTTTAAAACAATGTTTTTTCTTGAAGTCTTTACTTTGATATTAATGTAATCACTTCAGCTTTTTTCTCTTTGCATTAGTTTGGTATATTTTTTATCTATGCCCTTACAGTAATATATCTATCTCATTTGATTTAGTTATATCTTATAAACATATAGGTGAATTTTGTTACATCTTTTTTTTTTTTTTTTTTTTTTGAGACAGAGTCTCACTCTGTCGCCCAGGCTGGAGTGCAGTGGTGCGATCTTGGCTCACTGCAACCTCTGCCTCCCGGGTTCAAGTGATTCTCCTTCCTCAGCCTCCTGAGTAGCTGGGACTACAGTCACGTGCCACCATGCCTGGCCAATTTTTTGTATTTTTAGTAGAGGCGGGATTTCACCATGTTAGCCAGGATGGTCTTGATGTCCTGAACTCGTGATCCTCCCACCTTGGCCTCCCAAAGTGCTGTGATTACAGGCCTGAGCCACTATGCCCAGCCAAGAATACTTCCTTAACAATTATTTTAAACGTTACAAATACATTATCACTTAACAGTAAATCTTACAGGTTTCACAGCTCACTGCTATTTCGTCTAGACTACATGTTTCGATTTCTTGAGATCTTTATTCTGATTCATTTGTTATTTCAGCAGACTACTTCCTGGAATAGTTTTCTTCATAAAGAGTGTTAAGAGAGAGGCTTTCTTGTCCTCCAGTGCTGAAGCGGGTTTCTTTGTCCTCACAGAAGAGTGAGCCTTTACCTCAGAAGCTGTAAATGTTGTCCCACCATCTCTCTCAGCATTTATGTAGCAAACACCCACTTCAGTGTCAGCTCCAGCATCTCTTCTATGAAATGACCTGTTTATTCTGAACCTTATAGAAGTTTCTATGCATCCTTTGAATTAACATTTTTCATCAGCATACCACTTGGTATGTGTTTTCCTCTATTAGAATTTCCTTCACTGTGCCAACCTTGTTCCTGCCTTGGAGGTCTTGCACTAGCTCTTCCTTCTTTTCAGAATGATCTTCCCTGATACTGCAAGGCTGCCTCCTTCCCACCATTAGCCCTCACTTCAAATCCATCAAGTCGTTTTATGACCACCATATCTAAAACATCTCCTAATCATTGTCATCATCTATCACATTCATTATCCTGTTTTATTGTCTTCAGGAGTGTTTATTATGGTCTGATATTATCACATTTATTTATTTGTGCTGATTGTCTTCCCTTCACAACTGGAATGTAAACTCCATGAACGCCTCTGCTGTATGATTTTCTACTCTATCTTTGGCTCCAATAATAGTGCCTAGCTCATAGGAGAAGCTGAATGAATGAAGGAGAAATACCAGGAGCTGCTTTTCCTCTTTCTAAGATTTTCCAAATATTTTCCATGTGATCAGTCCTCCTCTTCCTATTCAATTTGCTAACTATCCAACCATTCTTCTGGTCCACCTCAAGGCTTTTGGTTAGAAGTAAAGTAACACCCCACCCCCCAACCCCTGCACACTTGCAAGAGGGCAAATGGATACACACAGAATGAAGTTCAAGGAACTCTAGCATATTGGACAGCTGAATTATTCAGCTGACTTAATGAAGTTCACAAAGTTCCTGGAGTATCTGGTAGAACTCCTGTCCTCTGTTTGACATTATTTAAATTACTCTCCAGTTCTTATTTCTGTTTACTGCCTAGTCACAGCCAAAGAGTATCGAATGCTGCTTTTGTTGTACTTTGTAAATATGATTCAACAGATATCAAGATTACAATTGTAAACTAATCTGTTTTTGTTAGAGATTTGGTTTAATATGATTTGGTTTGGCTGACCTAATCAGGCTTGGCAATGGAAGTTACTCTCAGAAATCTAATGCCAATAGTAAGGCCACTTTCTTCAGATATTATGCCTGGAGCATATAGTGAAGGCTAGAAACCTGGGTTCCCCACACTGCTGTTTTTGCTTTACCACACCATAATCTTGCTTAAAGAAACAGAGTCGAAGTTATAAGCTGCTATAACTAATTTTAACAATGAAAAAGTTTTATTCTATTAGTACATGTTAGGAGTGTTATAAATTTACTGAATGTAGGCATAGATGAATATAAATAAATACTAAAAAGAGTTCAAATGAGTGATTAGTTAGGCTTTGCTTATAGCTATGAAATCTTCCTGGGATGAAAGGGGATCACACTGAAGAAATGGAAGAGGAAGGTGAAAGTTTGGAAAGACTAGGAAACACTTGTGCTTGGATACATATATGCAATGATTTGATATTGAGTGTCTATAAAATTCTCATTTCCTGTTCATCCACTCTATAAAACTCAATTTGTAGTAGAGATTGCTGAGCAGGAAATGCAATGGCTGCTTTGAAGCTAGCAGTTATAGTGCTATTCACCAAATCTTACCAGTGATAAGAGACTTCTCAGAGTTCCTTTTTCTTCTGGCGTGATGACTAGCAGGGGTCCTCTGGTGGCTGCTCCATAAGCCTGGGTCCTGCAGCGAGTATGATAGAGATTAGAGTTCCCAGCTAAGCACCAGGGATCATATATTGATCACACATTGTGTACTAGAAATAAATCTTTCTTGCTTTAAGACACAGAGATTTGGGATAGTTTGTTATTGCAGTATAACCTAGCCCACCCAAACCAATATATAGAGCTTAAACAGCCTACTCCAATGGGAAACTTTATCTAATCTCTTGCTTCGAATACCATTCTTTTCTTCCTTTTTTTTGAGACAGAGTCTCACTCTGCTGCCCAGGTTGGAGTATAGTTGCATGATCTTGGCTCATTGTAACCTCCGCTTCCTGGGTTCAAGCGATTCTCATACCTCAGCCTCCTGAGTAGCTGGGATTATAGGCGTGTACCACCACGCCCAGCTAATTTTTTTGTATTTTTAGTAGAGACGTGGTTTCACTGTGTTGGCCAGGCTGGTCTTGACCTCCTGGCTCAAGTGATCCGCCCAACTTGGCCTTCCAAAGTGCTGGGATTACAGGCGTGAGCCGCTGTTCCCAGCTGCCATTTCTCATTCTTCCTCTCTGACATCTCAGTCTCTTTCTTGTTTCTTATGATCCTCCACCAGTTTTGGGCTTTACTTCAGCATTACATCTTTAAAAAAATTTTTTTTAAACTTTTGTTTTAGGTTCGGGGTACATGTACAGGTTTGTTATATAGGTAAACTCATGTCACAGGAGTTTGTTGTGCAGATTATTTTGCCACCCAGGTAGTAAGCTTATTAAAAAGTCAAAAAATAACAGATGCTGGTGAGGTTGCAGAGAAAAAGGAACATTTATTCACTGTTGGTGGGAGTGTAAATTAGTTGAACTATTGTGGAAAGCAGTGTGGCAATTCCTCAAAGAGCTAACAGCATTACGTCTTGAATCTTACTGCCTTACCCAACTGATAGGCACAAATAAAAACATGTATACTTTTTAAAAAATTATTTATTTTCATTTTTTCTTCAGATACCGTGACTTCAAAAACATGTATAATTTAAAAAATAACTTAAAAAATTTCCAAGAATCCCAGCACTTTGGGAGGCCGAGGCGGGCGGATCACGAGGTCAGGAGATCGAGACCATCCTGGCTAACACGGTGAAACCCCGTCTCTACTAAAAATACAAAAAATTAGCCGGGCGAGGTGGCGGGCGCCTGTAGTCCCAGCTACTCGGGAGGCTGAGGCAGGAGAATGGCGTGAACCCCAGGGGGCGGAGCCTGCAGTGAGCCGAGATTGCGCCACTGCACTCCAGCCTGGGCGACAGCGAGACTCCGTCTCAAAAAAAAAAAAAAAAAAATTCCAAGAAGAAAAATAAAAGGGTGAAAAGATCTGGTGGGAAAGTATCAGAGAAAATGGGACAGAAGAGGCTGGGTATGGTGGCTCACGCCTGTAATCCCAGCACTTTGGGAGGCCGAGGCTGGCGGATCACAGGGTCAGGAGATTGAGACCATCCTGGCTAACACAGCAAAACCCTGTCTCTACTAAAAATACAAAAAATTAGCTGGGCGTGGTAGCAGGCACCTGTAGTCCCAGCTGCTCAGGAGGCTGAGGCAGGAGAATGGCATGAACCCAGGAGGCAGAGCTTGCAGTGAGCCGAGATTGCACACCACTGCACTCCAGCCTGGGAGACAGACTGAGACTCTGTCTCAAAAAAAAAAAAAAAAGAAGAAGGGACAGAAGAATAACATTATGTAAGATTTCCAGCATATACTCTCTCTTCATTTCCCATTCCTTTCATTTCTTCATTCAGGTAACAAAATATTTAGCATTTGCTATGAGCCAGTTTTAACCATCAGGACAAAATGGCAAACAAAAGTCATGAAAATTACAGTCTAGCTGAAAAGACAAAATTAATCAAATAATTATACAAATAAATGTAAAACTATAATAGTGATAAGTGCTATGAAGAGGAGATGCACACATTATGTATCCGTATCTATTGTCTGTCCATCTGGAATGATAAAGCAAATGTAAGACATTCATAATTAGAATATATTGCTATATAGAAATAATGGTGTACAGAAATTCTTGGTACTATTCTTGCAACTTTTCTATATGTGTGAAATTATTTCAAAATTAAAAAGGCTTTTTCAAAGCACTAACTGGTGTGGTGGTGTGTACACTTATTAGACAGAATTACCTGGATTGGTTATCTCTGTTTAGTACTTGATTCAAACTTGGCCAAATTATATTGCCTGGCATTGTAATTCCTCTTTCGGTGCTAATCACTGTCCCTGCAGAATCCTGTGGCCCACACATGGTAATAAAATGAATGAAAAATCCATTGTAAATCACACTTTGTATTAAAACATATGAACAAAACTCCCTGCCTTTGTTTTTTCTATTTTAAAAAGTGATACGTAATTAATATGTAAAATTAGGAAAGAATACAATAAGTCTAATGAAAAATGAAAATTACTTATAACTCATCAGTCAGTGATAATCACTGTTAACATGTTGGCAAATTTCCATCATATGTTTTTCATTTAGCAGTGTGAGTTGTTTGTTGTGTGTTGCAAATTACCCTGAAAGTTAGCTGTTTAAAACAATAAACATTATTTTACACAGTATCTGAAGGTCAAGAATCTGGGAGTGACTCAGCTGAGTGGTTCTGAATCAAAGTTTCTTATGAGGTTGTAGTTAAGTCGTAGCTACGATAGCAGTCAGTTGAGAGCTGGGGAATTAGTGTCCAACTTCATTCATGTAGCTGTTGATAAAGAGGCTTCAGGCCCTCAGCAGGTAAGCCTCTTCATTGAGCTCACATAATATGAAAGCTGCCTTCTCCCAGAGGAAGTGATGAGAGAAAGATAGACAGAGAGGGAGAGAAGACAGAATGTGCAGTCCTTTATAACCTAGTCTTGAAAGTGACATATCATTTCTGCTATATTCCATTTGTCATACAGGCTAAACCTGACACAGTGTAGGAGATCCCTACACAAGCATGTGAATACCAGGAAGCAGCAGATGTTGGGGGCCATCTTGGAGGCTGGCGATGAGATAACACTCTACCATGAGTATTTTACCACATTGTAAAAACATTTCCTACATTATTTCAGTGATTGCATTATATTGTTATAGGCCTTCAAATTCATGTACAAAGGGGTATTATAAAGTTATGAGGCTATTTTTTCAACAAACACACCAGAATTTGTCCATTCCTCCAAATCAGTGCTGTCTTTCAAACAGCTCACCTTGGGAACCTATGAACTTATTCTAGAGATGTCAGGCTGTTGTCACAGACAAGCCTGGGGTTCCTTTTTGAAATTAGGACTGGACTGTTGCAGCGTAGTATTTTTAATAAACTCAAAGATGATATGAGGCAGTTATGTTAGCAAGTAGAATTGCTGTAGTCTGAGGGTGTTCCCCAAAATTCATATGTTGAAACTTGTCTATGTCATTGTCTCATGCGGTGCTTAAGTCATGAGAATGGAGCATTCACGGATGGGATCAGGGCCATTACAACAGGGCTTGTGGGAGGGGGTTTGCCTCTTTCCACCTCTTCTGCCATGTGGTAACATGGTGTGAATCTCCTTTTCCTGTCTCTTCTACTATGTGAGGACAGAGCAATGAGGCACCATCTTGGATGCAGAAAACAGGCCCTCACCAGACACTAAACCTCCTGACGACTTGATGTTAGACTTCCCAGCCTTTAGAACTGTAAGAAAGAACTTTCTGTTATTTATAAATCACCATTTTGTTACAGCAGCCCAAAAATGCTAAGACAAGAACATATGTTGGATTTATTCTTGTTCTGCTGCTGCTCCATTTGCAATACCAGACCAGATGTATTATTTAAAAATGTATTTTGACACCCAACTAAAGCTTAACAAAATGATATTTCTTAGTCAAATTAATCATCACATGAATGAACTATGGGTGTTCAACTATGGGTGAACATTACTGATTCAGAGATTTCTGCTCTTTGGGCTCTGAATGGGTCCCCCGCCCCCAGCCACCTGCCCAGTGAGTATCTTGAAGTGTTTCTTCCCTAAGTGTAACTCTCAGGAGAAGTACTATATTGATAGAAACTTACATTCTCCAGGGTATAATACTGTATTTATGTATTTACATAGCCATCAATTTTGCTGGCAAAAGAAAATTGTGGACTGGGAAAGCAACATGAAGGCAGAATCAAGGCTTATTTCACTTTGTTTCTCATGGTGCCTGGCACACAGTAGGCACCTAATACATGTTTCTTGAATTAATAACAGTGAAATTCTTGTGTTGTAAAAAAAAATAATACTTGAACTGATAATACTTGTCTGGTAGTCTAAATCTTAAAAAGATTCATACTGATATTTGGTACTGGGGTTTCCTTTTTTCACTTTGACGTTGTGACATTGAAGAATGACGTTGTGACATTTTTCTTAAAGTCCTGCGGTAACATTAGTTGGACTGAAATTGACAGCATGCTCAAAAACATGGACATGGTTTTTATGTTCAAACTCCCCAAGTAAACAACAACAACAAAAAATCACCACCAAAAACAAGTACACAAATTAATATCAGGATTTTAAAACTGGAACCATCTTCTAACTTTCCTTGGAGTTGCAATAGGTTTAGTTGTGCCATCTCTATACTAAAAGCCATTGCAGTTATTGGTTTTCTCTAAGACATCTAGAAAGATGTATGTGTGTGCCATATATGTAGTCATCAGAACTTTTTCAAACAACTGCTCGGGGACAGGATGAGGCAGTGAGGAAATGAGCAAATTGCTACCATTCTCCCAGAAAGTTAATGTTATATTAGTGGCTCTATTTTGGAGGAGGAAAACAATCCAGTTTCAAAGTTAGCATAAGCATTATGCTCATCACTCTCTCACTTCCTTACAGAGGGCGCAGGAGAGTCTGTAATTTCATGCCAAGTGCTCTAATGACGATGTGGCATGGCTTTTTGCTTTACCTGGTTTCTTCCTATACTAAAGGGAAAAGGAATTAAAGGCAGTTCCAATGTTGAAACATTGAGCCCAGACCATTACAAATAAAAACAGAACAAATCCTAATGAAAGGAATAAAATTCCCTATAGGAGCTCTGTAATGAGAGAAGTCACCGGGTGCCCAGAGTAGTCTGAGAAGCATACATTTAATGAGGTTCTGGTAAAACCGTGGGGACCTAGCCATTCTCTCAATGCAAATGAGCGGTTCCCATCAGCATTGTCCTCATCCTTTGGTGAACTCCTCTCCTTTCTCTCTTTCTTTTTTAAAGCATAACTTCATGCTTACAGAACAGTCAAAATAATAAAAAGAAATGGAGTGCCCTTTATCCAAACCTACCAAATTGTTAGTATTTCTTTCTATTTGCTTGCTTTATCATTCTTTCTCTCTCTCTCTTTCTCTCTCTCTCCACACACACACACACACACACACACACACAGACTCACATTTTTATTTTTTTAGCCATTTGAGAAGTTATTTTGTCCCTTTACCGTAAAATACTTTCAGGTGTATTTCCTTTGAACAGAAAAGAATCTGCTTACATAATCCCAATACAATTATCAAATCAGGAAAATTAACAATGAAACTATCTTTTTTCTAATCTATAGCTCTTATTTATTTATTTATTTATTTTTGAGACAGAGTCTTGCTCTATTGTCCAGGCTAGAGTGCAGTGATGATCACAGCTCACTGCAGTGATCACCACTGCATTCCAGCCTGAAGCCCCTCCTGGGCTCAAGTGATACTCCTACCTCAGCCTCCTGAGTAGCTGGGACTACAGGCACACCTGCCTAATTTTTTTAGTTTTTTGTAGAGATGAGGTTTCACCATATTGCCCAGGCTGGTCTTGAACTCCTAGACTCAAGCGATCTGCCCGCCTTGGCCTCCCAAAGTGCTGGGATTACAGGTGTGAGCCATGGTGCCTGGCCCTTATTCAAATTTTTCACTTATCTGACTAATGTCCTCTGGAGAAAAAGAAAAATTACATTTTTTTTTTTTCTGATCCAGGATCCAATCGAGGATAGCCTGTTGCACTTGGTTTTTGGGTCTCTTTAATCTCCTTTGATTTGGGACAGTTCCTCTGTCATACTTCATCTCTCATGACCTTGACAATTTTGAAGAATATTTTGTAGAACGTTCCTCTGTTTGGGTTTGTCTGATAAGACGTAGGTTATGATTTTTGGGAGGAGGATCATGAAAGTGATGCTGTGTCCTCCTTCATCAGCATGTCAGGAGGCACATGAGTTTGGTCTACTCCAATATTGGTGATGTTAGCTCTGCCTAGCTTTTTGAAATCCTACTTCTTTTCTGTGATTTTGAGACAAAATAACTTCTTCTTTTCTTTTTTTTTTTTTTTGAGATGGAGTTTTGTTCTTGTTGCCCAGGCTGAAGTGCAATGGCTCAATCTCTGCCCACTGTAACCTTGGCCTTCCAGGTTCAAGCAATTCTCCTGCCTCAGCCTCCCAAATAGCTGGGATTACAGGCATGTGTCACCGTGTCCAGCCAATTTTTTGTATTTAGTAGAGATGGGGTTTCACCATATTGGTCAGGCTGGTCTCGAACCCCTGACCTCAGGTGATCCACCCACCTCGGCCTCCCGAAGTGTTGGGATTACAGGCGTGAGCCATGGCGCGCAGCCCAAAATAACTTCTGAGACTCTTAAAGACACATAAATTGAAGTTGGCCCTGTCTTCACTCTTTATCTGCCACTGCCCTCCCTGCTCCAGATCTATTCTCTCCCCTTCTTTGCTGCATTTTGTACCCTGGGAGGCTGATTGCTAGGAAACTGCCTCCCTTGGCCTTCTCTGCTCCTAGCTTCCTAGATTCAGCAGATAGAAAATACCAGCAAGAGATGAAAGTGTGGAAGGCGAGGAAAGTCAAGGAATTCATTCCCCTGGGTCCCTCACTGCTTTGCTTTAGGCCCGTGTCCTTGGCAGGGGCTGTGCACCTTCAGGACCACAGCTCATTGTGTCCTCTCAGCTCTGGTGTGGGTGGCCTCCTGCTACTTCCAGTCTCTAGGTGCCTCAACACACAGCTGTGCTCTTAGCTCTACCCACACCTCGAAACGCAGTCCTTGGCTAAAGATTCTTCATTTTTAATATGTGAGTTGAATTCTGTTTCCTGCCATGACTCTCACTGGTCCAACTTTTACGTAGAACTTCTGGGGAATAGATGTCATGAAAGAGATGGCCTTTTGTACAGTGTGGACAGAAGGGCCAGTGATGGCATTTAGTACATTAAGAAGAACAAAAGCCAGTTGTTGATCATTTACTACAGGTAAGCCACCAAATCAAGTCCTGAAGAACTGCGAGACATATTTCTTTTTCCTCAGAGTGCTTAGAATGGAATCGAGGAGATCGATGGTGTACGATAGAGGAGTTCAGAAGGGAGCGAGATCCCTAAGGCTTGAGCAGTAAGGGAAAGTTTCTGGGCTGCAGCAGAGGACATGAGAGAATTCAGGTGTATTAAGTGTTTTCTGTTGGCCAGGCCTGTTACCCAGAGTTTTGTTCTCTCTTTTATTTCTCTTATTTCTTTTATCTCATGGTCGCTTCATCTTACAGGTGAGGACACAAAGGCTCAGAGGAGTCAAGTAATTTGTCTGAAGTCATAGATGTAACTTGTGAACCTGCTGGGATTTGAACCTAGTTTTGTCTGAAATCTAAAGCTCATGCTCTTTTCATTGTAAAAGCAATAAGGAGTAAGACACGGGGCTTCATAAAGGAGAGATGTTGGGAGAATTGTCAGGGAAGCAGGAATGTTTGTGATGTTTGGAGTCATTAATTTCTGAGAGAAAATAAAAGACATACAAGAAGAATCAGAGTGTAGCGAGGGCTACAGGGTTTCCACAGGCCAGTCTCTTCATATAGAAACCAGGTGAGTGCTATTGCCTATGATGCAAAGCCAATGACCAACAGATATGATGCAGAAGAAAGATTGTACAAGATGAAAGTCGGCCATCCATTAGAGTGGAATTGTCCGGATGCCTTATTAACGGTTGGTGAAAATATCCTGAATATAATGAATTGCCATTTTTGCATCGATCTAAGTACAAAAAGACAATGTTTAGACAAGAAATAGTTAAATGTTTTATCATCCCATATCCCAAGTTAATAACAATTAGATTAAAATTTAGTCCAAGGGATTGTGTGCTAAGATAATATATTTCAACATATAAATCCTAAGTACTTAGATTTACACACCACCTTTCTTCCAAAGAGTTAAAGGCTGACAACCAAAAAAAGGGAGATCAGTCGAAGTCTCAGAGCAAAGGCTAGTCTTAGAATTAACAGAATTAAACCAATACAGATAGAACATTTGTCAATTAAAAGTGCTCAAAATAGGCATTATTCCATTCCTGCCTCACAACAATTTTGTAAGCAAGTACTGTTAATATTATCACTTGGCCAGGAGCAGTGGCTCACATCTGTAATCTCAGCACTTTGGGAAGACAAGGTGGAAGGATTGCACGAGCCCAGGAGTTTGAAACCAGCCTGAGCAACGTGGTAAGACATCATCTCTACAGAAAGTTTAAAAAATAAGCCGAGTGTGGTGATGCACACCTGTGGTCCCAGCTACTCAGGAGGCTGAGGTGGGAGGATTGCTTTAGCCCAGGCCAGGAGGTAGAGGCTTCAGTGAGCTGTGATCACACCACTGCACTCCAGCCTGGGTGACAGAGCAAGACCCTGTCTCAAATATAACATATACATATAAATATAAATCTATATTTTATAATAAAAATTAAAATACAAATATATAAATAATAAAAAAGTAATATAATATGTAATATATACAAATATATAATGCTATAATATATTTACAAAAATATAGGCCAGGTGTGGTGGCTCAAGCCTGTAATCCCAGCACTTTGGGAGGCCGAGGTGGGCGGATCATGAGGTCAGGAGATCGACACCATCCTGGCTAACACAGTGAAACCCCATCTCTAATAAAAATACGAAAAAATTAGCCGGGCGTGGTGGCAGGTGCCTGTAGTCCCAGCTACTCGGGAGGCTGAGGCAGGAGAATGGCGTGAACCCAGGAGGCGGAGCTTGCAGTGAGCTGAGATGATGTCACTGCACTCCAGCCTGGGCGACAGAGAGAGACTCCGTCTCAAAAAAAAAAAAAAGAAAAAAAATACATATTTACATACATTTATATATAAATATATTTACATATATAAATTTTATAGTCTATACAGATATATAATATACTGTATATAGTATCATCAAATATATAAATACATATTTATACATAATATTTATGTATTTATATATGTATAAATATATATGGTGATAATATATAAATATACTTATTTATATATCATATTTATATAATATATATAAATATATATGGTGATAATATATACAGATACATGATCACAACTTTCCAGTTGCCTGGTTCTGAGTTTGCGTCTCCTTATTGAATGGGAAGAATGAGTCTTCTATGCCTGGTGTTAGGGCTTCTTACCTTCCTCTAGGCTCCAAGTCACTTTCTTCACTTTCCAACACCCTTCTTTTTGTCATAGTCCCTTACTTTTAGCAGTCTGGTCTCCTTGCCTGCTGATGCCTTCACTGGTATGTAAGGCCGTTGCTGATGATAATTTAAGGTATCATCTTTCCAGGGGGTTCCAAATTTTAAAAAAAACTCTGAAATGAGTTTCAATTTAATTTGATTCAATCAATTCAATTTTTAAAAAAATTGGAGCTTTACTGGTACTGTCACAGTTGATAATATTGGTCACATGGTATCATATTCTGGGGTAAGGAAACCCCACATACCACGTACTTTTAAAGAAAAGTCTGGGCCAGGTGCAGTGGCTCAGGCCTGTAATCCCAGCACTTTGGGAGGCTGAGATGGGCGGATCACCTGAGGTCGGGAGTTCGAGACCAGCCTGATCAACGTGGAGAAACCCCGTCTCTACTACAAATACAAAATTAGCTGGGTGTGGTGGTGCATACCTATAATCCCAGCTACTTGGGAGGCTGAGGCAGGAGAATCACTTGAACCCAGGAGGCGGAGGCTGCGGTAAGCTGAGAGCCATTGCACTCCAGCCTGAGCAACAAGACTGGAACTCCGTCACAAAAAAAAAAAAAAAAAGAAAAGTCTCGTCCAGGTGCGGTGACTCAAGCCTGCCTGTAATCCCAGCACTTTGGGAGGTGGAGGCGGGCAGATTGTCTGAGCTCAGGAGTCTGAGACCAGCCTGGGCAGACTGAATGAAACCCCGTCTCTACTAAAATACAAAAAATTAGGTGGTAAGCGCCCCTAGTCTCAGCTACTCCAGAGGCTGAGGCAGGAGAATCACTTGAACCCAGGAGGCAGAGGTTGCAGTGAGCCAAGATGGTGCCACTGCACTCCAGCCTGGACAAGAGAGCAAGACTCAGTCTTGAAAGAAAGAAACGAAAAAGAAGGAAAGGAAAGGGGAAAGGGGAAAGGAAAGGCAGTCTGGGCATGGCCATCAGAGGAGCAGAGAACATGGCATAGACCTTCCACAATGCAGTGGAGGTGGAGTAGAAGTGTTTTGGGTTTGCTCTTGGCTTTTTTTCTCCTGTAGATCTGTTTTCTTTTTTTATGAAGAGGCCATGGGTTTGGAGGAGTGGACCCTTGAGGTATCTGAGCTTGGCTTTGCTGCCGGGCTTAACCTTAACATCCCATACTCCTCCATCTTCTTAAGGGAATAAAGGAAAGGTTACAGATGGATGGCTCCCATCATCACATTACAGTGGAGAAACATCACCAGACTTACTGCTTTCAAAGAGTAATATAGAAATGCAAACTTGAAAGGCCACCTCCAAAATCCTGACATCTGGCCCTCCCACAAAGATGTCCAAAGGAAGAAAAAAATTGATTTCCATAAAGCTGGCCCTTTGCAATGTGCAGCTGTCCTCTTGGTTACAACAGATAATTTTTCCTAGATTAGCAGCACAATGTTGATTTATTGGGTTTAGCATAAAATTCCTGGAATGGAAAGTGAAAAAGATGTGAGATGTTAATTGTTTTTTTTCCTCCCTATTTGCTAGGAAATAACTCCCAAAGGTCTCAGGAATTATGGTGGAAATTCTCCCCTCTTGTCTTTGCTGACTCAAGCAAAGGGCAGGCAGTACAGAGTTGAACTCCGTCCTTAACTCCCAAGAATCTCAAATGATAAGTCTCTCCTGGACACTGCACGGGGAAAAAAGACCATTCCCATGGGTGGAAAGCAGGTTGTAACAAAAAAAAAGGTCCAGATTGTGCTTCGGGAGTAGGGGAAGACTGGTTTTCAATGATAGTACTTACTGGACAACTTTTTCCCACTCCTAGCCTGGACCCAACCTGAATATTTGAAATTGATACTTTTCCAGAAGATCCGAGCCATGTGTCCCTGTACTTAAATAGAGACCAAACTTTTGAGAAGTAACTCTTCCCACATGTAGAAAAATGAAATGCTTTTCTTCCACCATAGTAGTAAAAGCATAAAACAATTCTCCACAGGAGTTTGCAGATGGGATCAATAATTTGTTTTTTTCCCTTTTATTGAGATGAAGGTAAATTCCTAAAACAGACTTCTTTTTATTTGCTATTATTTTACAATTTATTTTTATTTTTTGTGGAGATGGTGGTCTCTCTATGCTGTGCAGGCTCATCTGGAACTCCAGAGCTCAAGTGATCCTCCCATCTTGGCCTCCTAAAGTGCGGAGATTACACATGTGAGCCACCATGCCTGGCCCTAAAACAGATTTCATTCCTTATGCTTAAATCTGAATGCATATTGCTTTTCCTTCGTTCTTCAGCATCATGAATGAACACTCACACTGTTTTGACATTGGTCAAGTTGGTCTCAACTCCAGCCTGGGCAGTCTGCATTCCCAATCAATGCATCTACATCCTGTATTCAACAGTGGCGTAGAAACTGCTGTGCTCCAAATTCAGGGTATGCAGAATTTTAGTCCTTCCCTTTTATGTGAAAGTTAAAATTTAAAGAACAGTAAAAGGTAAATAAGTCATAATTTAATATAAACCTCAGGCAGAGGCTATGTTACTCATAGCTTTGCCATCTGGAATTTTGATAAATTAGATTTGGATTATCTCTTACAGATTGTAGTTTACCTTTAAAGAGGCCAAATGCTATTTCCTGTCAGTTTTCTTAACTACCTGTCAAGCACAATTCCTCCTCATAGCCTAGGACTGATTACAGTGAAGGAGGTTTAGGCCACAGCTGATCCAGCCATCATCTGCTAGCCAAACAAAGTGGTTAAAAATCAGTGCAATTCTGCCATCAGCCAAATTTTAGAATGAAATACTTTAGGGGCAGCTGCTCTTTTACCAGAAAATCATATAGCTTTAGCACTTCCTTGCTGTCTGAGATTTCCAGACCCCCTTGATATGGTTTGTCTTTGTGTCCCCACCCAAATCTCATTTTGAATTGTAATCCCCATCATCCCCACTTGACGAGGGAGGGACCTGGTTGGAGGTGACTGGATCATGGGGGCGGTTTCCTCCATGCTGTTCTTGTGATAGTGAGTGGGTTCTCATGACATCTAATTTTTTTTTTGTTGTTGTTGTTTTTTAAGATGGAGTCTCGCTCTGTCGCCAGGCTGTAGTACAGTGGTGTGATCTCGGCTTACTGCAACCTCCGCCTCCTGGATTCAAACAATTCTCGTGCCTCAGCCTCCCCAGTAGCTGGGATTACAGGCACACACCACCACACCCAGCTAATTTTTGTATTTTTAGTAGAGACGGGCTTTCCCCATGTTGGCCAGAATGGTCTCGATCTCCTGACCTTGTGATCCGCCTGCCTCAGCCTCTGAAAGTGCTGGGATTACAGGCTTGAGCCACCGTGCCCTACCAACATCTAATTGTTTTATAAGGGGCTCTTCCCCCTTGGCACTCTCTCTCGCTTTCTCTCTTTCTCTTTCTCTGTCTCTCATGTTGCCATGTAAGACGTGCCTGCTTCCCCTTCTGCCATGATTTTAAGTTTCCTGAGGCCTCCCTAGCCATGCGGAACTGTGAGTCAATTAAACCTCTTTCCTTTATAAATTATCCAGTCTTGGGTATTTCTTTATAGCAGTGTGAGAATGGACTAATATACCCCCTAAAAAAATCCCTTGGAAATGAACAAATTCCATCTATCTGTATGATAGACTGGTGAGTCATAGAGCAGCCCAGAGAAACACAATGGTCCATTATAGAGTGAGAAGTTGTAGGTGTTAAAGAAGATCACAAAGGAAACCAGTTCTTGCTTTCAGCTCAGCCTACATATCCTGGCTGTGATCTCCATGGCACAATCAGAATTTTGGAATGGTGCTCATTTTAATCTTATGAGTCAGGGCTTATGCGTATTCATTAAAACACCACAGGAACAGGTGGTATACAAAAGCAGAAAGCAAGAGGGGGTACAGAGAGCAGTCAAACATTTTTTCCAGTGAATGTGGGAGAAAGAGAGGAGAGAGGAAAAACTATGTACATTTCGGGAATTTCCTCTGGTTGTTTTGTGGGCAGAGTGACATTCAAGGATACAGGCTCAGATGGGGTTATAAGCCATTGGGGGTTACAATTAGACTTCTAGTTCCATTTGTCTTTTGCTTTGAGGAGTTTCTGTGGTTTTCTCTGGGAGAGTGATAGTACTGGTTTGGGATCTCTCTCTGTGTTGAACTCTTCCAGGTCCTTCTTGAGAAGACATGAATAACTCTGCACTGTCTTTTTCCATAACTTGAGAGGAATTAAAAAATAATATTTAGGCCAGGCACAGTGGCTCATGCCTGTAATTACAGCACTTTGGGAGGCTGAGGCGGGCGGATCACCTGAGGTCAGGAGTTCGAGACCAGATTGGCCAACATGGTGAAACCCCATCTATACTAAAAATACAAAAATTGGCAGGGTGTGGTGGTGCTCGCCTGTAATCCCAGCTACTCAGGAGGCTGTGGCAGGAGAATCACTTGAACCCAGGAGGCGGAGGTTGCAGTGAGCCAAGATTGTGCCACTGCACTCCAGCCTGGGTGACAGAGTGAGACCCTGTCTCAAATAATAATAATAATAATATTTAGGCATTTTAAATTGGACAAGCACACAAGAACATCGCTGCTGTAACTGGGATGGACTCAGCACATATGTTCATGGATCTTCCCACTCATCTTGCTCTCACTTGGCTTTTGCCTGGCTGGGAATGGCCATCTGAGCCACTGGTACATCAGTGTGTAAACCTGCCAAGTTCAGCTTGGGTCTCTGTCTTCCATAAAGCCTGCCAACCCACACATCTGGACTTCCTTCTGTCACTGCTACACAGATTCCATATATGTTTCCTGAATGTTTTTGTGTTCCACCTGAAACACCAGCAATTCCAATTGTGGGATTATATCTTTAGTAAATGTCTTCTATAGCCACGTGGCGGCAAGCACAGAGTAGCACACAGTGGGTTCTTGGGTAAATATCGGTCAAAGGTGTGAGTCATAGAGAACAATTAGAGCTAGAAATTTATTGCCAGAAAGAAGAGAAAGGAAAAGCAGGACTGTAGGAGGGGTGGGGAAACTCAGCTTAAGGCTACCCAACTGACCATTTGCTTGTGAAATGTCTTCACCTGTTTTGGAGGACAGCGGAATGTGTATCTGTTTCCACGTCTAACAGCTGAAGGGTAAAAATATCTCAGTTTAGAGCTCTTTCTCAGGCATCAATCTGGTCATTTGGGCTGCCCTTCTCTTGGACTTAGTTATTCCAGGTGTAGGATACGGGGGCCACTTGTGCACCAGAACAGAAGGAGCCCCTACGGGGGACGTGTTGAGAAGACTGTGTGGGCATGGAGAAGTGGTTCTATATGGAAGTCCTTCTAAAGGCCAAGATAAGAGACCCCCTTCACCCCCCCACCCCAACTCCTCTCAGCATTTTTAGAGACTGGGAAGCATTTCTTGACAGTGCTTTGTTTCTGAAAGAAAGCAAGACAGAAAAATTTGGAGTCACTATCCAGGAGATACTTTGTCCTCCTAGAGAAAATAAGGCTCAGAAACAGTGGTCTGAGTATTTGTCTTAGAAGAAGTGGATACAACTGAATCTGAATGAATCTTTCTCCCATGATGAAACAAAAAATTCCAGCACAAAATCTGTGAGAATCTTTGTTGTGAGAAATGTGAGAAAATGAAATAAATTTTAGCCCTGATGAAAAAAAAATTGTTAACCCAAAAATGAGCGGTTACTAAATGTAAGACACAGAGATGTATGTATACATATTTATATACACATGTATAGATAATTGACACATTATATATATGATGTGATCTACCACACACACAGGCCTACAGGCAATTGACAAGTAGGAAATGAGGAAGTCAATCAGTCAATCAGTTTCAAGGACTCTGCTGGGTGATCTACATTGTTATGTGCCCTGAAGGGTAAATATAAAGGGACAGGTGTCCAGATTGCCCTGCCTTAGAATTAGCTGCCTTTTTTTTTTTTTTTTTTTTTGAGGCGGAGTCTTGCTCTGTTGCCCAGGCTGGAGTGCAGTGTCACGATCTCAGCTCACTACAGCCTCCGCCTCCTGGGTTCAAGCAATTCTCCTGTCTCAGCCTCCTGAGTAGCTGGTATTACAGGCACCCGCCACCATGCCCGGCTAATTTTTGTATTTTTAGTAGATATGGGGTTTCACCATGCTGGCCAGATCTGGAACTCCTGACCTCAGGTGATCTGCCTGCCTCGGCCTCCAAAAGTTCTGGGATTACAGGCGTGAGCCACCGCATCCAGCTAGAATTAGTTTTTAATAAAGAAAAGAGGCTGAGTAGAACCTTACTAGGACATCAAATAGTCCTGGTCAGGGAAATAGAGACAGTAAGAACAGAGATGTAACCGCTGAGTTAGGGACGCTCAAACGCACTGATAGGACTGCAAATCCTATGTTTGGATGCGGCCAGCCCTTGCAAATGTAGAGCAGTCTGTGAGTAATTTGAGGAGATTCTGCTGTCCTCAAATCATCTCCTGTAGCCATATTTCATGACACTTCCTCTCCTGTTCTAACATTTGAAATTCTCCCCTCGGAGGACTACTTCAGTCTAGATAATGAAAATAAGGTCATTGCTAAAGCCCTCAATTCCACTGTTTTTCAGCCTTTTAAAGCCTATTTTTTTCTTGGCCAACATAAAACATGCCTTCCTTTAATGTTATCTGATGTTTTAAAATAAAAAAGTTGCAACTAAGAACAATGCAAAAATTTTATTTCGTTCACTTCATCAAACTACGAAGATTCCCCTCTCTATCGCCTCCCATTTTCTGACTGAGGAGTGTGACCTGGATGCAGAGAATGTGAGCTCCATGTGGGGAGTGGCTGTATCTTGTTTGTTGCTGTTTCCCCAACTTCTAGCAGTTTTTGGAGCAAAATCAGGGCTCATGTTTGTCCTTCCATCTGGAAGATGTGGCTGTGGCTGTGAATCTGGATGAATCTTGTGCCATGAGGAGAAAATCAAGGCATAAAATCCGTGGGGATGTTTTTAACACAGAGAAGCAGAAGTGATGGGTCTGTGCCTTGGAAAGTCTATGACAGTCTTCATGGGTTGATGTTTTCCAGGCAGCACTCAGAAAGCTGCCCTGAGTGGATGAGCTAGGAGGTCCATAATTTCCATAGGGTAGAAGGACAGATAACAGTAACAAGCCACCAGTGGCCACGTAACTGCAACTATGATCAGAGAAACAGGTGAGGGCAGTATGGGTCTTAGAACAGGTTTCAGAAACTCAGGCTTTGGTCAAGCAAGAGGGGACATTGGGTACTACGGGGATGGAAGTGACGTACAGAGGACAGTGGCGTGGAGTGAAACCGATCATCTAGCCCTCTGCCCCAGACACCCCCAACTTCTTGTCATCTCCTTATGCAAGGACCCAAAGTTCTTCTGACTGGCTGCGCCTCCAGCCTCATCTCCTGTTCTGTTTCCTCTTGCCTGCAGTTCCAGCCACATGGATCTCGGTGCTATTGCTCAACCATGCTGCAGAATCACTACCATCTCTCAGCCTTTGCCCCTGATGCCCCCTCTGCCGGGAAGCCTCTTTCCCTAGATACTGACACTGCTTTTCACTCACTCCATCCAAGCCCCGCCCAGATTCACCTTCCCAGAGGTCTTCCCTGGACACCCCATCCAAACCACACCCTCTTTTCTTCTCTTTCTATCCTCCTCTCAGTTGCTTTATTTTTCTCTGTGATAATCCTCACTCTCTGACTTTACATCTACTGTATATCTATATCTATACACACACACGCGCGCATTTGTTTATTGCTTTTTCCCCCTACTAGAATGTCAGCTCCCTGCTATATTTCCAGGTCCTAGAACAATACCTGGCTCACAGCATCTTAGTAAAATGTTCGTGGGACAAGTGACTAAAGCAGATATGGTTTTGAATCCAGGCCTGGCTATGTATTGGTTGTATTATGTTGGAAAATTACTTAATCTTCCTAACCTGACTTTGCTCATTTGTAAACTAAGTTGATTATACATTTCTCAATAGACTGTGGTAAGGATACAGCACACGCAAGCCTGCCTGTGCCTAGTGCATAGTCAGTGCCCAATAAAGGCTGTGATTTCAGCTTGGTTTATATTTTAAATAATTTGCTCTTTGTTAGCTACAGATCTGAAGAGATTTCCAGCCCAAATCCTGTTCTGTACTTTTTCTTGAGCCAGGAGTGTAGGGTGGTGGTGAATCACTGATTCACAAGTGTGATGGAAATATGTTTTAGTGAGATGCATAAAGAACAAAAAAAAAAATCACAAACGTTTGACTTTTCTTAAGAATAACATACTATCTATCTTTTCCTTGTGGGAGAGATGTTATGACCTTCCGTATTATTTCAGTTTATGGAAAAAACATGTGAGTGTGTGTATGAATTGTAAACTCACCTCCGATCAGCCTCTGAGGGATGCTGGATCTATGATACACTTTGTCCTTCTGAGAACAAAACTCTTCCCAGGTAAATGCGCTTGGAACATACATTTATTTCTGTCTTAACCTGATTTTTGATCGTGTTGGAGGATGATGACAGTTGGGAAGTATAAAAGGAAGAAATCTAAGAATAGAAAGAACTAGATCAATCTTAGTGTACTTCTGGAGAGACAGACAATGCTTGAAATTGTGGTTGTAGAGACCTAGTTTGTTAATTTAAACCATCATTTGTCTATTTTTTAGAAAAGACTCACGAAGAAATTCTAACGGTGAGTAAAGCAAATCTTATGGCCCCAAATATGCCAGATATGCCAGATAAAATTAATATTTTTTTCCTGAAAACTGTTTTATATCATGCAGTGTTGCATAGTTTGCTTATCTGACAATGTGTATCTTGGGATACTGGAACATCAGTCACAGGAGTTACTATTTTCTTTTAGCATAAAAAATTTAAAAAATCTTTAGAGATGTAGTTCTAAAAAAACAAAAACAAAGTAAGAGGGGAAGGCTTGCTGAAGAAAACATGACCTTTTAAATAATTCATCTACAGTGCTTCTTGAAACTAGAGAAATACCGTGTATGGGGATTCATGTTTTATAAAATATCAGTGAGACCATTATTTGCTGAAAATGTTTTTCTGGCACTGATTAAAATTATTAATTATTTTACTTTTCTCACTTAGATTATCTAATCTTAACATTTCTTTTCTTGTTTCTTCTAAATCCTATCTCTCAAAAGGTAGGATTAATTTATCTTTTGCTTACAAAAACAATATCTGAGTGGAGCCCTGGATTGAAATTCAAGGACTCACTAGGTGTCTACTAATGTAGTAGGGATAACATTGAGTGTTACAGCTTGGAAGCTGATTACCTTTATGACATACAGCTTGGAAGCTGATTAGCTGTGTGACACTGGGTAACCCACTGTTATTCTCTGTGCTTCTATTATTTGTTCTATAGGAATAAGATAATGCTGACCAAATGATATACTAAAAAGCATTTGTGCAGCTGAGAAAATAAAGATGCTGATGCGCCATATTATTGAAGAAATAATTCTTGCTTTTGTGTCTGTTCTAGGGGAAAAGATTAAGAGAAAGAACTGAAAATTGAATTCTGTTCTACAATAAAAGTGTAGCTGCCAGGCTCATCCTTAGAGCCCGCAGAAAATAAAGAGGTGCCATGGATCCGGCACCAATGGTTCTTTCTGACAGAGGCCTTTGGCCTTCCAAGCCCCTCACTCTGCTGGCCTATTGGAGAATGTGTGCTGATTCCCAGAAGAGCCTCATGCCCTTTCTGCCTCCTGCCCAGGTCCTGGAAGTTTTCAGAGAAAAGGGTGCCATTATCCAAGTCTAATAATTTTCTATTTTAAATGCTGAATTTTATTATCGGGTAATCATCATTGTGGAAAGGCAAAGCCATTCACTAATAGGAAGCATACTATAAATTCATAGATGACATTTGCTCATGTTTTCCTGTATGAGATCTGGAAGCCAAGTGTTTAAGCATGCACCCACTCCCCCACAACTTTTTTTTTTTTTCAGATGGAATCTCGCTCTGTCAACAGGCTGGAGTGCAGTGGCGTGATCTCAGCTCACTGCAACCTCCGAGTCCCGGGTTCAAGCGATTCTCCTGCCTCAGCCTCCCGAGTAGCTGGGACTACAGGCATGCGCCAGCACACCTGGCTAATTTTTGTAGTTTTAGTAGAGATGGGGTTTCACCATGTTGGCCAGGATGGTCTCGATCTCTTGACCTCATGATCCGCCAGCCTTGGCCTCCCAAAGTGCTGGGATTACAGGCCTGAGCCACCGTGCCTGGCCGCACCCACCACTTTTTAACATCATACAAGATTAAGCTGAAAAATAGGTGATTACTAAATTTGATATTCTGGAGATGTGATGGTCATGGAAGATCTTTTGGCATAATCCCTCCACCTGTTGCCTTGGGTTTGGTCCTTCTTATTTCCTGTCTAGGTAATTGAAGTGGCCTGCACTTGGACTTCCTTCTCAATAGCCCTTCATCTGCTCTCACATTGTTGCCAGAGTGCTCTTCTCAAAACACAAGTTTGATCAAGTAATGTTTCATTTAAAATTCTGGGCTGGGTGTGGTGGCACAATGCCTGTAGTCCTAGCTACTCGGGAGGGTGAGGTGGGAGGATCGCTTGAGCCTGGGAGTTTGAGGTTGCAGTAAGCTGAGATTGCACCATTGCCCTTCTGCTTGGGCAACAGAGGGAGACTCTGCCTCAAAAAAAAAAAAAAAAGAACAAAACAAGAAAATTCTTCATTGCCTCCTCATTGCCATCAGTCTAAAGTCCAGATTTCTTAACTAGGTGCCTAATGAAGACTGGTCTTGAAAAAATTGTTTGAACTTGCAAAATATTGTCATTGGAAGAGTTACAAGCAGGGTTTTTGTTTGTTTGTTTGTTTGTTTTTGCCTTCTATGAATAGAGACTGGAATTTATTTTTGTTCAGACTATGTTCAGAAAGAGACCATTCTGCTAGTCACCTTTGGTTATGCAGAAGTAGTAGGAGGATTTAAATATTATTCTTGTGGCTGGCTGAAATTGACAAGGGTCCCAGTGAAAATGCTCAAAATGGGATGCTAAATACCCTCTTTAATAATGCAATACTTATAACTAAAATTTGTTGAGCCAGATTCTATGTGCCAGGTACTCTTGTAAGCTTTTTATTTGTATTAATGTAATGGCTGATAGTAATTCTGTTACAATCCCTTGCTATTGATGAAATGGAGACACAGAGGGGTTCAATAGTATGCCCAAGGACACACAGATAAGTAACCAGTAGAATTCAGATTGGAATCCAACACGTCTAGCTCCAGAGTCCTCACTCTCAAGCACTGTGTGATAGAGCCTCCATTGCATAAGCAGGGCTAAGCCCTACAGAATTAGAAACATCCTTCCCACCTACCAAATCTGGATGTCTCATGGCTTCTTTTACTAAGCATTTGCATGTGGGGTGTGGAATTTGAAGCTAGAGCATGGCTAGAGGAATGTGCTGCCTTAGTCTCTTCAACTCACTCTGGAGGAAGAACTGAAAAAGTACAGTGCAGTGGGGACTAGGATATTGGTGTCCTACATTGGTATTACATAAGGATGAATAACTCAGATATTGAGGAGTATCCTGTAAATAGTATGTTTGTCTTATTTGATTCATCTTATTTCATATTCTTTTAAATTAAAAAAATTAAATTTATTTGTATTGGTTTTTTTAAGACATGGGATCTTGCTGTGTTGCCCAGGCTGGGGTGCAGTGGCTAGTCACAGGTGCAGTCATAGCACACTATAGCCCATAACTCCTGGGCTCTAGTGATCCTCCCTCCTCAGCCTCCCAAGTAGCTGGGACTGTAGCTGTGCCACCATGCCCAACTAGTTTTACTAGTTTTGAGAGCAAACAATGGGATATTATTTGTAGGGGCTGACTATTCCCACTGTCAATCATTTTGGAGAAGGAAATTCAAAAATAGGCATTTAAATCAGTAGAGAAAGTTTTTATTTGGGCGGGGGGGGTGCTGTCAGAGTTGGACCTAAACAAATACATGGCCATTTAGGGGGCATCCCTTTGGTGGAGGTTGAACCAGCCTGCTGAGAGCTTGGTTGGGATTAAAGGATTGGGTTGGGCCATTGGGCTCCAAGGTCAATTCTTTCTATTAGCTGTTGTAAATAAATCTGTTAATTTGTCCTTAACCTTCCAATCTTCTGTAAAGTTTTGTTAAAGGTCATGGTTAGGTATGATGACTCATCTCAAGGCCAGAGAAGAGATGGCAAAGGCCCCATCTATCTATCTTCCTCTTTCCAATTGCTCCTCTCCACATAGAAGCAATTGGATTCCCACCCAGCACAGTGCATTCTTTCAGGTCTCCATGCTTTGTCGCACTCTGGACTTGGAGGGCCTGTTGTTGACCTCCCAATCCACTTTGTTTTCAGTTATACTTTGCTGCCTGCAGCTGGGGCTTACACATTACTAAGGATTTTCTTCATGGCAATGTTTGTTACAATGGAAACTAATCATCCAAAGAGATCCTGTTTTCAAATCCTCTTTCCACATCAACAGTACTTGAGGATGTACATCTAATCAAGTGATTTCAGAAGAATATTTAGGTTAACCTGCTGGCAGCTCATGCCCAGGGTCTTTGGTGATGTGACCCTTGTTCTTTGTACATTTTTGGTCAACATCTATTGATTGAGTGTATATCATGTATCAGGTATGGTTTAGGTGCTGGGTCTACAACTGTGAACAAGACACTGAAATCCTGGCCCTCACAAAGAGTGAATGCTATTGGGAGAAATAGACAATAAATAAGAAAAATAAATAGAAATATACCACACTAACAAGCAAGGCAGTTTTGTACACTTAGGCAGGTTGTGCATTGCACAAGTGTACCACAATCTGGAGGGGGGGGCCGTGACAGTGTTGACATCAGAGTTTTGTGAACTATTTATTTCTACAGTGTTCTTGCAGGTGTTCTTGGGGAAGATCATCTTTTTCTAATTTGCACAAAGCTGCTGTATGAGTTAATGGTAGGCCTATTAGTAACGAGTGAGCCTATTAGGAATCTGTTGCCAACATTCAGGTAAGAAATGATGGTAGCTTGGTTTAGGAAGTGGCAGTGGAAGTCGAGGAAAGTCTGTGTTTAAATTCTGTATATATTTTGAAAATAGAGCTGGAAGGATTTGCTACTGACTGGATGTGGCATTTAAGAGAAAAATTAGAATTAAGATTGCTACCAAAGTTTTTGGCCTAAGCAACTAGAAGCATCGAGTTGTCCTTAACTGAGGTAGGGAGGATTTCAGGAGGAGTTGGTTTGGGGGTCAAAGATCAGCAGCTATATTTTGGACGTGTTAAGGTTGAGATGTCTATTAAACATTCATGTGGAGCTGTCACATAGGCAGCTGGATATATGAGTCTACAGGGGAGAAACATGTCCAGACTGAAGATATAAATTATATTACTTTAGGAGAGCTACCATAAGCCATAATTTGTCCTTTAATGGATGACAATGTTGGCAAATACATAATTTTTATCCAATATTTGTAATAAGTTCTTCCCTATTATATACTTTTCTATCTTGTAATACAAACTGAATAAATAAATTTGTTTTAGCTTGTCATTCTGCCTTGGAAAAGTTTGAAAAATACTTTGAACACATCATTCCTGAAATAATTTGCTCTTATAAAATTATAAAATTAAGACTAAGACAAGTCTTTAAAAATTTAGTTTTAGAGAAAAGAGTAAATAGACCTCTCTCTAGCCATTGAATTTTTACGTAGGGAACTTGAATGTGACTGTATATGATAACTCACTGGAATTATTTTATGTGGCAAGAATGAGATTTACTGTAAATAGTATATAATATCATCAATTACTATATGAATCTCTCAAACACTGATTATAGTGTAGCAGGAAGAGCCACAGACAAAATCCCTCAGACACCAAGTTAAAGAAGGAAGGGCTTTATTCGGCCAGAAGCGTCGGCAAGACTCACGTCTCAAAAACCGAGCTCCCCTAGTGAACAATTCCTGTCCCTTTTAAGGGCTTACAACTTTCAGGAGAACTATGTGAGAGGGTCATGATCAATTGAGCAAGCACGGGTTATGTGACTTGCGACTGGGTGCACTGGTAATGAGAATGGAAGAGAACAGGACGGGGATTTTCACGATGCTTTTCCATACAATGTCTGAAATCTGTAGATAACACAAGCAGTTAGGTCAGGGGTTGATTTTTAACTACCAGCCCTGGGGAGCAGTGCTGGGCTATCTGCCTGTGGATTCCATTTCTGCCTTTTAGTTCTTCTTTTTTTGGAGACAGAAATTGGGCATAAGACAATATGAGGGGTTGTCTCCTCCCTTAATAGGAGTTTTCAAAATTGGCAAAACAAAACTTTATAAAGCAAAATAGGAATGTTTTACAAAACGAAAGAAACTACTGCCAGCTTTGTCAGTATAACAACCTGTTAGCAATAGAGGGTGATTTATAGGAATCAGCCATACGTGTACAGTGCACCAACTCTTTATTATTCACAAGTAGATGATCTATTTGCAGATTTCCTGTAGTTTCATGACCTGTGTTCTCTCATAGGCAGAAGGGAATTCAGTCCTGATGCACACAAGTTGAATGTCTGTGTGTATCAAAGTGGTTCCTAAAGGCCATTCTCATTGATTTCTGGACTTTTAATATTTTTGTAATATTTTCACCTCTTTAGCCTGCACCTTGTGCAATCAAGGGCACTTAGGAAAGAGGATTGCTGCAGGCAACTTGATGTGTTTCAGAATAAATAACTCCACAGAGATCGTACTTTCTGTGCAATACGAAACCCAAACTGATTTTTTTGGTAACAAAAGAAGTCTTATTGGTTTCCACTTTTATAAATCCAAGTGTTCATATATTGACCTTGTTATTCCTTTGTTTTCGGTGGCAGTTCACCTATATTTTACATTACAATGTGGTGCTTGAATAGCCCTTTGTAAGTTGACTTAAAAAAACAAAACAAAACAGGCCTGGCTCAGTGGCTCACACTGATAATTCCAGCCCTTTGGGAGACCGAGGTGGGTGGTTGGCTTCAACCCAGGAGTTTGGGACCAGTCTGGGTAACACGGCAAAACCCCATCTCTATGAAAAATACAATAAAAAATTAGCCTGGCATGGTGGTGTGCGCCTGTAGTCCCAGCTGCTTGGGAGGCTGAGGTGGGAGGATAGCTTGAGCCCCGGAGGCAGAGGTTGCTGTGAGCCAAAATCACGCCACTGCACTCCAGCCTGGTCTACAGCGAGAGGTCCTGTCTCAAAACAAACAAAAAAACCCAAAACAACTTTATTGAGATATAATTCACATATTATACAATTTATCATTTAAAGTGTAAAATTTAATGGGTTTTAGTATACTCACTAAATATGCATAGGGCTATGCAATCATCACCACGGTTTAGTTTTAGGATATCTTTATGCCCCCTAACAAAGCCTAGTACCTACCAGCAGTCACTCTCCATCCTCCTTTTCCTCCATCAGCCCTAGGCCACCACTAATCTCCTTTCTGTTTCTGTGACTATGACTATTCTGGATATTTCACATAAATGGAATCATAAAATCGGTGGTCTTTTGTCATTAGCTTTTTTTTCTCTTAGCATAAGGTTTCAAATTCATCTATGTTGTAGCATTTATCAGCACTTCCTTTTATTGCAGAAAATATTCTATTGCATGAATATGCTACATATTATTCATCCATTCATCAGTTGATAGACAACTGGATTGTTTTTACTTTCCTGGCTATTATCAATAAGCTAGTATAAACATTTGTACACAAGTTTTTATGGGCACATATGTTTCCATATTCTTTGGGGAATATACCTAGGTAGAATATACCTCAGCTAGAATTCCTGAGTCATAAGGTAATTCTAACTTTTTGAGGAACTGCCAACCCTGTTTTCCAATGTATAAATTGGCTTTTAAAATATTACCTGTACTGGGTTGGGCACAGTGGCTCACATCTGTAATTACAGCACTTTGAGAGGCCGAGGCTAGTGGATCATGAGGTCAAGAGATCGAGACCATCCTTGGCAACATGGTGAAACCCTGTCTCTACTAAAAATACAAAAATTAGCTGGGCATGGTGGCACACGCCTGTAATCCCAGCTACTCGGCAGGCTGAGGCAGGAGAATTGCTTGAACCTGGGAGGTGGAGGTTGCAGTGAGCCGAGATCGCACCACTGCACCCCAACCTGGTGACAGAGTGAGACTCCGTCTCAAAAAAAAAAAAATTTACCTGTACTGCTTCCATTCTCTGTTAAAGTGAATTTTATCATTAATTTATACGTTTTCTATGTATCATGCTGTTACATGTACACACCCACTTTGCAAAATTGTTACCTTAATCACGTTTTGTTAATATTTATTCGAATGGCAAGAGTGCCTGTTTGTCTCAGTCAAATGAATCTTTAGAGAACTGTTTCGTTCTTCTGAGGTTGCACAAAATTAATGTGGTTTAAAAGTTTTAATTTAAATTTAATTTTATTTATTTGCGTTTTGACTAGGTATTAGAGTGACCTGGTTCAAAATCTGGAAACACAATAAGATACATGGTGTATTGTCCCCCTCCCTCGTCTGTGCTACCGATGCCCAGTTTCCTTCCCTGGAGGCAGCCAGTGTTACCTGCTTCTGTGTGGTCTTCCAAGGAAGACGTTTTAGTGCAGTTTTAATTTGAAGAGAACAACTTAAAAAAATGTGTACGTGGGAATAGAAGGGCTTTGTTCTAAACTCCGTTGGTTTGTTTGGTTCATGAAAGTCAGAACAGCATGACTTTATTTCAAGGTTGAATAACAATAAAAGATTTATAAGTTTAATAATTGTCTTCAATAGCTTGAGGACATAATCAAAACAACTGACTTCTCTTTAAGTCTTATTTCTGCCCCAGGAACCTGTCCTTGATCCACCACCTTCTGGTTATTATTTCACTTTGTTCACATTCCGGGGACATACAATCGGCTGATTTTATCTTCTCTAACTACATTTCTGCTTCAGAGGCTTTACTTGGTGGGAATCATCTTCCAGACTCCCCAAAGCTGGCTTCTGCCCAACTCACAAACCTCATCTCACATGTTGCTCTTTTCCCCTCTTTCACCAGTTCCAGGCACACAGACTTCCTGTCAGTTCTTGGTCAAGCAAGTTCTCGTCCACCTGAGGACCTTGTCCTTGCCTGTTCTTCCGTCTGCCTGGAAGGCTTTCTTCTGTCTTCTGTGCCTGGCTCCTTCCCCACCTTCCGGCCTCACTTGAGATGTGATCTTCTCTGACCATCTTAGCTGAAGTTGGCCTCCTCTCCCTTAATCTCCATTGAGCTAAACAGTTTCTTTCATCTAGAACTTACTATAGTAATTATGTGTTTACTAGTTCACTGTCTGGAATCGTTTACCCTAGAGCAGTCTACGATGTAAAGCCAGGATGGTCAAACTACAGCGCAAGCTTTGTTTTTGCAAAGCTCTGGAGGTAAGTATTGCTTTACATTTTAAAAGGGTTGCTTAAAAATTTTTTTTAAAAAAAAGCTAAGAAGATTGGGCAGCAGAGACTTCGTGTGGTCTGCAAAACTATTTACTATCCAGTCCTTTACAGAAAAATGTGCTAATCCCTGGGCTAAAACAATGGTCTCCAAAGTGTGGTATGTACATTCCAAAGATTGTGCAAGATAATTCAGTAGGTTCTTAATTATTTATTCTTTTGCATTCATTTATTGCTTATGTTTTATAATGCACATAATTTTTAGTATAGTAATAGATACATATAATTTATAAATTAACATATACATACATGTTTTGGGAATAATGCTCAGAAATTTTTTAATAATGCACTTTATGATAAAAATTTTGGAGGCAACTGGGGTTAAAATACAAAATTTATGAGGGCAAGCGCCATATTCTCTCCTTCCATATTCCCACCATCTAATACACACTCAATGTAATGCTTTTTGAATAAATGATAGCAGTAGACTTAAACATTTATTGAGCACATATTAACTAAGCTCTCGGAATGTAATATCTTCTTTAATGATTAGAGCCACCCTATGAGTTAGATCTTGTTACTTTTATTTTACAAACGAGGAAACTGAGGCCCAGAGAAGTCAAACAACTTCCTGAAGCTCTCACATTACTAGTAAAAACTGGAAGCTGAGTCTGATGCCAGTCTGACTCCAAAGCCAGTGTTTTTAACCATGAATGACCTGTCTCTAATTTCATTCTTTTTTTTTACTCTTTATGTGTATCAGAATGCAATTACATTTTGAAACCTTGTGTGTCTTGATGTTGAAGACATATTGGCTTAGAAGGGGTAATCAAGTTTCCCATAGCAGTAAATGAAAATAAAGAAGGGCACTTATCCCATATTTCTAATAGAATAAGTCACTTTCAACGGTTTTTTTTTTTTTTTGAATTCTTGGAGTCAGAATTAAGAAATCTGTGGGGTTTTTTTTTGTTTTTTGTTTTTCTTTCTGAGATGGAGTCTCGCTCTGTGGCCCAGGCTGGAGTGCAGTGGCGTGATCTCCACTCACTGCAAGCTCCGCCTCCCGGGTTCATGCCATTCTCCTGCCTCAGCCTCCCGAGTAGCTGGGACTACAGGCGCCTGCCACCACGCCTGGCTAATTTTCTGTATTTTTTTTTAGTAGAGACGGGTTGCACCGTGTTAGCCAGGATGGTCTTGATCTCCTGACCTCGTGATCCACCCGCCTCAGCCTCCCAAAGTGCTGGGATTACAGGCGTGAGCCACCGCGCCTGGCCAGAAATCTGTGTTTAAGTATGGTTCTGCAAATCATTTAACTCCATTAAGGTCAACTTCTCATCTATAAAATGGAGCCAATAATAATGTTTATCCCAGAGGTGGTTTCCAAGGTTACGCACATGTGAAAGTGATTTGCATATTAAGGTTGATAACAGCGGTCCCAACCTTTTTGGGCACCAGGAACTGGTTTCATGGAAGACAATTTTTCCATGGATGGTGGGGTGATGGGAGATGGGAGGGGAATGGAAGGATGGGTAGGAGGGGAAAGGGGATGGTTTCAGGATGAAACTGTTTCACCTCAGATCATCAGGCATTAGATTCTTATAAGGAGCACACAACCTAGATTCCTCACATGTACAGTTCACAATAGGGTTCACGATCCTATGAGAATCTAATGCTGCTGCTGACCTGGCAGGGGGCAGAGCTTGGGCGGTAACACTCACTTGCCAGTCACCTCCTGCTGTGTGGCCCAGTTCCTAACAGGGCCGGTCTGTGGCAGCGGGGGTGGAGACCCCTGCCTTATGGGACTAGTGTTTGGGAAGAAACACCCCTGGTGTATAAAATACTAGTCTTTCTTCTCTAGTCATATATAACTATGTAGAGGCATACTTATCTCTGCCCCCTTAGTTTTATTACTGTAACATGCTTTGCTTAACAAACCAGTTGGTTAACTATTTAAGGAAAGCATCATCATTCTGGCATAGGAAGGATTCAAAACCCAAGTCTAAATTTGGCATTCAGTTCCTAGGCTTCTTATAAACTCTCGTCTACTTGGTCTTAGTCAAAAGTGCACATGACTACTATCTGCGATGCAGATTTGAAAGAGAGAACAGTAGCATTTATCAGCATCTCCTTTACTCACAGGATCGGAACATGAAGAACACAATACTTTAGTTGTCATATCCATCAACATTAGAATTAAATTGGAAGTTACTATTTAGATTTTGCCAGCGCAACTCCTACTTATCAGTCTTAAAAAACAAAATCCTTCAAGTTTTCTTTGTAAAAACCATAGCTTTTAAAGCTTATTTTATATTAAATTATAAAATAAAACCCAAAGCATGTATCACATTTTCACTTCAAATAATATAATTTACACATTTGAAACCTGAGCTCCCGAGACCATAAGCTAAATCTGAAGTCAAAACTTTCAAAAAAAAAAAAAAGTCACGTTAATCATTCTCACAGAGTTCTGAAAGTTTTGCCATAGACCCTTTATCTTTTTCCTTCCCTACAAGTGCCTGGTGGCTTCCCTTCTACGAGGACTTTTTGCAGTAGAAACAAGGTCATGTCTTTCTTTTATTATTTGCCTTTGTGTTGCCGCCAGTTTTAGGACCTTACTTAGAAATTCCCAGTACATGGACTATGTTCACCAAAACTTGTAAATATTTGTAAACCTGTGTTCTCTAAACGGTTGTAACGATTATTGCTACATGGTCCATTTAGCAATGAATCATGGTCTGCCCCGTGACACATTTTCTCTCTTGACCTGAGCCATTATTTCAACATTTCATTGTTATTTAATTTAATTTTTTTTTTTTTTTTGAGATGGAGTCTTGCTCTGTCACTCAGGCTGGAGTGTAGTGGTGTCTTCTTGGCTCACTGCAACCTCCACCTCCCAGGTTCAAGCGATTCTCTTGCCTCTGCCTCCCGAGTAGCTGGGACTACAGGTTTGAGCCACCACACCAAGCTAATTTTTTGTATTTTTAGTAGAGACGGAATTTCACCATGTTGACTAGGATGGTCTCAATCTCTTGACCTTGTGATCTGCCTGCTTCGGCCTCCCAAAGTGCTGGGATTACAGGCATGAGCCACCGCACCTGGCCTCATTGCTATTTAATTTTACATGAATGTGTCTTGTTTTCTCAAACTGCATTTCGGGGTCTTTAAAGTCCGGTCCACTTGTTAATTTTTAATTTAAAAAAAATAAGAAAATAATTTTTGCAGAGACAGAATCTTGTTATGTTGTCTAAGCTGGTCTTGAACTCCTGGCCTCAAGCGATCCTCTCACCTCCACTGCACCCAGCCCCACTTGCTTATTTTTGAATTCCACAGCATGGAGCAGAATTTCTGACAATAGCAGGGTCTTGGGTTACCAGACTTGAGTTTCAAATCCAGCTCTATTCTTTACTATTCATGTGACCCTGGTCAGTTTAGTTACCTTCATAAGCCTTTTTCTTCATTTGGAATGGGAATGATAATTCTACCCTGTGTGGTTACAATTGAATTATATGATTGTAGGGTGGGCCTGGCTGCAGCATCTCATGGTTCCAGGGCTGCCATCCATGCAGACCACTGTGTGCATGGCACTGCCTGGCTAGGGGGCCTGGTACCTATTAGGAACTCAGTAGAGGGCAGTTATTGCTATCACTGAATCCCGTTCACTTGATTAACCAAGCATAAAGAAGACATGCCCAGCAGAGGCAAGGTTGAACTGTGTGTAAGTTGTTGGCGGGGAAAGAGCTACCTTTGGCTCAAGGCCTCGTGAAGCTACACAGATTCAAATTCTCCTTAGGGACAAGTCAGCTATTTTGTGAAGCTATAACAGCTATTGTGTCAGTAAATCCTTTTAAATAAACAGTTCTAATCTCTGTCCTATGGTAGAAAGGTTGGAAGGTGAGAAGGAAATGAGCTACCATGTTATCCTGATCCTCTGACCCTTGGATTCTCTTCTCCAGTCTGTCTTTGTGAGTGGACAGATGTCAGCTGGTACTACCCAGCAAAGATAGACACAAGCTTATGGTGAGTTTGGGCATTTTCAGATGTTTTTAAATGTAAGGGCATCCAGATTCTGAATCCAATTTTTATGGTTAGCAATTGGTTTTAGTTTATAACAGCAAAAAAAGAATATAGTTTGGATGGGATGAAAGAAGGAAACAGAAGTGTTAGAAACAAAATGCTTGTTCCTTGGTGCTGCAAAGAAATAGCACATGAACATAAATTTAATTTTCTCAGCAAGGCAATTTTTACTTCTATAGAAGGGTACGACTCACAAATGGAGTAATGGCGAGAGCGCACCTGAACAAGGGAGGGGAAGGGGTTCTTATTCCTGACACAGGTGGCCCCTACTGCTGTGTCGTTCCCCTATTGGCTAGGGTTGGACCGCACAGTATAAGCTAATTCCAACTGGCTATTTTAAAGAGAGCAGGGGTATAAGCCAGAGTGGCGGGGTCAGTAGTTTGGTAGGAAGGATGGTTAGGTCCAGGTAATTAAAGGTGACTTAGGTCAGAGCAGGTGACCGGGGTGACGCAGGCAGGTCAAAGCAGGTGACCGGGATGAGTCAGGACGGAGCAGGGGACCAGGGGAACAGATGTGAACTACTGATTAAAACTGGTGAAAAAGGTTGTTTACTGAAACCACGAGGAAGTTAAATTTTATTATTTATTTATTTATTTATTTATTTATTTATTTATTTATTTGAGACGGAGTCTTGCTCTTTCGCCCAGGCCTGACTGCAGTGGCACTATCTCGGCTCACTGCAAGCTCCGCCCCCTGGGCTCACCCCATTCTCCTGCCTCAGCCTCCCGAGTAGCTGGGACTACAGGTGCCCACTGCCGTGCCCGGCTAATTTTTTGTATTTTTAGTAGAGACAGGGTTTCACCGTGTTAGCCAGGATGCTCTCGATCTCTTGACCTCAGGTGATCCACCTGCCTCGGCCTCCCAAAGTGCTGGGATTACAGGCGTGAGCCACCGCGCCCAGCCTAACTTTAAAATGGGGGACAAAAAACTGAACATACTGACATATTGATTCTTTGAAGAGAAATCTAGAACTCACTGTAACCAACAGAAGAACTTAAGGCCTGGTGAATGAAGTATCTGAACCTCCAGGTAGATTTTTAGTAAGCACGGAGCCTATGATGGGTACTGGTTTAAAGCCCTAAGGGTGGTCTTAGTTTAGTTGAAGAAAAGGAAAGAAGATGTCCTTGAATCATTATTCAGGGTCAAGGAATGAGAGGTGTTGGTGAAACAGGCAGAGAGGGGACGTGATATTAGATTAATGTCACATCATTGCATCCTATGGAAGGACCTGTAATGTTGTTAGGCAGTTGCTAAGGGCAAATTACAGGAAAAATATTAACTGGTTAATAGAATCATGTAGTGATAATAGAGAGCTGAAGGCACTTTCAGAGATGATCCGGCCCAGCTCTCTCTCTGCAGGCAAGGGAATGTCTAAATCATCCAGGACAGATATTGTTGACATCTCAAAAAGCTCATTAAGCATAAAGAGTCCTCCACATTTTGGGGTAGCCCATCTGATTATTTTATCATCAGAAGGTTAAAAAAATCTCATCCTTACCCAATCTAAAACTCAGATTGGTTAGGTTTTTATTTTCTTTTACACAACCAGCCACAAACTGGTGCTTATGATGATGGTGTCTTGTAAATGAACAACAAAGAGCAGGGACCACTCGACCTTCTTACTGCATGCCTTCTTTGTCTCAGAGAACCAGTGAGGTTCATTTGCTCCACAAAAATTTATCAAGTACCAAGCTCTGTGATAGGAGCTAAGGATGAAGGAATGAATAAAGTGGAATCCCTGCCCTCAATCCATTTGAGTCTAGTGGGATGGGAGCAGACAAGTAGAGAGGTAATATTTACCAGGTAATGTGTTAACTGTAGTAACGTTTTTTATAAACATGAGAGTATTTATCAAATGCTGGGAATTGAGGACTAAGCTCTGATTTTTTTCTTATCTTAGCCAAATTCCTATCTAAAGGGGTCTGGAGAGTCATGCCCTACAAACCATAAATTCTCATCAGATGGGTTTTATTTAAGCCTATATATCGTGATTTACTTTCCAATCTGACTCTTGCATAACATTATGTGACAAACAAGAAAATAAAAATATTTTATCCCAAAACATGTTTCTTTGCTGTATTTTGAAATGGCCGTGCAAAGCTGTCCTTTGTGGCAGAAAATTTGCATCTGTAAAGAAACTCTATTAACATAGCTAGATCTTTTTCTTCCAGGCCCTCCCAGTCCTGAAGAGGTTAACGGAGAGTCTAGCACCTTTTAAAGGTCTGAATAGGAAACGTTTGTCTTCTGTTGTCTCTAAGGGCAGCCACTATGAGACTTCAAAAGAACCTTGGTCTCCAGAATCTTAACCTGAACATGAAATTGACCTATAGCCTGGAAGCCTGCCCCACCCCACGAGTTGTCCCGCTGTTCTGGACCAAGCCAATATATTTCTTAATGTATCTGATTGATGTCTCATGACTTCCTGACCACCTTGGGTACATGTTCTCAGGATCTCCTGATGGATGTGCCAGAGGCCATGGTCACTCATATTTGGCTCAGAATAAATCTTTTCAAATATTTTACAGCTTGACTCTTTTCAGCGACAATAATTGTGCTAAGTGCTTCAGGCATATTATCCCATTCATTCTCACAACTCCCTTGTCACTGTCGGGCCGTTGAGCCCAACCTAAGCCATCATATCCCCTGTGACCTGCATGTATGCATCCAGATGGCCTGAAGCAAGTGAAGAATCACAAAAGAAGTGAAAATGGCCAGTTCTTGCATTAACTGATGACATTTCACCATTGTGATTTGTTCCTGCCCCACCTTAACTGAGCGATTAACCTTGTGAAATTCCTTTTCCTGACTCAGAACCTCCCCCACTGAGCACCTTGTGACCCCCGCCCCTGCCCGCAAGAGAACAACCCCCTTTGACTGTAATTTTCCACTACTCACCCAAATCCTATAAAAGTGCCCCACCCCTATCTCCCTTTGCTGACTCTCTTTTCGGACTCAGCCTGCCTGCACCTAGGTGAAATAAACAGCCTTGTTGCTCACACAAAGCCTGTTTGGTGGTCTCTTCACACAGACGTGCGTGACAGTCACAAACTTATGATTGCAAAAAAACCCTTTGAGTGCAACCTTTTCTTTCTGGTTGGAACTTATTGTTTTGTAGTTTTGGTTTTTTTGTTTGTTTGTTTTGGTCTGTTTATTTTTTATTTATATTGGCTTTTTTGTTGCCTTTTTCAGTTTTATTTCTGTGGTTGAAACTTTATGGCACATTCTAAATTCTTCCTGGCAATGGCTTAGTGTGAATTTATGATCAGTCCTGCTAGTTTTGCTTGTTAGATGTAAAGGAAATTTTTGAGGCTTTAGAAATCCCTTTTCTCTCTCAAATTTATAGGCTTTCAAGACTGTTGTTTCTATGGGTTTCAAAATCCTATGCTGGCAGTCAAAAACTTTCTTTCTCTTTGCATTTCTGCAGTAATTCTAATTCTCCCGGAGGCAGGTGGAATCCTCTGGAATGTCATATGCAAGCAAGTGAGGAAGAAAAAAGAAAGAGGACATGTTTTAACATATCATCTCTCTTTTACAAAATAAATGGACACACACAGACACTTACACAGTTATTGACTCGAGGAGTCGCTGCACATTCTCATATAAAGGTATTACATCTTAACTAGAGATAGTTCTTAAACTTGCAAAATATAGATTACTTCTAATCACGTCATGTCAGGCATCAATGTACTGGGTAAGGGTTTCTTTTCCCCCCTGTAATTTTTTCTACTTTGTTGAACACATTGAGCTAAAAAATCCTATACGAAGTTGTTCCTTTAGGTAAATTAGTTAATTTTCAATAAAATTACAGCTTTCGTAAAATATTAACAGGCACTTTTGTCTCTTCTGCATTTCTGCATTGGACTCCCCGCATATCTATACCACACATATGTATGATTATTGTTCTCTAAAGCAGTAATTATGCTGATAGTAATGATCCCGAATGACCGTAAAGATTGTCTCTGATTACATTTAACAGCAAATACAAAGACACTGTTTTTCCTACTTGGGTATATTTAACAGCAAATGGTATGAACGATCCAGACAGCTGTAATGGCTGAGTTGGGAAGTCTGTTTCCTGAATAGGGTAGAAATTCACCACTGGGGAAAGAAATGCTTCCCCGTTACTTTTATTGTGTTACTGACCCATCACATATGCTCAGGCTTCCAAGCTGAGAACGTGCCAAACTATTAACCAAAATAATACGTCTGGCTCCCAAAGCTCACATTTTGTGTAAATGCAAATGTAATCCCGAGGTGTATTAGTTAGCAAGATGGCCGTCTGGTGGGACACTTGGTATCATGTGCCCTTCCCGCTCCATGGCTTGGAATGGAATTTGTGCTGGCCGTTAACGTTCTTGAATGCATTTCCCTCTGAGCTTGGATAGAGGGTAAGACAGCCAAATGGAAACATCTTCTTTCAGGTTCTTTGGAAATACATTTATTGATCTCTCTCAATCTTTGGCGGGATTTTCTTTCTTCCTGGATGAACAGGAACAACTCTGGGAGCCGCTTGCAGTGACACGATGCAGCTGTGTGTATACCTGGATGCCTTAGAGAATGTGTCAGGGAGAGAACAGTTAGGCAGTACATCTCTTCCTCCTGAAGTCCAGAATGTATGTGTATATATACAGTTCTCTCTGCTTCTCTGTGCCCTTTTTGTCTTTCTCTGTTTATCATTCACCCCTTCTCTCATCCTTTCCCTCGTCTCCTCCCCCAGCACCTGATAACCATGTTACAGGATGGAGTAGGATGGAGTGAAAATATGTTTGCTCTCCAGGCAGCATGAGAAACAGCAGATGTACTACAGGGTGTGGGAGGAGAGTTTCAGTGCACAGTGCATTGTACAAAGAATGCATAGGGGAGGTTAATTGCTATTATCATTACTATTTATTAAAATGTAACAGTGCAGACTGTATCATCATTGATCTGGTGACTTAATATTTCAATTGGACAAGCAGGTAGTTTTAGACCTAAAATATTAAGCACCTAAAAAGACATTTAAAAACATTATTCACAGTCCCAAAGAAAAGCAATAACAAAAAATGTTTCATTTTCCCTCTGATTGTTCCTGGATTTGTTCTCTTTTCTTTGGTGGAAAATGATGGTGCTACCTACAATTAGATCTGCCTGACTCTGAGTGGTGTGGCAAAACTCTGTTAGCTATTTATTTGGATTCTTGAGGCCCTAGGAGCCTGTGGTCCTGTTGGTGTGAATTGTATTAGGAAGAGAGGAGAGATAAAAGATGTAAATGGAGATCTGTCTGTCTACCTATCTATCTATCTGTTTATCTATCTATCTATCTATCTATCTATCTATCTATCTATCTATCATCTATCTGCAAGGAGAAAGAGAGACTGAAGAGAATGCAGGGTGATAGAAAGGTAGAAAAGGGATTGAAATCATTGTTAAAAGGAATGAGAAGGTACAGCTCTACCAGTCTATAGCATAATTCCATTTTGGCCAGGTAATCAACATGCTGACACCAAGCTACAATTTTTCTCCTGAAGCACAAAAGGAAATGAAGGCTTGACTAGCACTGCAAGGCTGTGAGTTAGGAAACGGGAAACAAGATGCTCCTGCTGCTGTTGGAGTCTTGAGTTGTTCCTGAAATGAGACTGTGGCATCCCCTGAGAACAAGGCATGATGCAGAATTGCACAATCTAGGTGCCTGTATTTCAGCTGGCAAAGCTCCCACCTCTGCCTCAGACTCCTTGTCCTGCCACGCAGGCTCCAGACAGTGACACTAAAACATTGCTCTGTATGGTAATTTGTCTGAAAAATAGCTTTAGAACTGTACCAGCTTTATGGCTCAACAATTGGAGCATTTAGGTGAAATTTGGAACCCAGCCATTAAGAGAACTGCTAGAGAAAAACATGACAGTAAAATCAAATTTCAAATCAGCATCACTTACCATATGGGAAACTGCAAATTCAGCAAAAGGGAAGGCAATGCTGAAATTCACCTTCAAAGCTAAATATTGTTCCTTAGACCAATTTCAACCTCGAATTCATTTGAATTTCCTTTATGTCTGGTTACATCTGAAGTGAAGTAATTAGCAATAGGCTTGTTAGATTTTTCTTTCCTTATGGAATTTTTTTTTTTTTCAGAGAGACAATGATCACTTATGAGGTCATATTTGTCACAGGAATGGCAAAGACTAAAGTGATTCCCACCATTTTTTAGGATGAGCCACTTTTTTGTTTTCCTAGCAAGTTTAACTTTATTGAGTTTAACTTCATGAAGTTAGCATACTAATTAATTTTAATTACTAAAGTTAACCCAATGTAAATACATGTTTATTTAATATGCCATTAATTTAAACACAGCTTTTATAAGACATAATTTTATATATCACAAAGTGCAATTACTATGAAGAATGGCTTTAGAGTTAGTTCCAGTTACTCCTGACTAAAGCCACAGCCAGGTGTTGCCTAGAAAATCATATTTGCCTTGGCCCTGTTTCCTCTATTCTTTTTATCCAGCCGATACCAGGACATTTGCTGATCTTCCATATTATTCCTCATCACATCATATCTGGAGTGGCCCTTTCTTAACATCAAAACTTTGAGACAACCCCCCACGTAATGGTTACTGGAATTACTTGTTGACCGAGGAAATATATATATGTATAAAACTACTGTGAAGTCAGGAATGCTTTTCTTCTTTTTTTGTTTTTTGTTTTGTTTGTTTGTTTTTTGAGACGGAGTCTCGCTCTGTCGCCAGGCTGGAGTGCAGTGGCGCGATCTCGGCTCACTGCAACCTCCATGTCTCAGGTTCAAGCAATTCTCCTGCCTCAGCCTCCCGAGTAACTACAGACGCCGGCCACCATGCCCGGCTAATTTTGTATTTTTAGTAGAGGCGGGGTTTCACCGCGTTAGCCAGGATGGTCCCGATCTCCTGACCTCGTGATCCACCCGCCTCTGGCCTCCCAAAGTGCTGGGATTACAGGCGTGAGCCACCACGCCTGGCCCTTGTGTGTTTGTTTGTTTGAGATGGAGTTTCACTCTTTTGCCCAGGTGGGAGTGAAGTGGTGCGATCTCGGCTCACTGCAACCTCCACACCTCCCCGCACCGCACCCTCCCCACTGCCCCTGCCCTTCAAGCGATTCTCCTGCCTCAGCCTCATCCTCAGCCTCAGCCTCAGCCTCGTCAGTAGCTGGGATTATAGGCCCCCACCACCACGCCCGGCTAATTTTTGTATTTTTAGTAGAGAAAAGCCCCGTAGGCTTTTTCCTCTTTAGAGACAGGGTTTTGCCATTTTGGCCAGGCTGGTCTCGAACTTCTGACCTCAGATGATCCACCCTCCTCGGCATCCCAAAGTGCTGGGATTACAGGTATGAGCCACTGCATACGTCCTAGGAATGCTTTACTTGATCACAACAATGATACATATTTGAAAGTAGTGGGAAATATATGGGTGAGATATATCACTCGGCCTAGTGATAATGATTGGGGAGCATGTAGATTCACAGAACACTTTATAGTAATGCCAGGCCCCAGAAGGTAACCACTCCTGCAGGAGTTTGAGGAAGAAGAGCAGTTTTCGCTGGATGTCTAGGGAAGATTCCACAGGTGAACCTGCATTTGAACTTGGTGTTGTCAGCTTTCTCTGTTCCTAAACTTTGCAGTATAAGAATGTAGCCGAAGGGCCGGGCGCAGTGGCTCACGCCTGTAATCCCAGCACTTTGGGAGGCCGTGGCCGGTGGATCGCCAGAGGTCAGGAGATCGAGACCATGCTGGCTAATACGGTGAAACCCCGTCTCTACTAAAAATACAAAAAGTTAGCCGGGCGTTGTGGCGGGCGCCTGTAGTCCCAGCTACTCGGGAGGCTGAGGCAGGAGAATGGCGTGAACCAGGGAAGGCGGAGCTTGCAGTGAGCTGAGATGGTGCCACTGCACTCCAGCCTGGGCGACAGAGCAAGACTCCGTCTCAAAAACAAAAACAAAAACAAAAAATTGGCCAGGCGTGGTGGTGGGCATCTTTAATCCCAGCTACTTGCGAGGCTGAGGCAGGAGAATCACTTGAATCCAGGAGGCGGAAAACAAAACGAAACAAAACAAAACAAAAAATCAAAAAAGAAAGTCTCTGAAGGCTTCACACTGTCAGATTGCCAGGCAGTGAGTGGGAGCTGGTGCTGCTCTCAGTATAGCTGCTATTGGGAAAAGGATGGTTGTTCTACTGATTAAATGTGACTCTAGTTGGTATTTGAATTTGAGGGACATAGGAACGTCTCCCTCAGGAATTCTTCCTCAACGGCATTTCCTCCCCACCAGCCTCTCCGCATAGGCTTTCTCCTCTTTAAGGCAGACCTCATCCCCCTATTGTATTATGAGCTCTCTAGAGGACAGAGCAGGATCTTTCTGCACAGAAGAAAGTCTTATGGAAGTTGGGAGCGGTTAGAAGAAACCACAGCCATTTCCCACCCACCCCATTCCTTTCAATGGCAAAAACAATAATTACTTTTGCACCAATCTAATATTTATATTTAGCCTAATAGAAAGATCAAGTTAGATATATATATAGAAAATGTGTTGCTCAGAATAAGATGGAGCTCTTTGAGTCTAGATAACCGTGGATGCCTTGGGGTCACTGAGGGGCTTCCGGCATCCAAGCCTGCTCCATGTGATATTGTTGGTTGGTACATGCTTGACTCAACTGAACTATTTCAATTTCTTGCCTTGGAAATGGAAATTTGGACCTGAAGGCAGAGAGTCTGGGAGTTTTCAGAGCTGAGTCACATTGACGGCAGTTTTCTAAAGAAGAGGATCATGTACTTTAATTCATCCTTCAGTTCCGTGGGCTACTCCAGTATCTTTCCAATGACATCTCACTCCTTTTTTCCTTAAGTTGGCCAGATGTGGGTTCTGTTATTTGGTCCCCCCAAAACCTTAATTATTATGTAAGTCTTTAGGACAGGGGAGTGGACTATCCTCCTTTGGACTGTAAATCAAATCCACTGAGGATTTTAAGGATTCTTAAAAATCAGAGTTGCAGCCCACATATGCCTTAGGAGGTTGTGGGATTTGGATTATCCCAGTGAGAATCTGAATAAATAGTTACATAGTCTAAGACCAACCTTGTGTTTTCTTAGAGGTGGGTGGGGAATGGCTGTGCTTTCTTCCAACCATTCCCAACTTCCATAAGACCTTCTTCTGTGCAGAAAGTTCCCACTGTGTCCTTGTGGAGAGCTTATTTAATGACTTGGCATCATGAAACTTGACCAGGCTTATCTGGCTTAATGCCACTTTTATAGAGAGACAGTACTTCTTGTTTCCTCCCTTAACCGTCGGGGCTGGTTTTAGGAGGAATGAGTAAACAAAATAAATAAGTGCTCTATTTAAAGCACGAATTTTATGTTGGTAAATGTAAGAAATTTTAAAAAATTGTTTTAAGTGTATAGTTCCCAGGCATGGTGGCTCATGCCTGTAATCCTAGCACTTTGGGAGGCCGCGGTGAGAGGATTGCTTGAGCTCAGGAGTTCGAGACCATCCTGGACAACATAGCAAAACCCCGTCTATATAAAAAATACAAAAATTAGCCAGGTGTGGTGGTGCATGCCTGTGGTCCCAGCTACTCAAGAGGCTGAGGTAGGAGGATCGCTTGAGCCTGGGAGGTGGAGGTTGCAGTGAGCTGAGATCACGCCACTGCACTCTAACCTAGGTGACAGAGTGAGACCCTGTCTCAAAAAAAAGTGTACAGTTGCAAGTATATTTTAAAGATACCTATATAGTAAAAAATTTTTAAAAGTATTTATGTAAGAAAACTTGAAATAGATGACAGTGCTAATAGCCATTCTGAAGAACTGGTGGTGTTATAGATGCTCTCTTCCCCACCATTTCCTGTTTTTCACACTCTCATAATGTGGAGTCATTATCCCTATAAGAATTTTTGAAAGCATAGGACTCAGGGAGAAAAAATAAATACAACTAGTCTACTTTATGATTAAAAATCAAAGAGAGAGAGAGAGCGAAGAAGAAGCAGGGGTAGGAGTGGGATAAGGAGAGATAGAGAGAAAAGGAGAAAAATGGAATGAGATATTCTCAAGTGTTGCCAGATTGTCACAGAAAAAAAATCTTGGTATAACTGTCTTGAAAAATTTTAAACTTTGACATTTTTGTCTTGAAGTAGTAGAGGATTTTTGTGCTTATTTTCAGTTTATGAATGAGTGGTGTTTGTGTCAGCATCTTAAACAATGGAATAAAAACGAATGTATTCGTTTTTTGTTCAGTGTAACGGTTTGAAATGCCAGATACCTTCAGGGATGAAGCGGCTGCTTCTCAGAGAACTGCTCCAGGTTTTAGGTTGCAGGGTTATTTGGCAGAGGTGCCCACTTTCTCTATTTGTCTAAGACAGAATTAGGTCACACAAACAACAAAGATATATAAGAGAAACCCCCTTCTAGGTTCAAAAGGAAGTGAGAAAAAAATTGGTATAAAAAAGAATTCTCTTTTTAAGCACATTAAAGTCTCCCTTTTTTTCAATCTTTTTTTTTTTTTTTTTTTTTGGCAGGGTCTTGCTCTGTCACCCAGGCTAGAGTATTGTAGCACAATCTTGGCTCACTGCAACCTCCGTCTCCCAGGTTCAAGCAATTCTCCTGCCTCAGCCTCCTGAGTAGCTGAGATTACAGGCATGCACCACCACACCTGGCTAATTTTTGTATTTTTAGTAGAGACAGGGTTTCACCATGTTGCCCAGGCTGGTCTCAAACTCCTGACCACAGGTGATCCACCCACCTCGGCCCCCCAAAGTGCTGGGATTACAGGCATGAGCCACCGTGCCCAGCTCTGTTTTAGACTTTTAATGTAAATATATTGTCTTGGGAAATGTTTCAATTAGAAATTTTAAAAATATTCAACACATATAATGTACCACGGTTGTTATATATTTTGTTGACTAAACCAGTATCTTCTTTGACATGGTGTGCACAGGTATTCATATATCAATTGCAAAAGGGCTTCATTCAAAGCATACAAGAAACAATTAACCAGGTTAATTCAATAGGAGTTGGAAATGGATTGGCTTTTACAAACTATCTCGACCAGCGCCTTCCAGTACAACTTTTTGAGATGATGGAAATGCTCTATCTCTGTATTGCCAATGCAGTAGCCACTAGCTTCATGTAAGTAATTGAAATGTAGCTGGTGTGACTGAGGAATTAAATGTTTAATTTAACTTAATTTCCATTAAGTAGCCACACATGGCCAGTGCTGTGTTGACAGCACAGATCTAGACCATCATGTTTATTTGGCAGATAAGGAAATCAGGAGAGAGGCTGAGAAGCCCAAGACAGCAGTCCAATATAGCATTAATAGTTTTAACCAATTTTCATGAAGGAGAGATTAGGGAAAAGAAGGAAGACAAATAAATTGGGTACGTTAGTGTTCTTTTTTTTTTTTTTTTTATTTTTGAGCCAGAGTTTTGCTCTTGTTGCCCAGGCTGAAGTGCAATGGCATGTTCTTGGCTCACCGCAACCTCCGTCTCCTGGGTTCAAGTGATTCTCCTGCCTCAGCCTCCAGAGTAGCTGGGATTACAGGTATGCACCACCATGCCTGGCTAATTTTTGTATTTTTAGTAGAGACAGGGTTTCTCCATGTTGGTCAGGCTGGTCTCGAACTCCTGACCTCAGGTGATCCACCCGCCTCAGCCTCCCAAAGTGCTAGGATTACAGGCATGAGCCACCGCACCCGGCCGATGGGTACGTTAGTGTTCTGAGACTGTTCCCTTATGCAACTTTTATTTTAAATCCCTTGAGATGCCTAGAAACCACCCACCTGGTAGGGGTGATGTGTAAGATGTGTAAGATTACCCAAATTGATTTCACCCCTCAAATCCACTCTGATTCTTACACTAATACATTTAGAAAGCACTTCATAGTTTTCAAATCTTGTTCATCTATACAGTTTTCTCACATTTGCTCTTTTCAACATCCATGTCAGGTTGGAAGAGAAAATATCATCCCTCCCCTATGTCTGAGGTTCCAACAGGCCAAATGAGTAGCACAGGTTCATGTGACTAGCAAGTGCAGCTGCTGGGGAAGGTTTTGACTCTTAGTTCAGCCTCTTTCTGTTACAACCGGCTGCCCTTTATCTAAGTCCCTGAGAAGTGTTAAGACTTGGGAACCTGCGTTAGTATTAGGGGCAAATTAGGAAAGCCCCACAGAGCAGAAGCATCTTCCACAAAACATCCTCTGGCAGAAGTCTAGTGGGAGTATAAACTCCAGAATCAAGGAGATATGGGATTGGTAACAGTCTGTCAAACGTACTACAAGTATAATTTGGGCAAGTTACTTAGCCTCTTTTAAATATCATTTTCCTTGTTGGTAAAATGAGGATAATAATGGTACCTAAAAGACTTCTTGTGCAGATTAAATTAAATAATTCAAGTAAAGTGCTTTGTGCAGTAGTTGTTAGCTATAATTATGAATATTAATATAGAAAGAATTAAGTTATGTTTTGATTGCTTCCTGGGCCTATTTCTAGATTCAGAATCAGGAAACAGCAACTTTGGTCTTGGCATGCTTTAGAATGCTGCTGAGTCTTTTAGCCTTGTCACCAAATTCTTTCCTTCCTCTACAATTCCCTATTCTCTTTCTCCCACTACCATACCATCAAGAAAATGGAATTGAGTTTCCACCCCGGAAATCTCTCCATTGCTGTAAATGTTGTGGGGCTCTAGGGAAAGAGTGAGGCACGTGGGCTTTTAGAACCATTGATAGGCCTCCTGATGTCCATAGCATTGTGGGAACAACAGTATAAAGCCGCATGCCCAGTTCAAAGGAGTGTATTTTGAAAGTTTTCTAAAATTAAACCTTTTCTCTCTGTGAAAAGATTTTTTTTTTCTCACAGTCCTCCTATCCTTATCACTATGAAAATTGAGCCACTTTCTGGCTATGTCATGCTCAGGGTCAGGTTCCAGCCCCAGCTGAGGGCTGAGGGGAGTGGGTGGACATGGGGCAGGGAGCTGGAAGAACACTCGAGAGACAGCAGGTAGATGAGACATGGCTTTATTCAGCAGCAGTTTTCATTAACAGCTTTCTCACACTAGCTATCTCACACTGTCTGCCCTGTCTCAGTTGCTTAGTTCAGCAGCTCCCAAACACACAGCTGCACCGACAGCCCTCCCTTGCCTTCAGGGTCAGCAGCTTAACTCTCTCTCTCTGGGCACAAGTGAGCTGAGCTGTGTCCTGGCTCCCTCCTGTCTATCTACAAAGACAGACCCCTCTGGCTCTCTCTCTCTCTTTGGGTGCCAGCGCACCTGTACAGTGTCAGCAGGACAATTATACCTTTTGCAAACAATACTGGCTTAGAGCAAGGCATGGCCTTCCCATGTTATGGCTACATGGCTGTGATAACAAGTGGAGTTATATGTGTGCACTCTAAACTCACAAGTCATGCAGAATGCAAACATCTTACCTTGGCCTATCCTTGAACAAACCACAGCCATGTTCCTTACAGGCTATTATTAAAAAGTCAAAAAATAACAGATGCTGGTGAGGTTGCAGAGAAAAAGGAACACTTATACACTATTGGTGGGAATGTAAATTAGTTCAGTCATTGTGGAAGACAGTGTGGCGATTCCTCAGAGACCTAAAAACAGAAATACCATTCCACACAGCAGTTCCATGAACAGGAATATACCCAAAGGAATATAAACCATTCTGTCATAAAGACATGTGCACATGTATCTTCACTGCAGCACTGTTCACAAGAAAAGAGACATATATTCAACCTAAATGCCCATCAATAGTAGATTGGATAAAGAAAATGTGGTACATATACATCATGGAATACTATGCAGCTATGAAAAAGAACAAGATCATGTCCTTTGCAGGAACACGGATGGAGCTGGAGGCCTTTATCCTTAGCAAACTAAAGCAGGAACAGAAAACCAAATACTGCATGTTCTCACTTATAAGTGGGAGCTAAATGATGAGAACACATGGACTCATAGAGGGGAACAATAGACATTGGGGCCTATTGGAGTGTGGAGGGTGGGAGGAGGGAAAGGATCATGAAAAATAACTAACGGGCACTAGGCTTAATAACTGGGTGACAAAATAGTCTGCACAACAAATCCCCCTGGTACAAACGTACTTCTGAACTTAAAAATAATTTTTTTTTAAATTGAGCCATTTTCAAAATGGATAGGAGAAATGAGCCTGAACATAAAGCCTGTCTCTAATTCAGAAGTTGTATCCAATAAGCTTCTCTTCTCCTTCTCTAGCCATCCTGTGACCTACAGCTCCTCCATAAGCTTTGGAATGTTCATGATGGATCCAAGAAATCTTGGTATCAAGGGTATCATTTGGATCCATATGTTTTCTCCCTAATGGTCAAGCCCTAGTATGAGAGAAAAACACCAAAATTACAGAAATCCTACACACGAAATAGAAGAAAATTGAAGACATTATTCTGAGTTAAAATAGAATGCAAATGATAACCTGTTACCCTGTCTGGTGAGACAAAATACACAACACTGGAAAACTGTAAAAGTACCATCTAGGGAAATAAATCTCTCCTCTGTAATTTGGGTGAGCATAGCTCATCCTAAATCCATTAATTACCATCCTTTTAAAAGCACTCCAAATCAATATGTTCTCCCCTTGGAGATTATTCAGATGAGCAGAACGGTTGTAAAATACTTCTTTGGCTAATATGGATGATGACCAGAGAAGGTTGTAGTATCATTAAGGCCCCAATCTCAACAGAACATAACAAATATTTCATAATTACTGTGATGAGTGAAATGCCATCTTCTCCATTCTGATCAGAGATTGTATTTTTGTTCTTGTTAAAAATTTGAATCACAGCAGGAGTGTGAATAGATAACCTATAAAGTGATTTTAGCAATCTGGAAAAAATATTATGGTTAAAGCCTGGCATTGACATAACTAGGACCACAGTTTTCATCTCCACACAGGCCAATTAAATAATAGGTCTACTTCACATTTATAGGCTGGGCCCCCAACTGGGACCAGGCTTTTAAGCATTGTGCATCACAGGACATAAAACGCTGGGGCTACAGAATGTTTATGGTTCATACTGCCTGTCACAATTACTGGAAAAAGCAACACGAAGACCTTGGACTTATATTTGAAGGACAGTCCATTATTAATATGGTGAGAAAGCTCTAGATCTAGGTTTAAGCTTTTGCGGCTCACCAACTATGTGACCTTGAGCCTGTGAACTATGGTTTTGCCATGAGGAAGATAGACATAATAATAGCTTTTCTTCCGTTACCACAAGGTAATTGTGGGAAATACACAAAAGAATGAATGAGAAATCTTGTTGTAATGGTAAAGTGCTTAGACAAGTAGAAGATAATATTTATAGCTTAAATGCTGAGATTTAAAAAAACAGTTACTGTTGTGTGTTTGTTGTGTCTTCCCCCTGGGGTAGCTTTAAAAAACGTGGCCTGCATTTCTGTTAGGATGGCATTTAGACCTCCACTTCATCAAAGTCAGGAAGAAACTTTCATCAGTTTTTCTTCCTTACTGAAATAGAAACCCCCTATGTCTCCAGTGGCACGTTATCATCACAAAATACTGTTACGATAAATGGCCATGAAGCAAAGTTGATAGCCACTTCAAAATTATCCTTCCACATAAATTACATTAAAAACAACACTGTGTAACACCTGTAAGAAAGGCTACCTTCAAGAGAAGTTATTTTTAGTTGAGAGGGTGGAAAGGAAAAAGACGGCACATGCCAGTGCCTCCTGATGAGCTGTAAAACACTCACAAAAAACAGGGGTGAGGCCAGGCATGGTGGCTCATGCCTGTAATCCCAGCACTTGGGGAGGCCAAGACGGGTGGATCACCTGAGGTCAAAAGTTCGAGACCAACCTGGCCAACATGGTGAAACCCTGTCTCTACTAAAAATACAAAAATTAGGTGTGGTAGTGCATGCCTATAATCTCAGCTACTCTGGAGGCTGAGGCAGGATAATCGCTTGAACCTGAGAGGTGGAGGTTGCAGTGAGCCGAGATTGTGCCACTGCACTCCAGCCTGGGCGACAGAGTGAGACTCCGTCTCAAAAAACCAAAACCAAAACAAAACCCAAAAAACCAGGGGTGAGCACATTGCTTTGACTTCTGTTTTATACCCATCCTGAATTGTAAATATTAAAATCACAAACGCAGAAATGCTCTTAATTTTCTTTTATCTCCTTCCATTAAATTAAGCTTTAGTTTGAAAGTCACACAAGATCTCACATATTGCCTCTAAAAAATTGAGTGGCGTGCACAGAGAAGCACTTCAGTTAGAGTGACCTGGGGGAGGATGGCTTGGGGTGGGGGGCGGCTTCTTGGATCTATACCTTAAATATTGGCACTTTTGAAATCCTCAACAATTTAAATACTGAGGGGAAAATGCCGTATGTAGTGAGAAATAAAGGATATAAAACACTTGGACCAGTGATTGATAACAGAAAAAGGAGAGAAATCTCAGTCAACTGGGACAGTTAGTTCAAAACCAGGCTGGGTTTTGCTAAGCCACAAAGACTAGTCTTGCAAAGCCTTTAAATCTTTGCAGGGCTTCTGGGTACCGAGTTGGAGGATCAGCCTCCAGGCCATAAGAAGTTCCACTCTGGGGAGGAGAATCAGATAAGCGAGGTCAAGTAGAGAGACAGCTTTCTACTCCTCTAAGGATTCATGCCAAATATATTCTCCTCGGGCCTTTAAATAGAAAAATCTCTAGTTTCTTCAGATAAAATGCACAGTCACTGCATAAGTTGCTGATATAAGGAAAAGAACAGGAGTAGTCTTTTTGCTGAGGGAGGCTGTCCTCCTTTGGGGAAACCTTCGATTTTGATTCATTTCTCATGAGAGGGAGAGAACACTTACCTATTTTTTTTTCTAGATTCTGTGCTCATTAGCTCTCTTACAGCTTTCACTCAAACATGCACTTAGCCCCTAGAACCTGAGGAAACATAAATAAAGAGAATCTCAATATATTTTATTTATTTATTTTGTTTTTTGTTTTTACTTTTTGAGAAGGGGTCTTGCTCTGTTGCCCAGGCTGGAGTGCGGTGGCACAATCTTGGCTCACTGTAACCTCCCCCTCCCAGGCTCAAGTGAACCTCCCACCTCAGCCTCCTGAGTAGCTGGGACTACAGGCACATGCCACCACACTTGGCTAATTCTTTTGTATTTTTGGTAGAGACAGGGTTTCGCCACATTGATCAGGCTGGTCTCAAACTCCTGAGGTCAAGCCATCCTCCTGCCTCGGCCTCTCAGATGTAAGACACAGCACCAGGCCTGAGAATCTCAACATATTTTAAATAAGGTTCTTTTACTTGGGGTGGGTATTAAAAATATTAATAGAGAAGCACATATGTATATACAAATATATATGCATATGTAGGAAAACACATATATGGGATGCATGCAAATGTCTGCTAACACCAAATGCCCTTTAAATGCCAGGAAACTATCACATGAATGAAAGAAAAGAGGTGGGAACAAGTGTTGGTTTGGGCTAGATTTTGCCTTAGAAAGTCAAGAAGAGACTGAATCAGATTCTGCACAAACCATGCCTATTTAAGATGCTCAAATATTTAGAATCCAAAATAATTCAGACTGGGCCTACAGAAACAAATTAGTGGAATTGAAGGTGATTTATTGAAACATTCTTTTTCTCTCTATGAAAGGCAAATAAATCTCAGGACCGACCCTCAAATCACTCAGCCAAGGGAAAAGTGAAGCTGGGGTCTGTGTCATGCAAACCCGCCTCCCATCTTATTCCTAAGTAAGATAGCTACAAAGATAAAAAAGCCACATACCTCCCTCACAATTGGCCCACAAGGAAATTCCTTGTGAGCCTCAAGCTCTTTATCCTAAAACCATTCTGTTGAATTTCACCCTGGCAATGTAAACTGATAACTTATCTTCACCTCCCCAGACAGAAAGTCATCCCTCTGAGGTTCACCTGAGACATATGCATATCTGATGGCTTCTTCTGTCCTGTTGTTTAAGTAAAAATGCAGATTCACTGAGCCAGACTAAATTGTGTTTTCAGTGAAAGGCTGATCAAGGACTCAAAAGAATGCAACCTTTTGTCTCTTTTGTCTAGCCTGTGTGGCCTGGAAACCACTACCCCACTCTTCAAATTGTCCCTCCTTTCTGGACTGAACCAAAGCAATGTACATCTTACACATACACATATTGATTGATGTTTCATGTCTCCCTGTCGCCCTAGAATGTACAGAAGCATGCTGCACCCCAACCACCGTGGGCACATGTTGCCAGGACCTCCTGAGGTTGTGTCATGGGTATGCCCTTCGCCTTTCTAAACAAACTTTCTAAACTGATCGAGACCCGTCTCAGATTCCAGATATTTTGGGTTCACATCTCTGAAGCTCAGTTGCTATTTTTCTTGTGAACTGGGCTTCATTCATTAAACACATATTCATTAACTGTTTGCTAAGCACCAGGCCCTGTACTCATTGCTGGAGCTCAACAGTCATCAAGAGATCACAGCTGCTGCCCCAGGAAGTTGTAATCTCTCCAAGGAGGTAAATAGTATGTAAATAAATTCATAATAATGATTTTAGCATAGTTAAGAAATTATTTCATTTTAATTAATCACCTCTTTAAAGGCCCTAGGCCGGGCACAGTGGCTCACGCCTGTAATCCCAGCACGTTGGGAGGCCGAGGCTGATCAATCACGAGGTCAGGAGATCGAGACCATCCTGACTAACACGGTGAAACCCCATCTCTACTAAAAATACAAAAAAATTAGCTGGGCGTGGTGGTGGGCGCCTGTAGTCCCAGCTACTTGGGAGGCTGAGGCAGGAGAATGGCATGAACCCAGGAGGCGGAGCTTGCAGTGAGCCAAGATCATGTCACTGCACTCCAGCCTGGGCAACACAGCAAGACTCTGTCTCAAAAAAAAAAAAATTAAAAATTAAAATAATAATAATAAAAAAAGGCCCTAGCTTCTGATATAGTCACATTTTCAGGTACTGGAGGTTAGAGCTTCAGCATATGAATTTTGGGGGAACACAGTTCAACCCATAACACTTCCTGATCCTAGTACATAGTTTTGATCCTGAGAGGCAATGACTGGGATTCAGAGAATCCATAGACTACTGGTTTGGAGGGTGAGGGCTACCTTCCACCTGCACCTGCTCCCAGAGCTCAGTGGTGCAATAAGCGGGGCGCCATAGGAAGTTTTAATGTTCTGCATTTCCTTTCTGTTGTTTCCTAATATTAGACAGAAATAAGAGACCTGAGCTTTAATCTTGCTCTGAAAGAGAGAGATAAACATGGCATGCTACAAGAATTCGTAAGAGAAAGATATTACTTGTATTTGGTGGGTCGCAGAAGCTCTGCCTAAGAGGTGACATTGTTGATGGGCCTTGGAGAATGGGCAGCAGGTGGATGTGAAGAAGTTAGAGCATCAGAGGCAAGACAAAGGCGTGGATGCAGGAGCATGGCTTGTGTATGGAGGTTATTCCTTGTGAATCTATTGCACATGAGGCATTTGGTATGTTATAACTTTGAATTTCCCCAGAACCTGTGTGAGCTAAGCTAAATAGGAATTTACACCGTTTATTCTTTTCAACAATGAGGATACAGAAGCTTAGAGAGGTTGAAAAGCTCTTAAGTGACAGCGAAAGGATTGAACACACCTGTCTGACTTCAGCGTTCTACCCACAGACAGGCACTTGTGTTTCCTATTGCTGCGCTAACAAGTGATGACAAACTTAGAGGTTTAAAACAACACAAATATATGATCTCACAGTTCTTTAGGTCAGAAGTCTGGGTGGGCGTGATTGATTTTCCTGCTCTGGGTCTCACAAAGCCAATCAAGGCGTTGATAGAGTGAGGCCCTGTCTAAAAAAAAGAACAAAAAAAAATCGATACAACAAAATGTATTTCATACCCACCAGGTTGACAAAAGTGTTCAAGTTGGACAATAAGTGTGGGCAAGGATGTGGACCAATATGAACTTTCATCTGCTGCTGGTAGGAAACATAAACGGGTGTAACACCTTTGGAAAACCATTTGCAAAGTCTGCAACAGTACAATGGTCTACTAAAGTTGACACTGTGACCCAGAAAGTCCACTCTAAGGTTAGGACCAGCTACATTGTTTGTGGGGGCCACTGCAAAATGAAGATGCAGAGTCGCTTAAAAAATTAAGATTTTGGCTGGGCCCAGTGGCTCACTCCTGTAATCCCAGCATTTTGGGAGGTTGAGGCAGGCAGATCACCTGAGGTTAGGAGTTCGAGACCAGCCTGGCCAACATGGTGAAACCCCGTGTCTACTAAAAATACAAAAATTAGCTGGGTATGGCCGGGCACGGTGGCTCACGCCTGTAATCCCAGCACTTTGGGAGGCCAAGGCAGGCAGATCATGAGGTCAGGAGATTGAGACCATCCTGGCTAACACAGTGAAACCCCATCTCTACTAAAAAAAAAAAATACAAAAAACTAGCCAGACATGGTGGCGGGTGCCTGTAGTACCAGCTACTCAGGAGGCTGAGGGAGGAGAATGACGTGAACCTGGGAGGTGGAGCTTGCAGTGAGCTGAGATCGCACCACTGCACTCTAGCCTGGGCGACAGAGCGAGACTCTGTCTCAAAAATAAAAATTAAAAAAAAAAATAGCCGGGTGTGGTGGTGGGTGCCTGTAGTCCCAGCTACTCAGGAGGCTGAGGCAGGAGAATCACTTGAACCCTGGAGGTGGAGGTTGCAGTGAGCCAAGATTGTGCCACTGCACTCCAGCCTGGGCAACAGAGCGAGACTCTGTCCCAAAAAAATAAATAAATAAATAAAATAAAATAAAATTAAGATTTCAAGAAAGAGACAGTAGAGTTCCAAAGCATAGGGTCCTTCTAAGCATGGGGAACCTATATGTCTGTACAGGTTTCATAGCATCAGCTGGTCCTGCCTAGATATTTACCTTAGAGAAACTCTTGGGTCGTGCAGTTCAGGGTCCATACAAGAATGTTCAGAGCAGGACTGTTGGCAATAACTAACAATAGGAGACTCCAAACGTGAGTGACTAAATTAGTCACTGGAAGACTGATCAGTGAAAAATGAATGAATTAGAGTTGCTGACAACCACATGGGAGCATCTGAGGAGCACAACGCTGACCCAAAGAAGAAGAGTCCCCAAAGAATACACACAACAAAGACTCTATATAAAGTTTAAACAACAACAACAACAACAACAACAACAACCAACAGCCTGTAATCCTAGCTACTTGGGAGGCTGAGGCAGGAGGATCGCTTGAACCTGGAAGGCGGAGGTTGCAGTGAGCTGAGATTGTGCTATCGCATTCCAGCCTAGGCAAAAAGACCGAGACTCCATCTCAAACAAACAAACAAAAAACAACCCTGCAAAGCTGAATGACATATTGTTTAGAGAAACAAAAATATGTAGTAAAACTATTGAGAAAACAAGACAACGATGAATACGAAACCAAGGATGGTAGTTTCTCTGCAGAAACAAAGGGTCTGGGATGGTCTTCAGGGTTATGGGCGTGCCCTTTTTTACAAACAGATCCTTGGGTATTTGGTTTTTGTTAAATTCCTGTTTTTCATACGTTATATATTGCTTAATAAATATTAGTTTTCATTTATTAAATATTTAATAAACTTAAAAGTAATGCAAGTTGGCCCTGTTTGTGGGGAGAATGGTAGGAAATGGCCGGGCGCGGTGGCTCACGCTGTAATCCCAACACTTTGGGAGGCTGAGGCGGGCGGATCACGAGGTCAGGAGATCGAGACCATCCTGGCTAAGATGGTGAAACCCCGTCTCTACTAAAAATACTAAAAAAAAAATTAGCTGGGCGTGGCGGCGGACGCCTGTAGTCTCAGCTACTCCAGTGGCTGAGGCAGGAGAATGGCGTGAACCCAGGAGGCGGAGCTTGCAGTGAGCAGAGATCGCGCCACTGCACTCCAGCCTGGGCGAAAGAGCGAGACTCCATCTCAAAAAAAAAAAAAAAAAAATTGTGGTAGGAAATTTCCAGACCTTTTTGAGTTTTTAAGGCTTTTGGATGTACAGTTGACCCTTGAACAATGCAGGAGTTAGGGGTACCAATATCCTTGCATTAGAAAATCCATATATAACTTCTTTTTTTTTTTTTTGAGACAGCGTTTTACTCTGTTGCCCAGGCTTCAGTGCAGTGGTGCAATTTTTGCTCACTGCAACCTCTACCTCCCAGGCTCAAGCCACCTCAGCCTCCCAAGTAGCTGGGACCACAGGCACGTGCTAACATGCCTGGTTAATTTTTGTATTTTTTTGTAGAGTTGGGGTTTCACCGTGTTCCCCAGGCTGGTCTTGAACTCCTGAGCTCAAGCAATCCATTTGCCTTGGCCTCCCAAAGTGCTAGGATTACAGGTGTGAGCCACCACATCTGGCCCATATATAACTTATGACTGCCCACTAACTATTAATAGCCTGCTGCTGACTGGAATCCTTACTGGTAACAATCGATCAACACATATTTTGCATGTTATATGCATCTTATGCTGTATTCTTACAAGAAAGTAAGCTAGAGAAAAGAAAATGTTATGAAGAAAAACACAAGGAAGATAAAATATATTAACTATTTATTAAGTGCAAGTGGCTGATGATAAAGATCTTCACCCTTGTCATCTTCACATTGAGTAGGCTGAGGAGGAGGAAGAGGAAGAGGAGGGGTTGGTTTTGTTCTCTCAGGGGTGGCAGAGGAGGAAGAAAATCCATGTATAAGTGAACACCCACAGCCAAACCTGTGTTGTTCAAGGGTTAACTGTATTTTCTTTTTATTATGTAATGGGGGCTATTTGCACACATCTACTAAGAAGCGCAAATAAAATGTATTTCTTTATTTTCTATAATGATATAATCTTCCTCATCCTCCCTCACTCGACTGAGTGGTGATGGACAGTGGAGGTGGGGGCACAGTCAAGCCTTTTAATCAGCCCCTCTGTATCTATAGGTTTTGATATGGTTTGGCTGTGTCACCACCCAAATCTCCTCTTGAATTGTAGTTCCCATAATCCCCATGCATCATGGGAGGGACCAGGTGGATATAATTGGATCATGGGGTGGTTTCCCCTGTCCTATTCTCCTGATAATGAGTTTGTTCTTCACAAGATCTGATGTTTTTATATGCAGCTTCCCTCTCTGCTGGTCACTCATTCTTCTCTCTCCTGCTGCCATATGAAAAAGGACCCGTTTCCTTCCCCTTCTGCCATGATTGTAAGTTTCCTGAGGCCTCCCCAGCCCTGCAGAACTGTGAGTCAATTAAACCTCTTTCCTTTGTAAATTACCCAGTCTCAGGCAGTTCTTTATAGTACCGTGAGAATGGACTAATACAGGTTTAAACAGTCATTTTAGGAAAATGTTCAATCTCCTTTTTCTTCCTCTCTGGATGTAGGGACCTGGGAGTGCGACATGGTGGCCTCAGGGGAAAAGGGCTCTCGTCTAGACCTTCTGACTGTCCTCTGGATCTTCCTGGTGTCCATGCGGGGCTGCTGCTCTGGGCTGGCCCCAGGGCCTTTGGCCAGTGTCCATGAGGTAAACGTGAGAAACTTCTTTCTGGTTGGCTCTTGGCTACAACAGCCCCTGGTGGTTTTCCCCTGCTAATGCGACCCCACAGGATCCTAGGAGTTCTAGAAATTGCTCTGAGTTTAGCTGCATTTCTGTCAAATCTCTGAGGCCTCTTTAGGAGGGACGTGTTTTTCTCCGGCCATGACTGCTCCCAGGCTGGGCCCGCTGCTCTCAGTGCAGTGGCCTTCCTCTCCATTCTGGGGTGAGAAAAAACTTTCCTTCATGTCACACAGGAGCTGGGGGCAACTTGGGACAGGTCCCCAAAACTCTCTGTGTCTAACCAGGTTCTCCTGTCCCTTTCCCTTTGCTGCAGCTGAAGCCGTCCCTACCAGGTTGACAAGAATTGCATGCAGGGTTCTGGACAGGAATATAATAAGTATTAATCAGGCCGCTCTTTGGCGCACTTCCTTTTTGCCGAAAATCATGTGGCACTAGATCCTGACCATTTGCATCCCCCATTGTTCTATAGATAGAATCTCTGACATTAGAATCATAAGGCTTTGGCTTAAGGATCACTTAAGATATTTTTCAGACCCGGAATTCCAGCAACCAGTTTGACAACTCCTACAGAGAAACAGGATCCACATAAGGATACAGCTTCTTCATATCCCTGTCCCATGACTTCACCCTGCGTTCTTCAACCAATCAATGTGTCAGGCCTCTGAGCCCAGGCCTGCACGTATACATCCAGATGGCATGAAGTAACTGAGGAATCACAAAAGAAGTGAAACTGGCCGGTTCCTGCCTTAACTGATGACATTACCTTGTGAAATTCCTTCTCCTGGCTCATCTGGGCTCAGAAGCTCCTCCACTGAGCACCTTGTGACCCCCCACCCCTGTCCGCCAGAGAGCAACCCCCTTTGACTGTAATTTTCCACTACCTACCCAAATCCTGTGAAATGGCCCCACCCCATCTCCCTTCACTGACTCTATTTTCGGACTCCGCCCGCCTGCACCCAGGTGAAATAAACAGCCTTGTTGCTCACACAAAGCCTGTTTGGTGGTCTCTCCACACGGACGCATGTGACACAATGATCCCCACACTTCACCCCACTCCAAATCCCCAAAAAGCCCTAGGCCCACACTCCTTGGGGAGATGAATGTGAGGTTTCCTCCCATCTCCTTGCTCAGCGAACCTGAGATTACACCTCTTTCTCTGCTGCAACCTGGAGTCTCAGAATATTGACTTACTGGGTACATCAGGCAACAAACCTGTTGTAGTTCTACAGTTGCCCATGTGGCCTGGAGCCAGCCCATACAGGAGACTTCCCCACATGGAGCCCTCTGTTTTTGGCTTTCCCCCTCCTTTTTTGTGATACTGTACACCCCTTCTGGATAGACACCAGAAAGGGAGCCGTCATCCCAAATGTGTCAAACCCTTATCTCCTGAAGTGGTGTAGGAAACACTGCCTCAAAATATGGCACCTTGGAAATTGAAAAAGCAGAAGCAGGAAGGCTATTTCACCTTTTTCTTTTTCTTTCTTTCTTTCTTTCTCTTTCTTTCTTTTTCTTTCTTTTTTTTTCTTTCAACAGGGTCTAGCTCTGTTGTCCAGGCTGGAGTACAATGGTGCAATTGTGGCTCATTGCAACCTCTGCCTCCCAGGCTCAAGGGATTCTCCTGCCTCAGCCTCCTGAGTAGCTGGGATTACAGGTGCCCACCACCACAAGTGGCTAATTTTTGTATTTTTAGTAGAGACATGGTTTCACCATGTTGACCAGGCTGGCCTTGAACTCCTGGCCTCAAATGATCCGCCCGCCTCGGCCTCCCAAAGTGCTGGGATTACAGGCGTGAGCCACTGCGCCCGGCCTACCTCACGTTCTTCTTGCCCTTCTTCTCTGAAGCAAGTCATAAAACCTAGGAAGTTCACTGTCCGACCTTGCCCTCCTCCCCTGAAAATCCTCACGTGACAGGTGTCCTGCCCTATGCCCAGAGGGAAGGAATGTCATGCACAAAGGCCAAGAGGAATGTGAACAAGCAGGCTTTGGTAAATGCCCACCCCCAAGTTCATTACCTCAAGATAATCCCTGTTCTCCAAGTATGCTTCTGCATGACTGTCCTTGAAAATCCACAGATGACTGTCCATGAAAATCCACAGATCTCCTGTTCCTTTGGGTCTTCATTTTCTGAAAGTTCCCGTGTCACATAATACCTATATTAAATAAATCCGTATGCACTCTCTTGTTAATCCGATTTTTGTTATTTGAGTCTTAGCCATGAGCCTAGCATTGAATGAGAAAAGATATTACTTTTTTCACCTATACTTTCCAGTCCCTGCCTCATCCTCTGGGGGCAGAAGGGGTGGGCCCACCATCTCTTACCTGACAGTCACTTCTCCTTCCCCATTTCCTCCTTCTCTGTCCTGACTTTCCTCTGGCCACAATGGCAGTTGAAAAGCAGGGAGAGAAAGTGCCTCAGAGGAAGGGAATATCTAGAAAGTTTAGATTCCTTACATTATTATTTTGTTGTTGTTTTTTAGATGGGGTTTTGCTCTCATTGCCCAGGCTGGAGTGCGGTGGTGCGATCTTGGCTCACTGCAACCTCCACCTCCTGGGTTCAAGCAATTCTGCTGCCTCAGCCTCCTGAGTGGCTGGGATTATAGGTGTGTGCCACCACGCCCAGCTAATTTTTGTCTTTCTAGTAGAGATGGGGTTTCACTTGTTGGCCAGGATGGTCACGAACTCCTGACCTGAGGTGATCCACCCGCCTCGGCCTCCCAAAGTGCAGGGATTACAGGAGTGAGCCACCGTGTCCAGCCAATTTCTTTAAAAAGATAAAGAAATAGAGGTGAGGTGATGACACCGCCCACCATACCCAGACCTCGCCCACATTGGTTCTGTTGTTTCCTTACACTAATTTTTGAACATTTAAGGATTTTAAAAGCTAATTTGTCCAGGGACACTTCTGCCTTACTTTCTTGCAAGTAAGCTCATTTCAAGATGCTAATAAGAAAGTATGTTTCTTCCCAGGAAGTCAGTCAAATTAAGGGAGGAGACCACCCCTCATATTGTCTTATGCCCAATTTCTGCCTCCAAAGAAAAAGTAAAAACTAAAAGGCGGAAATGAAATCCACAGGCAGACAGCCCGGGCCACACCCTGGGCCTGGTAGTTAAATATCAACCCCTGACCCTGACCTATTCGGTTATGTTATCTATAAATTACAGACATTGTATAGAAAAGCACTGTGAAAATGCCTGTCCTCTTCTGTTCCGTTCTAATTACCGGTGCATGCAGCCCCCAGTCATGTACCCCCTGCTTGCTCAATCAATCACGACCCTCTCACACAGACCCCCTTAGAGTTGTGAGCCCTTAAAAGGGACAGGAATTGCTCGCTCGGGGAGCTCGGTTGTTGGAGACGTGAGTCTTGCTGAAGCTCCCAGCCGAATAAAGCCCCTCCTTCTTTAACTCGGTGTCTGAGGGGTTTCGTCTGCGGCTTGTCCTGCTACAAAATGTGGAAAGTGGGACAATCACGCCCTTGTGAAACAACAATCGCAGCACTTCAGCCTTCCTGGGTATGGTCTTTGATCTTTCTGCTTGGCTGTGAGGGGAATAAAGTTGTAATGGCCGAGAGCTCAGAACTTAGACTTGTAAATGAGGAGCTTTCTGCTATGCATGGTAAGCAGGCAAGCAATTTGACCTTCGCTTGATGCTCAGAAGCCAAAACACATTCCAGACAATTCAAGAGTCAAGTGCAAAAAAATTAAAGTGTAAAACACTGGACAAATAGAATTAGATATTTGTATATTTATAACATCTGGAGCGGTAAAGACTTAGTAAACTTAGAAGTAGTAGAAGTCATAAAGAAAATAATGGGCCAATTTATCTGCATGAAATTAATTTTTAAATGAATTTACTTTATCCTAACTGGCTGTAAGTGAAATTGGTCACAGGCAAATTGGCTTTTAAATGAATTGGTTTGAGAGAAACTGGCCAGCACTTCCTCGGGAGTGGTTGTGGGAACAGAGCCAAGAAAGAAATATGTGAGGCCGGGCGCAGTGGCTCATGCCTGTAATCCCAGCACTTTGGGAGGCCAAGGTGGGTGGATCACCTGAGGTCAAGAGTTCGAGACCAGCCTGACCAACATGGAGAAACCGGTCTCTACTAAAAATACAAAATTAGCCGGGCGTGGTGGTGGGTGCCTGTAATCCCAACTACTTGGGAGGCTGAGGCAGGAGAATTGCCTGAACCCAGAAGGCGGAGGTTGCGGTGAGCCAAGATCGTGCCATTGCACTCCAGCCTGGGCAACAAGAGCGAAACTCCGTCTCAAAAAAAAAAAAAAAGATATAAAGAAAGAAATATGTGAATAAGACTAACTTTGTTAGAGGCAAAGACAGGATTGGTGACTGACTAGATACAGCAGGGAGGCAGGATGGAAAAGTCAAGAATGAATGGGAGGTTTATGAGCCCAGGTAGCTGGGAGGGTAGTGGAACCAATTAACCCAAGTAGGAAGCAAAGCCGGAGGAGCATCCTTGGTCCTCGGAGTTGATATCACTATAGGTCACTTGTTCTCTAACTTTTGCCTGCATCAGAATTACATGGAGAGTTTGTTAAAATGCATATTGCTGGGCGCATCCGTAGAGCTGCTGATTCAGTTGGTCTGGGTTGGGGCTTGAATTTGCATTTCTAAAGAGTTCTTAGGTGGTGCTGACGCTACTGACCCTGGACCTCACTTTGAGAATCATCATCTGGTTTAGGGGTGAAGGTGGTGGGGATAGTGTCCAGCAGAGAGTTATTATTGTGGGCCTGGAGCCCTGGAGAGAGATCAGGGCCAGATATAAGGATAATTGCTACCATTTCCTGTAAAGCTTCCCTTCGGTGTGCCAGTAATGAGCTGATGGGCCCAAATATTGATTATGCATTAGGGTGGGGGCTGGGCAGGGGCTGGAGAGCCCAAAGCCCCCAGACCAATTGTCTTTAGCCTGAGCAGCCACTTCCATTTATCCCAGAATGCATACTGGCATTATCATTTTTCTAATGGAAGCAGTAATATGGAAAACTAAAATGTTGAAAAGCACTGACTGAGCACTTACTCTGTGGCAGGCTGAAGTGATATTCCTATGAGCAAGATCCAATTATTATCCAGATTTAAGAGAAGAGAAAATGGAGGTTTAGAGAGGTTAAGCCACTCGTTCATTGTCACATGGCTAGTAATTGGCAGATCCAGGATTAAAACTCTGTCTGGCCCATTTCCAGACCTTGAGCTTCTAATCATTGTGCCTCTTAAAGGATTTGAACATTACCTGCATAGAGGTGATATTTAAAACAATGAGATTGGATGAGACTATCAAGCAAGAGGGCATACAGAGAAATGTCCAAGTACAGTACCTTGGGGAACATTTAATCTAGGGGATGAGGGGAAGAAATGGAGTCCCAGAGGATGTTACGGAAATGAAAGGAGAAGAAAGCATGAAGAAAGTAAAAGAATTTCATTAGTATCATATGCCTTGGAGCTGTCAAGAAAGAAAAACAAACAAAAAAGATTACTAAATTTTGAGACCAGGATTACTGTTCTTGAAAGGAACTGCTTCATCAGAGAGGTAAGGATGAAAAGTGAATGTTTAGTGACCTAGTGGTGCTTAGCAAACAACCCCAGAAATAGCAACTTAAAATAGTAGCGTCATTTGCCGGGCACAGTGGCTCACGCCTGTAATCCCAGCAGTTTGGGAGGCCAAGGTGGGAGGATCACAAGGTCAGGAGTTTGAGACCAGCCTGGCCAACATAGTGAAAACCCACCTCTACTAAAAATACAAAAATTAGCCTAGCATGGTGGCATGCGCCTGTAGTCCCAGCTACTCGGGAGGCTGGGGCAGGAGAATTGCTTGAACCTGGGAGGCGGAGGTTGTGGTGAGCCGAGATTGTGCCACTGAACTCCAGCCTGGGCGACAGAGCGAGACTCCATCTCAAAAAAAAAAGTAGTAGCATCATTTATTGTTTCTCACATTTCCAAGCATTGACTAGGCTCTAGGCTTAGCTGGGTGATCCTTCAGCTCCAAATGGTGTTGGCTGGGGCGCTGGGAGGCTGCAGTCATCTGGAGGCTTGATTGCACAGAAACATCCCAAATAGCTGATTCACCTGACTGGCTGTCAGTGCTGGCTGTTGGCTGAGAACCCAGCTGGGGCTGTTGGCCAGAGAGCCTCAGTTATCCCCTGCACACAGTTTATGCATGAGGTTGAGTTTCTCACAGCATGGTGGTGGGATTCCAGCAAGATCTGTTCCAAGTTCATAAAAGTCAAAGCAGTTGATCTCTATTTTTTTGAGACAGAGTCTCGCTCTATCGCCCAGGCTGGAGTGCAGTGGCGCGATCTCGGCTCACTGCAAACTCCGCCTCCCGGGTTCAAGCGATTCTCCTGCCTCAGCCTCCAGAGTAGCTGGGACTACAGGCACCCGCCACCGCGCCCGGCTAATTTTTTTTTGTATTTTTAGTAGAGACGAGGTTTCACCGTGTCAGCCAGGATGGTCTCGATCTCCTGACCTCGTGACCCACCCGCCTTGGCCTCCTAAAGTGCTGGGATTACAGGTGTGAACCACCTCGCCCGGCCATAAAGCAGTTGATCTCTTAAGTCTGTCTCTGATGTTACATAGTATTGTTTCAACCGCACTCTGTTAGTAAAAGGAAGCCACAAGGTCAACCCAGTGGAGGAGTAGACTCCACTTCTCAATGGGAGGAGCCAAAAATTTGAGTCTATTGAAAATTCATCACAGGATAGATGATAATAATGTGGATGTAGCTAATATAGATTCTTTTCCTTTCAGTAAATATTATATAGGCTGTATGCAGTGGCTCACACCTTTAATCCCAGCACTTTGGGAGGCCAAGGCAGGTGGATCACCTAAGGTCAGGAGTTCGAGACCAGCCTGGCCAACATGCTGAAACCCCATCTCTACTAAAAATACAAAAATTTAGCTGGGCATGGTGGCGTGCAGCTGTAGTCCCAGCCACTCTGGAGGCTGAGGCAGGAGAATCGCTTGAACCCGGGGGTGGAGGTTGCAGTGAGCTGAGATTGTGCCTCTGCACTCCAACCTGGGAGATTCTGTCGAAAAAAAGAAAAGAAAAGAAAAGAAATATTATAACAAAGGGAAAAAAAGAACAATGGATGTTGGAGAGCACAGTTTTGGGGAAAGATTGTTTTAGGTATACAGGTGAATTAGCTGCGTGTGGCTATATAACAGTATAGGTAACATCCCGTTACCTTTGCCATATTCTAATTGTTAGAAGCAAATCACAGGTCCTACCTGTGAGGGGACGTACATGGTCAGGAACACCAGGAGGCAGGAATTATGGGGCCATCTTAGAGTCTGCCTACCACAGAAGGCTGAAAGTTGATAATAGTCTGGAAGGCAATGGCGAGAGTAGAAAGAAAACCAATCTCAAGAGAGAGGTCGGGGACAATTGGTAGACAGGGGTTAAGGTTACCTGTAAGTTAGATTTGGAAAGGGGAACTTTTTTGTTTTCAACATATAGGAAAAGGGAGAGAATAGGAGAAGATGAGAGAAGTTTTGAAGTACAAAGAAGGGAAATTTCTAGGAAAGCTCACATCAATGAACCTCCATCTTCCCCATAAAGTAGGAGATGGGATTATTTGCTGAGTCTGAGAGTTAAGGAGGGATTCATGCTTTGAGGAAAATGGAAAATATTTGAAACAGATGCTATGGGAAATGCCATAGATGGTGATTAAAGTGAAAATAAGGAGAGAAAAGGATAATTAACAGCAGACAGAGTCAGCTTAAGTTGTTTCACATGAATCGTTTTAGAACTGCTGGCCAACAATTTTAGATATGGGCTGATGATGGGATTTAAGCTACGTAAGAAGGCAAATGAGGTCAAGAATAAGCAAACGTGGTAAGAACAGAGCTTAAAGAGAAGATTTCCATGAGGGCAGATTGTAGCCTCAATAAGGCTGAGGGAATAGTAAAGGGGATTTTAAAAATTCTTAATCTTACTTGAATTTCCAGCAAAATGTGTTACCCTGTCTTGTTGAAATGCTCTCCTCCTTGCTTCATAGCCTGTGCGCTTTGTGTTTTTCCTGCTTCTCTGGAATCTTGGTCTTGTTCTGCCTCTCTAGTTCCTCTGTTCATCCTCCAGCTAAAGGTGACCATCAGGGTTCTCCCCTAGGACTGCTTCAGGGTGATTTCCTCCACTCCCACGGATTTAATTACTCTCTAAAGGCTGCCAAATTGCCAAAGTTATGTTTCTAGTCCAGATTTCCTCATTAATTTCAGTCTATGCCCAGCTGTCTGCATGACCCACAGGCATTAAAGCTGGACATTTCAAAAAATAGAAAGCACTATTTCTCCCCACCACCCTCTCCCCTCTTCTTCCAGCAATTCTCTATCTCAGGGAAGGGCACCACCATCTACTTATTTGCTCAGCTGGGAAACTCCATGTCATCCTTGATGCCAACTTTCCCTCACCCCATCCCTATCTCTATACTACTCTACCACTTTCTTTCCCCTTCTCTATGGCCATTCTTCTACTCTCTCTTCCATCATACTTTGCCAGATCACTCTATCAGACTCTTACACTGCCTTGCTACTTCTAATACTGATTCCTACAACCTATTTTCCTCCCTGTAGCCAAAGGGATCTTGCAACCTGCAAATCTTATTATGTCAACACACCTCCCCACTCACCCTCTCACCCTGACACATGGACACACACCATTTAAAATCTGTCCTATTGCCCATAGGATAAGTAATAAAGAACAAGCATTTGCTGAGAACTTTACTTTGTGCCAGGCACTATAATTTACTTTTTATTTTTATTTTTTTTTGAAACAGAGTCTTGCTCTGTTGCCCAGGCTGGAGAGCAGTGGCATGATCTCAGCTCACTGCAACCTCTGCCTCCCGGGTTCAAGTGATTCTCCTGCCTCAGCCTCCTGAGTAGCTGCTGTTACAGGTGCATGCCACCAAGCCCGGCTAATTTTTGTATGTAATTTACATTTTAGAAGTACAAATCCATCAGCATGCTATTTCAGGATGCTCATTATCTGGTCCTAGTCTAACTCTTCAGCCTATCCTTATCTATTCCTTCCTTTTTACCTGGCTCCTTCCAAATCACCCTTGAAGAATCAGCTTAAGGTTATTATTGCTTCCGGGGAGCCTCCCCTATCCTAGGTTCAGCCTCTCTTAGGGAACATGAACCCATCACAGTCTACAGTATTAACCTTCTCATTTGTCTGTCTCCAACACAACTCTGTCTTATTAGTTTCTACACTTGCACTGTCTTTCACAGTGCCCAGTTCATAGTAGATGCTCAATAAATATTTGCCGAATGAATGAGTGAATCTTGAAGGTAAAACAATTCCACATATGGATAGAGTTCAAAGGAGTGGCTCTACCTGTGTGTGGCTCCACACCTCTCCCTAGCTTTTTCTATGTTGACAACCTTTTTTACATGTTTAAAAAATAGATGTCTAAGGCGGGGCACGGTGGCCCACACCTGTAATTCTAGCACTTTGGGAGGTTGAAGCAGGCAGATCACTTGAGCTCAGGAGTTCAAGATCAGCCTGAGCAACATGGTAAAACCCTGCCTCCACTGAAAATACAAAAATTAGCCAGGCATGGTGGTATGGGCCTGTAGTCCCAGCTACCTATGGGGCTGAAGCAGGAGCATCACTTGAACCCGGGAGGTTGAGGCTGCAGTAAGCCGAGATGGCACCACTGCACTCTAGCCTGGGTGACAAAAGTGAGACCCCGTCTCAAAATAAATAAATAAATAAAAATAATAAAATTAAATAAAAAAGAAAAAAGAAGTGTAATATTTAATTTTAAGTTACATTGTGAGGTTACATAATCCCCTACTGTTAACCACAAATCTTTAGCAGGGCCCACAATAGAACAGAAATTTAAAGGAATAGTGTTTGGGAGGAAATATATGTTCAACAGCCATATGCCCCACTTGGTGATTGGACCATGCAAGTCAAGGGTTAAATTCAACAAGCAAGGAATAAGACAGATTTTTTTGAGACGGAGTCTCGCCCTGTCACCCAGGCTGGAGTGAAATGGCGCAATGTCAGCTCACTGCAACCTCCACCTCCCAGGTTCAAGTGATTCTCCTGCCTCAGCCTCCCAAGTAGCTGGGATTTTTGTGTTTTTAGTAGAGACAGGGTTTCACCATGTTGCTCAGGCTGGTCTCAAACTCCTGACCTCGTGATCCGCCCGCCTCAGCCTCCCAAAATGCTGGGATTACAGGCATGAGCCACTGCACCTGGCCTGAGAGATTTAGAATTGAGGAGAAGAGAACATAGTAGCTAGAGGTGACTAGGCAAAAACATAAGCCCGTGAAGTCCCTGGACACACTGGGAAGGTCGGAGGATTTCCCATAATAAATGAGCTGGGGATTTGAACCAATTTTATTTGAATCTCAATGCACAAAGTGACCCCAGTAGATATGGAGTTAAGAAAGTCAAATGCATGTCTGTAATTATTTTTATCAGTATATTCTTCTTTTTAAAAACCCAGATATCAAGAATCAGTCCAGATCATTATATTCTTATCCAAGCCTTTCTGCATTGTTTTTAGCTACATGGAAGGGACGGGATGGGAGGATTAGCATAACATTTGGGTAAGGGCAATATATTTTTTAAAATAATCAAACAGAACTGTGGATGAGATAATTTTAAGTCTTTACAGAAGAGCTCAAAGGAAAGAATACCTTATCCTTGACAGAATGTAAAATTTGGTTCTGTAGAATGTAGAATGCATGGGTTTTTTTTTTTTTTTTTTTTTGAGATGGGGTCTCACTCTGTTGCCCAGGCTGAAGTACAGTGGCACAATCACAGCTCACTGCAGCCTCGACCTCCCTGGGCTCAGGTGATCCTTCCACCTCAGCCTCCCGAGTAGCTGGGACTACAGGTGCGTGCCACCATACCTACTAATTTTTCTATTTTTTGGTAGAGACGTGGTTTCGCCATATTGCCCAGGTTAATCTCAAACTCCTGGGCTCAAGTGATCCTCCTGCCTCAGCCTCCCCAAGTGCTTGGGATTACAGGCATGAGCCACCACACCTGGCCTGTTTTTTTTTTTTTTAATCAGTTAGTAATAAATATGTGCCTTTCCTCACTTCTCTACTTTCTAACTCCATTTCTGTTATTTTAGATGCAGTGTTCCTGGGCTCCCCCCCTCTTTTTTTTTTTTTTATTGAGACGAGTCTCGCTCTGTCGCCCAGGCTGGAGTGCCGTGGCGCGATCTCGGCTCACTGCAAGCTCCGCCTCCCGGGTTCATGCCATTCTCCTGCCTCAGCCTCCTGAGTAGCTGGGACTACAGGCGCCCGCCACCACGCCCGGCTAATTTTTTTGTATTTTTAGTAGAGACGGGGTTTCAGCGTGTTAACCAGGATGGTCTCGATCTCCTGATCTCGTGATCCGCCAGCCTCGGCCTCCCAAAGTGCTGGGATTACAGGTGTGAGCCACCGTGCCCGGCCTCCTGGGCACTTTTGACACTCACTGCGTGGGCTCACACCCCATTAGACTGAGATGGAAGGGAGGGTTTAGGAGGAGGTGTCCAGATCAGGGAAAGAAGACCTGTGTGACCCCGCCTGGAGGTCACAGCATAAGACATGAATGAATGAGAGCACTGGTTCTCAAAGTGAGGTCCTCAGGTAAGCAAATCCTCATCACCTGGGATGATGCTTGTGAGAAATGTGAATTTGGGGTCCCAACTCAGATCTACTAAGTTCAGGGTAAGGCACTGCAATCAGTGTTTTCACAAGCCCTTCAGGTGAGCCTGACACATATCAAAGTTTAAAAACCTCAGTGGGCTGGGTTTTTGCATGAGTACTTTAGTAACCACAGGCAATACATACTTAGATTATTTTTCTACTCTTTTCTGCCAAAATGATTTCTACTACTGAGATAGTCTTAGAAGTTACATTTTTAAAGTAATCATGAAGAAAAAACATATCTTGAGAACACTGAGAAAACATAACAGCCACTAACTAGGCTCTATGGTCAATGCAATTTGGTCAACGCCATTCCAGAGAGTACTCGAAACAGGGCAGGAGAGCCTCCTACCTCTTTGACTTCCCCATTCACCATCCCACGTCTCAAGTTTCTGTCATTATTTTTCTAGAAAAGCTATAAAAATCATCCCACTTCCTTTTTGCATTCACCACAATCACTCGCATGAACTTCAGTTCACTTTTTAATTTTATTTTTTGCTAGGCTTCCTGAAATCATGAGATCAGTTCACTTTTAAGTGTCTGGGTTTCTGCTGAGCTGCAGAGCAGCCTTTCTCCTAGCATTTCTGCCCTGCCATGTTTATCTTCCCTGTTGAGATTGGGTAAGAGGAGGTGGACAAAAAGTGGTGACAGTTACTTTCACTCTAAGGGAAACTAGGAGGCATGAGTTCAACAAATAGTAATCATGATCATTTTGCGTGCGATGCAATGTGAGAGGAAGGAATACAGATAAATACATAAGATGCGATATAAATGGTATGATAAGGGTGTGTATAAAATACAGAGAACATAGATAAGGAGCAATTGATGGAATGGTGGAGAAATGGATTAGGAGAGGTACAAAAAGGAAGTAACATTGGCACCGGTCCTTAAGGTCAAGTTCAATAGGTAGATGGACATGGGAAGGGGATGTCGGGTGAAGGGGACACCATGAGCACAGGCTTGCAGATAGGAAAGATGTTTGGGGCTTATTTCACCGTAGTTCAGTGTGGCTGGAATATAGGGGACAGAGCAAGAGCAGATGCAAAAGGAAGTGGCCCACACTCTAGGATCACCTGTGAGGGCCCCTTCCTGCACTCTTAAATATTTTGGCATACTCACCGTTTGGATGACCACATGGAGTACAGTTTCAGTTGAGCAGTGGGATCAGAATCAAAGTTTTATCTATTCTATCTATCTGTCTGTCTGTCTGTCTGTCTATCTATCCAACTATCTAATTTTTAAAGATAGGGTCTGGCTCTGTCACGCAGGCTTGAGTGCAGTGGTATGATCCTGGCTCATTGCAGCCTCAAACTCCTTGACTCAAGAGATCTTCCTGTCTCATCCTCCTGAGTATCTAGGATTACAAGTGCCTGCCAGCACACCTAGCTAATTTTTAAAAAGTTTTTTGTAAAGATGGGGCTCACCATGTTGCCCAGGCTGGTCTCAAACTCCTGGCCTCAAGTGGTCCTCTAGCCTTGGCCTCTTAAAGTCCTGGGATTAGAGGTGTGAGCTGCCATGGCTGGCCAAAATTTTGGTGTATAGATTAGGAGATGGACTGTAAAGAAGGGTGGTCATTTGAATAAATGATTCACAGGAGAAAACGGGTTTTACTGTAACAACCAAAGCCTACCAATATTGAGTTTCCTTATTCATTATGCATGTTATTAGGGTATTTTTAGCTCCAGCATTATGATTTTGCAAGTAAAATAAACTTGGGGTGAACGTTGATGCGGCCCTAAGTATCTTACTTCACTGAATTGGAATTCTACTCAGATTAGTCTTAGTAGATCTTTCTTTCTTCCCTGCTAATATCCGGGAAGCAAAGAAAAAGAGATTTCTTGAAGTATAACCTATTAGAACTTGCATAGAGGCATGGCGAGCAAAGGTTTTATAGAAATACCTGCAGATGTTTGGAGCTGTAAGAACACAGTGCTTGAGGATGCTGACCCTGTGGTGGGATATAACGTTGAGTGCCTTTTCCCAGACCCAATATCATTAAATCCTGCATAGACGGGGAACCCAGAAACCATCATCTCTCCATGCTCCAGAGCCCTGCAGAGACAACTGAGGTTTCTGGATGAGTTTATTTCTAAATACAATAGGGAAGAGGTTATTCACACAGAGATTGTCACCAATATGATTATAGGTCCCCAATTTTTTATTATACATGGCAATAGACCAGACACTCTGAAGATCTTATTATTTCCAACTTGATGTTTAGGATAGCATGGCAGATTGTATTTTCCAAAGATACCTACGGTAATATCTCCGAAACCATGTGGTCTTCTGCAATGGGACCTTGTCACGTCTCCCTTGAATGTGAGCAGGATCTGTGACTCCTTTAACAAACACAACATGGTGGAAATGATGCTGTGCCATCTGGCCTGGAAGCTTCCTGCCTCTTGGTTCCCTCTGACAAGCCAGTTGCCACTTTGGTGAGAGGCCCCAGTCACATTGAGAGGCTATGTGTGGTTGCCCTGGTCAACACCCAACTGCCAGCATCAACTGCCAGCTATGTAGCGAGCTCTCTTGGACATCTAGCCCAGTCAAAGCCTTGGGTGACTGTCACCCCAGCCAGCATCTGACGGCAACTTCAGAGAGAACCCAGATGAGAACTGCTCAGCTGAACCCCATCATCCAAAAAACTGTGAGAAATAGCAGTGAGTTGTTGTTTGAAGCCATGAAGTATTTTGAGCTGTAATCCATACACTATAAAATTTATCTTTTTCAGGTGTACAATATACAGAGCTATAACCATCACCATTCTCAGTTAAAGAACATTCTTGACCAGTCGCCGTGGCTCACGCCTGTAATTCCAACACTTTGGGAGGCCGAGGCGGGTGGATCACGAGGTCAAGAGATTAAGACCATTCTGGCCAACATGGTGAAACCCCGTCTCTACTAAAAATATAAATGTTAGCCGAGTGTGGTGGTGGGCACCTGTAGTCCCAGCTACTCGGCAAGATGAGACAGGAGAATCACTTGAACCTGGAAGGCAGAGGTGGCAGTGAGCTGAGATTGCACCACTGCACTCCAGCCTGGTGACAGAGCAAGACTCTGTCTCAAAAAAAAAAAAAAAAAAAGAACATTTTTATCACTTCCCAAAAATGAAACCCCCTGGCCAGCAGCAGTCACCCCCCACCTACCCACCCCCTAGTCTCTGGAAAGGACTAATCTACGATGCCCCTGAGGGTTTGCCTATTCTGGACACTTTACTGTTTGTTTTGTTTTGTTTTTGAGAAAGAGTCTTGCTCTGTCACCCAGGCTGGAGTGGAGTGTCATGATCTTGGCTCACTGCAACCTCTGCCTCCTGGGCTCAACTGATTCTCTTGCCTCAGCTTTCCAAGTAGCTGGGATTACAGACATGCCCCACCACACCCGGCTAATTTTTGTATTTTTAGTGCAGACATGGTCTCACCATGTTGGCGAAGCTGGTCTCAAACTCCCGACCTCAAGTGGTCTGCCTGCCTCAGCCTTCCAAAGTGCTGGGAACACAGGCGTGAGCTACTGCACCTGGCTGAATTCTTCTTATGTCACAGCCTACAGACAGGTTAATGACCAGTTTCTTCTTGGCCCACCACCATCCATCGTGTGGTCTCCCAGGCACCTTCTCATCCCAGAAAAATCCCATCTCCCACTTATATGGTTCACATATAAATTCCTCCACCAATCCTAATCTGAGTCTTTGATTTCAGTTCTGGGTAAATTTCATGTGTACTTTAATCTCGGCCCCTTTACATGGCTTGTTGATTTATGCGGCTTCTTGAAATGCTGTTTACAAAGTTAGACCCTTGAAAAGTGGCATAATTGGTTTGCATGTGAAAACTAAATCAAGATTCACCTCAAACCCAACAAAATAAATGAAGACAGAATGAAGCTTTTGCCTGGCATTTAGCAGGGCTGGCACAGATTTTTCCTCTATAGCACATGGAAGAGCAAGTGAACAGCATTCCCTGAAGTCTCACCAGGAGCTCTAAGCTCCAGAGTGAAGCCAAATCAGGCTGCTAACCCGACGGAGAAAACTTGGTGTGAATATACATATATATGTCACATATCTGTGTGAGCATATAATATGTATCTATATATAGTCAGCTAAAGCTGGCAATGAAAACAAAAACTCTACTTTCTTGGCTTACTCAAACTGCATAAAAATAGTGTTTAACAATCAAGGAAGAATGTGCAAGCCACTGCTGGTTAAAGGATGTGTGGCTATCCCATGAAAGAACCTATTAAGAATCCTACAGGCTTACTGCTGGCTTGGTTTGGAAGCCAGAGGCCAGCTCTCTGTCATGTTCTGTGCTAATTCAACAGGAATGACTTCAAGGAGGGTTTTATGTTCAGGCATGATTTATGTGGCAGGGAAGAATAAAGGGATTCCTGTAAGCTAGCCCAAGTTAGGGGATCTCTTTGAGTGATTAGTCCAATAAATACGTAGATGCTGGTGAGGCTGGGGTGAGGAGTCTGGGGAGAACAAATGCACACAAAATGCGTGTGCACACTCACGTGACGTGTGTTAAATGTATATGCAGATATACAAGCACTGCCAGCCATTGTATGGGTTTTTGAGAATCCATGGAGTTTGAGGCACTGGATAAAAATTTCTAGTGATTATAAGTTTAAATTACAATTTTAAAATTTAAAAATTTTTTTAAATCTATTTTTTATTTTTTTGAGACAAAGTCTGGCTCTATCGCCCAGGCCAGAGTGCAGTGGCACGATCTCAGCTCACTGCAACCTCTGCCTCCTGGGCTCAAGCGATCTTTCCCCCTTAGCCTCTAGAGAAGCTGGGACCACAGGCGTGTACCACCACACCCACCTAATTTTTGTATTTTTTTTGGTAGAGACAGGGTTTCACCATGTTGCCCACCCTAGTCTTGAACTCCTGAGCTCTAGCCATCCACCTGCCTTGGCCTCCCAACATGCTGAGATTACAGGAGGAAGCCACTGTGCCCGGCAATGTAAGTTATATTATAATTTTAAAATAACTTCATCTAATATTATTTGACATCTATATATTCAAATATAGACAAACATATATGACAAACATATTTATTTGACAAACATATATGAAGCATCTGTCATGTGCCAGGCACCATGGTTGGCAGTAGGTATACAAAGATGAATAAAGCAGACTTCCTGCCTTTGGGGAGCTTGCAATCCATTGAGCAGGACAAATAAAATTATTCTGCAATGTAATCAAGGGCTATAATGTTGGCATAAACCAAGTCTTTTTTTTTTTTTTTTTGATACAGGGTCTTGCTCCGTTGCTGAGGCTGCAGTGCAGTGGCATGATCTCAGCTCACTGTAACCTCTGTCTCTGGGTTCAAGTGATTCTTGTGCCTCAGCCTCCCAAGTAGCTGGAATTACAGGCGTAAGCCACTGTGCTCGGCCTAAACAAAGTCTTTTGGAATCATAGAAAATTGTTCCAGTTACTTTCACTGTGTAACATATTAGCCCAAGACTAACTGGCATAAAGCAATTATTTTATTATTCTCCTAGACTTGGTGGGTTAGGAATTTGGAGAGGGCACAGAAGAGACAGAGAAGAGATGACTTTTTTCTGTTTCATGATGTCTGGGACCCCAACTGGGAAGACACAATGAGCAGAACTGCTGAGTGGAGTGTGTGCACATGACTCCCCACAGAGCCAGGCTTCCTCACAGCATGGCAGCCTCAGGCTCCAAATGCGTGTATCCCAGCAAATAAGGCGAAAGCCACATCACTTCTTATGACTCAGCCTCATAAAACACTAGGATCACTTTTGCAATACTCTATTGCGTGAAGCAGCCTCAAGCCCACCCAGGTGCAAGGGGAAGGGGCATAGAATCTAACTTTCAATGGGGTGACTGTAAAATAAGTTTGTGGCCATTTAAAAAACTGCTATGAAAAGACAGTGCCTTAGTAATTTGGGGAATCGGGAAGTCTTCACTGAAGAGGTGATGTTTGGGATGCATCTTGAAAGAGGGACAAAAGTTTGCCAGGAGAAGTGGGGTGAAAAGAGAAATGATTCTTCATAGGGAATGGCACCTTTTAGGCTTACATGTACACAGGAAATACTGAAATACAAGAAGGAGTACAAGGGGATAACTAGGAAGTGGATCAAGCATCAAAGGAAAACCAGTCTCATAGCTCCCAGACACCTTGAATACATCAGCATGTTTGAACTGCTAACTCAACTCAATAATTGTCCATTGATTCTTAAGCCATATATAGGGTTTGGGAAAGAACCAAACCATAGTTATTTATTTGGAAAAGAACTGTGGAGCAGATAGGTTAAAGTTGGAATTTAAAGTGGAAGGACTACTTTCTCTTTAACAAACACATAATACCTATTCTTCAGGTATCATACTAAGGACATGACAATTTCAACTCACTTAATCCTCATCACAGCCCTAAAAGGTAGCTATTGTTATTCTCTCTCAATTACGGATTAAAAACTTGAATCCCAAAGAGGTTAAGTAACTTGCCCAAGGGCACGCAGTGGATCAGTGGCACACCCAGGATTCAAATGCAGGTTGTCAGGCTCAGCCTGCGCACCTCGCCACTGTGCCAGGTCACCCTCAGACAACTAGAGAGAACAGTGGCTGAAATTAAAGGCAACATGGGGAGCTTGACTTTGATCCGTATGACAATTGAGAGCCATTTAGGGCGTCTGAAATGGCAGTACGTGTAATGTAAATTGTGTTAACCTAACTAGTTATTGGCTGAGCCAGACAGGAAAACAAGTCTCTAGCTTTTTAGTTCAACATTCTTCACTATTCTATAACGCTGTGCTTGGAGATAGTATTTTATGGTTCAGTGCCACTACTGAGACTCTTCTTAAATGATGAATTAAGAGGCTGGACTCTTGAAGAAGCAAGCAAGGGAGGTAACTCACGCTCTGCCATTTTATCTGCAGGGTACTTCCGAGGTGAGGCCAAATTAGTTGACTTATCCACGTAGTTGTTTTAAGGCTAATCTAGGACAATGCAAAACATACCTCTGTAGTTTGACTCTCAGTGATGAAGCACAGTATGTAATTAGAAGCAGTTTCATTTGTCCATCCATTCAGTACTGTTTTTTTTACTGCCATGGGCTGTGACTGACCTAATATTTTGCTGCATGGTATAGTGCCTTTTATATATACATGCTGACGTCAGGCAGGACAGCATTAATGGAGGCAATATGTCTAAATGAAAACACCATTACATTATCAAAGTGAAAAATGGCTAGATCAGCAAATGGAGTATTAGGGATGGAAGCTGAGAAAAAGAATATTAACCTTGCATTCAATTTTAGTCTCATATCTGTGACTTCCTTGTGTAGTTATTATAGAACCTTAAGATACATGATGGTTGAAGGACAGTTGGGGGCACACTATAATAGCTACCTCATAAAAATGGTAGGAGCAATTGGCAGCTTAATTTTGGGGTTTGTGGAAGTAATTTTAAATGGAATTTGTGTTAATCATTTTCCATAAATTTAGACATTTCACTTTGTGATGACTTTACACTTTCACTAAGATACAGTAGAAAGTGATGGGAATAATGGAAACAATGAAAACCATGACGTCAAGCCCTGGTCTCAGAAATGTCCACCAAGCAGACGTGGAAACAGACGAATGCATTAATTTTTGATCATCTTGAACATTGAAGGTGGTTTAAAAGAGCAAAACAATAGTTCTAGAATTTGTATATAGGGTATATAAAGACATAACACGGGAGAAAAATCAAGCTGATTTTGGCAGAGGTGTGCAATCACTTGGGCCAGAACAAAGTCCTGAGCACTTAATCTTATAAACGATCTCTGGTGAGCTTTAGTGGACATACGAGATAAATAGATAGAGATAGAGATAGAGATAGAGATAGAGATAGAGATAGAGATAGAGATAGAGATAGAGATAGAGATAGATAGAGATGAGATATAGGTAGACATTGGTGAGTTTTCTAAAAAGCGGGTAATCATTAAGTAAACAACTCTTAAAATTATACTTCCAGCTGAGCACAGTGGCTCATGCCTGTAATCTCAGCACTTTGGGAGGCTGAGGCCAGCAGATCGTTTGAGGTCAGGAATATGAGGCCAGCATGGCCAACATGGTGAAACCCTGTCTCTACTAAAAATACAAAAATTAGCCACGCGTGGTGGGAGGCGCCTGTAATCCCAGCTACTCAGGAGGCTGAGGCAGGAGAATCGCTTGAACCCAGGAGGTAGAGGTTACAGTGAAGACAGTTGGCACCACTGCACTCCAACCTGGGTGACGGAGCGAGACTTTGTCTCAAAAAAAAATGTTTCCTGCATGTATGTATGTATGTCACACAAACTTCTTTTTCTCCAATAAAATGATGCACATGCCCCCTACGTTGACTCTCCATCTGCCTCCAGCTGGCAGCAGGAATGGAGAAATCAAAGTAACCAATACTGGTTTGTCAATCAGACCAATGACCAGCGCAGGGGCCTCCTTTTTTTCTTTCTTAAGCCTGTGTGTGTGTGTGGGGTGTGTGTGTGGGGGGGGTGTGTGTGTCTTTGCGGACGTGCAGAGTAAAACAGAGCAGACAATATGCATCTGTATGCTACATGCCTTCTCTACAGACTTCACACACACTGTCCTTATCTCTTGGATAAGTTAATGAGACTGTTCACTGATTTCTAAGTTATAATTTCAAAGAGGCAGTGGTGGGAAAATTGATCTACAAGTATTTTTTTTTTAATTATACTTTAAGTTTTAGGGTACATGTGCACATTGTGCAGGTTAGTTACATATGTATACATGTGCCATGCTGGTGCACTGCACCCACTAACTCGTCATCTAGCATTAGGTATATCTCCCAGTGCTATCCCTCCCCCCTCCCCCCACCCCACCACAGTCCCCAGAGTGTGATATTCCCCTTCCTGTGTCCATGTGATCTCATTGTTCAATTCCCACCTATGAGTGAGAATATGCGGTGTTTGGTTTTTTGTTCTTGCGATAGTTTACTGAGAATGATGATTTCCAATTTCATCCATGTCCCTACAAAGGACATGAACTCATCATTTTTTATGGCTGCATAGTATTCCATGGTGTATATGTGGGCAACAAAAGACAAAATTGACAAATGGGATCTAATTAAATTAAAGAGCTTCTGCACAGCAAAAGAAACTACCATCAGAGTGAACAGGCAACCTACAAAATGGGAGAAAATTTTCGCAACCTACTCATCTGACAAAGGGCTAATATCCAGAATCTACAATGAACTCAAACAAATTTACAAGAAAAAAAACAAACAACCCCATCAAAAAGTGGGCATTGGGAGGCCGAGACGGGCGGATCACGAGGTCAGGAGATCGAGACCATCCTGGCTAACACGGTGAAACCCCGTCTCTACTAAAAATACAAAAATTAGCCGGGCATGGTGGCGCGCGCCTGTAGTCCCAGCTACACGGGAGGCTGAGGCAGGAGAATGGCGTGAACCCGGGAGGCGGAGCTTGCAGTGAGTCGAGATCGCGCCACTGCACTCCAGCCTGGGCGACAGAGCGAAACTCCGTCTCAAAAAAAAAAAAAAAAAAAGTGGGCAAAGGACATGAATAGACGCTTCTCAAAAGAAGACATTTATGCAGCCAAAAAACACATGAAAAAATGCTCATCATCACTGGCCATCAGAAAAATGATCTACAAGTATTAAAGGGCTTTGGGTGTTGGGGCATTAGGGTGACACAAATACATTACATATTCTCCTCTAGACTAGAATCTTTTAAGTACTTATTTGGGTCTATTACAGACACTCATTTCTCTTTAGAAATCTATCTATCCTGCTGACAAAGCTAGTGGAATATCAAAAGTTCTACTTGGATGGGCCCAAAACATACATAAAGAGGAATATTAAGCATTCCTTTTTATTTGTAAGTTATGCTAATAACCAATGGTTGAAGAAAGGCGTGTCATATGGCCAGTGCATTTAAATTATCGCTATTTCCCAGTGTTTACTCTCCAAGTTTTTGATACACATTAAACCTTGGCTACTACATGGTCATTCCATGCTAGATTATACGTTGGATGTTTGGAAAAACGTTATTATTCAATAGGTTGAGTTTCGGGAAGGAGTTTGTTTTACCTTCCAGAGCGAATTGCTTATAAGAAAAAGAGGCTATTTTTGGATTCTTTTTTATTCTATTAATGTCAGCGCTATTGAAACTCTTTGATTTTTTTACCCTGTTGCTTAGAAACATTTTATTAAATGTTGTCAGTGCTTCTATCTGATCTGATTTAAAATGTTACTTTTATCTGCCACTGTAGAATGAGCTCTAAGTTATTAATAGGTATTAAAAATATTTTATTGACAGGAGAATGATATATCAGATTAAGCCAGTATCTCTGGCTTATCTATTTTAAGGGCATTGGGTGGGGTTTGATTTGGTGAGGTTTGTGATGGGCAAAAACAGGAATGATAGGATATTTCTAACATTCTTGGCCTCTCACTCTTAGAACCTAAGGGTAGATAGATTGGGAGGGATAAGGGCTCAAATCTCCTTTCTCAAATTAGCTCCAATCACCTGTCCTGAGTCCAATTGCCCATCACCATCTGCCTGAAATTCCACCATCAGAGACATTACTTTGATCTTGCTTAATAAGTTATCAGATTCAGAGTTAACTGGAGATTTGCTGAACAGCTGGATAAGCATGAGACCCAGAAGAAATGGGGTACAGGATAGGGAGTTGCTGAAAATAGAGGGATTAGGAATCGGGGGGTGGGTGGGAATAAAAGGAAAATGAAAAACTGACAAAGCCAAGGATAACCCATTTCACCTCCTCCTCTCCCTGCTGTCCGCAGGTCTGGTCCTCAGGCTGTGAGTGATGTGCCTTAGGGGCAGGAGGAAAGTCAAGTCCTCCTGGGCCTTGGATGACTCCCTTGCAAGAATACATTCTGTGAGTTGAGACCAGAAGCAGCAACCAGAATAACTAGATGATTACTCTTCTCTTCATGTGGTCAAAGTATTTATAGTATTTGCTTAATAAAACTCATGAAATCTCTGAGATTGACTCAATTGTATGATTTTCGCTGGCACTCTTGCGTGTGCACACACACACATACATTTTAAATTTGGCCTGATTTTCACAAAGACCTACTTCATAACAAAGGGCTAATTGGGCCACTAATTCATGTTAAACCTGAACTGGGGAAACACTAAATGCTGTTTTAAAAGTACCACCCAACTCATACCCTCTAAATAACGAAGGACTTTTTGTTATTATAGCTATTCTTCAAATTAATACAGTTATATTACATCCACTAATAGAAATGATTTTAGGTGGCTTAGGATAGTTACAATAGGCCATGAAGATTGTATCAAACCAAGTGAAATAAAACTTCCCAAGTGGTCACTCCAATTCCACACACACACTTCATATTTATGTAGCGATCCCCTTGTGCTCCCTGTTAGATAAAGGGCATCATTATCACTATCAACTTGACTATTCTGATTCTAACATTTTATGTAATATGAAATTCTCACCACTGCAGAATCTCTTATTCTGCTGGGTGATTGGCTTTAACGTTAAAGCTCTAAAATAACAGACAGTAGTAGTTATTACAATACCAGTGTTTTTTATAATAGAAAGCATGTTCATGTAACATACACGGTAGGTCAGGTTTCCTTAAAGTCTCAAGTTTCACACAGAAACTGACAATGCTTAGGAAAGGAAACTGCATTTAGGAGAGGATTTCCAACTAGAAGCTGCTAATAGAGGCACTAACTAGGCAGGAAGTATTCAAATTGGTTATAATTTAATTATGTCAATATCCCTTCTAAAAACAAATAGGTCTTAGCCATGATTCAGGCAGCAAAAACTAATAATAACTTGGTGAGGAATTACTATTTTTGCCCACATGTATCTGGGTAGTTGAAGCAATCTGATTGTATGATTTGGCACGAGTCCAGTCTATGGTCTAAAATAGCTACATGGGAAAATATTGGAAGTGTATTTTAGCCTCTGAAAGATTTAAACCTGGTGAATCAGTATGTTTCTCCCCTGATATTTGATGTTCATATGTCACTGGAAAGCAAACACACAAAGACACAAACAAATGAAGCAGGTTTCCCAGCATTTTATATTAACGACCACCATCAAGTTTGACGTTTTATACCTCTAATATTCTGGGGAGCTCATGATGTTTGATGGTTGTATTTGCTCACTGATCCTTAAGACAGATATTCTTGAGACGTATGAGGTAATGGCAAGATGCTATTTCCAGACAAAAGATGGGCCATCTAAGTGGGAAGCTATTCACAAATAATAAATCTGTAGATAGGTGAGATTTAAACACCTAAGTCTCCCTGTAAAATGTTGCTTTTTTTTTGTTGAGACAGAGTCTGGCTCTGTCACCCAGGCTAGAAAGCAGTGGTGCGCTCTCGACTCACTGCAAGCTCTGCTTCCTGGGCTCAAGCGATCCCCCCAGCTCAGCCTCCTGAGTAGCTGGGACCACAGGTGCATGCCACCACACCTGACTAATTTTTGTATTTTTTTGTAGAGACAGGGTTTCCCCATGTTGCCTAGGCTAGCCTCAAACTCCTGAGCTCAAGCAATCTGCTTGCCTCGGCCTCCCAAAATGCTGGGATTACAGGTGTGAGCCACCATGTCTGGCCAAATGTTGTTTTGTGTATGGAAAACTCTTAAATTTTAGATTTCATGAATAGTCAAAATAGGCAGCAGCATCTACTCTTAGTTTCCTTTTTTTCCCCTGTTGTTTGAACTGAGTTGCCCATGTGTGTACCCTTAGACTTAGCAGTCTGAAAAATTATCCTTTGACAGCTCTAGTAAGGCTTATGTAGTCTGACATACTGAAGATGGATGGAGGTTTCAAATTTGGAGGGACTTCTAGAATTTCTTTTTCTCTCCAACAGTAACTGAAACAGTCAAAATGCTGGATCAGAGAAAAGGGACAACACACACACACACACACACCTCACACTTTTCATAGACCCAAGGTTCTATGGTTACAGAAACCATGAACCGATTTCAGGGATGACAATGGAATCCGAAATGCTTTGGATTTGAGAATTCAAGTCTTTTCAAGAGCACGGTGGAAAGTCAGTGAAATGTTATAAATACTCCAAGTAGCAGAAGTGTTACCGTATAAGGAGATGCCATTATTTACTAAACTCTCTCTATGCTATTATTTATTAAATACTGTCTTTCCGTGTTAAAACAAGTAAGGCTCAATGGACGTTTGGGCTTTGATGGTTTCATTGTGATCTGTGTCCATTCAAACATCAAAGAGTTTTGGAGATATGAGTGCAAATCCAATCAGACACAAAACCCACTGCCTATTTCTTTCACTTATCTAGCCAAAATTTATTTACAGTGAGCTAATATTAATCGTGATACTGAGGATGCATAGATGCTCAAGGTCCATCTCTTATCTTCATAGATGCACAAGCATGAAGGGCAGCAGATTTGTGAACAGATACAATATGCTAACTGCAGCCCCAGAGATATTCAAAGGAGAGACACCAACTCACATAGGACAGAAGGGAAGGATTCCAGAGAGGTGATCCAGAATGAATAGGAATTAGCCAGAAATTTGTAAGGGGAGGTTGGAAAAGAAAGGGGGGAAGAAAGGTATTGCAAATGGAGGGATTCCTCTGAGCAAAGACACAGAGGGAAGAAGCACAAGAGTATTTGAGCTGTCTGTTGTTCTTGAAGCAAAACAAAACAAAACAAAACAAAACAAAACAAACAAACAAAAAACCTAGAGATAAGGAGTGGAAAACTTATGGCTGGGGCAAGAGAGATATGACTAGAGAGACTGAGATAAGGATAGGGAAGGAGGTGAGCAGGTGACAGGTTCTCCAGAGCATTGTATGGCTGGCCAAGTAAGGAGAGTTTCAAGTAGAGGGCAAACATGGCAGATTAGCTGACTTGGATGAGATTATACACAGGGAAGTAAGAGAAGATGAAGGATGAAGATGGGAAACAGTAATAGCAATAGAATGAGGGGGCTGAGTTTAGCAATATGTAGAAGGTGTGCAGTTGGCCCTGATGCCAGCGCTTGCCTTCTAGGAATGAAGAGATTGGCTATGATCCATATATTCTAGTTCATTTGCATATATCATCTTTTATTGAATTTTCTGGCAGGATAATTCTTCAGGTGAGGCTGGTGTTTTAGCCAATCAGAATTATTATCCATAGCTTCTAGTTCATTTGCATATATCATCTTTTATTGAATTTTCTGGCAGGATAATTCTTCAGGTGAGGCTGGTGTTTTTGCCACTCAGAATTATTAGAGGCAAGTAAAAGAAATGAACTCTGTATAATTTAATCAGAGAAAGAGTTCTTAAAGGATATTGAGTAGTTCACAGAGTTTCTAAGGATGGCACATGGTTTAATAAAGACACTTGCAGTGATTTGACTTTATTTATTTATTTACTTTTGAGACAGAGTCTTGCTCTGTCGCCCAGGCTGGAGTGCAGTGGCACAATCTTGGCTCACTGCAAGCTCCGCCTCCCGGGTTCACGCCATTCTCCTGCCTCAGCCTCCCGAGTAGCTGGGACTACAGGCGCCCACCACCACACCCTGATAATTTTTTGTATTTTTAGTAGAGACGGGGTTTCACTGTGTTAGCTAGGATCATCTCAATCTCCTGACCTCGTGATCCACCTGCCTCGGCCTCCCAAAGTGCTGGGATTACAGGTGTGAGCCACCGCGCCCGGCCCCCTCTTTCATTGTTTATGTCAGTAATTTGTGTCTTCTCTCTCCTTCTTGTTAAAGAATCAGTGTTTGATTTACTTCATTTTCTCTATTTTTCTGATTTCAATTTCATTGATTTCTGCTCTAAACTTTTTAAAAAATTTTATTTACTTATTTTTTGAGATAGAGTCTCACTCTGTAGCCCAAGCTGGAGTGCAGTGGCATGATCTTGGCTCAGTGCAACCTCCGCTCCTGGGACTCAAACGATTCTTGTGCCTCAGCCTCCTAAGTAGCGGGGACTACAGGAGCGTACCACCATGCCCGGCCAATTTTTTGTATTTTAGTAGAGACAGGGTTTCATCATGTTGCCCAGGGTGGTCTCGAACTCCTAAGCTCAGTTGATCCGCCCACCTCAGCCTCCCAAAGTGCTGGGATTACAGGTGTGAGCCACCATACCCAGGTAAACTTTATTATTTCTTTCCTTCCGCTTGCTTTATTTTTGCTTTTCTTTTTCTAGTTTATTTAGGTGTATTACTCCATTTTGGAGACCAAATAACCATAATACCAAATCCTGACTAAAATAGCACACACAAATTTAAAAAAGAAAAAAAAAAAACAAAAACTGATGAATCTATAGGTGTAAAACTTACAAATAAAACATTTTATTAAAAATAATCACATAAATAGTTAATAAGGCACTTTTACTTCTATGGGATAAACTTTTTTTTAGCTTCCACATATGAGTGAGAACATGCAGAGTTTAATTTTCTGTTCCTGGCTTATTTCACGTAACATAATGTCCCCCAGTTCCATCCATATTGCCATAAATGACAGGACTTAATTCTTTTTATGGCTGAATAGTACTCCGCTGAGTATATTCACCACATTTTCTCTATCTATACATCTGTTGTTGAATACCTAGGTTGATTCCATTTCTTGACTATTGTGAACAGTGTTACAATAAACATTGGGAGGCAGTTGTCTCTTCCATATACTGATTTCCTTTTTTGGATAAATGTCCAGTAGTGGGATTGCTGGGTCATATGGTAGTTGTATTTGTAGTTTTTTGAGGAACCTCCACACTGTTCTCCATAGTGGTTGTACTATGTATGAGTTTACATTTCCACTTACAGTATATAAAATTCCCTTTTCTCTACATCTTCGCCAGCATCTGTTATTTTTTATCTTTTTTATAATAGCCATACTAACTGGAATGAGATGATACTTCATTGTGGTTTTGATTTGCATTTCCTTGACGATTATTGATGCCGAGCACTTTCATATATTTCTTTGCCTTATGTGTATCTTCTTTTGAGAAATGTCTGTTCAGATCATTTGCTCATTGTTAAATTGGATTGTTTTTTGCTGTTGAGATGTTTGAGTTCCTCATACATTCTGGATGTGAATCCCCCATTGGATGAGTAGTTTGCAAATATTTTCTCCCATTCTGTAGGTTGTCTATTCACTCTGTCGATTGTTTCCTTGGCTATATGGAAACATTTTAGTTTCATATACTCCCATTTGTTTATTGTTGCTTTTGTTGTTAGTGCCTTTGAGGTCTTATTCATAAAATCCTTTCTCAAACCAATGTTCTGAAGCATTTCCCTTATGTTTTCTTTTAGTAGTTTTATAGTCTTTCGTCTTACAGTTAGGTTTAGATGCATTTTCGGTTAATTTTTGTATAGGGCAAGAGGTGGGGGTCTAGGTTTATTCTTTTGAGTATGACTATCCAGTTTTCCCAGCATCATTTACTGAAGAGGGTGTCCTTTCCCCAATGATTGTTCTCGGCACCTTTGTCAAAAATCAGTTGGCTGCAGATATGTAGGTTAATTTCTGGGTTCTCTATTCTGTTCCATTGGTCTATGTGTTTGTGTTTATTCCAGTAACATGCTGTTTTGGTTACTACAGCTTTATGGTATATTTTGAGGCGTGCTAATGTGATACCTGCAACTTTGTTCTTTTCCCTCAGGATTTCTTGGCTCTATCTTTTGTAATTCCACAGAGATTTTAGGATTGTTTTTCCTATTTCTGTAAAGAATGTCATTGGTATTTTGATAGGCATTGTGACAGTTTTGAAAAATAGATTATAGCAGATATGATGCTATGTGACTTCCAGGCTAGGTCACTTGCTCTCAGAGCTCTGAGTCACCACGTACAAGGTCCAGCTTCCCCCCAGTTTTGCACAGAGACAATAAGGAGAAGGCCTGTGATTACAGATAGAAAGAAATGTTCAGTGAGTTTCTCGTTGTTTGAGTCATCCCAGCCCAGCCCCAGACATATGAAGTCTCCAGATGACTCTAATACCCAGACATTAGAGTCACCTCTAGACATTTTAGAATTTCATCCAAGGAGCCAGCTATTATGAAACAAGTCATCCTTACTGTGTTTTGTCCAAATTCCTGTCCCACAGAATCTGTGAGTATAAGGAAGGTTTGTTGTGCAGCAATAGATAACCAGAACAACACACAGACTCAGTGGCTGCATATACAACCTGCAACTTGTACCGCCATCATCACATATGCCAGCATGGATGGCAGAGTCTCTGTCACTGCTGGCCCTGGAGCACTGGAGTGCTACCACTGACCCCCCTCAAAAGGATGGATGCTGCATGGCCCCTGCTCTCCTATTCGATCTCTAAGGAGGTTATCATCTTATTTGTGGAGCCATATGTTTGTTACAAGGGAAGCTCGTAGAGTATTAAGCTTTTTCAGCTTCTAGAGTGAGAGGCAGGCTCTGTCTCATGGGGTGGGAGATTCCTCAAAGACAGTAGAGGAGTTTAGAGCCTGAGCTGCCTGAAAGAATATCCGCCCCAGGGTGCATTGCCAAAGTGTGAAAATGGGTAGAGTAAACTACTCTTGGTCAGACTCTGCAGAGAACACAGGCTGAAGATGCTGTGGTACAAAGCATCTAGGCTCCAAGAAGGAGGTGCTACCCCCTACTGGGGCCAGCTGAATGAAGGCAATTCTTTAGGGTTGTTACCCCCTGCAATTTCAGTTTAATCCTTGGACTTTAAGGTAGTACTTAAGTTTCCCATCTCGCATATTTCCTAGATCATGTATTCACATGCTCAAAATCCTCCAGAGGCTTCCCATCTCAAATTAGAGCCACAGTTCTTAATATTGCTGATGAGATCCTGCAAGCGCTGCCTCGACTCCCCTGCCTTCGCTCCTTTGACTCCCAACTCACCAACTATACTGGATCCTTGCTGTTCCTAGAGAAACCCAAGCACTGTCCCTCTAGGGATTTTACACTTGTTCTTATTGAGGCCTTCATACAAAGACCCCTACATATGAAACAGAGACTTGGCCCCACCTGCCATACTTCCTTTTCTCTTTACCCTGCACTATTTTTCACCTTAGCGCTTACTACCATCCAATATACTACAGACTTGTGTATTTCCTTATTGCCTGTTTTCTCCCCCTAGAATTTTAGCTACATGGGGAAAGGAATTTTCTTTTGTTAGAGGCCATATCTCCAGTGCCCAGAACAGAGCCAGCCTGGTATGTTGCAGGCCCTTAGTCAATATTTGTTGAATGAATTAAAGAATTGTTAGATTTGATGCCCTTGTTCTGATGCAACTTGTTATTGTTGTAAAATAATCTTGAACTGCGGCCAATGAAGAGAAGGTTTCTGAATGGATGCAAGTGTGTCTGTAATATAAATTTTAGTAATAATTTCTAAACAAGTGTATGTGTGTTGTGTGTGTATGTATGGAGGGGAAAGAGACACACACAACATTTTATGTATATAGTAACTTTATACACCACTGTACTGATTTATTTTATTCACATTACTTATTTCTTTCTAGAGTTATCTTACTCAATTGGTTATGTGTTTACTGGCAGTGCTGACTGGATCATAAGCTCCGTAAGGGTAGGGACTTTGCTTTGTTCCTTCCTGCATCTCCAGAAACCAGAATAGTACCTCATATATAAATTAGAAGGTGATCAATAACATTTGTTGAATGAATGATCATTTTAATCATCCTCATCATCACCACCATTATTATTTGCCATAGTAGGATATTTTGATTTTGGTATACCAATAAATAATTCCTATTGATTTGCAAGAACATGAATAGAAGAGAGTGGAGAATGGTATAGCCAACAAATAGACCAAGGTGTCCTTGACTGCCTGGCTGTGGTAGTGCTTGTATATGGCCCAGTGAGTTGGGAATCCAGGAAAGGGTGGTCTATTAACTTGCTGGTCAAGGACAGGTAGTCATTCAGTTGGATTTGGATACTTTAGCAAGAATTTTTCAAAGCTTTCGTATTACCTAGTGACAGCAAATGCGTGAATCAATCAAACAGGCATGCCAAAAGTCACTGGGCGCTTTGACATGAAGATACCAACAGCTCAGCTGCATACATAGTATTTATCTTACCCAAACCTTATACATGTATCAGCCATCCTTAGTTGAGTAAAAAAAGTCTTAGAGGCATGGCAAATGAAAATGAAAACTGGATTCATGGGTAGATACTTCATGAATGAGAAATGTACAAATTTAAACAAACGTGAGATGGTCTAATTTATTGGGATGCTTTTATTAAGCAAGTATAAATGGAACATCACAGGAGAGAAGGCTGGTAGTTCTTCAGGCTGTAGAAGCTGCATTTCTGTTCTAAACCACACCATCACGATCATTAGTCATTCATGATTGAAATCAATGATTCCACCTTCTGACGGCATTTGTTCACTGTTCCCAGGAACTGCCTTCTCACTTCCCTCAAGAGGGCTTTTAGAACTTTAAGCTTTCTCTCTCGGCCTGTTTATTGTGCACTGTTCATTTGCAGAGTGGCTGCAGTATCCTGTGCCAGTTTGGCAGCGTAAGGAGGATTTGCTCTTACATTCTCCCAAGAATAAGTGTTAGCTCTCTGGTGACTTAGAATTCCCTTCCAAATGACGACTGTGGCTGGAGAGCCCAGGAACTTTGTGCCAATCAGTCCTCGTTTCTATAGCTACGAAAGTCCCTTGAAACAGTGACAGAAAATAAGAGCAGATTGTTCTCAATTTCCGAATTCATTGATATGAAATGTTAAAAAAAATGCACCACTAAATTCACTCTCAAGGTGATTATTTTCTCTTTTGGTGCACTCCTGTGCTCACGCTCTTTTTCTCTCTTTCTTGCCTACTGTTGGGATTGTAGAAATATCACTGGTTGCTCCTCAAATGCCATTCATCCCTCCTGTCCCCCTTCCTCATGTAGCCCCTCATATAACCTCTTTTTTTTTTTTATTTGAGAAGGAGTCTCGCTCTGTTGCCCAGCCTGGAGTGCAGTGGTGCGATCTTGGCTCACTGCAAGCTCCGCCTCCCGGGTTCACGTTATTATCCTGCCTCAGCCTCCCAAGTAGCTGGGACAACAGGCGCCTGTCACCATGCCCGGCTAATTTTTTTTTTTTTTGTATTTTTAGTAGAGATGGGGTTTCACCGTGTTAGCCAGGATGGTCTGGATCTCTTGACCTCGTGATCCACCCACCTCAGCCTCCCAAAGTGCTGGGATTGCAGGTGTGAGCCACTGTGCCTGGCCCCTCTTTTTTTTTTTTTTTTTTGACAGAGTCTTGTTCTGTGTCTTGGCTCCCTACAGCCTCGACCTCCTGGGCTCAAGCGATCCTCCCATTTCAGCTGCCAAGTAGCTGGGACTACAGGCACATGCCACCATGCCCAGCTAAATTTTGCGTTTTCTGTAGAGATGGGGGTCTTGCTATGTTGCCCCAGCTGGTCTCAAACTCCTGGCCTCAAGAGATCTACCTGCCTCCCAAAGTGCTGGGATTACAGGAGTGAGCCAGAGCACTTAGCCTGCCCCTTTTAGTTGCTATTGATTTCAGGGAAGATTGGCGCTAACCACAGGGTATTTACTATGATTGGTGTAAGCCATTGACTGACTTAGGGATGAGCATTTCACTCAGTGCTTATCAATGAGATGGGAGGGGAAGTCTGCCTAGCACATTTATGAGAAAAATTTCCCTTCCTTAAAACAAAATGAGACAAACAAACAAGTAGAAGCAAAAATAGTCCTTTTCTGTTTTCATTTCCAAATGGCAGGTGTGATCAGACAACACCTGTAGGTGCTTTTACCATCTAGACACCATGGGGGAACATAGTTGAAAGACCAAGGAGAAAATGAGACTGTGAAGGCTGGAGGAAACCTTGGTACTTAATTGTGCTGATAAGTTCACCAATCTGGAAACCTCTTTACCTCCAGAGTTCTTGTTACGTGAGATTGAAGGAAAAAAAATCCTAATATTGTTTAAGTCATTTGAGTTGGGTTTTCTCCTACTGGCAGCTAAGCTCAAAGCATCCTAAACCATTTCATTTCTCCTTGTTTGCTCCACCTGTCTTTCTAATTCCCCTCTCTTCACTGGTTTGGGGACTTCTGAACAACAATGAGACTTTCTAGTAATTACTATGTCAAGTTATCAAGATGTTGAGCCTCCATTTCCAACAGAAGACTAATTATTGAGTCTATTTTTAAGTGCTAGAAAACTCAGTGTTTTTGTATTGTATTTTCACTATACAAAATGCCATTGCATATTTTTCTATTTCAGCAGGCTTTGAAAGTCCTGCCATGTGAGGAAATCCTAGGACAAGAAGATATTTAATAATCCCAAACGTACTGGGAGAAAGAAAATATTTCTGTCAAATCCCATGTTTATATATACATCTACGTCACTCTTAAGTAGCTAAAATGGATTTTTTAAAATCACAGGAATAACTTATAATTGTTCCAAACATTCTCTTTCCTTTATGTTCTCCTCCCTATTTCTGCTATTGGTGCTATCATTCTCTTAGTCATCCACACTTAAAATCTCTGATATATTTTTGGCTCCTCCCTCTCTCTTTTTTTTTTTTTTTTTGAGATGGAGTCTTGCTCTTTCGCCCAGGCTGGAGTGCAATGGCGTGATCTTGGCTCACTGCAACCTCTGCCTCCTGGGTTCAAGTGATTCTCCTGCCTCCGCCTCCTGAGTAGCTGGGATTACAGGTGCGTGCCACCACGACCAGCTAATTCTTGTATTTTTAGTAGAAACGGGGTTTCACCATGCTGGTCAGGCTGGTCTCGAACTCCTGACCTTGTGATCCACCCACTTCGTTCTCCCAAAGTGCTGGGATTACAGGCATGAGCCACTGTACCTGGCTGGCTCCTCCCTCTCTCTTGTGCCGGAAACCATCTGTTGCAGGGTCCCTGATGATGCCATCTTAGAAATGTCTCTTACAATCCTTCCTTGTGAACCACCCTCACTGCCACTAACCTAGGTCAGACCTCATCAGCAGCCTCCTGAAGTGCCCTCTTGCCTCCACTTTTTCTCCATTCATCGTTCTAAAGCTGGGGTTTGCCAGGCCCACTCACTTCTTAGTGAGTCCACACTGTCCGAGTGGTAGGGCCAGAGCTTGCACATGGTCATTCAAGGTCCCTGAGTCAGCTGCAGCTGATGATGCCCACCTTCTTCCTCATGCCACCTGCATCATATTCCAGAGTCCAGTCAAGTGCAGCCTTGCCCTTATGACCATGCCCTCTTATTTGACATTGAGTCTCTTTCTTGGAAAGTCTTTCTTCCTTACATTTATCTGTTCAAATCTTATCTACCATTCACAGATTATCTGAAATTATCTTTTTCTTCACAAGGTTCTCCTGATTCCTCCAAGTCAGAAGTATGCTATGCCCTCCCTTGAATTTCACTAAGATTTTATCTCTTTATCAATGAAGGCATTTATTACTGGTATTTACTACTTTCTTCTATTTATAATAGTTATTCACTGCATATCTGATGCAGTCTCCAAAAAGGTGAAGTTCTTCAGGACAGGAACCATTTTTGTTCACTTTTGTGTTATCTTTGGAGCATGTTATTTCCTTGACCATTGCAACCCCAATAAAGAAAATTGAATTACTGCAAAGTGACTGGCTTTCTGCTTCTTCTGGGTGTCCAAACCTTATCAGCTGATTAATTAAAATGTAATAAAGAAAAAAGGAAAATTATTTGATTCAGCTGATCAGTCATGAGGAAGACTTCTTTAAGGAGTGATGAATTTAGAGTTATGTCAGATACAAAATAGGATATCTTAGTTTTCTGTTTCAGAGATAGTCTTAATCAGAAAGACACTTTTAATAACATAAGTGCTTCAGGATTATTCACCAAATTTATAAGCATTTTTTGGTTTTCATCTGAAGATTATTACTTGAACTTTACAAAAGAATGATTGCTTTGCTTCGTTGAGAAGCATCACTTTCTGATGAGTCAGGATGTACCAATATCAAGATGAGGGATATTTTTATAAAAACAAACATCTATTTTTTTCCTGGCCAACTTTTCTACTCATCAGAATTAGTGCACTGCTCTTCACTTGTAGGAATCCTGATGAGACACGCAATTACCTAGTTACCAATTAACATAAAGAAGATCTTGTGGAACTTCGGGAATCCCTAATCAGCTGGTCTGCAGAAAAACAACACAGCCCACAGGCGCGCATGGGGGAATTATGAGAAATATTTGGAATCACTGTCCACATTTTCTTATCCTTACACATTTTTCCAGCTATTTGTCTTAAATTTAATACACAGTATGAAGTAGAAATAGACCCAGGGTTATTAGATCAGAGAAACTGATCAGGGTAAATATGTCCTATTCATTTCTACAGACTGATTGCTTACCGGGTAAGAAGAGAATGTAACTCCATACCACAATAGGATTTGTTCCCATTCAGTTTAAGAACAGATTACAAAGTAAGCACTTTCATAATTGGTGAAATTAAATTCCTGAGTATTTAGTAAGAACAAGGAAGATTTTATTTGCACAATATTCTCATAAAAGTAAAAAACAACTGAGCCTACCTTCCATCCATATCTGGATCTAACATTTCCTTCAACAGGTGGTGATAAAGAGGCCACGAGGCACTCAGAGAAGCACAGCAAGTAAGTAGAAAGAAGTGATTTACACAGAGAGTTCAAAAGGATTTCTACCATTTAGTTAAATAATACCTAGAGTCCAGACTCTTGTGACCCTGCAAATGCTGGGAAAGAGGATTTACAGCGAGGTTGGGCGGGGCTGATGTTACATAAGAAAGCAGCCACTGAGCCACGCACACTGCCAGATGCCAGGTCAGCCAGGAGCTCAGGGATCCAAGGCCCCTCTCAGACTCCTGGTGCAGCGATTATAGAGTTCAGCCATTTAGGAGAGTGTGACAGAGTGGCGGCAGATGGCCCCTAGCAGAAATAAGTTTTGAATCTGGCTCTGAATCCCACCCTCACTACTGCCTCTAGAATGTCATTAAACTTAAGCAGAGGAGAGGAATGTCAGAACCAAGACAAAGAACTGTCTTTGGTTGAGAGGGTGTTTCTGTCCACTTGCTGTGCCATGCAGGACGTGAGACGGGATAGGGAGATTTCATGTGTGTCATAGGCTGATGTGGTTCTGCCATTGTAAGATCAGCCCTCTTGACATAGTGACTGTTTCCGAGAATAATCATAATGAATCACAAACCTGTTAGCACTTTTTTCTCCTCCTTACCTGCCTCTGGCTGCCAGCGAAGTGCTGGGTTGAAAGTGTGTGAAGTGTGTGCACGTGCACACATGAACACGTGCAGGTGTGGTGGGAAGGGGGCACATGGGTGTGTAAGCAGTCTGTCACATAGGGAAGCAGTTCAGGGCCCAATAGCTTGAGGCCTCTGAGATGAGTTTACTTGTCCTGAAGAACAAGGGTGAACAAAGGCAGTGTTCTCATGGTGGTGACAGCAGCGGGGTGCAGGTCAGTGGAGGCTCAGAAAGGGGAAAGTTAAAATGAGCTATGAGGTCCAGCAATCCGGACAATAAGAAGGAGTCAGGTGAGTGGAGATAAATTAGGCCTGATCACCTTGAAGTTTGGAAAGAGAGGTGGAATTAAGGAGATACACTGGCTTATCCTTCAAAGCCCCCTATAAAACATGTGGAAACATTAACTCACAGCATTGAAAACGGATGTTTGGACATTTTTTATGTGTGTTAGGGGGTGCATATGGTGACCAAGAATGTCTGGAGGTGACCAGAGATAACTGTGGCAGAAATATGAGAACCAGTAAAAGCCAATATTTCCTGGAGGATATCAGCAATTGCCTGTGTAAATTTAAGCACTGGCCTATCTGTGAGTATCTGGCTAACTTTAAGACAGAAGGAAAACAAAGGAATTCATTACCCCCTGGAGGCTGAGGACAAAGCCAGGGATCTGGTCCAGCCTTTCCCCATAAGAAGACCAAGACAGGGAGGCATATGAAGACCAGGAATATAGTTCTCCAGTTCCATCCATGTTATGTTAAGTGAAATAATCCAGGAACAGAACGGTAAACAGTGCATGTTCTCACTCACATGTGGAAGCTAAAAGAGCTGATCTCATAGAAGTAATAAGTGCTACAGAGGAGACTAGAGGCTGGGAAGAGGAAGAGAGGGAAGACGAAGGAGGTAAGGGAGAGATAGGGATATATTTGATAAAAGGATACTAAATTACAGCTAAATAGGAGGAATAAGTTCCAGTGTTCTATACCATTATAGGATGACTAAAGTTAACAATTATTTTTACATATTTTCAAATAGCTGGAAGGGGGATATTGAATGTTCCCAACACAAAGAAATGATAAATGGCCAGGCGCAGTGGCTCACGCCTGTAATCCCAGCACTTTGGGAGGCTGAGATGGGTGGATCACCTCAGGTCAGGAGTTTGAAACCAGCCTGGCCAACATGGTGAAACCCTGTCTCTATTAAAAATACAAAAATTAGTGGGGTGCGGTGGTGGGTGCCTGTAATCCCAGCTACTCAGAAGGCTGAGGCAGGAGAATCGCTTGAACCTGGAGGGCGGAGGTTGCAGTGATCCGAGATCGCACCACTGCACTCCAGCCTGGGCAAAAGAGTGAGACTCCATCTCCAAAAAACAAACAAAAAAAAAGATAAATGTTTGAGACAATGGATATGCTAGTTACCTTGATCTGATCACAGCACATTATATGTATTAAAACATCACTATGGTACCCCCATGAATATGTGCAATTATTATCTGAGAATTAAAAAAGACAAGGAGAAACTGGACTTCTCTGAGGAAGTAGGAGGTAATGGTAATTTCTTGGAAAAATGAAGCGGCAGCAAGCTACAGAAGTCCTTCTTTCCATGAGCGGTGTGAACGGTGCTCCTGAACATCCACAGGCACTGGCTGGGTAAAACGAAATGTGATCGATCTCAAAATGCACAGGCTCGAGATTTTGGAGTCAATACATGTTTAAATTGGCATATCATGCTAGTTATGTCTATATCTACTCCTGTCTCAGTCTTCAAATAATTCCCTCGCTTAACGAGCTGTATTTTCCTCTTCTTGCAGCAATGAGATTCACCAGTGCTGCCCTGTTTGCGGCCTGAAAGCAAATCAGGGAAGACAGACACCTTCTCATTTAGGAAAGGAAAATTTAAACTCATCAGCTGCTTATGGGTTACTTTTCTATTTTTTCTTTTCTTTTTTTCTTTTTTCTTTTCTTTTTTTTTTTTTTTGAGATAAAGTCTCGCTCTGTTGTCCAGGCTGGGGTGCGATGGCGGGATCTCAGCTCACTGCAACCTCCGCCTCCCGGGTTCAAGTAATTCTTCCGCCTCAGGCTCCTGAGTAGCTGGGATTACAGGTGCCCAAAAACACGCCTGGCTAATTTTCGTCTTTTTAGTAGAGACAGGGTTTCACCATGTTGGCCAGGCTGGTCTCGAGCTCCTGACCTCGGGTGATCTGCCCGTCTCAGCTTTCCAAAGTGCTGGGATTACAGGCATGAACCACCGCACCCGGCCGGTTACTTTTCTATTGAAGGCAGTCTAGCTTGATGAGGATTGCAGAGAAGGCAGAACAGGCTCTAGAAACTGGATTCTCCAATTCTGTTTTCCACTAGAATTTTGCTTTGTTTCTTTTGAGGAAAAAGAAACCTAGAACACAGGAGGGCACCCTGGACAGTGAATGTGTTAACCTGGAGTCGTGGTGCATTTACCGTCCCTGCCAATATCTGCACTGCAGAAAGGATGTGGTTTTATTCTGCTGGACCCTCCGGTGACTATCAAGTGCTTGGAGAGACCATGACATGTAATGACATGAAAGTAATTTCGGTGTCACAATTTATTTCTCTTGAATTCACTGTAGATTTCTAATTGTAGAAAATCATCTCACCATGACAAGACTAGAGTGGACAAAAGCCTTTTAAACAGCCCTTTCAAATATTAGGTCCAAGTAGCAAAGAAAAGAAAATGGGGGTAAAAGTTACATTCTATTCTCAAAAAAAGAAATCTACCCAGAGAAACCATTGTCTTAGTCTCTCTGGGCTGCTGTAATAACACAGCCTGAGTGGATTATAAACAACAGAAATTTATTGCTTACAGTTCCAAGGCTTGGGCTGGAACACTGGGCTTGGACTGACCAGCTTAAGCCATGCCAGTAATATCTATATCTGCTCCCTTCTCAATCTTGAGATCAAGGTGAGCAATTTATTGCTTGGAACTGTGAGCAGTAAGTTTCTGATCAAGGTGCTGGCTGACATAGTGAGGGCCCGTTTTGTCATAGATGATACCTTCTTGTTTTGTTCTCACATGGTAGAAAGGGCAAACGAAAGGGATCTCTTTCATAAAGGAATTAATCCTACTTATGAAGGCTTCACCTCCATGCCCTAATCTGCTCCTAAAGGCCCCACCTATTTATTGCATTGGGGGGACACAGACATCCAGACCAGAGCAACCATCCCGGGAAAAGGGGTCTGGACAAGCATGGTTTTCGGTCCAAAGAAGTTCTTCAAAACGTACTTTTAACATTTCACTGGGCCTTATGAATAAACACATTTAATCCAGTCCCCCCAAATCCTAGTTAGCTGGAGGACATATTGTTTTCATTTTATTAACAGTTGCTAAAGCCAGCAATCCTTAAAGTTCCCTGGGAAGCATTGTGGAGATAGGGATGTGAGCTCATAGCCAGTAGCTGCAGAATGTATTATGGACTTGGGAAAATTACTTCACCTTTTCATTCTTTAGAATATGGAACTGTCTATTATTTGAGCTAAACTACCTGTAAGACAAGGAGGAAGGAGAGTGAATATTGTTATAGACGGTAAACCGAAGACTTAACAGTTTACCTGGCTTTATCTAAATACTCTTTGATACCAAAAAAATGATGGGAAATGTTACATCCTGCTGTTGATAAATAAGTATAAACAATTTTGCAAAACTGAAATACATCATGTGCAGAGAAAATAGAACAAAAGTTAGGTATTACTGAATAAAATTAAACATCATAGTTGGAGTGTGGACTAGAGATTTCTGTGCTTAGTCCTGAGTTTTGAGTGGAAAATGCAGTATAGCAATGTTATTGATGCTACAAGTATAAAGAACATTTTTGAGCTTAATGGAAATAAAGTATCCTAGTTTATCACTCTCAAAATAAATAAGCATTTGAAGAATGCTTTAATGTTGCTACTTAACTGACAAGCGGCCCTCCACTATCCCAGGGAATAATTTCTTGGAAATGATTTGACGAGTTAATTTTTTTTTTTTTTTGGAGACAGAATCTTGCTCTGTCATCCAGGCTGGAGTACAGTGGCATGATCTTGGCTCTCAGCTCACTGCAACCTCCACCTCCTGGGTTCAAGTGATTCTCCTGCCTCAGCCTCCCATGTAGCTGGGATTACAGGTACCTACCACCATGCCTGGCTAATTTTTGTATTTTTATTTTATTTATTTATTTAATTTGAGATGGAGTCTCGCTCTGTTGTCCAGGCTGGAGTACAGTGGCACGATCTCAGCTCAACTGCAACCTCTGCCTCCTGGGTTAAAGTGATTTCCGGCTAATTTTTATATTTTTAGTAGAGATGGGGCTTCACCATGTTGGCCAGGCTGGTCTTGAACTCCTGGCCTCAAGTAATCTCCTGCCTCAGTCTCTCAAAGTGCTGGGATTACAGGCATGAGCCACCGCGCCCAGCAACAAGTCAATTTTTATAACAGGACACCAGATAGCTTAGACCAAAATGCTTTAAGGATTGAGGTTTGCATCATTGAGGAGACAACCAAGATTCAGACTGAAGGGATATCTTGACTAGAAATTAGGTTAATGAGGATAACTTTCTGTGATTGTAAGGATTAATTTACATTAAGCAGACAGATTATTTGCTGTATTTTAAAAATTCATTGCTATCCGGCCATGGCTGATCCTGGGGAGCAGGATGAAGTAGAAGTTATTTTTCAGTTTTCTTATGCTTCTCTTAGGCAACTCGTGTCCTGTGCTTCCAAGAGGTCTGCCTTTCTGATGCTTTCTGTCTGTGCAGGTCCTCCAGCCAGGCCAGCCCTCCCAGAAGTCCTGCAGTGATCAACATCCCTCTTCTTTACCCTCTTCAACACCCCTGTCCTCCTAGGCTCTCTGATTTCAGTGGGTTCTTAGGTAGAGTCATAGGATTAAATCAGCTCATACTATGAGTTAATAATTCCTGACAGGGGCTAATGGTGATTACAAGTCTAGGGTGTTTGCATAAGAAGAACAATGTTCTACTGAAGAAATAAATCTTTCATGGTGACATTTCAGTGGCTTTGAATGAGAACCCTTCCAGTGTCATTGTGACCCTGTTCCAGCGATCTACCTCCTGCAGCCTCCTTGGAGTTTGGGCCAAGGTTCTTTTCCCTCAACACTGTGGCCAGTTGTTTTAACTTCACTACTTGGGATGGTAATTGGCATTAGGCGTTTTACCAAGTTCTTTAAGCCTTTCTTAATATAACATCTGAATTGGGAGATAGCTCATTGTGGCCTGGGTGCTGGACTTTTCATATTAAGTCCTGTCTTAGCCAAGGGAGAAGAATGTAAGGATAAGACCACCAATATCACAGGGGCTGTCTGAGCCTTTACCTGTGATTTTCTACCACTCTGTGGCCTTCTGGAGCAATGGTGAGTACTAGACATTTTGATAATGGAGGGAGTACTTCTCTTTGAGACTTTAAAAGCCATGTTCAAACCATATCTTTCTTCTGAGTTCTACATCTGTTGGCTGCAAGGGTACTTTAGGGTGTGAACTGGACGTCCAGGAGTCCCCCACTGTGACCTACAGCTGCCTGAGGGTAGCTGTAACAGGTGGCCCTGCTTCTCAAGGGTTTTCTAGGACTTCTAGTGTATGGATGTCCCCAGTTCACAAACCAGGTCTCTGTCTTGATTGTACAAGTTATTTTAAAGTGACAGGAAATCAGACACCAAGAAACTGATAAATTGGCACATATTTTTATGGAAAAACACACTCACTACAATTGGTTTCAGACATGCTTCAGTTATCTAATTAAGCAGAGTTTACTGATTTTTTTAAAAAGTGTGTTCTGGGGGTGGGAGGGATGGAGGTGTGTTTATATATGGAACTATGAAGGATCTTTGTGGTGACGGAAACGTTCTATATCTTGATTGTGGTGGATACACAACCTACAATGCGATAAAATTGAATAGAACACACACACACACACAAATAGGTACATGTAAAACTGGGTAATTCTGAGTCAGAGTTGAAAACTGTATAATGTCAATATCCTGGTAATGATACTAGAGATGTTATCACTGAGAGAAACTGGGTAGAGGATACGCAGGACTTCTCTGTACTGTTTCTTACATGCGAATCTACAATTATCTCAAAATAAAAAGTCTAATTTAAAAATATGTGTTCTGGCCAGGCACGGTGGCTCACATCTGTAATCCCAGCACTTTGGAAGGCCGAGATGGGCGGATCACCTGAGGTCAGGAGATCGAGACCAGCCTGGCCAACAGGGTGAAACCCTGTCTCTACTAAAATATACAAAAATTTGCCAGGCGTAGTGGCGGGTGCCTGTAATTCCAGCTACTTGGGAGGCTGAGGCAGGAGAATTGCTTGAATCTGCAAGGTGGAGGTTGCAGTGAGCCAAGATTGCGCCACTGCACTGCAGCTTGGGTGGCCAAGTGAGACTCTGTTTCAAAAAAAAAAAAAAAAAAAAGTGTTCTATGTCCCAGGCTTGGAGTATTTAGAAAGATAAAATTCATACATGCAACAGATAAGCAAACACACATGTTCACGACAGTTGTCAGGGTTCAGCCCACCACAGTGAGTACACACATTTTGCTACCTGTTGGAGTGAGACAGTTTTATGTTTGGGCAATGGACTGAATCTAAATTAGGTATCATAAAGCATAACCATCCTTTTTAGATCTCTCATGCACAAGAAAATCATGACTATATTAGAAATTCTCTATGCTGGTGAATGTAGTTGTTTAATGTGGCGGGCACCTGTGATCCCAGCTACTTAGGAGGCTGAAGTGGGAGAATCGCTTGAACCTGGTGGGCAGAGGTTGCAGTGAGTCAAGATTGTGCCACGGCACTCCAGCCTGGGTGACAAAGCAAGATTCCATTTCAAAAAAAAAAAAAAAAAAAAAGAAGAAGGTTTGTAACTCTATATTTGTATTGATTTTTATATTGAAGTATTTTTAAAAAATATAAAGAAAAAGGTTTAAAAAGCCAAATTCAATTCCATATGTAAGAACTTGGAGGAAATGTGTTAAATGTTTTATGGGTTCTTGCAATCTTTTCCCCACCACATAGACCCATTTGTGAGCATAGCATAACAATATATTATCCTTATGTGATAGCAGAAATCTTCAAGCTTCAGATAAAGAAACATTTATAGATCACCCACCTGCTCTGCTTTTATAATCATACTATAAATCTCTCATTGATTCAAAATGATTGGGAATAAAATGTTTGACTAATAGGTTACTGAGAGTTTGTGAGCTTGTATGAAACACAGCAATTACCAATTTCAAGGGATTCAAAGAAAGTCGAATATATTTTAATCCAATCACCTCAAATTCATTATGGAATGAGAGAAGGTAATAAAATAGTCAACATGATACTAAAATATTTATTTTTAAATTTGGATTTTTTTTTCAGGATCTGTTGGGGTTCAGAAATATCATTAGTGTATCTCAACTATTATTGTGAAAACAATTTAGGCTGAATTGATACAGAAAGTTGTTCTGCACATTAAACAATCTAACAATCACAGATTCCTCTTACTGTCATTTTTTCCCTATAAATAGAATGTAGACTATGCAATTAAATTTTCTGAGGTCTTCGACACTTTCAGATTTATTATTTAAATTTTTCTTTTTTCTCTCAACAATCATCACAGATCAAATTTCTTATTAGATGAAAACACTTCCATAAATTTGATGCCAGGTCCTAGTTTTTGTATGGTTTCAAATAATTTCAGACACACACAGCATTAAACTGACAAAGGGCCTGCTACATGGCAGATGAGTTTTCTCTTGGAATCTATTCTATAACCAAGCATTTTACATCACGCATAAGTAGCTGGTCTGCTGGTCAGACAGCTGAGGTAATGCTAGCAGGGAAGAAAACAGAAAACACCAGCTAACTATGAGGGAATCTATGCAGCTGTTACAGGATTACTTTACCTTCTTCAGACACACGTTTTTATTTCCATTTTGTGTAAAAACTTTCGTGGTTTGCAGAATTATGAATCCTCTTAAAGCTCTGGGACTTTGTTCATCCATCTCACCAACTGTCTAAACAGAAGTCTACAGCACCAGCAGACACAGTAGTAAATCTGACTTAAATCAGAGGCACTGATCACTTAAGCATTCTCCAATGTACATCAGCTTCATATAAATCATGAAAACTTTCAGGAAATAGATGCTGTGCAGCATTTATGCTGAACAGCAAAAAGTCCCCTAATTTTGTTGGATTTCTATGCTCAGGTGATTTTTTGCATGGTTCACTGGGATTCCTATTCCATAATGAACTTTAAAACACAAATGAATTGCAAGAAAATCCACTTCGTTTAGTTAGTTGCAAGGGCTCACCAAAACAATTCACCTTTTTCAATGAACTGGGCCAGAGGTAGAAAATACATTGGTAGTGAGCAATTTGTTTTTTGAAAAATTCATATTACTGTATCAACCTTCATTTTTAAAGATTACGTAATATTTGTTACTTCATATCTTGGGAAAATTATTTTCCCCTTGTGTCCTTATTTTATCTAATAGTGTAAATGCAATTGGTGCCGGCTATAATTCAATTGCTATTTTAAAATACCTCAATATGCCACTTCATAAACGTATTTATCTGTAGCTGTATCATCTATCTATCAATCATCTATCTATCTATCTATCTATCTATCTATCTATCTATCTATCTATCCATCCTTCTTTCAGGGAGTCAATTCTAATGGTCCTTCAAAAACATACTAATCAACCAAGGCAATTAATCTGCTGGTTCACTCATTTTCTTCCCTGGTTACTGAACAACTCTTTAAGGAGCTGTAGCTTTACGGCATCTCAGGGGGTGGGGGGTATAACTGATTCTGTCTTTAACATCCCTGTTGACAGAAACCATTTACTCAAAAGGGTGTTCACCACATGGCATATAGCTAATGTAGTAGTATCAGGTGCACCCAATCTTTTTTTGTAATCATCTCTTTTATATATAATTTTAGTTTTGTCTTGACAGTAAAGATGATTTTATTGTGGCAGGACTAACTCATGCTTCCAGCTCCAGATGGCTCAACAAGGACTGGTGGGGTACTACTATTAGGATTTTTGACTCAACACTTAACACCTAACAACAGAACATGCATGAGATCATAAGCTCCCCATTTCTCAGAGATTTTCAGACAGAGCTCAACTACTACTTGCCAGGGATATCGTAGAATAAATTTGTATAATACAAATCTTGAAATAAATCAGATACCCTCACACATATTTTCCAACTCTGTGACTATACGCTTCTTTGAAAATCATTTGTTAATGTTAAGCCTGACTGATATATCCCCTTTAGACCCATGCAGAACACGGCATTCCAAAACCTGAAAAAAAAATTAGCAGTTTGTTCTGGTCTTGAAAATAGGATCAGCCAAAATTTCCCAGTTAGGACAAAAGTTTCCTGTTTTCTCATTTGTGATGACACGCTGTTAATTCTTCCATTTATGCCAATGTAATTCGCTTAAATCCTTTTTTACTTGAGCAAACCTGTGGATGGCTGCAAGCACAGCTTATTGGATAACTCACTCAGCTATTTTGTTTGCCTGTTTGTTCTGTCCTGCACTACAATACTGATTTGCTGCCAGTTTCTTTTGTTGCACTTTCCATTTGGTAGTCTCCTTTCTTGGTTCACTTATGCACACTTCACAAAATCATCTCAACCAAGAGGAAGTTCATTTTTGCTGTTTACTGATTGTCAAATAAACCTACTTAGCATGTTCTTGGATTTGGTGTTGTCTAGGTGCTTTGTGGCATTTCTGCTACTGATGCCTTCTCCCTGTGGAATGTTTTAGGGATGTGAGTTTCTTTCTTGGATTCCCTAAAGCAAGCTCAATATGATGTGCTAAAAATTATTTCTTGATATAGATTAAAATCGATTGCTATACGATTTGTCAGGACAGAGTTAGGCTTCTGTAGTGGGATGAAATTATGCAGGTTTTACATACAAATTACTTCATTTTTCTCTTTTCCCAAGAAATGCTGCAGATGCAAAGGGTAGGGGTAAGAGCTGAATGCAGGTTTTATACCACTGGAAAGAATGAGTCAAGCCACAGTTACACACCCTTCAGGTGGGACACAACACACATTCCACACAGCTGTGCAAACCCTTTATTAAAGCATCAATCAAAATACAGGATGGATCACATGGTTTTCTGTTTTTGCTACTGTAATACCAACTTATATGAGTAACTTGTTTACAACTTTATTTTTAAAAGTGAACATTTTACAGTTCACAGAATCACCAGATTGACATTTCTGTCGAGACATTTTTCCATTTTCCAATTTTAACAAAGGACATCCAGAACTACTGAAATACAACAAACGAAATCTAAGTGCAAGCATCTTCCTTGATTCTCATTGTTAGCAGCTCTATGGTGTCTGAGATATACATTTGGAGGCTATTTTATTGGCTAAATAAAAATAATTTATGCCAGAATATTCTTAGAACTATTTACTTTCTATTTTTACATTCTCTAGCTTCAATTTTGATTGTAGTATTCTTAGTATCAGCCTCTTTATAAATTCTATCTCTAAAAAATCTGTTAAAGATCATTATCATCCTCATATGATATCTTCGTGAATAAAAGATAAATGCTCAGTCCTTTGGAAAATATAATAAGCAATTGTTTTATTTGATTTTTCCCCCACAATTGATTTGTGTAACCCAAACCTGGTTGATCAATGAAGAAACCCTAAAAATGTCATTAGGAAAATAAACTGTGCTATTTACTGAAGGATTTTTTAAAATGACCAGTATCTTGATGCTCAAAATATGTGAAAATACAATGAGATTTGGTAGATATTTTAAGAGTATGAATAACTTGGTTTAAAAACCAAGGATAGAAACATTTATAGAATTACTCAATGCCAAAAGGGTACGTGAAGAGCGGTAAAGGAAAGTATCTGAACAATGCTGAGAAAACAGAGTATCTGAAATGTAAGGTAAATGTTCTGTTTTGGTACCAAATGAAACACTGAAAGGAAATCCCCAGTTAAAAGAACCACAGTGACTGCCACTGAAGAGTTTTAGCACTGATCAACACTGTATTTCCTAGGGCAGAATAAAAGGTATCTGGTTTGCCTTTCTAAACCATTTCTTCCAGCAGCTGGAATTGGTGTTTCTACAGTCAAGTTAATTTGTGTTGGCTGCACGGGGCTTAGAGCATGCTGTTCCAAACATGCAAATGTCCTTTGTACCTGATTTTCTTCATGTGCTAAAGAGCTGAGCAGATCCTAGATCACCAATAAATAAAGATCCAAGCATGAGACTTGAAACATCTTATCAGTCCATTAAAATAATTTACATAGCCATAGGTAAATTCATCCAGTCTTTCCATCACATTGCTTTCTTGTTATCTCACATTTGCCCTTCAAAACAAAGTTTCGACAACATAGACTGGTGCAATTAAAAATGAAACAAACAATAAAAACAGATAAAGGAGGAAAGGGGAATTCCAGAACCCCATTGTGTGAGATGTCAGGTCTTTCAACCTTAGTTGTGAAAAACAAATGCTCATAAGCATCCAAGACAAATCATTCTGGACATAATGACACAGCACAATAATGCTTGGGATGGATGAGACATTCAGAGATTTTTAGAGCGATTTCTAGAAGCTATATATCACATGTATCACGTTTGGTTCCTAGAGATTTTAGTCAAGTATTAGTATTTCTTTTTGCTAAGTATGGTATACAAAAAGATGAGGATAGATGTGCCCTAGAGATATGAAAATATAATATATAAAACAAAACCATTATAAATTACATAGATTTTTCCATATAAAATTGTTTTCCCCATTTAGAATAAATACCATCCAAGTTTACAGATCATCTAAGTGAATTAAATGTACACACATATGTGAATCATTTTCAGAATTTCAAGAAAAACATTGCTAGAGATATGACCAGGATGACTCAGAAGCCAGAAATTGATTTTACAAACGACTACATACGACCCAAAGGACGAGGCTTTGGATTTAGTGTGAAGCTTTTAAAACTGCCCAAATGAGTCCAATGTGCACGAGTGTGTATGCACACACGTTCAGTCACACTCGCATGAATTTCTATGAAGCTGAACAGTTCACTTTATCTTTGAAAAATCAGCTGAAAGTCATGAGGTCTTCTGCATTTCATATTCTAGCAGGAGGGCCTCTCATTTCATAAAGAAGCTGTAGGATGGATAGGAAGAGTGTAGCATTTTTGGAAGGAGAAATTCCCATTTTAAGTCAACCTCCCTTTATGTCAGTTGTTATCAAAACCGAGAGCATTATGATGCCTTAAAGAGGGAGAAAGTTTTGAAAATCTACATAAGCTCTCCCCACTGCAGTCTAAAGCAGCAAAACCAATCAGGAAACATTCTTTGGCCGCATATTTCTGCTCTTGCTCCACTGAAAATCTGCCCACTTTTAGCTTATTATCACTATTCAATGTCTAGGTGGAATGGATGCCTTCTCCTTTCCATGTGGAAACCTACACATGGGTTTGGGTGGAATGACAACTGAATAGGATGGGGTAACATCCATACAGTATCACAAAATGAACTTAAGTCCTCTGTTGTTGCTTTGGGCATATAAACCCATGGTAATGAATCTGTGGACCTCCATGACAACTGGAAAATTTTTATATTCTAAGAGGTGGTGTTAAAACTTTTCTGCAACCCAAAAACATACAATGCTAGTCCAGAAAGCCCAACAGGAGTCATAATTTCTCCTGATTTCTCACTGCTCATTTCTTTATGTGACTGCCCAAAGCACTTCTAACCAGAAGTCAACAGTTCAGTCCTTTTCAAGAGATGTCTCATCAAACTCCATGACTAGTTCTATCACCTTCCACAACAGTTATCTATAAACAAACTAATCAAGGCTAGGTTTAAAACCAAGCCCACTGCTCTCAATTACAGAGCCAGATAATGTTTGTTGTAAAGTTTGGATGGCAAAAGTATCCAATTTCATGGACCCATTTTTTGCTTGTCTCATGCAACGGGGGTTGGTTATCCTGGAAGACTGCAAACTTTCTGTGAACTATAAATGTTTCAACTAGAAGGGATCCTGTAGACCCTCGAGTACTACCTGCATATTTTACAGATGAAAAAGATTAAATCCCAGAGAGAGGAAGGGAGTTGTCCAAGGTCACCTCCTCAGATGGTGACAGAGTGAGGACTAAACATCTGGGTCTGCTCTCATCACCAATGTGATCCATGCAATCTTGGACATCATAACCCCATTACCTGATGTGGCCACGGCCCCTATGAATTTATTAAGATTACTGTCTCCTTTGCTTTTAAGGGAAAATTAAATAAAACCACTCATTCTCACCAATATTAAATCTTAATTGCAGATGTGGTCCTAATGGTTTTTTTGGAAGGAGAAGATCCACAATTTGTTTAAAATGCTATTTCTCAAAACCAACATTCTTATTTAAGTAATGAAGCATGAAAATGTTAGGTGGACCAAGAGATGAAAGCAAAAATCTTTAAAGTCATTGTGAAAAGGAGCAAGGATGTGAATATTGGTTTGGTTCTGTGTGACAGTGATACCATTTCAACAGTGCTCAGAGCTCATGTCATCTGCCCCTTCTACAGATAAGGGACCTGAGGTCCAGACTTGTCCAAAGCCAGGCAGCTGGTTATTGGCACAGTGGGTATTAAGCCTTTGGATGACTAATTTTGTCTTCTTTCCATAACATCACGCACCTCACATATAACCACTTTCTTGCAGGACTGCATAATTATTCAACAGTTTTGGCATAAAATCTGATGGCACAGTTCCCTTTGCTATTACCCTAACCTTTCGCTTTCCTCTTTAAGGACAACCAAGTCAGCTATGCAGTTCATAAAAGTGGACCTGGTTATATGTCATCCAACAGCATATGGTCCCTGCAAGCCTGTTTGGAAGCCAATATTCTATAACCTACAGGAATCCACTGAATCTGATGTCTTTGGAAGCAATATATTTTCCAGGTAAAGAATCAGTCTTTATTTGGAGGATGATGTAACTTAAACAGTGACTTTCATGGGTGGTGTGGGTATATTTAACCTTTTACAATCTCCCTCTACATCTCAGCTGAGCTCACCAAAAGGCTCACTCAATCAGACAGGTAAACACATTTTTGACTATTAAAGTGCTATTCCGGGGCAAAGTTTTTCTCAGTTTCGTTTAACAGCAGCTTCGTTGGAAACAAACAAAAAAAGCTATCTATGGAAATAGGCCTGGGGAATGAAAAAAAAATAACAAGCCTCGTAACTACTTTGGAACATGACAAATGTAATGTGACTTGTAGATATCAGCCCTGGTACTGGTGACTGATACCAAAGTCTCTGAGGTACGTGTTCTAGGGAAACATAAGGACAAAAGTGGCAATGAGGACTAAACCAGAAAGAACAATTAGTATTAATAACAATGACCCCATTATAAAGGAAAAGCAAAATTAAAACTGAGAAGAAACTGCAAAAAACCCACGTACGTGCATTTGCTATTGTAGCAGACCTATACTTTTTAAAAGGAAAAGCAATGCAGGGGGCACTGGACAGGGTTCTTGAACTCAGAATATCTTACAGTGGTGTACTCTTTGCCAAGAAGGCATCACCAATTAAGGTATTTGGCAGAGATCAGCCTCTGAAACTCATTATCACATAGACACCTTCTGTCTGGTATCAATTCTGCACCCTGATGTTTCTCGCACCCTTCTCTACTGGGGAAATTCCAGTCCCATTCACTGCAGGCAGGTGTTTCTCCTTTTAAAGTGGCATCACTCCTACCTAAGGGATGAGAGTCTCCTGGTAAGGCTTAGCGGCAAGTGCGTACTACATCTGTATTACAAGGAGCAGCCCCTGATTTTCTTGATATGCATAGCTTTTCGGGGTTGGTATTAGACATGGCTTTCGTAAATAATGCAGGTGTTTTTGTCATGTGTCACTGCTGGCTCTGTGGCTTCCAGGTAAGCTGGCGGCAGTACCTTATCTGGTACCTCAACAGGTGTTGGCTCTTCAGATGTTAGCTCGGTGGACGTGACATCGGTAGAAGGTTCTGCAGTTTCGGGGGAATGTTCCGCCGACAGTTCTGTCTCCTCTACATCTTTGACTTCAAACTGTCCACCCTCTTGGTCATCTGCATGCTCTTTTTTGGACTGCGGGTGAACTGACACCTTGATGGCAATTTGCTGAGGTTGCTCGTGCAGCGATGAGGCGTCCGAGTCAGCGGCAGGGGAGTCGCTCCGCTTCAGAGAGTTGGGGATTGTGTAGACCTCATCCCTGTCTGCGGCCTCCTGGCCCTCTGGAGTATGCCTCACAAAATTCTGCCCCTGCTCCTCCAGCCCAACCACCTCCATAATCTCCTCCATGATAGTCCTGCAGTTCATAATGAGAGGCGGCAGAGGCACGCTCCTGGCAAGCTCTTCGATGTAGCGGGCGAACTCCATGGTTTTGAACTGGGTGACTTTGGCAAGCTCTAGAGTTTTGGCGGAGGTGATGATGGGGATGCGCTTGGCGATCTCAAATGCCTTCTGCAGCTTCTCTGCACCTTCGGTCCTAAAGAACTCATTGATGGCCTTCTCAGTCTTCTTTAGATGGCTGCTCATCATGCACAGGCGGGTGATATTGAGGACCATGACGATGGTGAAGGCCACCAGGCACACGACCATGTAGTAGACACCCATGTCTCCAGAAGTGAAGATGACGCGCAAGGTCACCGTGTTGTTCACGGTGCCGTAGATGTTAGAAGCCACACACGTGTATTTACCTCGGTCTGAGAAGGATACCTTGGTGATGTTCAGGAGGCCGCTGTCGTGCATTTGCCATTTTCCTGTCGGAAGGGAGAGAAGAGAATTCAACCAAGGACACAGAGCTCCCATGACTACAAACTGATACGTTTCTAAGAACATCTATGAACATCTATGAAGAACATCTATGAAGTCTATGAACGTCGACTTCACATGCTTACTATGCGGCAGGCAGTGACATGCATCAGCTCATTTAATCCTCACAATAACTCTGCAAGGTGGCCCCTGACACTGCCTCCGTTTTACAGGATGAGGAAACTGAGGCACAGTCAGGTTAGACAACACTCCCAAGGGCACCGGCTTGGAAGCCGTAGAACTGAAGATGAACTTGAGTTCCAGAGGCTGCACTCTTAACTACCAAACCATATTGTCTAACTCCACATCCTAGTGAAAAATGAGAGAAACAATCTGGAAAACACTGTGCTCTTATTGAAGAGTTCCTTAACTTTAAAAGCAACTGGTTCTCTAACCTGCCAGTGAGCATGCCTCCATTGAATATATGTTCACTGGGGAGGTTAATGCAATTAAATTGTTTACCTGAGTTTCTCAAATTTAAGATTGAAGTAATCCTTGTATGATCTCAGTTAATTAAAACATAATTTGTATCATTCATTTTGAGACTCCACAGTGAATTATCTATACTATTTAAAGTTACAAGCTAACAATGTGAGTATTCAGAGGCTGGATATGAATTAATATCAATTTGTTTTAGCCTTGCAAATAAATTACAGACCCATCAAGTTGAAAATAAGCTTGACACGAAGGAGAACACATACTGATAATAAATGCGAGTTTTCTTACCCCCACCACCCTCTCTGGAAAGGATCTAGCATCGCCTCAGGAATGATATTTTGAATTCAGTGAAACACTTTGGTTTGAATTTAGCCTGCCCATCTACCTGCAGGTCAAAGACCCCTGTGAAACATGATACTAGACGTGGCTTCAGGGTGTTAGGTCTGAGCCCTTCTGAAACCCTACTACCTCCCTGGACTGTCCCATAGAGCAAATGAAGATCCCAGTTAGGCTTTTGGGGAGTTCTAAGGAACAGGCAAATATTTCTCCATAAAAACATTCTAGTTCCCCGAGCCGACTAGAGAAACCTCTCCTGAGAGCTGGGGCAACTGAACGCAGTTTCAAGTATCTATTATTGCACTGTATATTATTTGTTTGCTCTCCTTATGGTAGTGAGTTTTAATTCTAATAGAAAGCCTGGTATTTCCCAAAAGCAACTCTTTTTTGTTGTTTTTTGTTGTTAATACAGGGTTCCAATGGACTACGGAATAAGGCAACACAGGGCCTGTTTTCCCGCAGTGTCCTCTGCTCCAAGGAACTTTCTTAAGGAAGCGGGACGTGTCAATGAGGTACCTCCCGGGGTTCTACAGTTCCTCCTGCCCACTGGCCAGGGGGAATCTGGCGGGAGCCTCTCGGTGGATGCTGTCACATGACTGTGCCTTCTGAAAGAACATCTGTGAAGAGCAGTTTCTGGTGTCCCTGAGTAACCCTTTTCTAACAATTCAGCCAGTGTATTTCCTCCAAGAGTAGAAAACACTGGCTTGGAAAATCTAGTGAATTTTCAGCTTCTTGTGAATGTGTATGAACAAACCAACCTACTCGGTCTGTGAAATTCTCGCTAATTCAGATGGGACATGGGCAAGGCTTCTAATACTTTCATCCCATGAACATAAATTTTGATATTTCAGCTGCAGATTTTTTCAAATATACAATGACCTGAGGCCAGGAAAGTTACCTTGTCAATTTATTTTCTTATAATTTGCATGTCTTATAAAAGTAGACTACAGCAGGCATGGACAAAAACAGAACAAAAGTCTAACTGATTGAAAGCTTATTCCATAGAGAAGACATTGGGTTCTAGAGACTTACAGGCTATGCTTGTAGTTTCTCATATTTACCTTCCTTTTGTTGGAAAATATAGCAGAAAATAGAGTGGAGGAGGGTGAGAAGGTGAGGTTATTTGTGTGAAGAATGGTTAGGATCAGTTTGTTTACCTCCTCCCCATCCGTACCACTTTTTGGAACAGTTATCTGTAAATATAAGGATAAAGTAGTCTGAACCTGGGTACAGAAGAGGAGAACACTAACAAGACAGGCATCTGATGGTAATACCAACAGCTTTTTCCCCAAACCTAAGTTACAACTTTAGTGATCATTATGTTCTAATTGTTATAGAAAAATAAAATGTGAAAATACTAGTTACAACATCCCAATGCTTTCCTCTATTGAATATTTAAAAATGTTTCTGAACGTGAACTTTGAGTTTTCAGATATGATTTTAATTGTGTATTGATATGTATTTCTCTAATCTACAACCAAGCAGTTCAATTTAGACAACTACTTACAGGCACTTCAAACATTTCTTGTGACATTGTTAAAAGGGGCATAGCTTGGAATCAAATGCAGTCTAATTAGGTGATATGTGTGGTTCATTTTGGGGAAATCTGTGAGATGTCTAACAGATAAATTATTACTTAGGAGTATATTCAGATTCTTAGCCCAGCACATTGGGTCCACAGACTAATGGTTTTCATATACTTTATCCAATATTTAATTTTATTTGTTCTGAAAGTTTTAAGCCCAGTCATATATCTGTGAAGTGACTATATTAACTATAAACTATGACAAATGTGAGTGCATATATTATAATCCTAAAGCAGGTGGGTTATTACCTATAGCATGAGCTGTAACCATCTAGTTAAATGAGATCATCACAGCTCTCTCTGCCAGCAATTTCCTGTTTCCAATGGAAGACAAGGATACCAAAACGTCTCTTTCGTTTTCAGTCCATTACTAGATTCCTCTGGAAACAATCATCATCTTTATTTTATGGGTTAAGGTAATGTTAATGTCACTTAGAATTCTGGGTGAGATATGATAAAATGAGTATGTGACCTGGATTAAAACATACTATTACCAGACCACAAAGCGAGTCCAAGTCTTTGGAAGCCAACACAGTTCTAAGACTATCATAGAAGAGAACTAAGGTCCCGTAGCCTCCAAGGTTGTGTACGTCTGTATTCCCCCACCCCCTTTTTTGTAAAGGCCAGTATATTAATTCGTTCTGGGAACCAAGACTCCAAATATTTCCTCTCAGCCTCAGCCTGCCCTTCCATTAGTGAAAAATAAAGATTTCTGCACATTCTACTGCCACGTACAGCTCTGAAAACTAAAGATGGTGCAAATTCTGTTTGGAGGCTCCTCCCGCATCAGCTTTGGGCTCATGCTCAAGAAGAATCTCCATCCACACGGCACTTGTCCAGACAGGAACATCTCGAAAACGTTCTTGCTGCTGCACATTACCATTCGCATCGGTCTATAAATACCTGGCCCTGCATCTCATTCTAGAAGGGTCCCGACTTCAGCTTCCAGAAAGTTATACAAACACCCACGGTGACTATCACAGATCTTCGGGGCTTTACACGCGAAGTGGGGATACACAGTGCAGTCCCCATGTATTTTAAACTGTAACTGAGTGGGTATGTCAAGCTTATGCACTGAATGTTCATGAAGCTGCATTGCTTCAGCACAAATAAAACCCAAAATGTCAGTAGCAGATGCCAGGTCAGTTCTACATGCAATGATTTTGGAAGAAACAACATAGGCAGCCATCTCGCCATAACCTTCTGAATAGAAAAGACTCTCACGTTCTTCCTGCACTTGGGCTCAGTTACACACTTCCTGTCCCTTGAGCAGACTGTAGCCCCGCCACCCCCCACCCCCCACCCTGAAATACCCTTCCTCCATCCCCTCTCTCTCAGCTCCTGTTCTGGAAAGTGATGCACACCTGAGGCTTTAGGCTAAAATGCTCACACACGCTGCAGGACAAAGGCTGCTGCATCTCACATCTCCTGGAGACCAGAAATTGCCAGGGACCTGTCACAGTCTTCCCCAAGAAACTCCAGGCACACGAGTTAAATGTGAAAATCTCCCAGATGTTGTTTCTGAGCTGTACTGCAGGGCATGGGTTATGCCACACAACAAAGCTGACATTTGTAGAAGGGCAGTGATCTTTTTTTATCTTGCTCACTAATTCAGTCAACAAATATCATTGAGCAAACTGTGTACCAGGCTCCAAGCTAGATGATGGGAATACAAAGATGAGTTAGACACGACCCCTGACTGCAATAAAACATCCAGTTCCAAGAGAAAAACAGACTCCGAGACACAACCACAGCATCATGTGGTTAAGTATAATGGCATCTGGGAGGGACTGAAGGGGACAGAGAGCAAGGGCTTCCTAGAGGAGGCCACTGCTAAGCCAGATCCGCTGGCACAGGTAGGGAGAGGAATGCGAGTAAAAGAGAAAGAACTTTTGAGGTCACAGGGAGCACATGAGCACAAGAGAGAACACTGTGAGCCGCTGGAGCTGACCACTAGAAAACCGAGAAGGGCTCAGATGGAGGAAGGCAGGGCTGGATTACAGGAGGACCCCCAAATATGCAAGAGCTTTATATCTATCCTGCAGGAGACCTGGAGCCCCGCCTGCTTCACGACCTCATTTACATGACTTTTCCCCTGACAGGTTTGCCTTACTGTATTTCTTAGAGGGGCCACAGGACCTTCCCTCATGCTCCCTCTCTGCCTGCAAGGACTTCTTCCTCCCCACCCCAAGTCCCAGCCTCACACATTTAGCCCAGTTAAGACCCCATCCTCAAGTCTTGCTCCATTTCCCAATAAAGCCTTGTGTGAACTCTGATTAAATCAGTGGAGGAAACCTGAAAGTCCAGAACCAGATGCAGCCAAGCGTGAGAAGTTTAAAGATGAAGACCACAGCATTTCAAATTGTGGGGGGAGGGGCAGGGAAGACTATTGGGATAGATGACTGTTCATTTGCAAGAAAATAAAGGCAAATTCCTACTTTATGTGATACATAAAAATAAATTCCAACTACTCCGAAGATCTAAACATAAAATTAGAAGTATAAAATTAATGGAGGATATAAAATATTTTTATAACCTGGAAATAGGAAGTCCTTTTTAAGCATTTCAAACACCTCAGAAGCTGTAAAGGAAAACACCAGTGGATCAGATTTCCCCTAAATTAATTTTTTTCAATATAAAATACACCATATTAAAGTTAAAAGCAAATGACGGGCCAGGAGAAAATTCTAGAATGTTTGACAAATACTTAATGACTCTAAAACATAATGAACAGCTCTAAATCAAGCAAGTCAAGACAAACCCAAAAGAAAAAATGGGAAAAGGCTATGAACAGATCATTGGCAAAAACAAGAAATGTGAATGGTGTCTATGTGTAGAAAATCACTAATATGTAAATTATGATTATAGAGATCACAGTCATTTTTAAAACAACTTTTTCAACTCTCAGGTTGCCAGAATAAAGGGGAGTCGCTAGTGACATTGTTGGCAGTGGAAAGTGACGGCTGCCTGGCTGGGTAGGTATAAGGGGCAGGCCCGGTAGCTCACGGCCCTTCTATCACACACAACTCACCGCAGCCTGGATGGCCGACTCCTGCCCAGCTCGGCCTCCTTTCATTAATTCTTTTTTTTTTTTTTTTAATATTGCTGAGAATGTAGGGTAAGGGACACTCCCATGCACTGCAGGTAGTTGTCAGGCTGGTAACACTGTTGGAAGGATGATTTGATCACAACTTAAAATGAAGGTAGCCTATGATCCACTCTTAGACTTCTTGAAATTCTTCAAATCAGGCAAGCCTAGGTTGACTGGAAAAACAGCAATGATGTAAACCAAACAACGTAATAATAATAAAAAAAATCTTTTTAAGAACAGTGTTTCTTCCCAGGGACATAGTTCAGAGCTTTCCTCTCCAGCTCACTTTCTCTGGGAGAAGCCATAACTGTGGTGGGTTCCACACCGGGAAGGCAGCTGACCTGGGACCACGGTGCTCGCCATGGTGGCATGCCCACGTGGTATGGCCCAATGTCTCCTCAATAGGACAGTGCCAGGTAGCCCATCTGGCAATGAGAGAACAGATCAATAGCATCCTATGGTTACAATTAAACCTGTAAATACAAGAGATTCTATGGTACAGGGGTGACTGTGACTTAGTGTGAAACCAACAGATGACAACATCAGAACTAACGCTCACACAAACAACTTCTGAGCAAATTACTGCTGTACAGCAAGGAGCAGCAATGAGCAACGCATTCTGAACTGAAGAATCACAGGGAAAGTGAGAGCACAACCTCCACAGGTACTGTAATCACAGCTTTTCTCCAAACACCACTTCTACTGAAACCTTAAATCTTTCCAGGTTTACCTTAGGATCACTGAGCGTTAAAAATTAACATTTTCAACTTGAGAAAGCTGACTGAAAAAAAAAAATTATACCCAAATGCTAAGCTTTTAAAATTTCCAATCTTTTTATGAATGCGTGTGTGTAAACAGTGATGGACGTATGGTTTGTCTACATTCCCAATGAGTGGTATAAACAGATTAAAACTGTATTAACGATCCTGTTTAGACACTTTGGCTCTTAAGCCTCACACACCCATGCTTTTCCAGGAGAAGAATTAAATCTGCCAAAACGAGTATGTTAGTTTCTTGAAACTAATTTAAAAATATTCAGATAGTGAGAGTTCCAGTAAATGTTTATGCAAACAATAAATGAAATACAACATTTATTCAAACGAGGATTGCGTAGAATCGGCACCCTTTGAAGAAGCACAAAATGCGTGCATATGTGTTTGTATCTATAAATGTGGCACATATTTTGTGAAATACAGGCTACTGAAGAGATAGGATTCATGCCTTTTTACCAAACATAATTGAAAGCAAATTTAGCACTGCATGGCTGCACCTGTTACAAGGCATCTGCAGAAGATGAGAGCTCCTTGAAGCCACTGCAGCATCAGGTTATGAATCCCAGAAGCTGCAAGTGCTCTTGTGCCTCCCCAACCCCACTCACAACCCTCCCAAGAGACCTCTTCAGAGAGGACTAGGGCAGCTCTAACAAGCTAATTCTTACATCATGTAGAGCGAAGGTGGCCTGGGATAATATGGGCTTAGCCAAGCTTTCAACTCAGGAAGGTGGGGATGGAAGGATTTTGCTGTTCAGAATCTGTAGTTCTGTTCTACTTCAAGGTACTAATATCTGAAAATAACCTACTGTCTTTTTATTTCCTGGAAAAGGAAACATCTGTTCCTCTAGCTAATTTGGTCTGGTAATCTTAATTTTTAAAGGAGTGCCAAGCATGTAATTCCATAGAACATGGAATCATAATACATGGGCTCATAATAGTCTTTTCTAGAGAGTAGCTACAGGTGGTCCTCCAAAATAACAGCACCCTACACTTAGTTCACATTAATCACTTCCATTTTGGGAATCTTAGCTGTCATCCATATCTGAAATGGATCTGGAAGGGTCTTTTCACTGCTAAGACTAAAGCTATCTGGGCTCACATCCCAAGTGGAGCACAACTCACTGAAGAAACACACAAATGGCGGTTACCAGGTTGGCATTTGATATGGCTCAATTCAGAAAATTAACCTTAGTAAATTAAACTGCTTCTATGGGATCTACTTTGGAACGATTCTTTAGTTAGCCAAGGGGTTGCTCCTTTGGGTTACAGCAGGGTTTCTCAACTCGGGTACTACTGACATTTGGGGCTCGATAATTATTTATTGTAGGGGTCTGTCCTGTGCAATGTAGGCTGTTTAGCAGCATCTCTGGCCTCTACCCACTTGAAGCCAGGAGCACAACCAGCCTGACCCTACTGGTTATGACAACCAAAAATGTCTCCAGACTTGGCCACGTGTCCTCTGTGGAGAAAACAGTTCCCAGCTGAGAACCACGGGGTTAGGCAAATGCAAAATTCATCTGGTGCATAATACTTTGTAATTTCCACATACACTGCTTTCTTCCAAGGTAGAAGCACATTAGATATCAAAGGACCCTTTGTATGCAGAAGTGATGCACCAGGAAAGGAGGCCTCTGATGAGAAGAGAATCCCAAACTCACTGTCATAGCAGTCAGAACATTATTTTGAAATTTCAAATAACATTTAAGGGATAGGAATTTCTTTTGCATTTGCTGAGTTTTGGAAAGGTTGAGAAATTGAGAGAGAGGATATTAAATTACCCAGAAAACTCTTTCTTTACAAAACACACTATATTAAGAAACAGGGATTTTTAGCAATTGAAACCTATTATTGTGAGGATATAGTATAATATTAACAATAATAATAGCAGTGCCACTTACTGAGAGCTTGCTATATTCCAGGTACCTCTGCTAAGCATTTAAGACTCACAATCCCACTTGTAGTAAAAAAGGATTATCTCTATTTCACAGACAAGAAGACTGTGGTTGAGAAAAGTCAAAGAACTTCCTTAAAGACTATATAGGGTTATTCTTCTCAATTTCCAATCATATATTCATAATTACATATTTTCCAATAATATGTACATATGTTCACAAATCATAAATTGTGTTTGCTACCATTTGATGTTCTGTTTGCTGTTGAGATAGGATCTTGCTATTGCCCAGGCTGGAAAGCAGTATTGTGATCAAGGCTCACTGCAGCCTCAAACTCCCAGGCTCATGCAATCGTCCCACCTCAGCCTCCCCAGTAGCAGGGACTACAGGTATGTGCCACCAAGCCCTGCTAACTTTTTTTTTTTCCATAGAGACAGGGTCTCACTATGTTGCCCAGGCTGATCTTGAATTCCTGGGCTCAAGTGACCCTCCCATCTTGGCCTCCCAAAGTGCTGGGATTATAGCCATGAGCCACTGCACATGGCCTTGATGAGTGTTTTAAATCTCAAGTATTTAATATACTAAACAAGAATTCAGTATAACAGGTTAATACACCACTTCACACTGATCTTAGAGGTAAAGGATAATTTACATCTAATGCTGTGGACACCGACCTATTGATATATAAATATTAAGTAGGGAGGTGATAACTACAGTCTTATCACTGGCTGACACAGCTTGTCATGGTCCCTTGCAGAACTAGTTAAAAGGCATATTACAATCTATTCAAAGAAACCTGCAAAAGTAGAGGGATAAAAACAATAAAGCAAAGTAAACTAGAGGCAAAATTTATAATAATGAATTCCATAGCACTATAGTAGCAGTTGTGACAATTGTAGACTCAGTGCTTAATTGTTTTTGGCAACCAGACACTACAAGAGCACAGAAAACAAATCCACAGGAAAAGTAAAAAACCTAACTTAATGGAAGAATTTCAAACTTAATCTCTAACAAACCTAGACATGTTTACAAGGGCTGAAACCAGCTGACTTTCTTGAAATCCTCGTTACTTATCTCAGAGAGGTGCTAATGTTAATGTAAATGGTTTAAAGTCACAGTAAGAAGCAACAGTGAAAACACATTGGATAATTAGTGCCTGAAATAGTTAGGACTTAATTCCTGGCTACTATACATTTCTACTCACTTCTAGCAAAAGGAAAACTGAAAACAGTATATTTCGTGGCCATTTGTGGTTATTCATGTTGTCTGCTTTATGGTGTGTGGACTACCTCAAACAGGTTCTTTGCTGAACTACAAAAACAAAAGTCTTCCAGATAGAGATCACACATTAGCCTCTCCTGATCCTGTGGAATTGAAGTGACAGCACCAGGCAAGCAAAGCAAACCAGCTGCTGCTCCTGCCAATGACAGGAAATAGCCCCATTCTCTCTGGGCCTGGAGGGGCTGGCATGAATAACAGCTCTCTCACCTTTTCAGCAGAAACGAGACATGAAATTGCTCCTTTCCAGGCTAATCACAAAGTGAATGGCAGTGTGCTCCTTGAGTGACTCACCGATGATTTTTGAACGCCTTTTTGTGCATGTGCATGCCATGTACACACACATGTTCCGGCACAAATCCTAACACTGTCTGACCTTGCTATCGGTAGTGAGGATGCCTTTTCCATCTAGTTCTTCTCATATTCACTCAGTCTGAGTGAGAGGCTCTTCAACATTTTTCACCTACAGGACCTAAAGGATGATGTGGTGGGGCACAGAGGGAGAATGAATACCCGCTGGCCACACTCTGGTTGTGTCATACCCTCTGGTTTCACCTGGTTTCTCATCTGTATACATGAGGATTAATAACACTTCACTGTAGGGCTTATTATAAGGATTAGAAATAATATATGTCACTTGGTGCAGCGACTTAGTAAATGGCAGCAGTTGTTAATGAAAATTATAATTTTGTTAGTTTGGTTCTAACAGTAGTCTTAGTGTACCTAGGTAAGGTTCTAGGATATTAGTATCATTTTTCTTTTTTTTGTTTTTTTCAGACAGAGTCTCGTTCTGTCACCAGGCTCGAGTGCAGTGGCGCGATCTCAGCTCACTGCAACCTCTGCCTCCCAGGTTCAAGCGATTCTCCTGCCTCAGCCTCCTGAGTAGCTGGGATTACAGATATGCACCGCCACGCCCAGCTAATTTTTGTATTTTTAGCAGAGACAGGGTTTCACCATGTTGGCCAGGATGGTCTCAATCTCCTGACCTCATGATCCACCCACCTCGGCCTCCCAAAGTGCTGGGATTACAGGCATGAGCCACGCGCTTGGCCTAGTATTTTTCATACTATATTCAATCACCTCTTTATTTAAAAAAAAAAACAAAAAACAAAACACAAAAAACACCGCTCCATATAAACTTCTAGCCTATTGGTTTGAAAATGGAAATCTATGTCCATATTATAATATGGACATTTCCCCCTTCAAAAATGAAAAGTTAAAGACTGTGGGTTTACCAATAGGCCATTCCAGCTCTCAGATTCTGATATTTTTTGAGCAAGAATCTCTCGTTTCTGTTGTTTTCTGTGTATTGCTTGGTTGTTAGGTACACTGCTTTGTATATTATCCCATGTTGCTTATGCTCTGAAATTACCATCATGCATTGTAATTACAAAAGCTGAGCTGGAACATCAAGTACTAGTATCACGAGTTCTTTTTAAAACTTGAAAGTTTTAAAGAGATTTAAAATAGCTAACTGATTTATCAGCAAGGCTGCTGGCTACAAACCAGAGTGCTGAATTCTGATGGAGCAGTTCTCTGTGGCAAAGGCTTTTGACTGGCGGCCACTAGCTTGGGGTCTACTGACAGGCTACTACTATAGTCCATCTTAGCACCCACAAACAAAAGAAAATGGAGCCAAATATAACTACCAACTAGTTCAATGCCCTCAATACACAGATGAAGGAGGGACGGTGCAGAGTCAGCTTGCCAACGCTGAGTCAGCAGTTACAAGGACCTTTTCGCTAAGATACCACATATGTATCTCAGACGCAGTAAGATACTACACTTTGGGATAATCCTCGAAATGTTGGAACTGAAATTCAGGCCCCAGTGCTATGCTATTCCCACAGTTCTCTTCCTCTCTAGGACTGAGGAGTTCAGTGCCCCAACCCAGCTTTTTAATACCCAGGGATAACCTTTGCTTTAGGGTCCATGTAAAAGGGAGATCCAGGTCTTGGGTCTTTCTTCCCTTTGATTCAGTCACCGTGGGTTCCCTAGCGATAGCTCAGCCCTGCAGAAAGACCTGCTAAGGTACCTGGCCTGCAGTGTCTTTGTTACCATGGCTATTGCCCTCCATTCACAAGTGTGACATCACTGCCTTCTGACTTGTCCTGGAGGAAGTGGCTGTAGGAACCAAAACCAGTGTGGGCTAGGGGTTGTGTTCCCTCACCTTTCCACTGTCAGTAGTGAAGGTTCTTGTTATAGCCACTTTTTAAAATTGAGACAGAGTCTCACTCTGTCGCCCAGGCTGTAGTGCAGTGGCGTGATCTCTGCTCACTGCAACGCCTGCCTCCTGGGTTCAAGAGATTATTCTGCCTCGGCCTCCTGAGTAGCTGGAATTACAGGCACGTGCCACCATGTCCGGCTAATTTTTGTATTTTTAGTAGAGATGGGGTTTTACCATGTTGGCCAGGCTGGTCTCAAACTCTGGATCTCAGGTGATCTGCCTGCCTTGGCCTCCCAAAGTGCTGGGATTACAGGCCTAGTCATAGCCACTTAATAATAGCAGGACTTTGGGCAAATTTCAGTAAATGGGTATTTGAACTATAATGTCTTCAATGTGAGTTCTAATTTAACTTTGCTATGGTCCCACAATTCCTCTTGGTGGGTAAAAGTTCGACTCTCCTAGGTTAAACGCGATTCATAATATGTAATATTTTGACTTAAAGGAAGAAGCTTTATAATGCTCTACAACCTTGACTGGCTAACCAAAAGCAATGTAAGTGACAGCACTACAGCAAACCCCACATCCTGGCCAATTAGACGGCTAGCAGCCTCAACCATTCGGAACACAGCTGTGAACCAGAAGTAGGCAACTGCAAGAAAACTCCATTCACTTAGCTCCTAAGGAGATATACAGCATTAGCCTCTATTCTTTTTTCAGGGCAATTAAGATAAAATGAGGGAAAGAGATTTAAAATGTAGGTTTTCCTGGAGCAGAAACTCTTTTGGGGATTGCTCATTGGTTAAAGAATTGTGGAACAGGAGGGCAATGTGAATGGAAGAAACTAATAAGCTGCTACTTTAGAACAATGTTCTTTTCACTCCCCCACCCCAACCCCTCTACTTCACACAGTAAATGCCTAGGAAAGCAGATTAACTCCTTCTGGTCAATCTGACCAGGATTGGGTTTTCAGACAATTACTTCTCGCATCTAAAACAAGAAATGCACCGATTCCCGAAGACCCAATCCTCTCTCTGGCTAGTCTTTCCCGGAGTGAGGTGACTCACACTTTTTGGTCAGAAATGCATTTATTAAAAACCAAGCAGTCTCCTGTTGTCCCACATCCTTCCTTGTTATTGCATCCTCCCTCCCTCCCTGCCTCAGCCTAGAAACTGCAGCCAGGTCTCCAGGAATCCCAGCCAGTGGCTGAGACTTGCACTGAGGTTTCTTTCAGAAGTGTGGTCTTTAAATCCACGGCCAATGAATTAAATGGACATTTAATGATAAACAATGGCTATATTGTTTATTCCAGCCATCTCCATGAAAGAAAACAAAACTCCCTTAAAAATTGAATATATTATTTAGGAAAATCCATTTTACATTTGTCTCTATAATGTATTGGATGTATTATATTACAAAATTCCAAGAAGCCTTTAAAAAGACTTCTGTGTTTGTCCTTTGTCTTCTGTGTCAATGAGGGAAAAAAATGAATTAATTGCTTCTTTGAATCCTTAAGGATATATATTCTCTCCTGCCTTAGAAAAACAAGACAAGATGAGATCTTTAAATCATTTGCATGAGAAGAACTAACATCACGGGTGCTGGCTCCAAAGCTCCTGTTTATATTTTATTATGACATTTGATACAACTTTAAAGCCTACCTCCTCCTCTCTCCTTCTCATCCTCTTCTTCTTTCAGCAGCTTGCCAATGGAATTATACCACTTGAACTGTGGGTCAGGGATGCCATAAACACTACAGTTAATCAAGGCACTGTTCCCTTCCTTGACTATGATATGGTCAGTTCTGGCAATGATTACGGGCACAGAGCCCAAGACCACGTTAGTGCCATTTAAAGTGCTGTTAGTCACACTCTTAGCGGTGGCTAGAGTGGATACTAGGATTAAAAAGGGCACAGAAGGTAGAAAGCACACAGTCAGATGGCTCTTCAATCGATCCATCTTCTTTGCTTGCTCTGTAAGGCAATAGAGAGATGGTTTGCCAACCGAATCTTCTATCAGACAACACACTGTTCACAGCAGGTCATGGGACAAACCTGTCCTGGGTCCATAGAGTTGGTACTTGAGCAAGAACCTGTTTTTAAGAAAACAAAAATATATACACATAAACATTAGCATTCATCCATTCAAAACACTATAAACGGTTAGCAATGCAGCTAAAATACAAACATCAACATACTTTTTTTTTTTTTTTGAGAGGGAGTCTTGCTCTGTTGCCCAGGCTAGAGTGCAGTGGGGCGATCTTGGCTCACTGCAACCTTCACCTCCTAGGTTTAAGTGATTCTCCTGCCTCAGCCTACCAAGTAGCTGGGATTACAGGCACCCACCAACATGTCTGGCTAATTTTTGTATTTTTAGTAGAGATGAGGTTTCACCGTGTTGGCCAGGCTGGTCTCGAACTCCTGACCTCAGGTGATCCACCCACCTCGGCCTCTCAAAGTGCTGGGATTACAGGCGTGAGCCACCGCACCCGGCCAAACCTACATACTTTTTAAACAAAACACAACCATAAGATGTTCCGGATGTGAATTATATTTTTCACAGAAATCATAATTTTGTTTTTTGCTATCAAAACATATAGATTTTATAGGAACAAATATTTCTTATATTAAATTTATATATTGCTTCATAGAGCGCAAAAATGGATTCAGGCTGCTTTCACTTACCATGACAAGCTCTCTTTCCTCCACATTACCTGTCTTCATTGTGGAGGACCTAATTGTTCACCTGGGTGTTCCTTAACCTCTTCTCTCCCAGTAAACGGGACTTCCAGTCTGCGTCACTGGTCACAGCTTGGGCTCTGCCGGCATTTGGAAGGACTGCATCAGAATCACTCTGGCATTCTCCTAACTACCCATTATAGCTTCCAGAATGCTCCTTACTGTCTCATTCAACTTCCCATGCTCCTCTGAGCTCCACCTCATCTAGCGCTCTCTGCTCTGTGTTACTGTTACTTACGGGCTCCAGGTCACTCATGTACACCCTGGTTTCAATCTCATCTGCCTCCCACAGGCTGGGGAACATCACCAGACATTACGGTTGGCGGCACTTCTATGTCCAAAGATCTAACCTTCACCTAGTCCTCTATCCTCCATTTCATTCTAATTCTATAGCCATGCCTTCTTCAAAGGCAGAAGTTATTATTTCAATTCTGCCTACAACAACACTGAAGGGGTACCTGGTGATGATAAATTAGCTTCAGATCATATTTTTTTTCAGTAGGAAAGAAAAGAGTTTTGTTTTGCCATAGATTTCCATAAACCCCACTAAACTGGAGTGCTTTCCTGCCCTAGGAAGCCAACACATTACGCCACCAGCTGAAACCCTGTGGCGAAGGGAGATAGCACAGACTGCAATGGCATGATAGACACCCTGCCATGACTTTGCAAATGTCTTTCTTTACTTGGCTAAACTTGTGGTTTCCTTTGTGGTTGGAAAGCTGACCTATTCGATACAGAATAGCTGTGAAGAGCATGGCCTCAGGTTTGAGAGAGACCAGGCCAGGATTCTGGACATAACCACCTTCGCTGGCTGTGTGTCTTGGGCAAGTACAAGACAATTATAAGGATTCACAATCAAATGTATACCAAACACCTATGTACTGCTGCCTTGATAAACAAGAATTATTAGCACAATGTATAAAGCATCCTTTATTGAAATGATGCTTCTCCAATCTATTTTTATGTCTTCTAAAAGCCAGATCTTGAGTTTTGCTTAAAACGTTATTATAAATTATAAATAATTATAAATGACTTTCAGCACTGGGTCCTTTGCAGGGGCTCAAGTCTGAGAATGCATGAGCTGCCCCCTTAGGTGTATTCTGTGGTGAGCATGTTGAGGGCAGGGGCTGGGTCACTCATTATTGACTCCCTGGTGCCCGAGCCATAGCAGATGCCTGGCTAAATACCACAGGGGAGAATCAGAGACAAGGCAGGTTGGGAGATGGGTTCTAATAAATATGGGTGGTAAATATAACTTTTCCCCCCAGTTAAAGAAAATGCCACAAATGGAAAATCAAACTGAATTTTAAAGTGTGTATCTCAAGAGCTGTTTTCAAACAGAGGCTCTCCACATTTGGCTTTCTACGTTCAAACACATTGTGCTAGCAGAGTAAAGAGAAGGGGATACTGCTGTGCTATTATATTTTAATAATGTCAGTAGGTGCTTTGGGCTAGAAACACAGCCAACTGTTCTGAAATGGAATCTAGTTCCGTTAGAGACCTTACGAGATACAGAAGCAGAGACTTTCGTTTTATGCAGGGATTTCAGTTAGCAAAATGTTTTCCCTCTTCCTCATTTTTATTCCCATCCTCTCCCATCTGGAAAAGTCACTAAGGTACAGAAGACATAACGCATCATTTACAGGTTGTTTGTATCACAGCGTTTTGCTCTAAAATTCTGTGAAAACTGATTCAAAGTAAGCACTGAATTAACACTAATGAATTAATAGTTTTAGTAAGAATTTACTTTCAATTTACTCTTTCACTTCAGATTTTTCAAAAGGTATTTATTATGTGCCGGGCACACTGCCAGGATTTAGGGGATGGGAAGTGCCACAAAGCTCAATAAACCACAGACCATGTCCACTCACAGTCTAGTAGTGGAAAGACATACAGATAACTTCAATATGTTCTCTAGGTGCTATGGGCTTGGAGTTGGGTAGGAAGGAGGGGCACCGAACAGCTTGGGTGCCACCTAGAGATGATGTTTGTTGACTGCCCATCCAGCATCCAGGCCCTCTTCTGCCTTTCCCTTTCTGTGAGTCCCATGGCTCACAGGGTAGAAACTTCTAGTCCTTCTCATCACCCCATCGCATGTGCACCTACCAAACTTGACACTGCTCCCTGGTGTATGATCTTGCACTTTTCTGTTTTGAGTAAATTCCTTCTCGATTACAAGGACAGCTCCTGGATAGCAAAAACTTGCACATATAGTTCAGTAGGATTTCCTTATTGCTAGGCACCCATAATCACGTTTACACACTTGCTGTATGAAGCCATGCTTATATGGAATCCAACGGCAATTATTTAAGAACAAATTACAATGTGTTGCCTGAAGAACATAAGATATCACGTGACTCTGGACGCTGGCAAAATATTCTGCAAATGTACCTTTTCAGCTTGTTGGATTAGGATCTTACAGACAGCACCATGAAAAGTTTAGTTGAGCTGGACATGGTGGCTCACGCCTGTAATCCTAGCACTTTGGGAGGCTGACGCAGGCGGATCACGAGGTCAGGAGTTCGAGACCAGCCTGGCCAATATGGTGAAACCCCATCTCTACTAAAAATACAAAAATTAGCCGGGCGTGGTGGTGTGCTCCTGTAGTCCCAGCTACTCAGGAGGCTGGGGCAGGAGAATCACTTGAACCCAGGAGGCGGAGGTTACAGTGAGCCGAGATGGCATCACTGCACTCCAGCCTGGGCGACAGAGCAAGACGCTGTCTCAAAAAAAAAAAAAAAAAAAAGTTTAGTTGATAACAATCTAACATTGTGAAAGACATTTGAGCCAGCAAAGAGTAAAATAACAATCTAACATTGTGAAAGGGATTTGAGCCAGCAAAGAGTAAACCCTAAGTACTATAATCCAGCAGCTTAAAATGCAGTCCTTCAAAATACAAGAACAAAGACCACAGCTTTCAAAACCAGGGCTTAACAAAAGCTACAATGGACAAGTTGTTAAACCTCATAATCTTTGGGAAAACTTTGATAGACTACTTTATTTTCTATAAATAGAACAAAAGAGAAATATTTAGCAAATATCAAATGTTCTTTATTTTGACCCCTTCCCTACCTCCCAGCCATTGGATTTTATCTAAAAATGTTTAATAAAATGCTTTGTTCAGTCCTATTTCTTCTTTTTCCACCTATAATCAATAAGACTGTTGCCCATGTATTTCTGGAGCTAGAAGGAAAAGGACCTCTTGTGTAAGGGGTGTTTTGTACTAAATGAATATTATTGTTTTTTCTTGGCAGAGTCAATTTGGGTATTGCCCCAACTACTCTGATGAATAATTTGTAGAGTGATACAACTGGATTTTGTTGCAACACCTACTGAGAGTTACCCCTATTTTAATTTGCGTGGGAATGATGCCACAGGCACATAAGCTACCTTCTGGATGAAAACACATTCTTCACAGGGTTATACTCATGAAGCATGGAGAGGGAAGCCCCATTTCATATGAATTGGAAAGTGGCACTAAAATACTCATTAAGACATGAATACTAACTTTTCAAAACTGGTAGTCAACTCAAGCCATTTCAGTTATGAATATGTTTCTGCCACTTCCTTTCCCATATATCATAATGAATTCAAAATATCCACGTCTTTTTTAAACAAAAATTAAAAATATTTTCTTTTGCGATTAAAAAAAATGAGAACAAAATTCTCACTGGCTCATTCTATCCCACCTAACACCTTTCAGGATCAGCATAGAGTCTCTTGAACAGCATGGGTCTGAACCACTCAGTCCACTTACATGCAGGTTTTTTCTTTTTTAACAGAAGTTACACTGAGTGTGCCTGCCTCTCCTTCCCCCTCTTCCACATCCACCACCTATGAGACAGCAAGACCAGCCCCTCCCCCTCCTCCTCAGTCTACTCAACTTGAAGATGGCGAGGCTGAAGACATTTACGATGATCCACTTCCCCTTAGTGAACGGCAAATATATTTTCTCCTTCTTAAGATTTTCTTAATAACAGTCTTTTCTCTAGCTTACTTTATTGTAGGAAAATGGTATATAATACACATAGCATACAAAATATGTGTTAATGAGCTGTTCATGTCATCAGAAAGGCTTCTGGTCAACAACCGGCTATTAGTAGTTAAGTTCTGGGGAGTCAAAAATTATACACAGATTTCCCACTGCATTGCGGGGGGGTGGGTGCCCCTAACCCATGTTGTTCAAGCATCAACTATACTGAATTTTAGATAATTAGGGTGATCTCTGAATATAAACTATGGTGATATGGTTTGGCTGTGTTCCCACCCAAATCTCACCTTGAATTGTAATAAACCCCATGTGTCAAGGGTGGGGCCAAGTGGAGATAATTGAATCATGGGGGTGGTTTCCACCATATTGTTCTTGTGGTAGTAAGTCTCACGAGATCTAACGGTTTTATAAATGGGAGTTCTCCTGCACAAGCTCTTTTCTTGCCTGCTGCCGTGTAAGACATGCCTTTGCTTCTCCTTTGCCTTCCACCATGATTCTGAGGCCTCCCCAGCCATGTGGAACTGTGAATCAATTAGACTTCTTTGCTTTATAAATTACCCAGTCTCAGGTATGTCTTTATTAGCAGCATGAAAACAAACAGACGCATATGGGAATCTAAAGTCAAGGGCCAAGAAATCTGTGGAAAAAAAATGTTCCTTTAGCAATTACTGCAGTCCAGAGTCAAATCATTTAAGTGATAAATCAGTTAAGTCCTATCTCAATGCCCAAAGTCCTATTACAGAGATTCATACTGCCCTTTCTTGCCCTTTCTTGTCCATGTTCTAGAGTCTATTTCTGTACAGAGATTCTTGATGCCTCTAATCACACAAAGGTAATACCTAATTCAGATGGCAAATGTGATAATCACAGGAAAGTATGAAAGGGCATTGCTTTTAGGTTAGTTTTAGAAGCATCTAAAGGGGATCAGTTCAATCCAAATTGATATGCATTACCTGAGAAATGACCTGCGCTGGGTGCACTGCCAGGGGTTGAGGCCTTCCCCCTCTTGTCAGAATCCGGAAGGGGACACAGGACTCTCCCCTCTTGTCAGAATCCGGCAGGGGACACAGGAACATATATCGACAGTTACAGGACAGTGTGACAGCTGCCCATCACAGGGTGTCAAAGATCCACTGGGGCACCAGACAAGAGATGGAAGTATTAATAGTTTGGATGAGCCAGGAAGAATTTTCTGGAAGTGATTCTTTAAAGAAGTACCCAAGTGGACCAGGGGAGAGAAGCTGACCCAAAAGAGGAATAGAATATTGAAAGAAACGATTACAGAGAACCTGGGGAAATGTCTGTAATTAGGCACTGATGGCCAGGTGGTGTGTGCAAGAACAGAGGAGGGGGAAGTAGGTTGGAAAGGCAGGCTGGCCCAGAAAATGACCGGATAGTATGCAACGCCAAGGATGGGGGCACTCACAGGTTTTGAAAAGGAGAAGTGACAGGGCTAGTTCTGTGTTTACAAAGATCAGCTTGATCCTCATATGGCTGCGATGTAGACCTGGCTAGGAGACTAGTATTATACAATATCCAGGAAGGAAATGAACGGGGGCCTGAACCAAAAGCAGTGGGGAAGGAAAGAAGTTGGCAGATGCAAAGAGGTACAGGAATTAGAATGTACAGAATGACTATCTGATAGCAGGTTGAAGTAGTACAAGACCTCCTGACCAGTGGCACCTATGATTATAAAGACAGCTCTTAGGAAGCAAGTGTCTCATTTACTAAAAACCAATGGCTGGCACTGTCAGTAGAATACACAAATTAAGAAATTCAACAAACCACTCCCTTGGGCAGCACTCTGCACTCTGCTGCCACTCTTGGATGAGGGCCTGTCTGCTAGCAGTGACCTGGCAGAGTACACGGTCGCTCCTGCCTGGTTCCTCACTGCTCCTCCTAGCTTCACCATCTTCTCTCTCTGTACCCCTGGCTGATGGAGGGTGTTGTGATGACAAACCACAGTCATGACATTTACATATAAAAACTCACAAATTAAGAGCTATACAGCAGCACACCATGAGAAGAATTAGAGCCTGTCTTTTTAAAGTAGTTGGCCCTTAGGAGGAAAGTGAGACTCAGGAGAGACCTCATGGCATTCTTGGTACAATACGCACTTATTAATTGTGTAGTGTTAGGATAATTTCCAGCTACTTAATGGGTAGAACTAAATATACACCCAGACTTGCTGGATTGCTGTGAACAGCCACCAGATGAGCTGTTTAAGCCCATGGAACAACTGAGAGGGGTACCACATTATTACTCCAACTACACTAATGTTCGGCCTCTACAGAATTTTATTTTATGCTGTTATTTTTTTTTTGATACACAGAAGGCACGTACTTTTTCAAAAACTGATCTGGGTTAAATCACTGTTTTTCAAACTTAAAAACAAACTATAGGCCCAGAGATGCCATCTTCATAAAACTTTATTTTTAATGGGGCATAATATTAAGAAACTATTCTTGAATCTCCACACTTTGTTCACATGGTATGTTTTTCTGATTAAAAGTAAAAATAATACAAAATAAAGCTCTCAGAAATATACTGTTTAAATTGCCCAGGGTCATCAAATCATTATTTTAAAAAATCACTCTAATATGGAGATGAGATACTGTTGATATCCTACTAAACATAAATGTTGGTTAAGCCTGATCATCAGAAGGGAGATACTCAAGGGACCTTTACTACAGTCTTTTAAAGAGAAAAAGAACCACAAACCCTTATAAAGGAGGAGGGAAAAAATTACATTAAAGGTTGTTCTCTATAGATATATAATTATCAAGCAAGATAAAAACAGGTCTACACATCTCTTCTCAGAACTAGAACATTAGACTTGGAAAAACTTGGATGTATTTTCATAAAGGTTTTTCTTTACTCTAAAAAATGGAGGCCTAGAGAAGGTATGGTATTGCATACGGTCATGCAATTAATTTAGTGGCTTAGAAAAAAAATAAAAAGACCATGACTGCTAATAATAACCTCAGATCAGACCTGGGATTGTTTTCTTGGTTCCATAAAGCCAATTATTAAATTGTTCTAGCACTTGAAACATGCAGTGCAGGCTATTCTAATCACAGGTATATCATTTAGAAGAGTTTATTGATGTTTGAGCACATAATGTCAAATTCTTATTCTTATTCATTCATTCATATATTAAGATAGCATCTCACTGTTACCCAGGCTGGAGTGCAGTGGCACCACCATGGCTCATCGTATTAATTGGGTCATTCTTAATTGATCAGAGAGACATTTCTCCAGAAATCTGATGATCCAAGGAATTAGCCAAATCTGGAAACTGAATAGAAATGGGACAGACACACTGATGCAGGGGCCTTTATGCTGCCAGGCCAATCCCTAAAACGGATCACAATGCACATCAGAGGGTTACAATGCTGTATTCACATTTTTCTTTGATCTTTGACACCGTCCTTATTAGAGTCTATATTCAACCTAAGCTGGTACAGAAGCATCTCTAGCTGCTGTCTTTCTTTTCATTAGAATATTGTTCCAACATCTCCCCCCTTTAAAAAATTATGTCCTTTCAAAACATTCTTCCTACTCATTTGGAGTATGCATGTAGAGATTCGAATTTTCATTCTAGTCCAGTGAATTTATGTCACCTGCTAATCTGTAGATGGCACTACTTCTGCCAGCTTTCAATTGTTTTTATTTGATCTCAAGCCCATTTTCCAAGAAGTTCCTGATGTATTTAGTGTGAAGCTCCTACATTCAGAGTGAAACCAGGCAGGAGCTGATGGATGTCTGGAAGCCTGGACACATCAGTGAGTCAGAACTCTTTTTTGGCTAGAAAAATGGCTAGAAGATGCCATGTATCAGGGAGGTGCTTTATGGAGGTGCTGATCCCTGGCTGCCTGCCCACAAGTCCAGGCTGTGCGCGCTCTGCCTGGATGGAGGAAGCAAACCCTGCCCTCTCTGCAGCCCACAGAGCACATTGTCTATAAATCAGAGGGCAATCTTCTTAATATGCTTTCCTAATATGACTCAGGACCTGAAATAATTGTGAGTTTACATTTTCTTGCTAATTCTGGATCGTTTGCAAACCCGCAAGGCCTTGATAATGAAAGAGCCCTTCTCAATTCCTACCTCTCCCTCACATTTGATTGTGCACACACAGCTTCCCAACTGGCCAAACAAAACTCCCTTTTCTGGAACTGGGAGGGTAATTTCACATACAATCTTACAAAGGGTGGTTAATTATTTTGTGGTGGGACAGCTCATAATAAAGCTACTCAACTCACGATGAGCCTGAAGGATAGTATTAATAGTACCCAACTGAGACACAGAATAACTTCTAACAGAAACACATCGAGTGTTCTTAGCAACAGCCAGTGTGAAGAATTCACTGCAGGTCTCCTGCAGCCGTGGAGCTGAGATTTTAATACAGCAAATGGATAGGATCAGGTGCCTGGGATAAGAGATGGGTTGGGCTCTGAGGTTAAGGTCAAGAACAGAAATTCTGGGGTGATGTGTGAAGAGCAGATGAGTTTAGAATTTTAGGATTAAGACCCACAAGCTGGGAGTGAGGATACTTACTCCTTTCCTCCATTTTTTATTTACTAGGAGATGACGCCTGGGAGTCAGTTGATCTCTCCGAGCTTCAGACCCATCTCTTAGGTCCTTTCCAAATCTATCATAGTATGATCATGACAACCAGGAGTAAGACTGGGGTTGGAAAAGGGAAGAAACGGTGAGGGGTAAAGAGAAAAGGGAAAGAACAAGAGAGTTCTTGGTGCACTGCTAAAAATTCCATTGCAGTAAATACAACTGGGGCAAAGCACTGTGATGGCCAAGCCATTTGTGACTTGGCAGATGGCCACAGACACAGCTTGTGCGCCACGCAGCCTGTGAGAACTTGTTCTCCATAGGCAAGACAACTTCTTGTGTGTCCCTTACATTCTGGACAATAAAATGAGGGAGTAAATGGATTCAAGCTCTGAAAGTATTAGGACGCCCCCCATTCATACCCTCTCCAGATGCCCTCATCTCACTGCAGATGTGAATCAGCCCAGATTCCTCCAGGACTTCCTATATGGAAGACGGGCCGGTCCTCTTGGGCACAGCTGCAGGTTTCTCCCTCCAACTTCACCACCAGAGCAGGCTGGAGTGAAGCCTGAGCCTCACTACTTTTACCCTGTTACCTGGACTAAGAGTGGGTGGTGAACTTAGTGCCTGTAGCCATGCCACGGACCCAACCTTTCCTCTTCAGACCAAGAACTGCTGGTTGTGTAAATCCGAGCTGTTCCACAGGGGGTCTGACCAAGGCCCGTGTCTTTGGGCCTTGAAACCTTCATTTCACTTGATAATTCAGAGAGGCCTTGAGTCTACTATGGCAATTTGGGAATGTAATTTTTATCATTAACATAATTGTCCCATTAAAAAAAAGAGTTGGTATTCAAATATTGTTGATTGTGCTTAGCACCATGCATTCATTACTTTTATTATTATTTAATGATTAGTAACAATCTGTGCATGGAGAATGTCTCAAAATATAATGAATATAAAACGCTAAGATTCTTAAATTATTATAATGTACATTTTTCCAGCAGTTCGTCATTCAGTGTAAAAGCCAGAGGCAGCCTTGCTATGGCCTGACAGTAGGCCTCTGACAGATTCACAGCCTCCATATCCAACCTCACTACGCTCGCTCAATCCCCATCAGCCTCCCTGGGCTCTGCTAATCCTGAAATGGGTAAACCCCGGCATCCTTGAACTTACTATTCCCACCATCTGAAATGAGTTCTGGGATACCTGGAACATTTCCTTTGGAACCCTCAGGCCTTCAACCAGCGAGGCCCTTCCTGGTCACCTATGTGAAACCGTGCCCACCCCATCATGCTCTACCTACCTCGACCCTGCCTTTGTCTTTACAGCATTAACTACTACGTGTTTACATACTGCGCTCCCATTAGGATGGGAGCTCCTAGAGGGCTGGGCTCCTGTCGTTGCCGCTGTTTACTGATGTATCCCCACTGTTCAGAAACACACTTTGCTCAAAGCAAACACTTGAATATCTGCGGAGTGAATTTATTCTACTTATATGCCCTCTAAGATAGACCTATTACTAACTTACTGCTCGCCTTTGGTACAAATTCATTTCTTAGACAGTTCTGGAAAATGTCTGTTCTTTAACCACAGAACTAAGTATAACCCAAAATTTCTTTAAGTCAGTCCTCAGAAATGCATCATTTGCTTACAGTGGAATTTGAGAGGCTGGTGATAAAGACAGGCCTGTGAACAGAGGCTCAGGGTAACACAGAAGACGAGGCGGAGATGCCAGAAATGTATGCTCTTGTTATTGTTGAAGTGAAAAGCAATCACCTACTTAATTTATATTTCAAAATGTCGCACAGTCCCTCATTCCTGTGTCTGTGGTTGTTTGATTAAGACCATTCAAATTCACAGCGTAGGAACTAGATCACCTAGGGTTTCCTCTTTCATCAGGATAAAATTTCATCTGTTTGAAAAGATGCACTCAATAACTGGAGAGGGTAGTTAAATAGCATTTCCTCCTTCCTCTTTACCAGCCCATTATCACAAACTGGAATTGCATCGTGAACACTTCCCTGAATCTCCCACATAAAGTGTCATTATAGGCTCTTTCACTAAGAACTGGATCTCGGTGAAAAACAGATCAGAAGAGATCCTGTAATTCAAACCCTACTGGATTTAATTCTTAAGAGTGCTATGATAACTAACTCCCCTTACAATTCACCTAGCATTTATGGTTTACAAAACACCCCCACAGATGTTATCTCATCAGAGCCTCAGCACCACTCTAAGGCTGGGACAGGCCTGTGATTCTGCCCACACAACAGCGTAAGAATCTGGGGCCAAGCCACCAACACTGCAGGAAAAGTCCCTTGCAGAGCTCACATCTTCTCTCAGTCCAGGGCTCCTGTTACCTGCACACGGTGGTCACTGAGTGCCCACCAAAGCTTCAGCAACCCTCATAACATTGTAGCTAATTATTTTAAAATTTTGTTCATAAAAGCAATATTTTTCAGAATTTTATTCCATCTTAATAATCTTCCTGACTTTAGTGGTTAAGATCAGTCTTCCACCTAAGTGTTTTTCAGTGTCACAACACGGCAAATTGTTGCAATTAAACAAAATCACCAGAAGAAAGCTGAAAATAGGGATTCAGTGGTTTCCACTTTGCTTTTCTCTCAGCTTTGATGGAAAGGGGCCCTGTTAGGCTGAGCACACTTTCCAGGTGATCTCTCCCATCTCTCCGCTGGGTAGTCACCTTTATCTAAGTGATAAACACAATTAGGAGCCAGTCATATCAATTAAATAAACTGAAAGTACTTATGAGGCCACTATTATCCACTTAGTACCAATTACTATGGGGATTAAAAACAGTTTAAGACCAGGCCTTTACCCCAAAGGTGCTTAGAATCTTGGTGACACCTGCATACAAAGCAATATGCAATTATGGGCTAAACTAGGTAAATGCCACAGAAATTCAGAGGAGGCCAAGCTGGGAAGGTAACAGAATGTTCCCTGGGGTTGGCCAAGACCTGAAGGATGAATAAAAGGAGACCAGACAGTTCTCCTAGCAGGAGTAATGGTTTAGTCTAGACAAATAAGGGTAGAAAGAAACACGGCACGCAAGTAATAAAAACCTAGGTGGCATTGGTTTTTGCAAGCATCATGCAGTGGATCTGCTGTGCAAGGCTGTCTGGAGAGCTCTGGGACAGCAGGGAACTCCTTCAGAAATTCTATTCCAGATGAGGGCCTCTGGGGCATCTTAGGAGAAATGATAAAGAGGACTTTGGAACATTTGATCCACTACTTAGGCACAAGAACTAACAACCCAGTGAAAGGAGGAGAGGCGGCCATAACTTGGAGGTAGTGATGAGATGCCTTCCAAAGGCAAGAAGACATCAGAAGTCCACTGCACGTCCTGGGTACAGAGGCACAATGAGAAATGACCAGCCTCCATTAAGGCAAAGGATGGTTAATACTCAGATGTTTTCTGGAAATGAATTTCAAGGTCCTCAAAAATGTTTTGAAATGGAGAAAAACAGGTTACCTTTGAGAAGTTCTAACCAGAGCTGGACTCAAAGACCAAGTAATCTAGGATTGTCCAAACCTTGAAGAAAAACAAAACGACAACAACAACAAAAAAACACCTTCCCGCCAACGTAGGGCTGCCAGCAGAAATGGCAGGGAGTCATTAGACAGAACTGCAGGCCTGGCCGGGGGTGGGGCAGTGAAGCCCAGTGCCTAGCTTTAGCGGTAAGCAGCAATTTTCAAGATGAACTTCATAACAGCAGCTGAGAAGCAAGAACGCTCACTGGTTACTCAAGAGTTTATGCTATCCACAGCCATCCTGGGCAGTAAAGACCTAACAGGAGGTGCTGGGAGCCAAACACTAACTTAGTCTTCACTCAAATACCTTTCCTTGCCTAGGACCAGGGAAAACGGGTTTTGAATCTTTAAGCACAGTCGCTGTTTATCTACCTACTTTCTTGCAGGGGCGTCTGGCCTTTGGAGAAGAAAGGAGTTGGATGGTCTCCTCAGGGTGGTCATTACTGCCACAAATATAGAGCCCTTGCTAATTTCAAGAAGGAACAGAAAGGTACAGATACAGCCTGGTGCAATGGCTCATGTCTGTAATCCCAGCACTTTGGGAGGCAGAGTCTGGAGATAGCTTGAGGCCAGGAGTTTGAGACCAGCCTGGGCAACATAGCAAGACTTCATGTCTACAAAAAAATTAATTAGCTGAGCATGGTGGCATGCACCTGTAATCCCAGCTACTCCAGAGGTTGAGGTAGGAGGATCACCTGAGCCCAGGAGTTTGAGGCTACAGTGAGCCATGATCATGCCACTGTACTCCAGCCTGGGCAACAGAGCGAGACCTCATCTATATACACACACATATGAAAGGTAGAGACTCGAGAACAGATGGATCCTATCTTGTTAAGAGGTACTGCTTTCGTAAACCGATGAGAATGATTTGAATTAGTCTCAGCCTGCACCTGAACTGGGTGGGTCCCAGAAGTGGACAATTCTGGAGCACTTTATTCTAACCCATTTATTTCCTCAAGGAGCAAACCCTTCCCTTACGATCTTCCTCACACCATCAGCAAACTCAAATCCTCAGTGGAAGGAAGGGGTTGGGATTATACTTCAGTATCTGTTCAGCAAGTTTTCCTCTTTCCTGTTGACTAGAGTCAATTTCAGCACAGCCTCTAAGTAAGTTACAGTCTCAATCCAGAATTAGGAAAGCCCAACCCACAACAACTTTCTTTCAGTCTCATTAGCAAGTCCCCAATGCTTCAGTCCAAAAGCTGAGGGTCCATCAGGGAGTTAATTTCTTCTTTTATGTATCTCTTACAAAGTCTGTGCCCTGTGATAAGGTTCCGACTTCTTCCCTCGCATGTGGTGCTGTGTGTGGGGCTTTGCAGCTCCTCCCTGGCCTGAAGTCCCTTTTGGTTAAGCACAGGCAGTGGAAGTTAGTCTCTCTGGTGCTGCAAAGTCTTGCCTTTGGTAGGAAGACCCCTGAGAGATGCTCAGACCCCACTATCCTCGAGACAGGTGGGCCTTCCACATTTCTGCTGTACCTGAGACAGAATCTGGTTCACTATAAAGACATTGTTTAAAATGTCCCCTTTCCTTCCCTGCCCTGAGAAACATATCAATCACTGAGTTCTAATGATTCTCACTCCTCAATATTGGGCTGCCACATCCTGGGTTTCCCCTGGGTTATGTGCTCATCATCTCTACTGGACTCCTTCCTTGCCGACCTGCCTCTAGTCTTGCCTGCCTCCAATCCACATACCATGTCATTACTAGAGTCAGCTGACTCTGAAAGATCTAAAACATATTCCATGTCTTCGTTGTGTCAACAGTGTGAAACTCAAGTCCTACGCAGGACCTAGGTGATTCTTCACAGTCTGACTCCCATCCACCTCCCTGACTGCATCTCTGGAGCCTCCCCCTCCCCCCTCCCTCCTCCCATTCCCCTCCCTGACTGCATCTCTGGAGCCTCCTCCTCCCATCTCCCCAACCCCAGCAAGTTCTCTTTCCTCAACTCCCAGTAGTTCCCCACGGCACCACCTCCAGCCACGTTCCCTTCCTTACCTTGCACATCTGGCAAACCCCTAGCTTTGAGGTCTTGGTTCAAAAGCCCTCCAAGACTCCCAAGGTAGCCCCAGACACTCCTTTTCTCACCACCCTTTACTCATAACTTCCTATTTTCGCTATAATTATCTTTTTGCACATTTGACCCTTCATTAGATTAAAATCTCAGGTTGTCACTACCTGTTGAATGAATTAATGAATGGATGGAATATGGGCTTGAGAAAGGCTGGACACTGGTGCATGGGTGACTGATGCAGTCATGAGGAAAAATAAGTCACCCGGAAAGAACACAGAGGGCCACAAGCAAGACAAGAGACCCGGGTTAGAACCCAGGGAAAGCAGAGTACAAGCTCTCGGAGAAAGAGCAATAAAAAAAATATTGGGAATAGCTAAGGGCACAGTATTCCAAAGGCCACAGCAGGTGGGCCCTCTGCACTTCTGTAGAGCCTGACACAGATAATCCAATTAATTACATGGGAGTTGTTTAAAATGCCATCTTTCCTTCCCTGCCCACAGATAGAGTACAACTCTACCACTGAGTCCTGGTGGTTCTCACTCCTAAATATCTGGCTACCACAACCTGGTTTTTCCCTATTAAGATTTAAGAGCGAGGGAATGGTTTACACTGACCTAGTACTTTACAATAGAAAACAATTTTTTTTGCATCATTCTATGAGAACATTTGGGTAAAAATCTTATCAAGTCATACAAATGGATGCTAGCTATACAATATAAAGTTTTGTTTTATTAGGATAAATTTTAGTCAAGTCTTACTGTTGTTTCCAGTGTCAGATACTGCTAACCCAGGCCTTCTTTTACCACATTGTCTGAAAAATTTGTTTTTCTTACATGCAGTTCAGTTTCAATTCAAAGCCACTCTTACAACACTAAGATAGAAGAATCCTTCAGTTTAGGTTTTCTGGACACAGAGATGTCAATTTAACCAAGAGACAACACATTTTTGCAAGGTAGATATTGAGGCCTTGTACATAAGAGAGACTAAATGAATATGTTTGAAAAGAATTACTAGATTTCTAATATTCAAACCCAAAAGTTAGTTTATGTAGTATTATAGCTGTCAACTCCCACATCCCCCAACACCAACGTCAAATATGGAGCCCATCGCAAACATTGGTGATTGATTGTGGCACTTTCCCAGCTGAACCAGTACAAGCCCATGACATTGCAAGCAGCTATTACCAACTGGTCAGAGTTGGCCCATGTGAAATCTCATCATTCTCAAGTTAATTATGTTAAATTTTAGCTTTCACAGCTCCTTGCTCACGTGTGCATGGTACGCAGACAGCAGAACAGCTGATTACTGTTAGAGGACAATGAGCAGAAACAAAGTGAAATGTGACTTGCCTCTTCTGCTTTATGATGTCCTTCTTATTGTGAGTAAAAGTTTTAAGCTATTAATTTCATACATGCATACAAATGCTGCCATTTCAGATGAATCCAGAGACCTGAATTACAGCATGCTGGTTCCAGACCTCTACTGGCCACTGACCACCTCTTGTTGGACTTCCTTTATCAAGCTGCCCTGTGAAACCTGGGGTTTAGTTATCCATTGTGTTTTTAGGAAGTAAATCTGGCATCGGTCTGTTCCATTTCATGTTCTGGTTTCCCATATTTTCTCTATAATAGGACAGAATCCAAACTCCTTCACATGACACTGAGCTCATCACAGTAAAAGGACCACTTTGTTCCCCTCCTCCTGCCCTTGCCTATTAGTCCATTGCACCAAACCTTTCAGTGGATATGGCTGTATTTGCTTTCCATGGTTCCTGTAACAGATTTCCACAGACTGAGGGATTTAACATAAATTTATTTTGCAGTTCTGGGGCACGGAAGTTCAAACAGGTCTTAACGAGCCATCATTCAGGTGGGCCCAATGTAATCACAAAGGTTCTTTCACGTGAAAGAGGGAAGCAGAAGTCAGCGTCAGAGTGATGCCCCAAGAGAAAGATTGGACTGGCCGCTCTGAGCTTTGAAGACGGATGGGGCTACAAAACAAGGAATGGGGGTGGCCTCTAGAAGGTGGCAAAGGCAAAGAAACAGATTCTCCCCTAGGGCTTCCCAAAGGAACAAGGCCCTGCAGAGTCTCTGACTTTTGCCCACTAAGACCCACGTTGAACTCCCACACCACAGAAGTGCATTGGGCCCACCTGTATAATCCTGAATAACCTCCCCATGGCAAGACCCTTAACTCAATCACATCTGCCAAGTTCCAAAGTGGACACCTTTGGTGGGGGGCATTATTCTGCCTATCCCAATGATGTTCCTTCTTCCTGGAGTGTCTACTCTGCTTAGAAGACTTCTAATTCTTTGGGCATTCCTTAATGAAATATCATGACTTTTCCCATGGAAATGTCACTCCAAGCATGAGGTCCTCTCCTCCTCCAATCTACGGGGTTCATTTCCCCGCCTCCTCAGTCCCATGTGCATCCCTCTCTGGAGCACTCATCCTGTACTGTGTTTTATTTGTCCTCAAGCATATCTCCCTGACTCGACTGTGACTTACTCTTACTCATTTTTGTGGCCTCAGGAGTCTAACTATAAAAGTTTGTGGAAAAAAAAAATGTGATATTTTAATGAGTAAAGACCTCAGGTGGAAGCAGAGGCAAGACCAATACATTCACAGGACTTCTGTTTGGAGCATAACTTATAAACTACTTCTGATAGCTCTTAAGTGGTTACACCATGACATAATCAACCAAACCCTTTGTAACCATCTTTCAACCATGCCAGGGAGGTATTATACCAAACTTAAAATTAACCACTGGCATTTTAAGGCCATTTCTAACCGCAATGTGATATGCCATAGATTGAAAACATTGTCAAAGTTTTAAGTGTCCTCCTGGCCTTGGCTAGGAAAGACAAGTCACACCCTAAGTGCTGGGTTAGATGCCAACTTAGGGGAGTGATAGTATCTGCATGATTTCTAAATTCCAAAAACTAACACTTGTTTAACAAATCTGGCTAGGCTGTGTTGAGGTTAAAAGCAACTTGGCTACAATATTTATTTGTATTCCAGTATCTAAAAGTTCTTGCATTAAAAAGTAGAATAAAAAGTCCAAATTAAGCACAATTTAAAATGCCTCGAGTATTTAAATTGCAAGCCAAATAGGAATTGGATAAATTAAGGTCACAGGGATTGGGGGATAGATCTATTTTTAAAGGGAGTAATTTGCTGTAAATGTCTAATGTCACCAACAACATCATACAGTCTAGAAATCTAAACACATGGAAATAAACCTAAAAATCACGTGCCTAGCAAGTGAGCTGCAAGAACCCAATAGTTAACTACAAAAGAGAAGAAATGATCACCTTTTTTTGTAACATGCCTACAAAGTCTATTTTTTTCTTCATGAGCAGTAATAAAACCCCTTTTCAACCTAACTCCTGTTGTTTTTTTGAGTTTTAGGTTAGGGAAATGTGGACTTTTTGAAGCCAAGGGCAGTATGTAAGTAAGTCTTTGATTAAATTTCATCGTGTCTCTTAACACTGAGAAAATACTTAGGATTTGTACTTAGGATTTGTGGATCGAGAAGGGGGCCTATTGATCTGTATTAAACCTCACATTCACAAAAAGTAAACTGAGGCCTTGCTGCTTCCTCCAGGTCAGGAAGAACCCAAGGCTAAGGGGAGACTCTAGCTACTTCTACTGGGGAATGTCACCTGAGGATATGAGACCTGCTGTTCAGGATAAGGTGTACATGCAGGCAGTACTTCATGAAAGATTTTAAACTTGATGCATTTTTATAGAAAAGAGAAGCACAATTATTCAATATTTGTGTTGGAGTTTTCAAACTTATTTTTCTATAAATGTATTTAGAAATAAATTTAGGATGAGTGAACATCACCAACCAGACTATTTGGCTAAAATGGGGGACTGCAGGTTCTAATTCATAAAAATGGTAATCATGTTGTTGCTACTGCTGTTGTCTGGATGTTTCAAGCCTTTCCTATTATTAAACCTCGGTTATGCAGCATCACAGGACAGAGCCAACTCTATACTGGGGGAAATCACCCCAGAGAGTATCCAGAATTAGAGCTGGAGCCATCTCAGGCTTGCAAGCAAGCACCAACCTTAAAGCCTACCCACAACTCAATGAAAAGTCAATGCATTTCTAAAGTCTATTAAGGTCTATAAAGAATGTAAACAATTGTTTTGTAATAAGCTTAATGAATAAAACAACTGAACCCACTAAGTGGTACTTATAGAAAAGAGGCTTGAGAATTTAGCTTTAGTTAGCAGAACTAGTTCCCACTAGAACAGGATTGTTTATCTTGCCCCTATTAGATACAATAATCCTAATAGTGTTAATGGTACTAAATGTTTTAGGAATAAACAACTGTAGAAACCACACTGGGACCTACAAATTGCACTTTCTGTGTAAGTAAAATGTCAGAAGAACTACACTGTTATAACTTACGGTCTCATGAAACGACATTTTTTTCCATCTTGTATTTCATCTTGAAGGATTTTACTATGTTCAGCATAGTAGCAACTGAAAAAAATGTGTTTCATCTAGAAACAAAAGTGAGAAAACTACAAAAAACACTGAGCTTCTGCAATGCTCGGTTTCCAAGTTTTTAACATTAAATCGAAGATAACGCAAAATAAAGATTGCCACAGTAACCAAACTTTTCTGCTAAGTATCCTTAAAAATAATGACAGTTCGATCGTATCTTAACTGTTTTCTACAATGTGAGCAGATAATACACCTACAAACCTTTTTTTGCTACCTTGCTTTATAAAGCTTGCAAGTTTTTTTTTCAGGGCTGGAGAAGACAGCTTAATGATCAAGCTTAAAATAAATCGGTTCTGCAATCACTCTGTATTTTAATCCGATGAAGCACGTTTCCCCATTCCACGCCATGAAGCAATTCGATGTCAACTTGTTATGGAGTCAAATGCGACAAACTCCGAGAGCTTCAGTAGCGAGGCGGCGGCTCGCAGCACCCACAGCCGCCCGCACTCCTGCGGCATCAGGACACGGCGCCCTCCCGACGCGGAACCCGCATTCACGTTCTCCGGAGCCCTGGCCAGCGCACGCTCCTCCCTGTCCGGGTAAACTGAGGCACAGCGATGAGAGAGATCCAGAGCCCAGCGAAAGCCCCCACGGCTGTTCGGCGTCCCCTTCCCCCACGACACCTAGGAGGCTCGCCGGCAGCTGGCAGTGGATTCCGCGCTCCTCGCCCTCGGAAGGTTACGGTTCGAGCCCAGGATGCGGCAGTCCCCAAACGGCCAGCCCCCGCCCCGCACGGATCTCGAAGCATCCTGCGACCCCCTGGAGCCCGCTGCCCGGACCCTGCGGCGTCTCGCAGCGCAGCCTCCGCCGCAGTCTCAGCCAGCCCAAACACCCGAAAGTTCGGCGGCCCCGGCGCCGACTCGGCCGCCGACCCGGTGCGGGGCTGGCTCCCACCCGTGCCCCTCCGCCCCGGCCCGCCGGGGGCCCCCGCTAACCTGACACCGCCGCGCCACTCAGGTGGCCGCCGTGCACCCCTCGCCATGGCCAGCCCGACAGCGGCCGCTGCGCCGCACTCTGCGCCGGACGCCCGGTAGCGCCTACTGCGGGCGAGCCGCCTCCGCCGGCGCCTCACAGCGTTGCGAGCTGCGCCGCCGGCTGCCGGGAGCGCGGAGCTTCCCACCTACAGGAGCCTGGGCCGGCCGGGGCCGAGCATGCCCAGTGCGGCTCGCCGGGCGGCGCGGAGGCGCGGGTGTAGCCGCCGGGTTTTCGCGGCAGCCGCGGGCGGGGGCAGCGGGGCGGGCGGTGCGGCGCGAGCCAGTCGGTGCTGCGGAGCGGCCCCGCGGAGGAGCCACCGGAGGCTGTAGTTGCCGGGGAGTCCCGCATTCAGTCCGCTCAGCCTCTGGGCCGGGCCTCGGCGGCCCCCAGAGCCCCACACCCGCAGGCCCAGGGCCTCCGCGGCAGCGCGGGACTCTCACTCCGCTCTCTCTCCCGCCCGGGGCTTCCACCGCAACTTCTGTGGGCGTCGCATCGCACGCGTGTTCAAGGACACCCAGGAAAAGGCTTCTTAGGGTCCCATCCTGGGGCGCTAAATGGGAACCAGTCAACCCACCCCCAAGCCTACCCTGTCTCCTTGCAATCAAATGCAATCACGAGCAAACCACCTTGCTTCCGAAAGCTTCTCAGGCCTTCCCGGGCGACTGCGCTGTAAGTCTTAAACGTCTCTTAAAGCAAAGTCCACAGATGGAAGAGTCTGGAAAAAAACCCAGCGGGCCGTTCCCTGGTGACTTTCTGAGTGGTGGGGTTCCAGGAATTTTTTTTTCATTTTCTTTAAAAATATTATTTGTAATTTCCACGTTTTTTCTAATGAACCATAAGTTGATTTTTTAATTAAAAAGTAGAGTACTCTAAAATTATTAAGTACCTACAGAAGTTTCGCTACACGATCCTGCAATGTTAGTGGCTTCTTCTCCTCCTTATCTCCCTTTTTTTTTTTTTTTTTTTAATTTTAAAAGAGAACAGAGACTCTCAATTTCTGGGGCGGGACCAGGCTCCTTCCCCCGGCTTTTTAGTGCCCGCCCTCTTGGCCACACCCCACTCCGGCCTTTTTACTCCCGTACCGCCCTCTTCCCGGTGGGTTGCTGCGAAAACCCGGAAAGGTGGACTTTCCACATTGACGCTCCCGGCGGCTCCGGCAGCCAGACTGGGCATGTTCCGCCGCCGGGTCAGGCATTGCTGTGCCAAGAGAGGAGCTTTAGCAACTCTCAGTCTCTCTGCTCCTCTCTGTTCCTGGCAAACTGGCAAAGTAGTGCCTCTGACCCCACGCCCCGAGGTCGGACCTGCAGAAGTGGGTCAGGACCCGACTGAGCATGCTCCGGGCAGTGCCAGGCTGCCGCACGCGGCTGCATCTGGTTGCCCAAGGTTGATGTAGCCGCGGTCTCTCGTCACGACATCGAAGCTCGGGAAACGGATGGAAGCAGGGCTCTAGAGAGGCACGATTGCATCGACACGTGGGCAGGTCGCCCATGCCAAGGGCCATGTTGGTGGGTGGGTGCGTGGGATCTGTCGTATGAGTGAGTCAAAGCCTGATTTTTTCCCCCAAAAAGATTGAAATGAGATATCATATTTTAACATTAGTTTTATGGCATCTTGAATAGCAACACATTTTAGCTCAAGGAATTTTTCAGCTGTCCTTTTGAGAAACGTAAATTTTCTTTGTTTTTAAGTATTTAATAAGCATTCTTTACAATTGCACCACAGCGCGAACTTTCCACCTGCTTTATTAATTATGACATTTGTGTCCCCACTATTAAAATATTCCGCAGTATTATATCCCGTTTTCTTCTCCAGCATTTCTGCATTCACTCTGACTCTATTTCCTCCCCTCCCCCATCTCTTTTAAATTCTCAGACAACCTGCAAAATGCACTCTTGCTATCTTAGAAACCACTTGAGGTCGGTGTGGGGAACTTGCTTTTAATTCTCATTTAGAGAAGACAGTACTGAAATGGAGAAAAGTCACAGGGAAAGTACTTTTACAGATTGTAGATTAGTAAAGAACCCAAAGAGAGCCTTTCATTGAGAGCAGAAAGGCGAATGGAATTCGCTGTTTTCTGTCTAAGGAGGAGGAGGATGGGCAGGCAGGTCAGCTGCCCAGTGGGGCTTGGTGTGATAGTGGGAGTCACCCTTCATTTGAACCTCTCTGCCTTGCCCAGCTCCAGTTCAGCTTCAGCGTGGTCAGAGACACTATCTCTATGGAAGGTCACTCCTGGAAGAATACATTTACTTAGCTGCTTCCACCATGGAATCCTAGCTTGTGCTGGAGTGTCCCCTTCATCCTCCTCCTGTGCTTTGAGAATCCATTGTTGCTGGTATGCCCTGAGCAGTGCCCTTGAACTTGCCCAGGTACCCCTTGACATCCACACCACAAATAGTCTAGCCTTACAAAGGTGGACAAGATGTCTTTTCAACAGTCTGTACTGCCACTTCCATCCATCTGAAGCTTTCTGTTCCTGAGTCTGTCATGACATTAATCTTTCAAAAATCTTTCACAGAGATTTTTAGTCTCTACTAAAAATACAAAACAATTAGCCAGGCATAGTGGTGTGTGCCTGTAGTCCCAGCTACTTGGGAGGCTGAGGCAAGAGAAGCGCTTGAATCTGGGAGGCAGACGTTGTAGTGAGCAGAGATTGCGCCACTGCACTTCAGCCTGAGCAACAGAGTCAGACTCCATCTCAAAAATAATAAATATATATATATACACACACACACACACAAATAGTATGGATAAAGGGAAGACGCTGACCTATCAGAACAACTGCCTGATCAACCAGAAAGGATTCCAGAAATGAACACCTCGCATGGCCATGTGAGAACATACCAGCTAACACCCCTTTGACAGCGGCAATCATCAGAGAGGATGACAGCTCTCAGGAAGAAGAGACCACAGAACACCTACAATGGGGCGGTGCAAAGGATGAGAATCTGGAGGAGGAGGATGAGAAGAAACAGGATGACCTGCAATTGCTCTTCTGCTTGTATTTACTAGCTTGGTTAGCGGGTACCCGTATCTTCTCAGTCACTTACATGATGAATCTGGGCGTTACCCTAGATTCATTCATCTGCCTTTCCCGTGTCATCCAGCTGGTCTCCTGGCATTATCTATCCTGTCCTTATTCATTTCTGAACACCTCCCTTCCTTGCCTCATTGCCTGTCTTACTCCAGTCCCCATCATCTTCCTGATCAACCACAGAGCAACAGACTCCTAGATGGATCCTCTCTCTGTGTCCCCTCCAATCCATCCTCCATAGCTCCTCAGACTTTTCTTTTTAAGCCAATTGTATTACAATATGTCTGCTAAAGATCCTTAAGTGAATTCATAATGCCTTCAGGATAAGGTCCAAACTTTAAGCATGAACTGGCTGCTGCCTTCCTTTCCAGATTAGTCTCCAGCCTGTGTCCCCTAATATCCCATATCCTCACCAGTCCAAATTACCTGCCGTGTGAATTCACACCTCCATATATCTGTTAGTTCTTTTGTCTCTCTTTCTCCTTTCTTCACCTGACAAACTGTTGAGCCTTGGAGATCCAGTTCAGGCAGGATGTCCTCTGATCTTCCCAAGGTGAATGCCTCTTGAGTACTTCACCTGTTTTCATTTGACACCTAACCTTGATTGATTTTTCTTTCATCTCCTCCGCTACACTGTAGGCAACCTGATCGCAAGGGCTGTGTCTCAGCCATCTTTGTGTCTTCGTTCTTAGTCTTCAATAGAATTTTACTTAATAAATAAATACTTAACATATGGACTGATATAATGTTTAAAGTTTATTAATTTAAAAAAAATGTTGCTGAGAATTATAAACAGATTGCAAAGAAAAAATGCCAGAACAGTCACATCATATGCAACCTGCTGAATGGTTATGCTCCTAACAATAAGTTAGGAGACTAAGATAATTGAGCTCTCAGATTTGACCTCCTTAAGCCCAATGAATTTTCTTCAGCTTCAGAAATCAGGAAGTATTTTGTGAACCAGTCTGATGTCCTTGTTTTATTGGTCTGTAACTGCATGAAGCCCAGCACTGTATTACTAATTAACCCACAAATTCCATTGTTCTTTATCACTGTATTTATTTCTTTCCACAACGTGGTAATAACCTTCTAATTATGTGGTTACTCCTTAGAATAGATTTAGTTTATTTTTTTCTGTTGAAAGCATGGCACCCCAGGAGGGCAGACTAGCCTTTTTGGAATTAGCATAATTTTTTACAGTTCTATCAGCTCATAATGTCTGCTGGGGGCACCTGGTACTAACTATGGGCGAACTGATCACCAGCTTCAGGATCACCTGGTGGATGAAGTTTCCATTCCAGACCTCTGGATAGAGTAGTCCAAGAGGCAGTGATTTTTAACAAGTCCTCCTGGTGACTCTGCACACTCTATGTGAGAAACAGTTCTAAGTCACATGGATAAAAGGAAAAATAATAACTCTTGGTCAAAAACTTCAAGTAGCCCCTGTATTGGGTTTTCTTTGGCAGAGAGATCTATGTGGGTGGGAGAGGTATCTGCCCATTAATAAAAGTGTTGTTAATATCTGTGCTTCTTACATAGCCTTGGCTTATATTAGAGGGTCTGGAGAACATAGGAGAGTAACCCAGTAAAGTAGCTGCTTGTTTTTGCACTTGTTGAACAACATAGAGATTTTGCTTTGTAATCGATGCAGGCCCAATGGTACTCTCCAGTTTCTCCTTTCTATATTCTAACCCCTCCAACAGAGAGTGAGTGGAGCATTGGAGGTTTTGACCTCACACTCTTCCTGGAAGAGGACAATAAGAGGTGTATGATGCTACCTACATTAGGCTATCCCTTATTCCTGGGAGTTTGAAACAGCACAATTAGAAGGAGGGTTAGGGGAAGAATGAAAGAAACCCAGTACTTCTCTCTAGTCTTGTGATTTGCTGGTTGAGGAGAGCAAGGCCTCTTGAAAAGGCTGAGTCAATACAGTATTAGGAAAATATTCCCCTTCCTCATTCTGGGTTTGGACTCAGCATTGACATCGGTCCCTTGGAGGGGTGTGCATGTGTGTGGGTTAAGTGGTTATCCAGCTGGAAGAATCAGGAGATCAAATGGCATGGCTGCAACTCACAGCGGCAGAAGACCCAGCGTGAAGGGTCGCATCCTTCCTAGACCTCCCTCTGAGACCACACCAAAGCCCTTCCCTCCTGGAGAGTTTGCAGCTTGCCAGCTTGGGACACTAATGACCATCACAGCTGAGCCTCCCACCCCACCAGGGTTTCATTTTAGTCAGTAACTCAGATGTAGGGCCATGGATTATTGGCAGGAGAAAGGATGCATCTGGAACTTTGCCTCCTGTGTGTAGGGGTGGCATTTCTTGAAAGGTGGGTGGATATTTGCAGAGGAAGGTTAGAAAAGGAATGTCTTGGTGAGAGAAGTATGAAACAGAGCCCTGGAGACTCCAAGTATGGGGATGGCTGAGCTCTAGAGGGGACCCCTTTGTAAAGAATTTGACTTCACAGTTACTTTACTTTTGGATTCTGGAAAAGTCGTGACTTGTATTTAGCTTGGAGTTTGTTCTTCTTGTTCATAATTTCCTCAGGAAGGAAGGAAAGCCAGATATCCACTTTCCCACTATACAATGGAGGATGCTGGAGTTGGGTGACCCAGGGAAACAAATAAGCAAGGAAACAAACATCAGCAGTCAACATATGGGAAAACAAACACGCAAAGAAGCCAACATATTCTCCAAGAATGTGGCCCACCAGGTGAATCCTTTGTCCCCAGGCTTGACAGGGAGGCTGCGCCACTCACCTCCAAATGCTGCTTAGAAGAGGAGGGCTCTCAAGCTCAGGGGAGGCTCTGGCAGCATCATTGTGATCTCAGTAGGAATAACTGTGACTTTGCTATTGCATGATGAGAAATCCAAATGAAGCTCATGAAGTCGACTGTAATTTTCTAGGCTGGTGACTTTCATGGCTCTCCTTTTTTGAGTAGTTGTTTACTAGAATTAAGAGAGAAGAAACAGAATTCTGTATTTTATCTTTTTATTTATTTATTTATTTATTTTTTTGAGACAGGGTCTCGCTCTGTTGCCCATGCTGGAGTGCAGTGGTGCAACCATGGCTCACTGCAGCCTCAAACTCCTGGACTCAGGCAATCCTCCCACCTGAACAACCTGAGTAGCTGGAACTACAGGTGCACACTGTCATGCCCGGCTAATTTTCCAATTTTTTGTAGAGATGGGTGTCTTGCTATGTTCCCCAGGCTGGTCTCCATCTCCTGCCTCAAGTGATCCTCCCACCTTGGCCTCCCAAAGTACTCCTGGGATTAGAGGCATGGGCTACAACATCCAGCCTTGTCTTTTTATCTTTTGGATAGTCATGACACCAAAAATCCTGGTGTGGGCACCGTGGCTCCTTTGAGGGCAGAGGCTGAGGAGAAGCCCCAAGATATGGCCAAGGCCAGGAGGGATGAGGCTGAGGTGGATGGTAGAGGTGTACAAAGGCCTTTGTAGTGGTGTCTGGGGGACTTACAGAGACAAGAATGGGGAGAATGAGATGCTGGCTTGACAGTAGGTGGAGCAAGCTGGCTTTCATTTGGTAAGATTTGAAGGACCCTGGAAGGCTAAGCAGGCTTGCTTTATATGGGTATCTCGCTTCTCTTCTTGGGACCTCCCCACTGCTAAGTGAGGCTTTGCTAGAGCATGGAGCCAGCTACCCAAAGCCTGGGTCCCACCGTGAGAGGCCTCACAGTGGGGAGCCCAAAGGCCCAGGCCATGTGCAAGTAGATTGTCACAATGGGAAAGTGTGTTTGACACTAAAGTCTACTTTAGATGATGTCACAATTTTGACTTGATTCAACCCCAGAAATGAAGTTCCTAACAAATTGGACCTTTTTTATTCCCCATGATAAGAGGCCAAATGCTGTCACCTTCAGTATGATGCTGGCTCTGTCTTCCCCAAATAATAAATATTATTTCTATCCTTCATTCCAGGAATGATTGGCTGGTTTGTTTTGTTCTCGATCATGGATAAATATGCTCCTCAATAGCTTTTCTTTATTTATGTATTATGTGGAACATATGTCATAACTGCAGTTATCCAGCTGAGGAAGTAGGTTTCTTTATTTGGACCTAATTTCTTAAGAAATTATGTTTCTTTTATGATATTCAGGCATTTATAAGCTCTGCAGCTTTTCTTTAGAAGTCTTTTTGGTCTAATCTAGTAAAGTTTCTGGCACACAAGAGATGCCAATACATTTTGTTGAATTATCTGCTGGAAGTTGCAGGAAGAACCTCATGCTGGAGAATCCTGGAGGAAGGCATTTTAAAATACAGGCAACCATCAGTCCAGTTGGTTGGTCTGAAATATCATTCAGACTTTGGCCTTAAGTCTATTTGGTATTGATTCTGCTTTTCTCTCTGGTGACATGTTTCAGATCTGTTACCAACATGTTTCTCCCTGACTTCAGTCAGCCAGCAAAAAGACAAAATTGATTAATCCATGATGAATGTATGGCCAAATGTATGGATGACCTTGAAGCAGCGGCTGTTTTTTCAGCATCATGGTTTATGGGCTGTCTCATCATAGGTGGGCATTTCTTCTGCTAATTCCAAAGAGTCTTCCTTGCTGCTAAATCCAATGAACCCTCCTTGCTGCTAGTTCCAATGAGCCTTCCTCGCTGCTAGTTCCAATGAGACTTCCTTGCTGCTTTAATAGGAATTTTAAAAGCATGTTGAAATGAACCATCCCTAACATTTGAAGAATGTTGTCATTGTGTTTGTGAATGAACTGGGACAGTTTCCTAAAATGAATAGAAATTACAACTTGCTGCTCAGAAGTATGGAGCGTAGGGTAAGAAGGGCAGCTAAGAATTGCAAATAAGCATATTGATGTGGGTTAGCAGTGACGGGGAGAGAGAGAAAGTGGAGTATAAAAGGACCCTGCAGATCTCTGTCAATGTGATTGATTTCAGTGATGTATACTGCTGTGTGTGTATGTGCTTTTGGCCTGTAGTACTAATTACTGAAAATGGACTAAGATTAAAAAGGGAATTGCCAGATGCCTTTAGGAAACTTGGGCTGTTACATGAATATTATATTTAATTATATTAAAAGTCAACTATAGCTTATTGCCCATAAGAGACAAGGTAGGTAATGAGTTTACTCTGAGCACAACTGTTGGTTATCACTTAGCCATTAACCAGCCTGTGATTCGCCTAGCGCCAGCTCCCTGTTCTGAGGGCACCAGAAAAGCGGGAGAACCAAAGACAGCTCTAAAAAGGTCAGTATTACAAAAGAGTACCAAAATTGTCATCACAGGACAATCATGTTCCTCCACCCTGCCTTACACTCATTTTACAGCTTGGACTTGTTTGTGCATTGACTGCCTACTTGTTTTGGTACTTGGAAGCTTCAGGTTCTAAATGTCTTAATCTGGTTTTCTGTCTCTACCTCTTGTTTTTGCTCACATTTACTCTCTGCTACTTATTTTTCTTGAGAGCATTATTTGCCCTCTTTCATAATGTTATGGGAAGACTTATGGGAAAATGAGGAACCAAAACCATTTCTAGAAGCATCCAAAAGACTTCTCAGATGTAAGCCACGTTGTAGCCTCCAACGGCCTTCCTGTCAGCCTGACTTCCAGGACAGTTTTCAAAGGCTACAGGCATAAATGGTTGATTATTTCCTATAAGACGCTGGCTCAGGCATAGGTTTGCTTTAAATAGCAGTTGTTGTCTAACCTAAGGCATTAGACATAAGATATGATACACAAGTCAGGAACACATAAGTTACATAATTCAAGGATCTCTGGCTCTTTGACTCACCATGAATATACCATTAGTTTATCTGTGAGATCAACCTACATTTAAGTGTTAATGTAGGTTGCATTTAAGTGTTAAGAAACCAATATTGTCTGCTTCAAAGAGGCTGCTGTATTTCCAACTCCCTTTTAAGGTGTCCTTGCTTAACCTCCTCAGCTTCCCCTAAAGTTCCTCTGCCTCTGGCTCCATCAGGGTCTCACTTCCTGAAGGAGAAGGCCATGGTCTGAGTATACCTTTCTGTAAGCAGTGCCTGGGGGCCCAGAAGCTGAGAAGCAGCCCAGGAGGATGGAGACCTACTCAGTGCTCAAGGTCACCTTTGGTCAGGAGTGTCCTACCCTGCTTCATGTACCAGCCACTTCCTGGCCCCTGTCCTTGGTCACCAGGGTTGAGGATGATGGAAGAATGTGGTGATCATTCACCACTGCCCTTAGCTACCCAATGGCCTCCCAGCCCTTCCTGATGGCAGAAGAGGTTGAAGCCTGGGGTTGGGGCTGAAAGGACTCTTCCACTGTCCTCTTCTTGTCCCTGCTTCCCCAAGCATGGGCTGCGGGCTTGCTAGTTTCTTGCCAGTTTCTTCAGGCACTGTTACACCTGCCCCAGTTTTATTCAAGATACCTTGGGTGTTATGGATGACCCCTGGGGATTTCCTCAGAATCCCCTAAAATCTAGTCCACCTGTCAGAATTGCAGCTCTGTCTGGGGTTGCAGTAAGAGCAAGCAGTTGCTTGAAAGAGGCCTGGGGGTGGGACCATGGAATGACAAGAAACAGAATTTAAGAAGCAGGTAGGTATGTCTTCATTTTATACTCTTGTCAACCGAGTGTAACTTTTTAATGGAATCAGTATATTTAATATAAACAAATGCATATTGATTGTTTTGGGGAGAGAGTGTTTTTCATTTGTTGCATTAACTCTCAGACTGTATCATTCTAGACATTAAGATGACTACACATCACCACCGTGTCACTGAAGTGGTAAATTGGGAAATATTGTATGAGCTTCAGTACGATTTGCTCTTAATGTCACCATGAGAAATTAGCCATATGATTCATGCATTTTAGAATGGATTAGATTCAATATTTCAGACCAGTGAAACAAGTATTGTGAATAAGTGGGGAAATCTAGTCCATTGCCTACATTTTAATTCATTATAAAATAAATAGGCCAGATTTGTCTAACAGTTTAGGAACACTGCATAATTGGTAGTGACAGTTCATTTACGAAAGAACTAGAATGTCTTTTTTTTTAAGCCATAAAATAAATTGGACAGTGACTCTTATCCCATGATTTATTTATGGTGGAAGATTAATAAAAACATTAAGCATGATGAATGTATTTTCAGTGACAGGATTACAGCAAAAAAAAAAAATACTAGCAACAATAAAAATAAAATGAATTTTACATTTTTAATCAGTCTGAAGAATTTTGCTGCACAACAAAATAAGTGATATTATTTTTATCACTCACATTAAAATTGTTTTATTATGCAAACTCTATTGACGTGCATTGCCCATCTTCCCAAACTAGGGCTAAAGCCCCTTGAGAACAAAGGACTCATCTCATGTTCTTGCATCTGTTGTATCCTGGTATTGTCCTACACATAAAGGTATTGCTGAGTGCCTGTTAATGAAAACATAAACTTACTATTGATTTATAATTATACAGTTTTCAAATAAACTCTTCTATATTAGGAACTAGATATGTGAAAGAAAGGCAATGATTTCATTTTGAGTAGCTGTTCACCTAAAAAGAAAAAAGAAAAGATTATTTGGTTAGAAGCCAGTTGGTATTCACGGAAGTGGCTTTCTCATGGAGGTTTAGGTTCCAAAGTTAGTACATCGTAAAAATGAATCTAGAAAATCCCTTACACTGACCATAAAATTTAACATATGTTTGAGTGTATAATCTATGCAGTAATTCTTCTGCACACAAAAACTTCCAAAATGAGGGATAAAAGGAAAGTCCCTATGCCAATGTCTGGGTGACAATCAGAGCCATGTGTCTTGAAGGGATTTGTCAAATTGCCAGGTGAGTGGAGGCTAGGGTGAGATGTCCAAGGGGCTCCTGCTTGCCCACAGGATTTACTCCATTCAGCCTTAATATTAAGCCTTGATGGCTTTAATATGTATCACTATGAGGATTAAACCTGATAAGGAGTCACCTTTTCTGTATGTTATGGAGGGAAGGGCCAGATGCTGAAGTCAGGGAGCCCACTGCCCTTTTATCTTATGAATATGGTTTTATCTGATGTGAAAGGAGACTGGAGATTCATGGCAGTTTTCGGATTCAATTCCATCCTTTCGCAGTTGCTAGAGCTTCGTGCTTTAGCCATCCTGGAGTGGGGTTTGCTTAGAGAAGTTTTGATCCAGTAAAGAATTGCTTGATGAAGTCCTGTTTGGTTGGTTACTGCTCTCAGATCATGATGAACTACAGTGTGACAGTAAAACCAGAATATCGTTTATGTTTGAAATTTAATTTCACATTATTCTGGGTTTTAGGAAGACTTTGCCCAACCATCTTAAGATGGTCACAGGGGAGACTGCATAAGGCATAGTGCACTAGTGCAGTGTGTCACCATGATTGGGAAAAATATGCAAAATCTGGTGAGCAGTCTAAAGTCCATTATGCATCCAAAGTTCATCATTAACTGTTTTTGGGCAAAGATGTAGTATTTCTGTCCATTGCTGTGAGCCTGCTGTACATTTCTCAGCCTTTCTTTTAATGAGATCCTTACTAATTTAAGGCCTATCCAGGGCCTTGTTTGTAACTTGTTTGTAACTCAGGGCATGAAGAACCTGTATGGTCAAAGCTGGTGCAAGATTTATCCTGAAACAATGGTTTAGTTGCCAGGAATGCTGACTTAAGTTCGAGCTCCAAATATTAGCAACCATCATGACCTGACTGAGCAATGAGATTTATTCCTGAAAATTCTATGAAGAGCTTCAGCTCCAAATGGTTTCCTGGGGGTCACAAGAGCACTTTCATTTGCCACACTGTTGAGCAAAAACGAAGTGATGGAGAGCATGATTCTATGGGCTCCATAAATTTTTGTGCTCTTCTCATTTTAATTTCACTTCATACCTCCAACCTAGAGTGCAGTGTAATAAACCCCTTTCCAATGGGCTGGCATTACATGGAGGCAGAGTAGCTGCCCCCCCGGCACACGCTGAATTACTCAGGAGTAGGAGTCTCTGCAGACGGCTCTCCAGCCAGCATCCTTGGCCAGCCTGCAATGCATCCTTCTTTCCTCCCACCTGTGTGTTCCCACCTTTTGAGTTGCCACCTCATTTCCACAATGAGGATAATGGTCTTTCTCTCAGATGCTTGTGACCTCATGTACGTAAGTGTGGAGTGCACTGTTTGAAAGCGAAGCTGCATATAAAAGTGTCACGTGACTTGTGTGTGGTGGTATGGTTAGCACAATCGCAGCCTGGGTTGCACACTCAAAAGCCACGGGTTCAGTTCTACTGGGTTTGTGTGACAACTGTGCACACATGAGTAGCAGAAAACATTCATCCAGCCTGGGCAATATAGTGAGACCTTGTCTCTACAAAAAATAAAAACAATTAGCCAAGTCTGGTGGTGCATGCCTGTAGTCCCAGCTACTGGAGAGGATGAGGTGGGAGAAACGCTTGAGCCCGGGAAGAGGAGGCTGCAGTGAGCCAAGATTGCACCACTGCACTCCAGCCTGGGCGACAGAGAAAGACCCTGTCTCAAAAAAAGAAAGAAAGAAAGAAATAGGGGAAAACATTCATCCAAAACAGACATAGTGCCATCCTTCATCAGTCTTACTGTGACTCAAGTCTGCCAGTACAGAGGAATTGACTTACAGCAAGACACTTGATTAACAATTCAAGAAGGGGCCAATATTAGTGTCATGTTAGTGCAACGGACGGGCTGCTCAGATGACTGGCTGAGTTTTTCTTTCTGCAAGGATGTGATTTAATGAAGCTTTCCGGGTAGAGCATGCCGTGTTGCCATGGAGTAATTTGTAGGTGGTATATGTGGAATTGTGTTTCAAATGCAACCCTACTGTGTATGTATATATATATATTTGAAGAATGGTTCTTTTTTGTTAGTTTGTTTTGGGACACTTTAGTATAATTCAAGGGATCTCAGAGAAAATGCCCATGATCATTTTGCTCTTTCTAAAATAAATTATTGGGCTCTGATTTCTTCTTTTAAAATTAAGATTAATTTGTTAAAACATTTAAGTTGTGTAAATCATTCCCCACCCCCACCTCTTTTCTTGAATTGCGTTTATAGTGCTTGTATTGTAGTAAATAAAAATTATTCACTGATTTAATTCATTTTTATTTCTCCTGGGTTTTTTTTTTTGTGTGTGCTCCTTGTTTTCCTGTTATAGAATTGGTTCAGATTATAGTTTTTTCTGTCTCTTGTTTTTTAGTTCTGTCACTAATGAGTACATACAAATGCCAGGCATGGTGGTTCATGCCTGTAATCCCAGCACTTTGGGAGGCCAAGGCAATAGGATTGCTTGAGCCTAGGAGTTTGAGACCAGCCAGGGTAACATAGGGAGACCCCGTCTCTACAAAAAATAAGAAAATTAGCTGGGTAGGGTGGTGCCTGCCTGTGGGCCCAGCTACTCTGGAGGCTAAGGTGGGAGGATTGCTTGGGCCTGGGAGGTTTAGGCTGCAGGGAGCTGTCATCCTGCCACTGCACTCCAGCCTGAGCAAGATAGTGAGAAATTATCTCAAAAAAAAAAAAAAAGTATATACAAGAACAAGTTAGAAACACACATACACAAAACATTTTTCACAAAGTGAGTTTTCCTACATAAGGAGTTATATTTTGTTATTGAGCCTGCTATATGGAAATATGGTTAACAGATAATAAGAATGAGAAATGAGAGCTTCCCCCGACTTTTCTCTGCCATTTGTATTGACCAATTTATCTTTGATTAGCTGCTCTATGTAAAAAGTAATGTCATGGCAGATAAAACTTGTTTCAGTCTTTGAAAGTGATGGCAGCAGCAGCTGTCTGGTGCGGCTGCCATCACGCCAGCCGCTGCAGGGCATGGGGAGGAGGCAGACAGCCCCCTCACTTTCCCCCACAGCTTGCAGCGGGGAGCAGCACAACAGGGGAGCAGGGAGATCAGGCAGAGAGGGATCTCGATGTGGAGCTGGGGGGTCTTAGGGACGGACCAGGCAGAAGCCCCGCCCTTGCTCCTACCCACTTCGCAGCTGCAGCCGCCCAAACCAGTGGCTGCAGACTTAGATATTCCTGCACTCTTGGGGGCCTGGGAAGGCTCCCCTGCTTTTGCAGTCTTGGAAGTCCCTGCTCCTGCTGCCTGACTTCTCCCTACTGTTGGCACCAGCTCTGATCTTGGAGCAAAGTCTGGCCAAGCCTGGGTGCCATGAATGGCAGGAGGCAGATTCCTGGGTGGAAGGGGCCAGGGAGGGCCGGAAGGCTGCAGGAGGGGCTGCCAGATCCACCCACTGGAGTGTGGACTTGTGGTGCCTTTTCTGGGCCTCCCCATGGACCAATTGGCACATACTTCCTACCCTATGAGGTCCATAAACGCAACCCCCACCCCGCTCCCCAGCTCAGCCAGGGCAGATCAGAGGATGGAGAGTCACTAGAGGACCAGCTGCAGAGAAGAGCTATCCTATCTGTGGAGAGCTGGGAAGATGATGGGACCACCAGCTGCAGAGAGGAGCTACAGTATCTGCTGAGAACTGAGCACACGTTGGGAGGAGGCTCCTCTCTGCTGAGAGCTGCAGAGTTGATGGGACAACCTTCCTGCAGAAAGGAGCCACCCACTGTGGCTCTCCTCTGAGCTGTTCCAGCACTCAATAAAACTCCTCTTTGTCCTGTTCACCCTTCATTTGTCTAAATACCACATTCTTCCTGGATTCTTCCAGGAAGAATCCAGGACGTAGGACAAGAACTCAGGCAAAGGTGCCACTGGACACCCCAAAGAAAAAGCAACACCCCAAAGATCCCAAAACATAAGGACATGTTGTTCTAATAGCACAGACCAGGCATGCATTTCCATTTGGTATCTGAGTGGAACTTACCATTCCATGAAAGCAGACTTGATAGAATGTGTAACTACCCTGTCCGTTTCAGGCCACGTGGTTGATAATGTACATCTTGGCCAGGTGTTTTTATTGTAAGTCATTTCAAGCCTTTTTTGGAAACAGGGATGCCAATGAAATAAGTACAGTAAATAAACAAGGATATATGGACAGTTTTTTTTCTTTTTCTTCTCAGCGTCAGCACAGTATTCACCCTGAAGATGGAGAGTCATAGGTTTGAGGATCAGTATCAGGGGCATTCTGGATCATCTTTCAGAGTGGCAGTCCAAGCTAAAAGCCCAGTTCCGCCGCACAGGGTACATGAGCCAGCTGAGGCAATGTTTGGCTGAGAACAAGAAAAATGACTCAAAGAAAGTCAGTGTGGACACCTAAAGCCAGGACGATGTTCCAACAAGCTGATGATTTATAGAGCATTGGTGCAACCAGCCTTCTACCTCATGCAAAACCCAGGGAGTAGCCTCATATGGACCCTTTTGCTACTTTTTAACTGGCCTCCACCACCGGCCACACTTAAGTTTAAATTGGTGCAGTGGCTCATGCCCATAATCCCAGGACTTTGGGAGGCCGAGGCAGGTGGATCACCTGAGGTCAGGAGTTCGAGACCAGCTTGGCCAACATGGTGAAACCCCATCTCTACTAAAAAGAAGAAAAAGAAAATGCACACCTATAATCCCAGCTACTCGGGAGGCTGAGGCAGGAGAATCCCTTGAACCTGGGAGGCGGAGGTTGCAGTGAGCCAAGATCACCCCATTACACTCTAGCCTGGGCAACAAGAGCAAGTTAGAAACACACATACACAAAACATTTTTCACAAACTGTGTTTTCCTACAGAAGGAGTTATATTTTGTTATTGAGCCTGCTGTAGGGAAATATGGTTAACAGATAATAAGATAATAGTAAACTCCATCTCAAAATAAATAAATATAAATAAATTAATTAATTGGTGAATGAGAATTTACTTAGAGTCCTCTGCATGAGTTTCTCCCCAATCTGCAAGTCTAATGGGGTGACTACCTCTGACTACTTATGTTGGATTTCACTGTATGTGTTTATATATATAAAATATTGAGATAAACGCAGTGTATTTTGATTGATAGGTGTTATTAGTCTGCTAGGTTTGCTGGAACAAAGTACCATAAAGAGGTTGCACCCAAGAATCTTCCAGAATCCTACTGGTGCTAACTCTCCATAGGTTGGTTATTGTCATTCTGTCCCCCCAAAATTCATGTTGATATCCTAACCCCAAGAAGCTTAGAATGTCAGCTTATTTGGATATAAGGTTGTTGCAGATGTAATTAGTTATGATGTGGTCATGCTGGAGTAGGGTGGGCCCTTAAATTCAATATGACTGGTGTTCTGATAAAATGGGAATATGTGGACACAGATGCGGCTCAAACAACAGAAATGTCTGACAGGTCTGGAGGCTAGAAGTCAAAGATGAAGGTGTCTGCAGGGCCATGCTCCCGCTGAAGGCACTAAGGAATCATCTGTTCCAGGATTCTCTCCCAGCTTCTGGTAGTTCCTTGTCTTGTGGCAGCAAACTCCAGTCTTCACACAGCATTCTCCCTTTGTGTGCATCTGTGGATGTCGACGTGAATTTTGAGGGGACATAATGACAATAACCAGCCTATGGAGGGTTAGCACCAGTAGGATTCTGGAAGATTCTTGGATGCAACCTTATTATTATTATTATTATTTTGAGACAGTCTCCCTCTGTTGCCCAGGCTGGGGTGCAGTGGTGCCATCTCAGCTCACTACAATCTCTGCCTCCCGGGTTCAAGCAATGTTCCTGCCTCAGCCTTCCAAGTAGCTGGGATTACAGCTGCACACCACCATGCCAGGCTAATTTTTATATTTTTAGTGGAGATGGGGTTTCACCATGTTGGCCAGGCTGGTCTTGAATTTCTGATCTCAAGTGATCTGCCCGCCTTGGCCTCCCAAAATACTGGGATTACAAGCATGAGGCACTGCGTCCAGGCTCCTCATGCCTTTCTCCCAACCCAGTGACCCCTCTCCTCCTCTCTGTCTCTCTGAATCTCCCCATCATCCCAGCTCCAGCTCACCTTATCATCATTAGGAAATCTTTGTTCTCACTGGCAGGGACCTTGCCCAACTCTGCACTTGCAATCTTGACCACCAACCTCTAGTAATTTGGTTCATTCTGTCTCCTTATTTTTTTCTAGCTGATATTTAAAGCATAGCCACCATATGTTATCTATCATGCCATGCATTTACTAGGTTCCTGGCATTTATAAATTGAGCACTTTCTGGTTTTATTAAGAAAAGGAACTCCGATACTTAGGCACATGAAACTTTTCCACCTTCAGATTAATCACCTTAATTAATCTTAAGAGTGGATATGTAGGCCAGGCAGGGTGGCTCATGCCTGTAATCCCAGCACTTTAGGAGGGCGAGACAGGCGGATCATGAGGTCAGGGGTTCGAGACTAGCCTGGCCAATATGGTGACACTCCGTACAAAAATTAGCCAGACGTGGTGGCGCTTGGCTGTAGTCCCAGCTACTCAGGAGACTGAGGCAGAAGAATCAGTTGAACCCAGGAGGCGGAGGTTGAAGTAAGTCGAGATCGCGCCACTGTACTCCAGCCTGGTGACAGAGTGAGACTCTGTCTCAAAAAAAAAAAAAAAAAAGTGGATGTGTGAACGTGTTGGGGTGGAGTTGAGCAGTGAGGTAGCAATGAGTCTGTTAATTATTGAGTACTCAGCTGACTATACATTGTCCAAAAAGCAAACCAGCCGCCATTTTCCACTTTGATAACATAAGCAAATTGCTGGGAATGTATATTCAATCATGTATTTGGGAATTTGAGAGTTTCCAGGGACATCAGACTCTATTGGGCCTGTCTCTGTGACAAGGTTATGTGTGAAGGCAAGAACCTTTTCTTTTACTTCTTAAAGCCCAGCATAATTCTGGGGACAGAGGCATGCTTATTAATGCATTACATTAGCATTAGTGAAGCCAGAGATTTCCTTAATGTAAATAAAGTAAATAAAGAAAAATGTGGCCAGGCACAGTGGCTCACACCTGAAATCCCAGCACTTTGGGAGTCTCAGGCAGGCGGATCACTGGAGGTCAGGAGTTCGAGTTCAGCCTGGCCAACATGGTGAAACCCTGTCTCTACTAAAAATACAAAAATTAGCTGGGCGTGGTGGTGGGCGCCAGTAATCCCAGCTACTCAGGAGGCTGAGGCAGGAGAAGGCTTGAACCCAGGAGGCAGAGGTTGCAGTGAGCCAAGATCACGCTACTGCACGCTAGTCTGGGAGACAGAGTGAGACTGTCTCAAAACAGAAAAAAAGAAAAATGTGTTCTTACTGTAATAGACTCAGTAAATATTTTGCAACTAAACATAAATTTACTATAATTACCAAGTGGAGTTTGTCATTTTAATTTTGAATAGTATGTACTACGGTTTGAGTATGCCCTCCAAAACTCATGTTGAAATTTAATTGCCATTGTGACAGGTTTTTTGTTTTGTTTTGTTTTAGCTTTTGTTTTTTTGAGATGGAGTTTTGCTCTTGTCACCCAGGCTGGAGTGCAATGGCCTGGTCTCAGCTCACTGCAACCTCTGCCTCCCAGGTCAAGCGATTCTCCTGTCTCAGCCTCCCAAGTAGCTGGGCTTACAGGTGCCTGCCACCACGCCCTACTAGTTTTTGTATTTGTAGTAGAGACGGGGTTTCACCATGTTGCTCATGCTGGTCTCGAACTCCTGACCTCAGGCAATCCACCTGCTTCGGCCTCCTAAAGTGCTGGGATTACAGGCATGAGTCACCATGCCCAGCCTATGACAGGTTTAATAGGTGGGACCATTAAGAGGTGTTTAGGCCATGAAAGCTCTGCCCTCATGAATAGATTAATGTTGTTATTGTAGGAGTGGGTTTGTTATAAAAGCAAGTTTGGCCCTCTCGTGCTCTCACCCCCTCTTGCCCTTCTGCCTTCTGCCATGGGATCATGCTGCACTAAAGTCTTCACCACATGTCAGCATCATGCACTTGGACTTCCAGGACTCCAGAACCATGAGCCAAATAAACTTCTTTTCCTTATAAATTACCTAGCTTGTGGCATTCTGTTATAGCAACACAAAATGGACTAAGTATGTGACATATGCTTTTAAATGTTATAAAAATTGCAACCATACATTAACCGTTCTAAAACATTGAAAGTAATATTTCTTTAGAGTGAATGAAAACTTATACATTTGAAAAAAATGAATGAGACTTCTGAGGTATGTAATATAAAATTATACAGGCCTGACATAGGAAGGCAAAATAAATTAAATATCTTAATTGGAAAATTGATATTTAACTGTATTTGCCCCCCTATGACTTAAGAGTAGTCTAGACATTATACTTTTCTATCTAGTGTGCTGAAATATGTCTTGATGGTAAATTCAAGTAATAGCTACACGTGTCTTGTATTTTTGCAGTTAGTTGAATGAACAGGTTTAGTTATCATTAGTCATAGAACTCCAGGCCACGGTATGATTAAATAATATTCAATTTATAATTCATTCTAAATATGAGTTTTATATTTAGATTCCTGTTGAGATATCACATAGAATAAAATAATTTAGCTCTCCCTCTCCCTCTCTCCCTCTCTCCCTCTCCCCACAGTCTCCCTCTCCCTCTCTTTCCACGGTCTCCCTCTGATGCCGAGCCGAAGCTGGACTGTACTGCTGCCATCTTGGCTCACTGCAACCTCCCTGCCTGATTCTCCTGCCTCAGCCTGCCGAGTGCCTGCGATTGCAGGCGCGCGCCACCACGCCTGACTGGTTTTCGTATTTTTTTGGTGGAGACGGGGTTTCGCTGTGTTGGCCGGGCTGGTCTCCAGCTCCTAACCGCGAGTGATCCGCCAGCCTCGGCCTCCCGAGGTGCCGGGATTGCAGACGGAGTCTCGTTCACTCAGTGCTCAATGGTGCCCAGGCTGGAGTGCAGTGTCGTGATCTCGGCTCACTACAACCTCCACCTCCCAGCCGCCTGCCTTGGTCTCCCAAAGTGCCGAGATTGCAGCCTCTGCCCGGCCGCCACCCAGTCTGGGAAGTGAGGAGCGTCTCTGCCTGGCCGCCCATCGACTGGGATGTGAGGAGCCCCTCTGCCTGGCTGCCCAGTCTGGAAAGTGAGGAGCGTCTCTGCCCAGCCGCCATCCCATCTAGGAAGTGAGGAGTGTCTCTGCCCGGCCGCCCATCGTCTGAGATGTGGGGAGCGCCTCTACCCTGCCGCCCGGTCCGGGATGTGAGGAGCATCTCTGCCCGGCCGCCCTGTCTGAGAAGTGAGGAGACCCTCTGCCTGGCAACCGCCCCATCTGAGAAGTGAGGAGCCCCTCCGCCCGGCAGCCGCCCTGTCTGAGAAGTGAGGAGCCCCTCCGCCCAGCAGCCACCCCGTCTGGGAAGTGAGGAGCGTCTCCGCCCGGCAGCCACCTCGTCCGGGAGGGAGGTGGGGGGGTCAGCCCCCCGCCCGGCCAGCCGCCCCGTCCGGGAGGGAGGTGGGGGGGGTCAGCCCCCCGCCCGGCCAGCCGCCCAGTCCGGGAGGTGAGGGGCGCCTCTGCCCGGCCGCCCCTACTGGGAAGTGAGGAGCCGCTCTGCCTGGCTGGCCGCCCCGTCCGGGAGGGAGGTGGGGGGGTCAGCCCCCTGCCCGGCCAGCCACCCCGTCCGGGAGGGAGGTGGGGGCGTCAGCCCCCCGCCCGACCAGCCGCACCGTCCGGGAGGTGAGGGGCGCCTCTGCCCGGCCGCCCCTACTGGGAAGTGAGGAGCCCCTCTGCCCGGCCAGCCACCCCGTCCGGGAGGGAGGTGGGGGGGGGGGGTCAGCCCCGTGCCCGGCCAGCCGCCCTGTCCGGGAGGTGAGGGGCGCCTCTGCCTGGCTGCCCCTACTGGGAAGTGAGGAGCCCCTCTTCCCGGCCACCACCCCGTCTGGGAGGTGTACCCAACAGCTCACTGAGAACGGGCCATGATGACAATGGCGGTTTTGTGGAATAGAAAGGGGGGAAAGGTGGGGAAATGATTGAGAAATCGGATGGTTGCCGTGTCTGTGTAGAAAGAGGTAGACATGGGAGACTTTTCATTTTGTTCTGTACTAAGAAAAATTCTTCTGCCTTGGGATCCTGTTGATCTGTGACCTTACCCCCAACCCTGTGCTCTCTGAAACATGTGCTGTATCCACTCAGGGTTGAATGGATTAAGGGCGGTGCAAGATGTGCTTTGTTAAACAGATGCTTGAAGGTAGCATGCTCGTTAAGAGTCATCACCACTCCCTAATCTCAAGTCCAGGGACACAAACACTGCGGAAGGCCGAAGGGTCCTCTGCCTAGGAAAACCAGAGACCTTTGTTCACTTGTTTATCTGCTGACCTTCCCTCCACTATTGTCCTGTGACCCTGCCAAATCCCCCTCTGCGAGAAACACCCAAGAATGATCAATAAAAAAATAAAATAAAATAAAATAAAATAAAATAAAAAAAGAGTTCCTCCTGCCTTGTCCTCCTAAAGTAGTTGGGATTACAGGTGTGAGCCACCGCACCTGCCCTAAATTTTTTTTAATTTGGTGTCCTGAGATAAGAAAATGTTTCACCATTTGTTAAAATTTTCTTTTGTATCATTTACAAAATTGTTCATTAATTTCTAATAGATACATTCAATGTTTTTTATACTGAGACAAAAAGGAATTTTGAATTTTTTGCAATAAATTGCATTTTAGTTGTGAATTTGGCATTTAAAAAATCCATTCTAATAAATTTTCAGTACAATTAAAAAAAAATAATTTACTGTAATTCTTTCTGCAAGCTTTTAAAGAAATTATATGAGGTAAGACTGCCGCCTGCTGGTCAAGATGTGTTGCTCATTTACATTTCAAACTTGTTTTTCACGATAGCATAGGATGTGATAAATCCAATTCAAAGCAATCCAACATACAGACTTTTGAGATGTCCTAGGTTGTCACAAATTATTGATGCTTGGACATTCTAACAATTATCATTCCCACAAGCCTTTCGTGTTTATCCTTCCCTCTTGATGACTGTTGATAACAAATCTCTGGCTGCATATTTCTGAGTCTTTGAAATGTACAACTTAGGGGCTAAGTTGCATTTATGCTCCTTTCTCTTGAGCAATGTGAGCTAAGCATCCATCTGTAGGTGAGAGATCTCTAAGTGTTGCTGAACCTGCTGCATAACTGCACTCCTCTACCTTATCTTTTTCTGACGACATCTCACAAACATATTGGCAATGCTGCTTTGTCCTCTTCTGGAACCCCAGCATAAAGATGTCCCCCACTCCTCTCACTGGCTCTGAGCCCAGCCCCAAGGTCACCCATCACTCAGGTGATCCTCAGCTCAGCCCTAAGGTGACACAGTCTTGTATCATGACTCCAGGGGAGCAGTTCCCAACCTTTTTGGCACGAGGGACTGGTTTTGTGGAAGACAATTTTTCCATGAACCGGGGTTGGGGGGATGGTTTTGGGATGATTCAAGTGCATTACATTTGTTGTGCACTTTATTTCTATTTTTATTACGTTGTAATATATAACAAAAAGTTAGACAAGTCACCGTAATGTAGAATCTGGGAGCCCTGAGCTTGTTTTCCTGAAACTAGATGGTTCTACCTGGGCATGATGGGAGACAGTGACAGATCATCTGGCATTAGATTCTCATAAGGAGTGTGCAACCTACATCCCTCACATGTGCAGTTCACAATAGGGTTCACGCTCCTGTGAGAATCTAATGCCCCTGCTGATCTGACAGGAGGCGGAGCTCAGGCAGAAATGCAAGTGATGGGGAGCAGCTGTAAATACAGATGAAGCTCGCCTCCTGCTGTGCAGCCCAGTTCCTACTGGGCCATGGACTGGGGGTTGGGCAACCCTGCTCTAGGGGACAGATAACTGAGTTTGAAGGCCTGCTCTACCCCTGACCACCTCAATTACTCATTTTGGTTGTGATGAGCATGCACTCCTATAATAAGTAAAAAATAAGTTGTTATAAACATCCTTCCCTAAATGCTTCAACCACCAACCTGCCCTGACCTGAGGCTGATGCTGAGTTCCAAGGGGGCTCAGGTCTAAGAAACAAAGTTCAGATGCAAGTTCTTGGGTGTCAGTTTCAGTTCCCAGACATTGCTCCACCTTCTCCTTATTCCCAAGAATACCAAATTATGCACATCCTGTCTGCTCTCCCCAAACTTACTGAGCATGTTGAAATTAAATTGTACCCTGACAACTTGAAAATCCTTTTCATGATTAAACAAATATTTATGGAACACTTTCCAGGTAGCAAGAACTTGCTAAATACTGCATTTAAAAAGATGAATGTGCTTTCCAAATGCTTAATTTGCACCATGAACACTGCTTATTCAGGACTGCCAAGAGAGACCCATCCAGCAGAGGTATCTATCAACTCTATTGAGGAAAAAAAGGCAAACACAAGAAATTTCAGGCACGTGAAGTTTGTAAGACCAAGAAAGGTAAAAAAGAAATCTTGAGAAATTCAAATGTGACATTATGTAATAGCCAGGAAAGTTACTTTGTTGTTGGGATTAAAATAGTTAAGAGATTTTTGTGAACTTCTTCTGGACATGGGCTCTTTTCCTGATCTTGTATTTCCAGCACCTCTCACAGTAGCTGCATATAGTTAGCACTTAATTAACATTTATTGAACTAATTGCCTCACTTGCTCTTGCTTACTGAAACAGTCATAATCATTATCCCCTTCATCTAGCAAATACAAAGTTAGGCGGAATGCGCACAGACTAAGTAAGAAACAGACAAGTGAAGCTGGAGAAGCTTCAAATGTTTGGAGGACGCCTGGGGCATTTCTCCCCAGGCTCCAGATGAATTCTGTGGTGCTAACTGTGATGCAGGAAACTTGGAGTCCCTGGGATTGCAAAGTCTGTCTGCCAAGGAAGGAGGTCTTCAAAGTACATGAGAAAGGAAAACGAGAATGAAAAATGGATTTGGCAATAAAGATGAGGGAGAAAGTCATGCGTCACATCTCGGTGAACCTTTTAACTGCTGATAATAGACATGTATAGCAGAGTCTTCTAAGGCTCACAAATAACAACAATGACGCTATGTGCTTTGCATGCATTACCTAAGTTAATGTTCAAAACAACTGGAAGCAGATTTGCCCCATTTTACAAATGAGGAGGAAACCGAGGTTCCGGGAGGTTGCTAGCTGCTCGGTGCAAGAGGCCTAGATTTCTGCGTATCTCAGCTTTCAACATGCCTTTCTCACTAAGCTTAATTATTTCTAGCTTTTGATTTAAAGTGAGAGACTTGAGATTCTTCCTTTCACTTCAACACTTAGAGGTTATTGCAAGATTCTTTTTTTTTTTTTTTTGAGACAGGGTCTTGCTCTGTCGCCCAGGCTAGAGTGTGGTGGCACAATCTTGGCTCACTGCAGCCTCCACTTCCTGGGCTCAGGTGATTCTTTCATCTCAGCCTCCCAAGTAGCTGGGACTACAGGTGTGCACCAGCATGCTAGTTAATTTTTGTAGTTTTTGTAGAGACAGGGTTTCTCCATGTTGCCCAGGCTGGTGTTGAACTCCTGGACTCAAGTGATCTGCCTGCCTCAGCATCTTAAAGTGCTGGGATTACAGGCTATTGTAGGATTTTTGATTGATTGATTGATTGATTGATTGAGATGGAGTCTCACTGTGTTGCTCAGGCTGGAGTGCAGTGGCGCAATCTCAGCTCACTGCAACCTCCACCTCCCAGGTTCAAGCAATTCTCCTGCCTCAGCCTCCCAAGTAGTTGGAATTACAGGCATGTGCCACAATGCCTGGCTAGGTGTATTGTTTTGTTTTTGTTTTGTATTTTTAGGAGCGATTTGTATTTTTGGTATTTTTAGGAGAGATGGGGTTTCACATGTTGGCCAGGCTGGTCTCAAACTCCTGGCCTCCAGTGATCCACCCGCCTTAGCCTCCCAAAGTGTTAGGATTACAGGTGTGAGCCACTCTGCTCGGCCGGTATTGTAGGATTCTTAATTGGCCTAATTTCAATATTGTTGCGTCTCAGAAAATAGGGAGGCCTGAGGAGAGAGATGGGGAAATGTCTGGTGTGTGAAACAGAACACACATAACATTTATTGATGAAGTTTGCTATCTTACAGGGGCACAGTTCATGGCAACCCCCAAAATTATAATAGTAATGTCAAAGACAATTATCAAGCAGCATAACATATATAATAATAATTAAAAAGTGAAATATTGTGAGAATTACCCAGATGAGACACAGAGACGCAAAGTGAAGGCATGTGGTTGGAAAAATGGTGCTAATGCAGAAGGTTGCCACGAACCTTCCATTTGTAAGAAATGCAGTCTCTGAAAAGTGTTATAAAGTAAAGCTCAATAAAGTGAGGCAGCCCTGCACATGCCTTGTTTTCTCTGCTGCTGCCATGCTGGTCTCCTGCCTGTTCCTGGGCTGCTGAATTGAGGAGGCTCAAACTTGCTTTAGGGCCTTGCTCTTCCCTCAGCCACCACTTGTCTAACATGAGTCTTTGCTCACCTTCTCACTTTCTCAATGAGGACTGAGCACCACCCCACTGAACACTGCGACATGCTCTTCCCCTGCACTCCCAGACCCTCTTCTTTACCCTCTCCAACCCATCATGGTCCTTTTACACTTCTAACATCCTATGCAATCCACTTATTTATTATGCTTATTCCTTTCTTTTTTTTTTTTGAGACAGAGTCTTGCTCTGTTACCCAGGCTGAAGTGCAGTGGCGTGATCTTGGCTCACTGCAACCTCTGCCTCCTGGGTTCAGGCAATTATCCTGCCTCAGCCTCCCAAGTAGCTGGGATTACAGGCATGCACCACCACGCCCGGCTAATTTTTTGTATTTTTAGTAGAGACAAGATTTCACCATGTTGGTCAGGCTGGTCTTGAACTCCTGACCTCAAGTGATCCACCCACCTTGGCCTCTTAAAGTGCTAGGATTACAAGCGTGAGCCACTGCGCCCGGCCTATTATGCTTATTACTTATGGGCTTTCCCCATATTCGAATGTAAGCTCCACGATAACAAGGACCTATTCACTGATAGTTCACAAACACTCAGAACGATTCCTGGCAATGTGGGCATCCATACATACAGTTTGAATAAACATATCCTTTTGTTCGCAAATAAAAATGGGATTGTATTGTAGAAACTGCTTTATAAAGACTCTTTGGCCTCATATTTTTTGAATGTGTTCTCATGTCAACAGACATACGATTCAAATATTTTTCTATCCGCATCATGGGCTACTACTGAATACCAGTTTTCGTCAGTTAATGTTTAATCAATCAAGCAATTAATTTGCTTTCATGGTAACCTTTTTTAAAAACAGCTTTATTGAGATGTAATTCACATACCATAAAATCCACCCATTTAAAATGTACAATTCACCTGTAATCCCAGCACTTTGGGAGGCCGAGGCTGGTGGATAACCTGGGGTGAGGAGTTCAAGACCAGCCTGGCCAACATGGTGAAATCCCTTCTCTACTAAAAATACAAAAAAAATTATCTGGGTGTGCTGGCGAGCGCCTCTAATCCCAGCCATTCGGGAGCCTGAGGCAGGAGAATTGCTTGAACCTGGGAGGCGGAGGTTGCTGTTAGCCGAGATCGTGCCACTGCACTCCAGCCTGGGCAACAAGAGCGAAACTCCATCTCAAAGAAATTAAAAAAAAAAACCAACAAAAAACAAATAATAAAGTGTACAATTCCATGGCAACACATATCTATTGAGAGCAAGACATCTGCACTGCAATCGGTTCTGAGGTTACAGCTGTGAAGATACAGTGCTTGCCCTCACAGAGATTATGGTCTGTGGGGAGAAGGGGACAGGCAGAAATTAATAAATACTTGCACAGATAATTACTTCTTAGTGTGGTAAGTGCTACACAGGAAAAGAGACGGCGTGTCCTATGTGTAATTAACAGAAGACCCTAACTAGTCTTAGGGCCCAGGGCAGGGTCCTGCCAGGAAGTGGAATTTACGCTGAGCCCTGTAGGATGAGTAGGAGTCAGGCAGGCGAAGGGAGAACGGCTGGTGGGGGGACTGGAATGTTGTTGTGGATGGATATGTAGGTTGTTTAATTATTTCACTAATAAATGCTGTAATGAAGGGCCTTAAATTATTTCCTTAAGGCAAATCCCTAGAACTGATATTGCTAGGTCTAGATGTATGCAGATCCATCCTCCCTTCCTCTCTTTTTTTTTTCTTTTTTCTTAAACCTTTCCTATGTATCACATTGCTGGAAGGGTGGTGGTTTAGGTGTCTAGGGAATTCCAAGTCCCCTACTATTTTGCTGCTTCCTTCTCAAGATGATTCAGACAGGATTCCAGGAGCCTTGGAAAATAAGACCCTATGGGAAATCTTTGCAAACTGAGGCTGGCAGGTAGCTGCAATGCCTCAAGTATAAAGAGCATCGAAAATGCTGAACATTCAAATCAGGTTCCAGTAGATCTGAAGTGTAGTGAGAAATCTTCTCATTCTCCCCCTCCCCCTCCCCCCTCCTTCTTCTTCCAGTCTCCCTTTGGAGTGCAGTGCTGCGATCTTGGCTCACTGCAACCTCTGCTTCCTGGGTTCAAGCAATCCTCCCACCTCAGCCTCCTGTGTGTGCACCGCCACACCCAGCTAATTTTTTTTGTTTTTGTTTTTGTTTTGTACAAAAGAGTTTTCCCATGCTGGCCAGAGAGCTCAAGCGATCGCCTGCTTTGGCCTCCCAAAGTGCTGGGATTACAGACATGAGACACCACACTTTGCCTATTTTCTCTTTACTTAGTTTCTTTCTTAAATGGAAAGTCATTGAAGAACTCTATAAGGTTCTAATTTTGATTGCTTTTTCAGTGACTCTGATGAACACATTATTGTAGTATCCGGGCAGTCTAGCTATTTAAATACTAAGTGGTACTGAAATTATGACCATTTTGCAGGTTAGTACTGAAAATTTCAATTTCAGTTTTAAATTCCAAATAAAAAAAGGCACGAAGTCGTTTACAAGAAGCACATGAAATAAAATGGAAATTAAAAAATCTGAAAGCAGGAATAAGGAAAGAAAAAGCAAATTGGCCAAATCATACTAAAGAGAGAAATAAGATGAGTTATAAATTCAAATTATATGAGAGGAGAAGGCATATAATACTTATTTTACCTTAAATTCATTGAGTGGCCTTTTTATATTCAGTTTTTCTTGAAAAAATAGTTTTGCTTCTCTCCTCAGACATCTTTGTGAATTGCCCTTCACTTTAGTTAGGTCTTGCCTTAAATGCCAAGACATCAGAGTTCTCTCCCATCACACTAATTAAAATAGAGCGTCTGTCTCCAGAATCCTACATGGTCTTCCAGCTTCTACCTTTGTTCTTTCCGATCCATTCTCTATGCTGGAGTCAGAGTGCTCTTTTGAAACCCAAGTCAGCCCATGCTGTTCTGTTTGTTTATTTATTTAGAGATGTCATTCAGGCAGTGGCTTGATGTCTGCTCACTGCAACCTCAGCCTCCTGGGTTCAAGTGATTCTCCTGCCTCAGCCTCCCAAGTAGCTGGGACTACAGGCGTGTACCACCATGCCTGGCTAATTTTTTTTGTACTTTTAGTAGAGATGGCATTTCACTGTGTTGGCCAGGCTGGTCTTGAACTCCTGACCTTGTGATCTGCCCACCTTGGCCTCTCAAAGTGCTGGGATCACAGGTGTAAACCACCGTGACTTACCTGTTCTGCTGTTTAAAACCCTCCAATGGCTTCCAATTTCCATTAGAACAATTTGGACACTCACATGGCCTGTAAAGCCTTTCCTAGTCTGGCCACCATCTCACTCCTATCTCTGACTTTTCTTCTTTTACCACTTTCCTGTTGTTGTGAGCTGAATTGTGTCTCCCTACCTTCCAAATTCATGTTTTGAGGTCCTAACCCCCAATACCTCAGAATGTGACCTTATTTGGAAATAAGGTTGTTGCAGATGTAGTTAGTTAAGATGAGGTCATACTGGAGTAGGATGGGTCCCCTAATCCATTATGATTGGTATGCTTGTGAAAAGGGGACATTTGGACACAGACACACACTCAGGGAGAATGCCTCATGAAGACTGGAGTGATGCTGCCACAAGCCAAGGAAATACCAAGCCTAGGAGATGGCCTGGAACGGATCCTTCCCTACGCCTTCAGAGGGAGCATGGCCCTGCAGGCACCTTGATCCTAGACTTCAAGATTCCAGAACGGTGAGACAAGAAATTTCTGTGAAGCCACTCAGTTTGTGGTACTTTGTTACAGCAACCCTAGTGGACTATTACACCTCTGTTTGCTCTTTAGCATTCTGGACTGTTATGGTTCCTCAAACAGGCCAGATGTAGTTCCTCCTCAGGGCTTCTGCATTGCAAGTTCAGGCTGCCTGGTATCTTTGCACAAGTATTTGCATGGCCCACTCCCTTACTCCTCTCTGCTCAAATGCCGCTTGTTCTAGGGGTCTTCTCTGGGCCCTCTATTAAAAACAGCACCCAGGCTGGGCGTGGTGGCTCACACCTGTAATCCCAGTACTTTGGGAGGCCGAGGAGGGTGGATCACGAAGTCAAGAGATCGAGACCATCCTGGCCAACATGGTGAAACCCTGTCTCTACTAAATATAAAAATTAGCTGGACATGGTGGCGGGCGCCCGTAATCCGAGCTACTAGGGAGGCTGAGGCACGAGGATCACTTGAACCTGGGAGGTGGAGATTGCAGTGAGCCGAGATCACACCACTGCATTCCAGCCTGGCGACAGAGCGAGACTCCATCTCAAAACAAACAAAAAACAAAAACAGCACCCCCGCCCTTTCATGCTCTATCCCTTTACCTTGTATTATTTTTTTCTGTGGCACTTCACATATGATGTACTTTAATACGTTTTACTGTCATCCCTCACCAATCCCTTACCCCAAATATAAGCTCCATGAAGGTAAAGAATTTCTTTAATTTGTTCACTGGTATATGCTGAGTCTAGAGTAATAGGCACTTAATAAATATTTGCTGAATGAATGAGTAAAATATGTAAGTAAAGGCTAGGCACGGTGGCTCACGCCTGTATCCCAGCACTTTGGGAAGCAGAGGCGGGTGGATCACTTGAGGTCAGGAGTTCAAGACCAGCCTGACCAACATGGTGAAACCCCCATCTCTCCTAAAAATACACAAATTAGCTGGGCATGGTGGTGGGCACCTGTAATTCCAGCTACTTGGGAGGCTGAGGCAGGAGAATCACTTCAACCTGAGAGGTGGAGGTTGCAGTGAGTTGAGATCATGCCATTGCACTCCAGCCTGGGTAACAGAGTGAGTCTGTCTCAAAAAAAAAAAAAAAAAAATATATATATATATATATATATACACACACACACACACACACACACGCACATATATGTGAAAATTTAAATCCTGAAGCTTGGAACTAGGGTTAACTGTAAAGGCATGCTAACCAATACATTCCTTTTTAAAATGAGATATTCCTAGTTACCACTGGGTCCTAGAGAAAGAGTATGGTTCTGGACTTCAGAGAACTTAAAATGTTAATAAACACACATCACTAGTGAAAATTATATGACCGGTTGATATTTCACTTTCATTAAGACTTTAGATTCTCTAAAATAATTAAACCTACTTTTGATAAAGTTAATATTTCCTACCCACTATTTAATTAGTTGTGTTAGAAAAGAAATTTGAAGATATACTGTGCTCTACACGAATTACAGGGAAAGCATCTTATGTGCAGGGGAGGAAATTCCTAGAGTGGACAAATAGTCAAATTTAAATTAAAAGAAAACTATGCCAAGTGACAACTGCTCCATTATCGGCCACCTTGAAATTGCCATGTTGAATACCACCAGGACCAGCTACTCCAGCTGCTTGAAGTCATTGTAGACCATGACCAGGGAGACCATGGCTTCCACACAGAAGCTAAGCAGACCACGGTAGGAAACCCATGTAATTTTTGTTCAGGCCCACACTGACGGTGACTGCACGGATGTGACTTTCAATGTGATTCCTATTGCTTGGTAGTAGCCCCTTTGCCACCGATATTTATATATTTTTACCATCGCCTTTAGGAATCTCTGTTTGTCCAACTGAAAAAGGGATCATGTCACCAGTTAAGGTGTTAAATGTATTTGTAAATGATAAAAGAGCCATGCTATAGAATATTTTGAAAATAAGGAAAAAAATTACCCAACTGTTACCATTTTGGTAATGTTTTCTGTGTTCACATAGTTGTAATTAAACTATGGCTATGCTTCTTTTTTGTTTCTTTTTTTTTAGGTGAGACGGAGATTTACTCTTGTTGCCCAGGCTGGAGTGCAATGGCATGATCTCGGCTCGCTGCATCCTCTGCCTCCCAGGTTCAAGCGATTCTCCTGCCTCAGCCTCCCAAGTAGCTGGGATTACAGGCATGTGTCACCACGCCCGGCTAATTTTGTATTTAGTAGAGACGGGGTTTCACCATGTTGCTGAGGCTGATCTCGAACTCCTGACCTCAGGTAATCCGCCCGCCTCGGCCTCCCAAAGTGCTGGGATTATAGGCGTGAGCCACTGCGCCTGGCCAACTATGGCTATGCTTCTTATACCCTGGGTTTTCATTCCTATTATACTCATTTTTACCTTACCGCCTCATCATAAAATGAGTAATACTGCTTCATAATGGTGTTTTAGTGGTTGCCTCAAATTCAGTTAAGTGGATGAACCATAATTGACAACATTTTCCTATTGTGAGACCTTTAGTCACAACACCTCTGCCCCTGTCCCCAGCTTTCTGCTATTTTAAACTGCAATTACTATCTTCACATTTTTAAAGCATCTTCCATAGTTTGCATAATTCTTTACTACAAATGTCTAAAAGTGGGATCCTTGGCAGGGAGGAAAGGGTTAACTGAGCGGATCTCGGCCACTTAAACCACACACATTACCAATGAATGGGGGTTTTCATGACTGGCCCTTGGCTGGCTCCTTGGAACTGAGCCCTTGAAACATTCTGACTGATAAGAGCATTTTGCCTGCTGGGAGGTCTTCAGCTATACTGTACTTCATTTAGTTTTTCCATTTAGTTTATCCTAACAATGTGATTTACAGTGAAGACCTGCGTTCCCTCTCTGGCTGCAGCTTCAGTAACTGAGGTCAGCCATGCAGGCACTGTATGCGTATGTGATGGCCATTAAGAAAAACTCTGGGCCACCAGTCTCAGGTGAGGTGAGGCGTGGTTGCATGTGTTATCACACATCCTTGCCGGAGGAATTAAGTACATCCTTTGGGACCTCACAGAGACTCTACTGAGACAGGAGACTTGGAAACTTGTGCCTGGAAGTTTCCTCCAGATTTCGCTCCATGCACAATCACAGGTGAGTCCATTTAGTAAATCGTCAAGCTTGGAGACCCTTGACACCCCTGGCTATACTGATTGGCATCAGTTGCAGATAATGAAAACTACTCTAGCTGATTAAAGCAATAAGTGTTTATTGTCATGTATTCTATGATTTCCAAAATTGTTGAAAATTATTTACTAGCACGTATTCTGTGGTTTCCAAAGATGTTGGAATTGCTAAAAAAGTAAATGGAGCTTCCAGGAACCATTTCTAGCACCAGCATTTCACCGCTTCTGCCAGAATTAGAAAGCCACCAAACTAATAAGCTATTTGCTATAAAAATCATACTGCCTTAGCTAGGATCCATGTCAGCAAAACGCGTGCCTTACATCTTACCTTGCTGCCCTCTTAACTCACCCCTGAATCCAGGCATCTGAATGACAGCCATATCTGACACTGTAACTGCAGGGGCATCTGCAAATGGAGCATTTTGCATTTACAGTGCTCAAAGATACAAGCAGGAAATTAGAATTTATGCTGAGTGAGCTAATCCACAGTATCTAACACATTGCATTCAAGGGTATGAATATTTTAACGTTTCTTGGTAGACACTGCCAAACTGCTTTTCCAGAAGGCTGGAGAAATTCACAATGGCAATAGCAATGAATAACGCTCCATTTTTCCAACACTTTATAGTTTCCTAATGAGGGAAAGATAATCTCAGCAGACAAAAACAAACACTAAGTCATAAGGCACTGTGTGTGCTCACTCTTTTTCTTGCTGTTTTCTTTGAAGAAAACAGATTTGTTAAGATTGTGGTGAGGAATAATCCCTTGCTTGAAAGCTGCAACTCTAAGTCGATTTACAAATCAACTATTCTATGATGGTGACTTAAAAACAAACAAACAAAACCAAAGCAAGGCACTCATCCGTGCAATGCTGGACTAAGCAATTTTGGTTATTGTTGAAAAGTACTGAATAAAGTATGGGGAAGGCTTATTTTACTTTTATAAGTCTCTCTAATTTATAATTTTCTGTTCCCACAGTGAAGAGAATTGTCAGGTTCCTCATCTTGGTCCTCCTCCAGGCCCTGCGTCTCTTCAATCAGTCCTACATAATTACCACTGGTTGCCTTAGAAATAGGGATTTGGGCTTGGGGTCAGCTGCTTTGATCTTTGAGGTTGAGATTTCTGCTTGAGAATTTTAGCTGTTGAAAGATGTAACATCTCATCCAGACGTGCAGGAAAATAATAACTGTGATGGAGATGTTTATATACACAAGGGATGGCATAAATGATAATGACATAAACTTCCTAATTCCGCAAAGATACTTACAACTTTACAATTATTGGGTCATAGGACACTTCGTCAATTTGTTAAACAGAAAATGAATAGAAAATGAATACAGGGTATTTATGATACACTGTCACAATGAGATCCTATTCTAGATATTACATGTGTATGCAGAGAACATTGCAAAGGAAGCATGCTAAATGCTTATAGCAGTTATCACCAGGGGTGAGACAGTGAGTGGCTTTTACTTTATTCCTTATACATTCTGGATTGTTTGAAAATTCTAAAATGAGCATATCTTACTTTAATAAAGATTTTAAAAGGTGAGAAAAAAATAGTTAAAAAATATTTCCTAATACCTTAAAGGGTTGTAGTAGATTTAAATTACATAATTGATAAGAATGTATTTTTGTAAATTATGTAGTATTATGAAAATACAATGTAGTAAATTTTCCTAAGTCCATGATCTCCCCTCCTTACTTAGAATTAATGGGTCTGATGCCTTTAGGTATGTTTAGTTTAAGAATTTTATTTTAAAGGAATTTCTGTGGCATAACATAAGGTTTATGGTACTTTTACTAAAAGTCACTTATAATGACCAAATTATAACAATTTTTGCAATAAGCTCTCATTAAATTTTCCTAAAAGTAGAAAAAGTACACATTATATACCATTTTGCACTTAATTACTTCTTTAAAATCTCAAAATAATTCAGTGTAAAATGTTAGTTTCAAAGACAATTTATGGGAAATTACAAAGCAACTACAAAGTTCTTCATAATAAATCCAAGATAAAAGTAACTTTTTACAGGTTGAAAGTTTTTCAAAATGCCTAAGTGGATTATAAATACAGTTTGGCCATCTGATGAATTTAGAGGCACTTTAAAAGGTGTCTAGTTGAACTACTACAGATAGGACATGTTTGAGGAAATTTAATCTTTAAGTCTAATACCAGTGTTCATTTCTTCCTGCCAAAACAAGAAATTTATTGGAAAAATCCATGAGCAGCATGATTAGTTTGATTTCTTTCTCTTTTTTTAGAGACAGGGTCTTGTTCTGCCATGCAGGCCAGAGTGCATGCAGGCCAGAGTGCAGTGGTGTGATCGTAGCTTACTGCAGCCTTGAATTCCTGGGTTCAAGTGATCCTCCCTCCTCTGCCTCCCAAAGTGCTGGGATTATAGGTGTGAGCCACCATGCCCAACCTAGTTTAATTTCTTCATAAAGATTCTTTTATAAGTTGTGCTAATACCTGGAAGGCCTAAAACAGAAAAAAAAAATTAGAATTAATTAAATTAGGATACTATATTGGAAAACTCTGTAATAACTTTAAAAATCCAAACAAAGAGTATCTGTCTAAGGTTGAGAGAAGGCATTGAAAAGTCAAGTTTAACATCAACTTTATCTGTGCAGGATGCCATCAATTTCTATTAAAATATGAAGACTGAAGTACATCAGATTTTCAGGATTTTGTTGTTGTTGTTGTTCTCGTGGCCTTCAAGATCATTTTCCATTTTATCCATAACATGGATTATTTTAGATTTTACATAATCTCTCACCTGCATTTTATATAGATTCAATTGCCCAACTCCACTAATACATTAAAACAGAGAGACCTTATGAAAAACACATTTAATGACATGAGAAAGCAAGTAAATAAAGAACATGCCAAAAATGTCCCTTTCCAAGGATAAATATAAACTCTTCTCAAGGTTAATGGCACTGTTCAATTTATAGCTCTTCTGTTTGATTTCCACATACACAGCTTATTTTGGTTAAAGCTAGATTGTGATTCAGAATATTATTCTATTTGACCCTTGCTGATACTTTTTTCTTCAGAGAAAGTGACAGCCATCATGAATTTGTACTTCTGGCTCATGTTAATTCAATAAAGGAAGGAAAGAAGTTTTCCTCATAACATGACAATTTACGCAGCTCAGTAGGTTGTGATACATTATTCATGCAGACAATAAATTTTAACTCCAATTTAGTCTCATTTCTATAGAAGTCTAGCAACAAAGTAAAATGGGTCTTTTAATGATAGTTCATGACTGGTCAACAAATATCTGAATTTTAGAAACCCAAACAGATATTAAGTAATATTCTAATTCACAAAGTATACACGTGCATTAAAAAAACAGAACTGCTAGCTAGTGTTACTCTGAGGAGAATACTACACTCACCACATCCATCTGTTCTGGAGAAGCTGAAGAGAAGGATGCTCTCAAGTAAGGGCTAGGAGCTGAGCTATCGACGTAGAAAGCATTTCCAGGGAGCATTAATACCTAAGAGAGTTTGTGGAAGATAAGTAATGTACCACTAAAGAAAAACTCAAAGATAATATAGTTAAGCCTAATCTCAGAGTAGGGAAGGATGTTTTAAGTTTAAAAGCAGTTAAAGAAATCACAAGAAAAAATACTAATTTATATAAAAATTGCGTATGTCATACAATGAACAAAACTAAACACATAGAAACTGAAAAAATGTTCAGAATCAATATGGCAAATGCTATCTCTTCTCAAAACATCAGGAATACACGAAAACTGAGAACACTCAAATTTCAGCTTTAATGTAGAAAGGACAGCTTCCTAAAGAAAGATAAATGGTAATAAATACAAACAAATGTTTAATCTAACTAGAAAAGTAATTTTTAAGTTAATAAGTCTGAAAGTTACTTTTAAGCTGGGGCCTGAAAGATAAATTACATCAGGCAAAAAGCAGGGAGCAGTATTTGAGGGCAAAGATACACAGAGTAAAGGCCCTGAGATGGGAAGAAAATTGCTGCATTCAAAGAACTGAAAGGAGGTAAAAAATGTAATGTATAAAATGAAGAAATAAAAGTATTAAATAAGCGTGTCAAGATGGGGTGGTCGGAACAGCTGCTGTTCTTGATGGCCACACAGGCAGACAGCTCACTGACTGTAAGCTCCATTTCCTCTTCTTCCTGGGCATCACATGTACCCTATTCCCCGGCCTCTTTCTAGCTGTGTGTGACCATGAGAGCGAATCCTAATCAATGGATGTGAGTAGAAGCCAGGTAAGAGATGTCTAAGGTTGGCCCATACAAATCATCCCATGTGTGATCTGCCATGCTCTTTCCATTTTGTAGCCATCTTGGAATCTGTGTGTTGAAGAATGAAAAGCAATGAGATGTAAGAAACCCGGGTCTCTGAATCACTGTTGGAACACAGAGGGTTGCAGGTCACATCTTAGAATTATATGTGAGTCAGAGATAAATTTCTATTGCTTATTAAGTCTTTGAGATTTTCAAGTTTATCTTCTGTGGTGGTTAGGGTTGACTAGTATAATCATGATCTTCAACAGCATTGAGTAACTGCTTGTTACACTGTCTGCTAAGACAAGAGGAGTTGGGAGTGATATGATTTGGAGTACTCTGGGCAAAAGATTTCAAGGCAGAAGATGGGTTTCTCTGTCCTGGTTGAAAATAAAATGAAAACCATCATTTCTCTCAGTAGCATGGAAAAGTTCTGGGATGTACTAGAAGCAAGGAGCTGAAAGAGAAGGGAGTGGTGGTAATCTCTTCACAAGATAACCAACATCTGGGCTGACAAAGTGGGGATAAAGCTGGAGATTATTTAGAAAAGGTAAAAAAAGAACATGTAGCAGGATATATGGGATAAATGAAGAGGACTGAAGAAGAGTAGAGTAAAAACAAAGTCTATATCCTTAGCGCCTCGCTTAGACATACCTACAGATAACCACTTACCACATATTTTGAGGATAATGGCATTGACAGAAAAGAATGTATCAAATTGATTTATTATACTACAATGCATTTATTTGAAGTAAGTCAATTGTTTATCAAGTACCTACTATGTGCTGTGATTAGGGTTAGAACAATTAATGAAGTCTGAGTCCTGCCCTCAAGTAAGATGGCTAAGAGAGGATAATAGCTTTCCCAAGGTGGTGGAGGTAGGACTGAAGTCCAGGCAGTCTGTCTCTAGCTCTAACTTCTAGAGCACCTTGTCTCTTATGCACCAGCATGGCACTTTGCCATCATCAATCCAATCTGTCCTTTAGTTCTTATGATTCAAGACAAAAGTGAATCTAGCAGTAGGGTTTCAGTGTGTATAAAAGACTGACAAACATGCAAATGGCTTTAATTAATGGAGAAGGAATAATTTATCTGGTAAACTGGAAAGCTACACAGAAAAATATTTAGAATTTTCAGCTTACTTGATGCCTCCAATGAAACCTAAGTAGATTTATAATTTAAATATAAAAAGAGGAAAAAAAAAAGAAACCTAGAATACATTCTATGAGCTAATTTTAAGTGAAAAAAAAATCAGGATACAAACTTTTCTGTATAATTTTAACTATGTAACATAAGTGCACAGCCAAAATACTGTAAGAACAAGCTTTTCAAGGAACTATACTATAAATGGTCACAAAATCTGGGTAGTAAAATCATGGGCTATTTAAAAAATTTTCATTATGCTTTTATACATTTTCCAAATATCCTACCACGAGTATACTTTATCTCCATCATCAGAAAACAAACCCTTCATTTTAAATACTAGTGGCTAATACTTACTGAGCACTGAGTATGTGCCACATACTAGTCTAAGGGCTTTACATATATTAACTCACTTAATCATCAGAGCAACCCTATGAGAGAGGGATTCTTATTACCTCTGTTTTACAGACAAAGCACAGAAAGGGTAACCTATTCAAGGCCACACATCCCCTAAGGGGTGGTGCTGGGATTCAAACCCAACAGGTGTGGCTCCGGAGACTACCCTCAGCCACTACGCTAATCAGTAGCTGAGATGAACAACTATATTTCCACTAATTTAGACCAGCTGGATAATTACGTAACCCAAAAACCTCTTACGATTTTGATAATGCAATAAAATATCTAATATTAGAACATTATGAGTTGGCTGGTGGGCAACAAGAAACATTTCTTTCCATTCTATTCAAGCAAAATATTAAAGAAAAAGTATAACTTTTCCTTAGGTTTCCCAGCCCTTCACCTCCCAGTTTTACCCCCATCTTAACGGCCTTTTCTTCAATCAGTTCTTTTACATCATTAATGCCTTTAACTTTAATCCATAAAAACATTCCAGCAGCAGGAACATGCCATTCTGCCAAACCTACAAACAAAAGAAGAGAATAAATGTCTTCCAAAGGAAGGCATTTTTGATGATATCAAAGTGTGTTGTTAAATGGCATAAGTATAGTAAGTAGAAACTAGTATTCCTAAAAAAGTTCCTTCAATTATAGCATTTTTAAAAATATCATTTTGTGAGCCTTCAAAATTGATGTTCTGGGTTTTATTTCAAAGAGTTACTGTGGGTGAGGGAAGAAGGGAGGGGTAGGGTGGGCAAGTGAATAGCTCGCGTGTGCGTATTTACAATGTAGTCAGTCTTAGGGTAGTGCAAGAAATCCCACTCCTCTCTCCTTCACTTAGAACCATACCTAGACAAACATGGCTATTTCAATTTAGAAGAGGATTCTTCCATTATTTGTGGATTCTTCCAGCATTACAACAAATCCTAGTATTCTTGTAATAGTTTAGATGTCCAGTGGATTAGCGTTTTTATCAGAATGTAATTAATTATGAAAAGAAATACTTAAAATTCAAGAATTCCAGAAGCAGTTGTGGGCTTTACGTTTCATTGAGTATTAGGATAGAGAAATCAAAAACAAGCATAATGATCTTTGATTTAAATTACTATCTTTTTAAAAAAAGAACTTGCTGTTGATTCAAAGTTTTTCTTCAGTACTATTATGCAAAGTGGTAAAATAATGCTATTGTCAGAAAGATACTAATTCTGTTTTTTTTTTTTTGGATGGAGTTTTGCCTCACCCAGGCTGGAGTGCAATGGCATGATCTTGGCTCACTGCCACCTCTGCCTTCCAGGTTCAAGTGATTCTCCTGCCTTAGCCTCCGAAGTAGCTGAGATTACAGGTGCCCGCCATCACGCCCAGCTAATTTTTATATTTTTAGTAGAGATGGGGTTTCACCATGTTGGCCAGGCTGGTCTGGAACTCCTGACCTCAGGTGATCCACCCACCTTGGCCTCCCAAAGTGCTGGGATTACAGGCATGAGCCACTGCACTCAGCCACTAATTCTGTTTTTACCAAGACTTTATAGAAAATAAGATAGGACAGAAATAAGGAATTGCTATTTTTGGTTTACTATTATTTATATCAAAGGCATTTTAATAATATAATTAAAGCCATATGATTAATTTGACCTTCATAATAAAAAAAGAATCTAAAACATTTTGCAATCAAGTTAGCAATAGATAATACTACAGAGATAAATGAGGTTAATGATTAGAAGGCAAATAATTTGTCAGTAAGACATCTGCCTTTGTACAGCTTAGTTAGAGAAGCATGGTTTGACAATTTTACCCTTTGGGGTAAAATTCTGAAATAACTAAAATTTTTGAAAATAGATATTATTAAGCTTTAAGTAAGTTAGTGATTGATTTTTAGATCTTTTTTTTTTTAATCACAAATTCTTTGCAGCAGACAGGTAAAGTGGATAGGAAGGTCTGTGCCCAGGTTTATCAAATGTTGCTTCTGAGATGATTTATGGTGTAATGTTTCCTTGGCAAGAATACTCCTGGACTGTTTCTTTTCCACCAGGATTGTTAGTAATATTCAGTGTTTATCCCCTACTTTTACAGATGCTACTGTTTATCATGAGGACGAATATACGTTCCACTCACCAGTTAACCACTTGTCTGCAGCTGCCAGTATTGCATCCTTCTGGTTACTATAGAAATCAATAACCCTAGAAAAAGAAAACAATGAAATGGATGTGCTCAGTACATTGATTGCAGAAGCAAAACAGTCTCCAGAGTCCAGGCTATAAGAATTTGTTTTCTATCTTGATTAAAATGTTGAATGCTTGATAGAAGAATGGAGCATATTTGTTTCACTTGTCTGGTGAAAAACTTTTAACTGCTGTGTTTTTTCCTTCATTGTAGAATAATTACAAAATAAAAATTCATAAAGAGAAGTCCATTTCTATGTAAAATATGGAACCTAGAAGTAGCAGGATCAATCTTTGTGTTTAGTTGTCTAAATACTGGTTCTCATCACTCAGGATAAAAGACAATACTATTGAAATAATGAATCACCGGTCTGGGAATGCGAATACCCCATTCCTCCTTATTTCTAAATGTCCTAGGAGGTACCATATTTACACAGCTAAAGTAATCCATAACTTGTACCAATATACAGACTATTTAGGGAAATTATGTTCACCTTCATCTTTACTTGAGCCAAATCCCGTGTCATGTATCCTTCACAATTAATCATTATTAAATAAAATATTTATATGTATGAAGTTTACCCATTACATCATTTAAGTAAGTAAATCTTAACCTGGTGGGAATTTTGGACTACCTTAGGAGTGGGTGGACACTGCTTTCAAACCACACCTTGGATGCTGAGAAGACTTGCTAGGTGAAGAACTAACAAAATGAATAGACTTTTGACTTATAATAGACCGTTCCTATTGTCTCTCCTTTCCGAGGATACTTAGGAAGGAAGAATAAATCAATACTGTAGGTGATCTGTACTATGTTCACTGGGCTCCTGTTTTGTTCATAAATATTTAAAGAAATGATACAATACCTGTCTACATGAGCCATGAAACCTTCTTCTCCCCATTCGTGTAGAAGCTGTGATATCATGAGCTAAAAGAGATAAAATCATAAATACCATGTTTCATCCCCTGAAAATGTACTTTTTGCCATATATAAAAGCAACTCACTTTTGATTACATGTAAACCACAATAAGATATAACAAGCTGAGCCTAGCTTATATAGTCAGTGATTTAAAACAAATGTCAATTAATAACAATGATAATACTAGTAAAAATAACAAATATTGATATACTATTTGTTATGTAGCAGGCACTGTTGTAAGATACTAATATATTTTACCAAATGTAATCTCTATAAATTTCTATTTTACTAATGAGGCACAAGGGTTAAGTTAACTTTTCTGAGTCCCACAGCCTGAAATCAGTCAGGCTATCCAGCTCCTGACCCGCGCTGTTAATTGCCATACTGTACTGCTTCTCTAAATATAAAAATGTACAGTAGATGTGTAAAGTTACATGACATATTTGGAGATTTTCTATTTAAAATAGAAGTTCTAGGCTGGGTGCGATGGCTCATGCCTGTAATCCCAGCACTTTGGGAGGCCCAACAGGGGTGGATCACCAGAGGCCAGGAGTTAGAGACCAGCCTGGCTAACATGGTGAAACTCTGTCTCTACTAAAAATACAAAAATTAGCCGGGCATAGTGACGTGTGCCTGTAATCCCAGCTACTCGAGAGGCTAAGGCAGGAGAATCGCTTGAACCCGGGATGCAGAGGTTGCAGTGAGCCAAGGTCATGCCACTGCACTCCAGCCTGGGTGACAGGGCAAGACTCTGTCTCAAAAAAAAAAAAAAAAAAAAATTAAAATGTTATAAATTGATAGTGAACGTCTGTTGATAACAGATACAAAAAATATGAAAAAAAGTCTCCAACTTGGTAAAACATGGGGCCATCTGCACTTTATGGAACATACAATATCAAACAAGTGTCCTATTCTACACAAACTTTTCTATTCTATTCATATTCTTGCAACCTGAGAGGTTGTGTTACAGACGGATCCAATAATTTCTCAAAGTTTGTAAGGAAATTTACACATTCTCTTAAATTAAGTTTACTTTATTTTAATTAAAATGCATTCCAACCCATTTCTTTAGAAAGATTAGCATGTCTGCAAAGAAGGCAAACTATGAGTCACTAAACAGGTTTGGAGTTCCTGTGCTCTACCATCTATTATTTTTTTAAAATTCTAATCTGATTACAAAAAAAAAATCGATTTCCTAAATTGTCCTTACCTGGTTAAAAGTGCTGGGGTGCAATGTTGAAACTTGTATGTGTAAAATAACTCTCTCTATTAAGGGTTTTGGACCAGTTAAAAATCCTATTCTCAACCTACGTGGAAAGAGAAAAGGCACGATACCAATTCCATATTAACAATTAATACATATCACTTTCCTGATTTCATTAGACAGACAATTGTGACCTGGGGACAAAAGGATCTAGATAATTAAAACATTCTAATAAAACTAACTACTTCTTATTTCAAAAACAAATTTAAGTGTACATTTAAAACAAGATCGACTACGTATTTCGAAATGTGCCCTTTCATACCTGATATCAAAAACCTGACTGGTCCGACTACAACTTTAGATAAACAGCCAAGAATCTTTGACTATTGCAGGTGAATAAAGGGAAAAAAAGGCCTGTGTTAATATTAATCATGAAACTGGTATTTTAAGACAAGTAGACTACAAGCATTTTAAGTGAAAAAAATTGTCTAGACTAAAAGATACTGAGGTACTATCTCTGGCTCTATTAGATCTAGCGTCAAGTTAGAGACACAGGGCCTTACCCAGAGGAAATGATTTTTGAAAAAGAGTCAGCTCTGATGACACGTCCATCAACATCCATGGAAAGAAATGTTGGTACCCTGAACTTAAAATGAAAAATAAAAAATACTGTTGGTCTGAAAGCTCTGTTAGTCACTGTACGATTATTTTGAATAGAGAGTAGAACAGGAGATGGATTTGGATAACAACAGTACAAATATTCTCTTACCTTTATTTCAACCCTTTAACATGGAATAACAAACAAAGATGCAGATTCTTTTATTAGCATCTGCTTGTCTTCATGGCTTTTCTGCCAAAAACACACACAAGGGCTTATTATTTGCTCCAGATGCCATTATTATGAACTTAAGGAAACTTCAAACAGGCCCTCTTTGCCCCAGAGGTTGAAATCCAGGATTAACAGACTTACAGGAGGGACTCAAGAAACACTAGTTTGAACAAGACCATAATGAGGATGGCCAGCAGCACTGAAGGGTGTTCAGAGAGAGAACGCTGATCCTTAGGACCGACAGAAAGAAAAATGATGAGAATGAAGATGAGAAATTAGTCAACATGAAAGACTGACTTCAACATTTACTTTAAAAGTAGCTACAAATGAGAAAGGAAATTTGCTGGCATGCTGATGGTGGGAGGCAGGAGGCAAAAGTGATGTTTTAGGAAACCCTGTAGAGAAATCAAGAGTTCTTATCTCTTCCCAGTATATTTAAGGGCAAGCTGAATCCAAGTATATGTTCTTTGCAGCCCTAAGAGCAAAGAAAGTGTTGGCTTTTGAAGAATCAGGCGTTGGTCTTAACATTATCATCATCTATCAGAAAAAAGTCATCATGAAAGGTAGCTCACATACATGATAGTGTGAGAATCAATCTAAATGCCCATTACTCTGCAGTAAGATCCAGGACATAAATGACAGGGTGGCAAATGTGGGATGCGCTGCCTGTGATGCCTCCTCTTGTGTCCATCGGGGATGCTGCTAACAGAGCACAGCCTCTTTCTCCTTCAGCTTGAGCACGGCTTCCTAATCCTTCTCATACATCATTCTAATCGGCCACCACCAAGACACAGAAGTCAACGGCCAAAGATGAAACTCAGTTCACATCCCTGGGTGATGTTTGAGGAGCTGTTAACTTGGATGTGGAGTTTAAGACGTCCATCAGCCCTGATTTACTCTGTTTGTCCCAGTGCCTGGTATAGAAAGCCAGCTACTATTTTGAAGGTAAGTAATTTCTGGAAAGAGCAGTAATACCAAAAAAGAAAGGTACTAATTCCATAATAAAACTGGAAGACTGAAAAGTAAAGTAGTAGCAAATTAATCATAATTGATTTATTTTCCATGTAAAAGTGGATTAGTTCTGACTCAGCAGTCAGCCTAATACCCAACACAGTGCAGTAACTTAAAACAACTTATCTTCTAATAGTGAAGTAAGTTCACATAATCACTTACCTTGTTAAACTGGAGAAAATAGTAAGGATCATCTTCTATTATGAGGAAATCATATTTTCTTGCAAGCTAAAAAAGGTTGAAGTAATTGTTTATTTCTTAATCTATTTATTTCTTAAAAGTTATCTAAAATTAAATTCATTTGGAATTATAATTCTTTGTACTCATTCAAGGAACTACTGTGTGTCTATTGTCTTAGACAACGAGGATAAAAAGAGGAACAAGGCATTAAAGGCTCTTATTCTCACAGAAGTTAGATTCCAGGGGGAAAGACAGAATATACATAAGCCTGTGGATCATGAGCAGAATAAACATTAGATGAGTGGTTTTATTTATTTTGTTTTTTTGAGACAGAGTCTCGCTCTGTCGCCCAGGCTGGAGTGCAGTGGCGCGATCTTGGCTCACTGCAACCTCTGCCTCCTGGGCTCAAGTGATTCTCCTGCCTCAGCCTCCTGAGTAGCTGGGATTACAGGCATGCACCACCACACCTAGCTAATTTTTGTATTTTTGGTAGAGATGGGGTTTCACCACGTTGGCCAGGCTGGTCTCAAACTCCTGACCTCAAGTGATCCACCTGCCTCAGCCTCCCAAAGTGCTGGGATTACAGGCGTGAGCCACTGCGCCCAGCTAGATGGGTGGCTTTTAAGTGCTGGGCAGAGCATTACAACAGGTGAGGGAGAGAGTGACAGGGTAGCTATTTCAGGTTCAATCACTGAGAAGGCCTTCCAGACCAGGTAATATCAGAGCTTAAAATGACAGGAAGGAGTCAGTTGTGCAAATATCAGAGAAGAATCTAGACTGAGGGATGAATGTGGGCAAAGGCCCCAGGATAAGCAAAACGCTTGACATGTTTAAGGGCTAAAAAGGACAGTGCGGCTGCCCCAAGTGCAGCAAGAAGAATGATAAGAGAGAAGGCTTGAGAACAGACCGACCGTGTTACCTAGCTCTGCAAGGCAGATAAAAGAATTTGGGCTTTATTTTAACTGCAAGGAGAAACCACCGGAGGGCTGTAAACAGGAGAACCCGGAGCCGGGCTTTATACTGACATTTCTGCAGGGACAGATGTGGCTGGCTGCTGTGTGAAGAGTGTGACTGGTTAGAGGGCAGGGCGAAATGCAGCTGGTGTAGTGAAGAAGGCATTGGAGGAGTCCAGTGAGGGCAGGCAGGGGCTCAGAAGATGGGGACAGTGATGACAACAGAGAAAAATGGATGGACTTGGATAAGCTCAGTGGTAGAGTCCACAGGAGAAGCAAGATGTGGGGGATGGGGGGCAAAGGAGGGAACGACAGGAATAAAGGGTAACCATTCATAGTTGCACTCTTTATGGAGATGGAGAATGTGAGAGGCTGTAGATCAGAGGTTTGGGGTGGGGCTGTGGAAAACCAGGAGTTCTATTTTGGGCATGTTAAGTGTGAAATGATTTTTAGACATCTCTGTGGAGGTATCAGCAGAAAGGTGGATACAGAAGCATAGGCCTCAGGGAAGAGGTAGGGGCCAGGCAATGTGCCGGTCATCGTGTACGTAATGGAATAGACAGCTACGAAACTGGACAAGGCTGTCTGGTGAGTATGTAAACAGAGAAGAGAACTTAGGACAGAGCCTGGAAAGTACAAACATAAGAACATGACTGTGTGTGTGTATGTGTGTGTGTGTATACGTGTGTTTATATAGATACATGTATATATATGTGTGTGTGTGTATATATATGTGTGTGTGTATATATATATATATATTTAGAGTTGGGGTCTTGCTATGTTGCACAGGCTGGTCTTGAACTCCTGGGCTCAAGCATCCTCCCACCTCAGCCTTCCAAAGTGCTGGGATTACAGGCGTGAGCCACTGCACCCAACCTGAGGCAATATTTTGAACCTAAAAATTTTCTAAGTAAAACGAACTGGCTGAAATCTTTCCTATGATTCCACTGGATGTGACTAAATTCTATAGAGTTTAACATGGGTTTGGTATTTATTTTAAAAAGCTATTTGTAGTGAAAGGTTGGGGACACAGTCAGGTACATAAAAAGAGACTTTCCAAAAAGCACATTTCTCTTATTTTTCAAAGATTTCTGGGGAGCTTAATATATGTTTGATACTTAAAAAAATGTTTATAGTGAAAAGCTAGGCATCATCGGTATCTCAAATAGATTTTATGAAAGGGGAGCATGCCTCTCATTTTTAAAGAATTCTTGGTAACCTAAGATGACAAGGAGTAGGAAGCAGAACAGACAAGTTAACAACACAGAAAATAATGGAAATCAAACTTGGGATAAAATATTAAATAATCTCAAAAAATTTAACATCAGGCCAAGAATGCTGTTTCTTTTATATTAAAACATCAATTATGGGGAAAGAAAAATCTCATAACTAATGAAAGATGCAGAAATTTATTGTGTCTAAATTTATTAGGACCCTGAGCATATATGATTTCCTTTTATTAAAAATTATATTCCTTGAAAGCAAAAGGCTAAGAAGAAAGGGAGCTTGCATAGTGCTCTTCTAAAAAGTCACAGAGAAACAGGAACACAACTACTTTAACCCATTCTTCTACAATACCTCATAGATTTCCTTTTTGCGTTCACTGGTTAATGAGTTTCCAGTAGGGTTGTTGCCATTTGGAACAGTATAAAGAAATTTGGGGGTGTTTTTCTGGGGATTCTTTGCATCTTCTGGTTTCCATCTGGAAAGTATGTCTCTTAGGGAATCTGGAACAATCCCACTTTCATCACTGGCAACATTAATAATGTTGCAGCCCAGTGGGTGCAGCTGTTGAGCACAAAAGAAAGCCTGAGTCAGTCATGATTACAAATGTAAGTGCTATTGGTTTTTTTTTTTTCTTTCTAACTAAGAACTTGCTCATTCATACCCTTAAAAATATATAAACCCGCAACCAGCTCTGAGCTCCTGAGGGTTGAGGTTACACATTTATTTATTTTTTTTTTTGAGATGGAGTCTCGCTCTGTCACCCAGGCTGGAGTGCAATGGCGTGATCTTGGCTCACTGCAACCTCCCTGGTTCAAGTGATTCTCCTGCTTTAGCCTCCCGAGTAGCTGGGGACTACAGGTGCACGCCACCACGCCCAGGTAATTTTTTGTATTTTTAGTAGCGATGGGGTTTCACCATGTTAGCCAGGATGGTCTGGATCTCCTGACCTCGTGATCCGCCCGCCTTGGCCTCCCAAAGTGCTAGGATTACAGCCGTGAGCTGCCACGCCCCTGGGGCAGATACCATTATTGTTCAAAAATACCTCCTGTCCCTTCCCAGAGAATTATATAATTCTTTCTTGCCCCGTTTACGTCAGGTATGGCCATGTGTCTTGCAGTGGGCAACAAATTCGGGGCAGAAGTGATGCATGTTCCTTCCAGTAAGAAGCTTTAAAATCCAGCTTGTGGTTGTCTATGTCTCTTTTCCCTCTGCTCTAAGATTGACCATGTTTCAGATAGAGATTGCTTCTGTCAATCTGGGGCTTAGAAGAAAGATGGCATGGAACTGAGCTCCAGCAGTCTTGTAGTGGATATGGAACGTAAGGGAAATAAAACTGTACTGGGGTCATTGGTTACAGCATAACCTAGCTTCTTCTGACGGAATTATCTTTTTTTCTGATTTTTCCTTTATTATTATTACTTTTTCAACTTTCATTTTAGATTCAAGGGGTACGTGTGCAGGTTTGTTACATGGGTATACTGCATGATGCTGAGGTTTGGGGTACAATTGCTCCTGTCACCCAGGTACTGAGCATAGTACCCAATAGGTAGTTTTTCAAGCCCTTGCCCCCTTCCTGACTCCCCCCAGCAGTCAGCCTCAGTATCTTTTGTTGACATCTTTATGTCCCTGATGAGTACCCATGAATTATCTTCATAATTATAATTATTACTGGTTTATGAAGTAGGCGTTTTACAAATGAATGTTTTTTGATAGAGTAAATCATATGTTTCATTTACTGTTGTGTTCATATATAAAACAGTCACAAGCAGAGGTGATATTAAAAATATTTAACAAGTGGTATAGCATGGGTATATCAGATACAGCGCAGCCTGGAATGGGGACCTGTAGGCCCCCTGTTATGCCGACATTAACTCTGGAACATGGGAGGTTCAGGGTGGTCCTAGGAGAGGGGTCAGGGAAGCCAGGGTAGTGGCGGGACACTGAATGGGATGAGCAGATCACCAGGCAGTACAGTAGAATTTCCATATTTTACCAATTGCTAAGGCTGAACTGGCTTGTACTGGCATTGCTTATAGACTTAGCTTTATACAAATTTGTGGAATCTCATTCATGGTTGAGCATTAAAAAGAAAAAAAAAGGAACTTAAGAAATAATAATTGAATGAGGTTCTAAAAAAATTGCAAATGAAAAGCAAACACTCTTTTAGCAGTCAAATGTAGAATTACGCATAAAAAAAGAACAATTCAGATCCTCCTTATGACAAATTTAAAAGGCCTTAACCTTATGAAGCACATCTACCATGAATAAAGCAAATCAATACTGGGCCATAAACTAAACACATACTGCTTATTAGCATATTTCCTCAAAGCTTGGCATACAGTTTCTGTTTTTCTGTTTGGGTATGTGAAAACATTTGTGCGTGTGTATATGCACGCTTTATATGTAGACACCGGTTTTACATTCATAGACATTATGTAATCTTAAATCTTAGGAGTTTAGGAAAACAAATTATGAGTATCCAATCATTGAGAAAAAGTAATTATTTTATTTTAGTTTTATTGTGGTAAAATTGTTGCCATTTTAAGCCTTTTTTGTTTGTTTTTTTAAGTGACAAGGTCTCACTTTGCTGCCTGGGCTGAAGTGCAGTGGTGCAATTATGGCTCCCTGTAACACCATGCTCCTGGGCTCAAGCAATCCTTACACCTCAGTCTTCTGCCTGGTTAATTAAACAAACAAAAAAAAGTTGTAGACATGTGCTTTGCTATGTTGCCCAGTATGGGCTCGAACTCCTGACCTCAAGTAATCCTTCAGCCTCAGCTGCCCAAAGTGCTGGGATTACAGGCGTGAGCCACCTCGTCTAGTCCATTTTAACTACTTTTAGGAGTACAATTCAGTGGCATTAATTACATTCACAATGTGTGCATCCATCACCTCTGTCTATTTCCAAAACTTTTTCCTCACCCCAAATAGAGACTCTGTACCTATTAATCAATAACTCTCCATTCTCTACTCTCCCCAGCCCCTGGTAACCACTCATCTACTTTCTATCTCCACTAATTTGTCTATTCTAGATGTTTCATATAATTGGAATAATACAATATTTGTCCTTTTGTGTCTGGCTTCTTAAAGTTAAAATGCTTTCAAGGTTCATCCATACTGTAATATGTATCAGATCTGTGTTCCTTCTTATGGCTGAATAATATTCCATTGTATGTATATACCACATTTTATTTATCCATTCATCCACTGATGGACACTTGAGTTGCTTCTACCTTTTGGCTACTGTAAATAATATTGCAATGAACATTTGTATACAAGTATCTGTTTGAGTCCCAGTTTTCAATCCTTTCTGGGTATATAGCCATGAGTGGAATTGTGGGTCACATGGTAATTATATTTTAATTTTCTGAGGAACTGACAAACTTTCCCACAGTGGCCATACCATTTTACATTTCCTTCCACCAGCAGTGAATGAACCCAGTTTCTTCACATATTCACTATTTTTTTTTAAATAATAGCCATCGTGGTATGTGTGAGGTAGTATCTCACAGTAGTTTTGATTTGCTTTTCTCTATTTAAAAAAATTTTTTCCCCAAGCCTGAGTCTTGCCAAATAATCAGACTGCAGGTACAGCAGTCACACATTGTAGAGTACTAACCACTACACGATCATGGAACTTGCGGCTTTCATACGTTGATTTATGTTGCTTTGCATTTCTCTACTAATGATGTTGAGCATCTTTTATGTGCTTATTGGCCTTCTGCACATGTTCTTCAGACTAATGTCTATTTAAGTCCTTTGTCCATTTTTAAATTGGGTTGTTTATCTTTCTGTTGTTGAGTTGTAGGAGTTCTTTATATGTTCTGGTTATTAAAGGTTTATCAGATATATTATGATAAATATTTTCTCCCACTGTATAGACTCTTTTTTCACTGTTTTCATAATGTCCTTTGATACACAACCACTTTTAAATCTTCAAGTTCAATTTATCTATTTTTGTGGTTGTCGTTGCTCATATTTTTGGTCATATCTAAAAAATCCACCAAATCTAAGGTCATAAAAATTTGCCCTTATGTCCTAAGTGTTTGTAGTTTTAGCCCTTATATTTAGGTCTTTGATCCATTTTGAGTTAAATTTTCATATGGTGTGAAGTAAGGGTCCAAGTTCTTTTATATGCATGTGGAAATCCAGTTGTCCCAGCACCACAGTTGAAGAGACTATCCTTTCCCCCACTGAATGATCTTGGCACCCTTACTGAAATCAACTGGATTTGTGGGTTTATTTCTGGATGCTCAGTTCTATTCTATTGGTCTATATGATTGTCTTTATGCCAGTACCACATTGTTTGATTACTGCAGCTTTGCAGTTTTGAAATTGGGAAGTGGGGGTCTTCCAAATTTGTTCTTTTTCAAGATTATTTTGGCTATTTAGGTCCTTTAAACTCACATCAATTTGAGGACTGGCTTTTCCATTTCTACAAAAAAGGCTGTTGGCATATCGATAGGGATTGTATTGAATCTGTAAATTGCTTAGGGTAGTATTAATATCTTAACAATATTAAGTCTTCCAATCTATGAACTGTGGAAGTCTTTCCATTTATTTGAGTTTTGCTTAATTTCTTTCAGCAAAATTTTTCAGTTTTTAATGTACAAGTCTTCCACCTCCTTTGTTAGATTTATTCCTACGTATTTTATTCTTTTGGATGCTATTACAAATGGAATTGTTTTATATATTGCTTTATATGTTGATTTTCATAAAAATAAAATAAAATTTGAAAAAAATAAAAGGATCCATGAAGTTGGAATCAATAGAGCATAAAAGTCATCGCATTGAATTCCCCTACTCTAAGCTAGAATTACTTTAGCCATATTTGTGTTAGGTGGCAGTCAAGAGTGACTGAGCACCTACAGTGATGGGCAATGTTGTAACCCATTATGAAGTCCGGTAAGGCCAATGGTTAGCAAGTTCTTATACAGAGCTGAAATTGTTTCCCTGTGGTTCCAGTTCTATTAACCTAAGGTCATGTACAAATAAATCTAATTCTTTTGTCACATGGCTAACTTCTATGTATTTGAGGACAGTTTTCATGCCTCTGTTGAGTCTTTTCTTTCTGGGGAAAATAGCTCCAGTTCCTACAACCATTCATCATATGATATGGCTTCCAATTCCCTATTTACTCTGACTATCTTTCTCTGAGTATGCTCCAGTTGTGGACATTTCTGTCTTAAAGTAGACTGCCCCAAACAAACCTAATGCTCAGCAATGTGCTCTGACCAGTGCAGAGCAGAGTCAGATCATCAGCTTCCTCATTCTGTAAATCACAGTTCCACGGATCTAACCTTGGAATGGAAAGTCGTCATTATACCATATAAGTATACTAAACTGACATATAACATAGTTGTACTTATGCATATGGTAATAAGATAGTAATAAAAAATAAATTTTTGTAATTTAAGTTACATTTCAAGTAAAATATTAAGAGAATTGGACATGATTTTGCATAATCTAATTTTAATGCCTATACACTTGGATTTCAAAAAAGAAATGTATAAAGAAGAGAATACATTTCACATACTTTGTATATATCCTTTAAGATTATCCTGCTTATGGATAAAATATGCTATTTCATTTTTCTGTGGACAGATTATTTTAAAGTTAATAAGATATTAACTTTATTATAATAAAGTTATTATAAAACCTTTATTATAAGTTTTCTTCTTATTTACTACAAGAGAGTTGCCTTTAGTAAAAATGTATACTCACACTTTGAAGAGTTCCTGAATAAGCAGGTTCATCTAGGAGGACATTATCTCCAGGATTAATGATCATTTCAAACACCTAACAAAAGAAGCATAGGTTAGCTTGTTAGTCAGCATAGGTTAGTACTGTTTCCATGCTCAGAAGCCCATTTTTTAGTTTGAGCTCACATGGTTCTAGAGTAAGAATTAGCAAATTGTTTATAAGGGGCCAAACAGTAAACACTTTGCGGGTCATAGTATCTCTGTTGCAACTACCCTGCAACTACTCTGCCTCTATAGTGAAAAAGTAGCCATAGACAATATATAAATGAATGGGTGTGACTGAGTTCCAATAAAACTTTATTTACAAAATTTGATGAAGGGCTGGATTTGGCTCTCAAACCATAGTTTGCCAACTCCTGTTCCAGAGAAAGGTGAACAGAGGTTTGGCTGCTAACATTCATTTATTCCTTTTATTGCTTCTTTGAAAATCTATTAAATGTTTACTATACGCCAGGCCTGTGTAAAGTGTCAGAGATAAAATAGCAAAATGACATGGTTCTTACTCTCATGGAGCTACTGGTCCACTGGGAAAGCTAGACACCAATTAAATAACTACCCAATAAATGTGCAAATTAAAAACGGTGGTGAGTGATATTAAGTACAGATGCACAATGACATAAGAGCTCATTGTAGGAAGACCTAGGCATTCAGGGAATTCAGGGAAGGCATCCTGGAGGAAGCGATGAGTTGGTGTACGGGGTAACAACAGTTAGATTTGAAAAACCAAAATAATTATGTGTCTTGAGGCAGAATGTAGAGAAAAGAGTGGTGTGACATCAGACAGAAGTGGGCAGAGACCAACCATGTAGGCATTTGAGCCAAGGGAGGCAAGTAAGGATTTTAGGAAGAGAGTGGGGAGGAGGAGTCACATGATTAGATACTCGTCTTGAAAAGATCAATCTGGCTGCAGTATGAAAGAATGAAAGAAGGGTGAGAATACATGTGGAAAGTTTAGAAAGTTTTTAGGATTGTTTGGGAAGTTACTGCCACAGGCCTGGAACAGGTAAGGGTCATCTTAAAGTAGAGTGGTGACAGAGGAATTGTAGAGAAGAACTGAGAGGTATTAGGAAATGAAAAGTAATGGAACATGATTATGGACAATAGGGAAATGAGGAAGAGGAGGTGTCAAGAATGATGCCTAGATACTTGGTTATGGAACTAGATAGATGGTGGGGGTGGTGCCATTCACTGAAACACATAACCAAAAAGCCATCCATATCTGAGTGACAGGATGATTTGTTTTAGTGTGAGGTGCCTTTGAAACACCCTGTGATGATGTCAGATGGATAGATGGACAAATGGATTTGGAAGGAGCCTGGAAGTTACTGGCATATGGTTGATCATGTGAATGTAAATGAAGATACCCAGGAAAAGTACATAGACTAAGGAGAGATGTTTAAGGACTGAGCTACAGGGAACTCCAATAAATAATGGCTGGGTAGAGGAGGACACTGCAAGGAAGGGAGGGAAAGTGGGCTGGAGGAGAACCACACAACATGCTACTGAGAGAGCTAGAGGAGGACAGTGTTTTCAAAAGGGTGGGGGAGACTTCCAGTTCCAAAATGGTGGTGTAGAAGCAAGTTGACTTCATTCCCTCCCACAAAACCACTAACAAATATACAGTGCTAAAATTTACACCAGAAACAACCCAGAACTCAAATATGAGGATGAGTCAGTTCCTAGGACTACAGAGAAGTGAAAAAACTCTGAACAGATGGTAAGAAAGGCATACTTCAGCATCTATGATACCCCTCCTCCCAATTCTGCCTGGCACCAAGCACGTGGAAAAACTCCCCCTAATTCACGGCTTCTACACTGGAAAAAGTGAGATTGAGGTGGCCAAGAGTTTTCCCCACCATCTTTGGTTCCCTGGCTGGAGACCTGTCCTTGCCTTTAACCCTTTGGAAGCATCATGACTGCCTGGAGGGAAAAACATCCCTGAGGACAGGCAGAGACAAAATCGGGAGGCAGGACTACCATCCCAAGCCCTGGAAACTCTGCACTGTAACTCAGCGAAAGGCATGCCAAAACAGAGTGACTGTTCAGCAGCACCACACTGCAGGAGGAATGTTCCAGAGGTTCCTGGGTATAATTCTTTTGCTAGCCATCTCATGCCAATGGAATAAATCCTTTGGGACCTCCCTGATTTGGGACAGGCTGTTCTCGAATTATTTACTAAACCTGGACTTAAGGTGCCACCTTGGAAGATGCCAACAAGGAAGCAGTGACCCAACAATAGAGATTTACTAAGCAAATATATCCAATAAAAAGCAAAGCAAGCCAGACAAATCAAACAAACAAACAAAACTAGAATAAATAACTAATCCTTTAATGCAAAAAACTGATGTATACATACAAGAAACAATAGCCAACAGGAAACCATGACCTCCCCAAAATGACAAAGCAAAAATCCAGTGACTGATCCTAACAAGATGGCAATTTGTCAGCTTTTTGACCAAAAATTCAAAATAGCAGTTTTAAGAAAACTCAGTGATCTTCAAGGTAACTCAGAACAGCAATTCAGAAATTTATCAGAGACATTTAACAAAGAGATTGAAATAATAAAAATAACAAAAAACCCCAGAAATTTTGGAACTGAGAAATACTGAACTCAGAATTGTTGAACTGAGGAACTCATTAGAGGCTCTCATCATCAAAATGGACCCAGCAGAAGGAAAAATAGGTAAGCTTGAAGATTGGCTACGTGAAAATACAGTCGGGGAAAAAAGAAAAAAGAACAAAGAGTGCCTACGAAATACAGAAAATTACCCCAAAAGACTAAATCTAAGAATCAGTGGTCTGCAAGAGGAAGGTGAGCAAAAGCAAGCAGTACAAAGCTTATTTAAAGAAATAATAACAGAAAAGTTTCTAAACGTGAGAGAGATAAATATCCAGGCCACAGAAGAAGGTCTGAGAACATCAAACAGATTCAATCCAAATAAAACTACCTCAAGGCATATAAGAATTAAACTCTCAAAGGCTAAGGACAAAGAGAAGATATGAGAAGCAACAAGACAAAAGAAGAAAATAATACATACATGAGCTCTAATTTGTCTGGCAACAGACATCTCAATGGAACTGTACAGGTCAGGAAAAAGAGAAATGACATTTTCAAAGTGCCCAAAGAAAAAAGCTGCTATCTAAGAATATACATATATTTTTATTGATTGATTGACTGAGATGGGGCCTCGCTATGTTAACCAGGCTGGGCTCGAACTCCTGGCCTCAAGCAATCTTCCCATCTCAGCCTCCCAAAGAGCTGGGATTACAGGCGTGAGCTACCATTCCCGGCCCATCCAAAAATATTGTACACTTGATCTTAGCCAAAAGGCCGAGAAGCGATCATCCAAGAATATTGTATCCAGCAAAATTATCCTTCAAATATGATGGAGAGATAAAGTCTTTCCCAGACAAACTAAAGCCGAGAGAATTTACCACCACCAGATCCATCTTACGAGAAATGCTAAAGGGAGTTCTCCAACCTGAAAGAAAAAAATACTAATGTGCAAAAGAAAACTTTTCAAGGTAAAAAATACAGTGGTAAAATTAAGTACATGGACAAACCCAGAATACTCTATGATTGTAATTATGGTGTGCAATCCACTCATAATTCTCATATGAAGCCTAAACGACAAATTGATCAAAAACAATAATAGCTACAGCAACATGTTAAGATAGGTAATATGTAAATTGAGACATCTCAAGCCAAAATGTGGGGGGAATGGAGTTAAAGAATAGAGGATTTTTTTATGTTTTTTGCATTTGTTTGCTTCTCCAAGATAAGTTGATCCAAGATAAGTTGTTACCTCTTTAAAATAACTTGTTATAAGATTTTTTTTTTGTAAGCCTCATGGTAACCACAGTACAAAAACTTATTATTGATTCACTAAAAATAAAGAGCAACAAATTATAAAATACTACCAGAGAAAATCACTTAACCACAAAGGAAGACAGTAAGAAAGGAAGAAAAGAAGAGAGGAGTCTCAAAACAACCAGAACACAAGCAACAAAATGCCAGTAGTAAGTTCTAACTTATCAATAATAACACTGAATGGAAATGGTCTACATTCTCCCATTAAAAGGCATGGAGTGGCTGAGTGGATAAAGAAACAAGACCCAATCATATGCAGCTTACAAGAAACCCACCTCACCTATAAAGACACACAGTCTGAAAATGAGGAGGTGGAAAAACATATTCCATGGAATTGGAAACCTAAAAAGAGTAGGTGTAGCTACACTTAGAAAAAATAGACTACAAACCTAAGATTGTAAAAAGAAACAAAGAAGGTCACTATATAATGATAAAGGGGTCAATTCAGCAAGATAATACAACCTCCCAAGTATACAAATATTAGTAAATTTAAAGGGAGAGATGGAATGTAATACAATAATAGTAGGAGACTTTTTAACATTTCACTTAGTAATGAACAGATTATCCAGACAGAAAATCAACATGAAGAAACAGTGAGATAAAACTACATACTAGATCTAATAGACCTAGTAGACAGTTACAAAAATATTCAACCAACTGCTGCAGCATATACTTTCTTTTCATCAGCACAATGAAGAGTCTGCAGAACAGACCATACCTTAGGCTATAAAACAAGTCTGAACAAATAAAAAAACCCAAATCTTATCAAATATCTTTCCTGACCACAATAATAAAACTAGAAATCAATAACAAGAGGAACTTTATAAAATATGCAAACACACGAAAATTAAACAACGTGCTCCTGAATGGGTCAATGAAAAATTCAGAAGGAAATTAAAAGTTTTACTGAGATAAATGAAAATGGAAACGCAATATACTAAAATTTGTGGAAGACAGCAAAAACAGTACTAAGAGGAAAGTTTATAGCAATAAACGCCTGTTTCAAGAAAGTAGAAAGACTTCAAATTAACAACCTAATAATGCACTTCAAGGAACTAGAACAACCTACAGGAGAGGAGAAAATATTTGCGAACTACCCATCTGACAAGGGATTAACAAGTCAATAGCAAAACCCCCAAATAATCCCATTAAAAATTGGGCAAAAGATCTTAACAGACATTTCTAAAAGAAGACATAAAAACGGCCAAAAGGCATTAAAAAAGTTCAATATTACCAATGCAATCAGAAAAACCTCAAAACCACAATGAGATATTACCTAACCATATTCAAAATGGCTAGTTTCAAAACGACAAGTGATAACAGATGCTGATGAGGGTAGAGAAAGGGGAACCTTTATACACTTTAATGGAAATGTAAATTGGTACAGCCACTATGGAGAACAGTACAGAGGTTCCTCAAAAAACTGAAAATAGAACTACCATATAATCCTGCAATTCCACTGCTGAGTATATATCCAAAACAAAAACATCAATATATCAAAGAAGTATCTGCACCTCCATGTTTATTATGGCACTTATTCACAATAGCCAAAATATGGAACCAACCTAAGTGTCCATCAGCTGATGAATGGATAAGGAAAATGTGGTATACACACAATGGAATATTATTCAACCATAAAAAAGGAATAAAATCCTGTCATTTGCAGCAACATGGATAGAAATGGAGGTCATTATGTTAAGTGAAATAAGCCAAGTATAGAAACACAAATATTGCATGTTCTCCCTCATCTGTGGGAGCTAAAAAAGTGGATCTCATAAGGATAGAGAGTAGATTGGTGGTTACCAGAGGCTGGAAAGGACAGGAGGGAGATAGGGTGAAGGAAAAATAAAGAATATAAATGTACTTATTACCACTGAACTGTATACTTAAAAATGGCAAGGATAGCAAATCTTATATGTGTATTTTATGGCAACAGAAAAAATTAAAAATTAATTTTTTAAAATAAAATGGATGGGGAGATCAACGGAGTTAAAGAATATTTCTAGGTCAAGTAATAAAAGGTTTGACAATCTTTGTAAATTATGTGGATAATATGATTTCTACTACAATCACTAGAGCCAGGCAATAGATTTTTCCAGCCTAAATCAAAGGGGTCTATTATGACTAAATCATACATAAGTCACAGAATAATTGCTTCTTAACTTGTGATGTTTCACAATCCCCAGTTTGAGTCCTTTTTCCTATCACTTTAACAACCCACATCTCACCACAAACAGTAGGGCCATTATCAATTGAGATAGAAGATTTGACTTTTGTTCCCCAACTGACCTGTGATGTTGAATTTACCTTTTCCTTATGAGCTTTTGGCATCTTATGACAAACAGTATCCTCCTCCGAAAAGTTTCTAATTGACTTAAGCTTTACAAGACATCCTAGGACCAAAGGAATCACTTGGGTGGCAGCACGTACATATCAACAGATCAAATGAAAACCTAATTAGCGTTGATCCTTGAACAACATAGATTTGAACTGCACAGGTTCACTTACACGCACAGTTTCTTCTGCCTCTGCCTCCCGTGAGACAGCAAGACCAACCCCTCCTCTTCCTCCTTCTCCTCAGCCTAAGCAACATGAAGATGAGGATGAAGACCTATATGATGATCCACTTCCACTTAATGGTAAATATATTTTCTCTTGCTCATGACTTTCTAATACCATTTTATTTTCTCTAGTTTACTTTATTGTAAAAATATAGTGTACAATACATATAAAATATAAAATATGTGTTAATTGACTATATTATCAGTAAGGCTTCTGGTCAAGAGTAGCCTATTGGTAGTTATGTTTTGGAGGAGTCAAAAGTTATATGCAGATTTTCAACTGCATGGAGTCATTGCCCTTAAACCCCTGCGTTGTTCAAGGGTCAACTGTAAATATATTTTTCATATCAGTTAGGGGACATACAAATTTCAAATATCCTAAATTAGAAGGGAAGGCTGTTTATCATCTGGGAGCACTGTTTAAAAGATGAGAGAGAAACACAGGAGTCTAAAATAACATGACTCCTGGAGAACAAAGTGGAAGAAATATTAAACCAGATACATATTAGTGCCCCTATAATAAGCATGTCTGTAAGTAGTAAGTTATTGACGTATTTAGCAATCTATGCTATCTTCCTTTTTTGTGTAACTGGTGTTGTGATGGATAAAGAAGAAACTGTCTTGAGCAACTTTCTGGAAGAAAAAGTCCATAGTATCCTTTCTTGAGGAAAGAATTTATTTCATTAAAAAATACTCTTATATCATTCTATACAATCACAAATGTTTCTCTTCAAGCAAAGACTCAAACACTAGCTAATTCTTTTACTTTTCCTAATTAAATACAAAAAGGGTAAGTTTTTTTAATTTTTAAAAACTTTAAAAAATGTTTTTACTACTGTAACCCATTATTCTGTAACAATAATTTAATTAAAATTCATTAAAGCAAACCAGATTACAGTTTTCATATTTCCATGAAAAAGAAAACTACTCTGGTTTAAGATAAAGATAAATGGGAGTCATAGATTAATTTAGATCTGAGAATGAATATAGAGAATCTTATTATTCATGGAAAACAAAGGAGAAAATATACCAGCACTTTGGGAGGCCAAGGTGGACAGACTGCTTGAGCCCATGAGCTCAAGACCAGCCTGTCCAACATGGCAAAGGAATATAAAAATTAGCTAGGCATATTGGTGTGCACCCGCAGTCCCAGCTACCTGGGAGGCTAAGGTGGAAGAATTGTTGGAGCCCAGGGAGGTCGAGACTGCAGGGAGCCGTGATTGCGCCACCGCACTCCAGTCTGGGTGACAGGGTGAGACCCTGTCTCAAAAAAAAAAAAAGAAAGAAAAGAAAATAACAGATCAAACTGAGGACCACAGATGTGGTCTCTTTATTGTGGCAACTAACCAGTGGTGTTTACATCTGTGGAGTTCCCGGAACCCAGAAGGGAAGAAGATGGAATAACTAATGCCAGGGGGAGAGGGAGAGAGAACCAATCCATATAAGAAGTCAGAAATACAGACATATAAATAGATCTAGAGAAATACACCCAAGAGGGGGACAAGATACAAGCAGTGGCAAGGAGAGATTCTACAGACAGATATGTAAAAGAATATAAATATGTGTATCTCAGGAATATGAAAGCATGCCCTCTAAAAAATTTAAAAATTGTATTGAAATTTCCTAACTATAGGCGGAAATCAAACGTAACTTGAATTTTTGAGCCAGATGAAATTAAGCAGTGTTCACTAAGCTTTTGGTAGGAGTTGAGTACTCCCTTAGTGGGCATCCTGCTTTAATGGTTAATAGGTCTGGGTAATTGACCACATGCTCTGTATTTAATATTTAAGAAAGATTAGGCTAGTGAATGATGTTAAGAGCAGGTAATTTTTCAAAGTCCTTGTGTTCACAATGAGGAAAACTAGGGGGAAATATTGATAGATCAACCTACAATATTTCCACCTGGCTTTTGCTTACAGTCAACACCCCCTACCCACCCTTGCCCATCCCCGGCCACAACTGCTCCCACCCCCATCCTATGACTTGTCTTTTAGTTCCCTGTTTATAATTCTAGGTGAAGACAAGAAAGACTACCAGTAATCCATAAAATATAATTCTCTGTGGTTAAGTGCGAGAGGACTATAGAAATGAATGCTTCCAATTCTACATTTTGGCTGAGTTTTCCTTTCAGTCTTACCTTACAAAGACCTTGTTGGCTGCCAGATGTGACACATAGATCCATTTGTCCTTGACTGGGTGGGTAATGGATGGTAGGAGGATTATGCAATTTTATTTGTAACTGTTTTAGCCAGGACAAAAGCTCTGGAATTCTAAAGCAAAAAATGTATATTTAAATTCATAGTAGTAAAAATCATAGTAACAGTAGTAGACAGGAAATAATAAATGACAGCTTTATCAAGCACTTTGTACACTCAATTAAAAAACCCTCAAATGCTTTTTGCCAGTATGAATATTCCTATTTAAAAGATAGGCAGTAGACTTAGAGATTAGGAAATTCCTGTAAGTCATTCAGCCAGAAATTCTCAGAAAGTCAATTACGTAATAAATGAGCTGAGATTTGAATCTACATCTTTCTTATTCCAAACCTGAAGTCTTTAGCGCATGCGTTGCATAATCGATTCTTTGTTCTCTCTAGGAAGAGTTCTATGGCTACCTAGAAGTTCAGACTCAATAAGTTGTTTGTATCATGGAATGTTTGAATAAGCCTATGTATATTTAACATATTACATAACTAACACATATATACATGAATAACATTTCAATACACTTTTCAATCACAGAACAAAGCAGGTTTTAATAAAGTATAATTTATAGATTCTCTATAAATTATCCTTTATCACTTGAAGAAGACCAGCTAAGAAAGTCAAGGTATATGTTTCAGCTTGCCTTTAAGAAATTAAAGACATTTGAACCTATGAGGGCAATGTATTTGAATGGCTGCTTGTTTAGACTATAGAAATGAATGACTATATTCAATGTATTTGCATGACTGCTTGTTTAGACTATAGAATGAAGAAACGGAAGATCCAGGATGCTTAAACTTTAAAAAGTTGAAGCTTCCTGGATCTTCCGTTTCTTCATTTCTCCTGATATGTTTGTTTCACCTGGACATCTTCTCATTTTTTTGGACTCAGCTCTAATGGTATTTCCTTCTAGAAGCCTTCTTGGTCATTTGCGATTGAGAAGCAATCACTGAGGAGTGTTAAACATTCAATATCCTTTCTGTTCTTAATTATCCTTTGAAAACCTTTCCCCAGACCTTCCTAACCATTGAATACTCATTTGGTTAGTATTCAATGACTGAGTATTTGGTCATTGAATGACCAAATGGGTCAATGGCTTTAGAATATTTATGAATGGACCTTAGAATATTTCTTTAATATTCTTTATCAATGGGCCTTAGAATATTTCTTATGAAAATAAGCCAATAAAATTATGTTAAGTATTGATACTTACCCAGCACTCGGAGAATACTGAAGTGCTCTCTTCATCATCTCTTCTCCAAATTGGATGGTCTTTCCATTTTCTACAGTGATTACGGCAGTCTTAAAAGGAAACATGTTTGGATTTGGTAAGCCACCAGCCAAGGAGATCATCGATTTTGGTCCTCTGCTCAATATGTCAGCTACAATACACATGGAAGAGAAGAAACAATTTCATTGAAGATTGTTATAAGCGGATAGTTAAGCATGCATTATAGTCAATAAAACTATAAAGTTTAACGATTTCTAGTGATAGAGTGTGCTATGGTCTAAATGTTGGTGCTCCCCCAGATTCATACTTGGAAGTTAATACTAATGTGATAGTTTTAACAGGTGGGGTCTCTAGAGGTGATTAGGTCAGGAGGGATCCACCCTCCTGAATGGGATTGGTGCACTTATAAAAGAGGGCTGAGGGAATGCCCTTGGCCCTTCTGCCACGTGAGGACATAGGTTCTCCCTTCTACCACGTGAGGATGCAGCAAGATGGCTCTGTCTATAAGGAAGGGCTCTCACCATGGTGACACAGAAGCTGCTGGCACTTTGATCTTAGACTTCCTAGCTTCCAGAACTGTGAGAAATAATTCTATTGTTCATAAATTACCCAGTTTGTGGTATTTTGTTATAGCAGCCTGAATGGACTAAGACAAAAGCTAGTCTAAAATAAACATACAGAATAACTTTTTCTAGGCACCTCACTTGTGGAGGGACTAAAGAATGAAGGTGACCAAAGAGAAGGCAGAGGGATCAGAAAGACAGCAAAGGGCCACAATAGCAGAAGCCCTCCTCCACTTAGCCCCGACCTGTCTGTGAGCTTCATGGCCCACCCCTCTCCCATTTACCTGGCCCTCTCCACTGTACACCCATCTGCACGCTGTGCATGCCCCTTCTCAGCTTCCCAGGAAGAGCCTTTCTTGATAGCACGCCCCCTCCCTTCCAAGGCCGTGCCCCACAGCAGTCTGCGCCTCTCTCTACTGTTGCTCCTACTCTGCTCCAGCAGAAATACCCGCCTTCCGTTTCAGCCCGAGTTCTTTGAGAACAAAGGCTGTGTCTATTTCATTTCTGCACGCAGAGCCTGGCTCACCGCGAGCGTGCACAGGGGTACGCATGGATGCAACCAAGCGGTGGCTTGCTAGGGAACCCTCCTTAGAGGCTGTGCGAGGAATGCCCCACCCCAAAGGAGAGATGGTCACCCCGTTTCTCACTCATGGTCCGGATGGGAGAAGGGTTTCTGGCTGCGCTCGCTGCCGTGATGAACCGTGCGTAATTCATGTCTTCTGACAGCCAAGCATCAAGCTTCTTCTTCAGTGGTTGAGGACTAGAAAAACCAAAGAGCCTCGTCAAGTCCTGCCTGCTAACTCCTCACTCTGGCAACGCCACCGCGAGATGTGTCCCCCCGCTGCGTCTGGCTTCCCGCGCGCGGTGCCCGGAGAACGCCGCCGAAACTCCCCGGCTGGACGCTGCGTTCGGTCTCCCGGTCCTAAACGGGTCTGGGGCTGTGTGGCGAGCCCGGCAAAGTCCACGCCGCACGCGCTCCTGCGGCCGCCAGGGCCCAGGCCGGTTTTGCCCCGCCGCGGGCCTCGCCGCGCCCCCTCCCGCCCCGCGCCGTGGCCTATGGCCGCCCGCGGCGCGCGCCTCCCCGTCCCGGATCATCGCCCTCAGAGCGCAGGGCGCGGGGTAGCCCAGGCGCGAGGCGCTTGCAGCCCCAGGCCAATGACTCTTGACCTCGCCGCTGGGAATCACCGCAACCCGGCGTCCGCGTTGGCCGGCCTAGGCGCCGGCCCAGAGGCTAGCCCAGGGGCTGACCGAGGGGACCGGAAGTGCCCGTGATCCTAATCCTCGGGAACCATCTGGCGGCGACTTGGGTCCACTGCAGGGGGCTCCCGAGCTGCGCCCAGCCGGGAGCGGCCCCACCCTCGTTCCCGCGCGCTCCGCTGGCCTCCTCTCAGTCACTGGGACTGTGCATTTTGCCCGCTCAGACCATGGCTATGCTAAATACCCATCTTTCGTTAGTGAAACTCTGGGCACTCTCCTGGGAAGCATCCCGGCGACCAAGACGAATTTCAACATCACTTTCTCGAAGATCTCAGCATTTTGGAGTGACGATGGAGTTCTGACAAAAATTTTTGAAAAATCACTCTGAGTCTCTTCAATTTTAGTGTCTACCCTCACATTGAATTTCTGACCTTTCGTTAAATAAGAATTATGTTGGAAGTGAATATCCGGATCTTTTTGGGTCTAGCACCTTGCCTTTTTTTTTCTTACAAAATAACCCTTCTTACTCCCCACCTCCCTCAACTTTTCTGCAATTTCTCCTTCCTGAATCACCAAAATGGAATGTACAAGGTTTAATGTGAGCACTTAATGAGGGAAGGGTTTCAGACAACCTCTCTTTGACTTTAAAAAATTCTTTAATGGTTATTAAAATGAATGAACAGATTCATTCATTCAGCACAAATTTACTGAGTACTTCCTAGATGATTATTGACTCACTGCCAAATGGCTCTCTTTTAAGTTTACCTAATAGGTTGGTCAAGGAGCCACTGCTTTTATCTAGGTCCTGGCAGCAAAAGGCTGAGATAACCCAGTAAAATCTTTGTGCTAGCAGCTAAATAACAAAAAGGAAGTATTGAGAGGTGACAGCCTGCTGGCAGCCCTCGCAGCCCTCGCTCACTCTTGGCGCCTCCTCGGCCTCAGCGCTCACTCTGACCGCGCTTGAGGGGCCCTTCAGCCCGCCGCTGCACTGTGGGAGCCCCTTCCTGGGATAGCGGAGGCCGGAGCCGGCTCCCTCAGCCTGCGGGGAGGTGTGTAGGGAGAGGCACGGGCGGGAACCAGGGCTGTGCGGGCGCTTGCGAGCCAGCTAGAGTTCCGGGTGGGCGTGGGCTTGGCGGGCCGGCACTCAGAGCGGCGGGCCGGCTCCGCCAGACCCGGGTAGTGAGGGGCTTAGCACCCGGGCCAGCAGCTGCGGAGGGTGTGCCCAGTCTCCCAGCAATGCCGGCTCACCGGCGCTACCTTCGAATTCTCGCCAGGCCTCAGCTGCCTCCCAGCGGGGTGGGACTCGGACCCGCAGCCAGCCATGCCTGAGCCTCCCCACCACCCACCCGTGGGCTCCTGCGCTGCCCGAGCCTCCCTGACGAGTGCCGCCCCCTGCTCCACAGCACCCGGTCCCATTTACCGCCCAAGGGCTGAGGAGTGCGGGCTCACAGCCCGGGACTGGCAGGCAGCTCCACCTGTGGCCCCAGTGCCGGCTCCACTGGGGGAAGCCAGCTGGGCTCCTGAGTCTAGAGGAGACTTGGAGAACCTTTATGTCTAGCTAAGGGATTGTGAACACACCAATCAGCACCCTGTGTCTAGCTCAGGGTTTGTGGATGCACCAATGGGCACTCTGTATCTAGCTAATCTGATGGGGACTTGGAGAATCTTTATGTCTAGCTAAGGGATTGTGAATACACCAATCAGCACTCTGTATCTAACTCATGGTTTGTAAATGCACCAATCAACACTCTGTATCTAGCTCAGGGTTTGTAAATACACCAATTAGCACTCTGTATCTAACTAATCTAGTGGGGACTTGGAGAACTTTTGTGTGTAGCTCAGGGATTGTAAACGCACCAATCAGCACCCTGTCAAAATGGACCAATCAGCTCTGAAAAACAGGCCAATTGGCTCTCTGTAAAATGGACCAATCAGCAGGATGTGGATGGGGCCAGATAAGAGAATAAAAGCAGGCTGCCTCAGCCACCAGCGGTAACCCGCTTGGATACTTTTGCAGCGTGTGGTGGTTTTGTTTTCTCGCAGTTTGCAATAAATCTTGCTGCTGCTGACTCTTTGGGTCCACATTGCTTTTATGAGTTGTAACACTCACCGCGAAGGTGTGCAGTTTCTCTCCTGAGGCCGTGGAGACCACGCACCCACAGGGAGGAGTAAACAAATCCAGCCGAGCTGTCTTAAGAGCTGTAACACTCACCGCCAAAGTCTGCAGCTTCACGCCAGCAGCCAGTGAGACCACGAACCCACCAGAAGGAAGAAACTCCCAACACATCCGAACCTCAGAAGGAACAAACTCTGGACACACTGACTTTAAGAACTGTTAACACACCGCGAGTGTCTGCGGCTTCGTTCTTGATGTCAGTGAGACCAAAACCCCACCAATTCCAGGCACAGTATCTAGTAAACCTGTTAGAAACCCACGAGGCAAAATGCTTCTGCGTTCAGAGACTTCAAGTAGTTGAAATCCCATTTGATGGCTTAATAGCTGGGTGTCTTTGGACAAGTTAATTAACCTTTCTCTGTATTGGTTTTCTCGCAGGCATGTTGACAGGAATAAATGAGATAATCTGTGTTAAACTAATCAGTGCAGTGGTCTGCACGTTGTAAAAACGCTATGAACATTGGCTGTTGTTAGTAACATGCATTTAAGCAAACCTTAAGGCCTCAGCCTCCAAATGTTTTTGACTAAAGCTATTTGGCAACTTTTAAGGCCTGTTCTCAGTTAATCCATGCACACAGATCCTTATGTGTTTGAGCTTGTCCATTCTAAAAGTAGTTCCTGAATTTTTATAGAAGTTAACAAGCACCGGAAACATCTAAATAAGGTGTAGATCAAGGTAAATTGTAACTTGTAACTAGATATGTTGATGTTCCTGGGGACTTAAGGCTTTTTTTTGATAGGGGAGGACTCTAACTGAGCAAGGTTTCCTTAGATACTTAGAAGAAAATTTAAACTTTGGCCAGGAGGTGTGGTTCACGCCTGTAATCCCAGCACTTTGGGAGGCCAAGGTGGGTGGATCAACTGAGGTCAGGAGTTGGAGACCAGCCTGACCATCATGGCAAAACCCCATCTCTACTAAAAAATACAAAAATTAGCGGTGTTTGGTGGCAGATGCCTGTAATCTCAGCCACTCGGGAGGCTGAGGCATGAGCATTTTTCGAACCCGGGAGGCGGAGGTTGGAGTCAGCTGAAGCCGAGATCACGCCACTGCACTCCAGTGGGGGATTGAGCTGGGGGATAGAGCGAGACTCTGTCTCAATTTAAATTTCTTCCATTTGGTAGTAGGAACCTGTTCGGTCAAAGGAATTTGGAGTGCTGGGCCAAGGAAAAGACCAAAGGTTTTTGTAAGCACGTTGATGCACCCGTCTGTGATTTGTAGTATTTATTACTCACAGGCTATTTATTTTATTTTGAGAGGCAGAGTGTCTAGAGTCTCACTTTGTTATCCAGGCTTGAATGCAGTGGCGCCAACCATAGCTCACTGCAGCCTCGTCTTCCCGGGCTCAAGCATTTCTCTCACCTCAGCTTCCTGGGTAGCTGGGACTACAGGTGAACACCACTACACCAGGATAATTTTTTAAAATACCTTGTAGAGACAGGGTCTCCCTATGTTGCCCAGTCTAGTCTTGAAGTCCTGGCTTCAAGTAGTCCTCCCACTTTGGCCTCCGGAAGTGCTGAGATTACAGGCATGAGCCAGCGCACCTGGCCTCACACAGGCATTTTTAAAAATACGTAATTAATTGATTTTTTTACCCCCTTTCCAATCAGTGGTAACACAATTTAAGGAAGCCAAACTGAAGAGCTGTGAGAGCATCAAATCCTAAGGTGCAGGTTTTCAACCCTTAAACAGTTTGCTGAATTTTCTATTTGGCCTGTCCTGGAGTTGTACTGGTGAGACGGTTGGGGGTGCTGATTGATTGCAAGCTGGCTGATGATTCAGGCCAGATGGAGAGGCAGAGAAATGGCCCATCAGGGCAGGCTAATGGAATGCAGGGGCACTGGGGGGTCATGATCAGCAAATGCAAGGCAGAATATAGTCACAGTGGTGGGGAAGGGACAAGCAAGGGTTAAGTTGGGAAGAGCTTACCAGACAATAGAAGCTGAAGACTGAAGGTAAATTTGATTGCCAGAGAAACTAGACTTTGGATTTGTCAGGCACCAACAGCAGAAGGCTTCTCCTGAGGGACTAAGATAAATGAGCAAGGTTCATAGCTCAGTGTTGCCTTTTTAGAAGCTTGGCTTAGGACTGCCCAAGGACGGAATTAAAGACACCAGATTCTTTCTCCAAACATTTACTGAATTCTTACTCTGTTCTAGGAACTGTAATTGATTTAAAAAGATAACTATGACAAGTCACTACTCTTGAAAAGGAACTGTTTGTACATTAAGACATCAACAATTTCAGATAATACAATGTTTGTGGCAGAGGCAGGTACAAGCTGCTAAGGAAAGCAGAGAGAAGGAAGTCTTTTTCTTCTTCTCCTCTCCCCTCCCCTCCCCTCTCCTTTTCTTTTCTTGAGTATCCCTTATCTGAAATGCTTGGGAACAGAAGTATTTGGGGGTTTTGGATTTCTTTACATTTTGGAATATTTGCATATACATAATAAGATACCTTGGGGATGGAACCCAATCCTAAACATGAAATTCTCATTTACATTTCATATACGCCTTATGCACATAGCCTGAAAGTAATTTAATACAATATTTAAAATAATTTTGTGCATGAAACAAAGTTCATGTACATTGAACCACCCATGTAGGCCCTCTGTGGTTGTTTGGCATCATCATCATTCCTGACTCTGAGTTTATATGCTACTGATAGGCAATCATTTTCTTATAATTATTCACACATAGTAATTAACAGTAAAATATTTTGTTAATCATTAGTACAGTGAAGAAATAATGTGTTTAGGTCAACTGAGCAGCACAGCAGCATCAGCACATTACCTGTATCAGCTGTTAAACAGCAGTAACAGCAAACAATGGCAGGAGTTCAGTCTCTAGATATGATGCTGTGTTTTGATTAAGGTTATGTAGACCATATTTTATATTTTAGATGAGAAGAAATGTCAGAAGCAGTTGAAGGACCAGAAAGTGGGTCCCGTAGGGATGAGGAGTCAATCTGCTGGATGGATTTTAAAAATCTGTCCTCCAGAGTCATCTGCCTCACCTCATTAACAATGGTTTTTGTCTGAGAAGGCACTCTTTGATTTCATAAGCTGACATGGTTTCTTGTTCTCTTATACATGCATGCTGCTCTAGTGCTTAAAAAAGCCCATCACAGATTTTCACCATGTCAGCTATAGACACTTTTCCTGCTGAGTTAACATTATCTTTATCATCCACTTGTGGCATCATTTTGGTGCTCAAAAAGTTTCAGATTTTGGAGCATTTTGGATTTCAAATTTTTGGATTAGAGATGTGCAACTTGTACAAATAAGATCACATTCACACGTTGTGTGTGTGCACGATTTTTGGGAGACTATTCAGACCACTATAGTCAATGACTAAAGGAGCCTAATATGTAATAGTCTGAGAGATTAGAGGACAACCAGAAGTTTACAGTGAGAAAGACAGCAAAGGAAGGGAATGTTTTGAGAAAGACCGAAGGGCTCCTAAGAGGATAAACTTATATCTTTTATCTTGCAACTCCGGGGTCATAGATTCAATTACCGCTAACTAATACGAGTAACACTCAATTGCTTTAAGACTGTTTTGGGTTCTTATGCTAGCCCATGTCTCATCAAGGAATAAGCATGAGATTGTGTCTTAGTGTCTTAGTTCATTTAGTGTTGCTAAGCAGAACACCCGAGGATGGGTACTTTATAAAGAAAATAGGTTGATTTGACTCATGATTCTGAAGGCTGGAAAATATAAGAGCATGATACTTGCATCTGATCAGCTTCTGGGGAGGGCCATGTGCTGTGTCAAGACATGGCAGAGAAGTGGAACACTGAGGGGACATATGCAAAGAGACAAACACTAAAGGCTGGGCTTACTTCATAATGCCTGTTCTTGCAGTAACTTATCCAGTCCTGTGAGAGTGAAAACTTACTCTCATAAGATGGCATGAATCAATTCATGAGGGTTCTGCCTCCATGGTCCAAAGACCTCCTATTAGGCTCCACCTCCCAATGCTGCTGCACTGGTAATTAAACTTCATGAGTTTTTGTGGTGACAAAATCCAAACCACATCACATAGTAACTTGAAAAAATTGCTATTCATAAATGGCATCTACCTCAGAAATAATTCTTTGAGTTAGGTGGACAGCCTTGCCTTATGGCCAATATATCCCTATTGAGGTTATGTATATTGGAGATCTCAGTCATTAATTTGGGTGCACTTTGGAGTGCAGAAGAGAAACACAAAAATAACCACTGGATTCTGATAGAGACAGAAATGTACTGAGGTCCGTAGTGTAACCATCATAATAGAACGGTCAGTCAAAGCTTGAGGGATGGCAGATATTACTTGTCATGAAATGGGTAGGCAACTCTAGAACTTCATAATTAAATAGAAATAGTATCATCTTAGAGAACTGTTCAGAATCAACACCCTTGTGTGTTGAGTCTATGGGTATGGTCTTTGGAAAGAGACACAATATATCTTTAGACTGAAGACCATAGGATGACTCTGTGGAATGCTGTCCTTGTCATTCAGGATGCTGGCTGCTCAGCTGTTAAATAGCTAATGTTCATTTGGTATAATGCCATTTTTCTGTTACATGCATCGTATGTAGGATACTTGTTTATATTATATGTATTTTAAATCTTGTCAGTCTATTCCTCATTTCTTTTAACATCTTTCATATTTTATGACTCTCACTGTGCTGTGTCCTTGTGGATTTTGTAGTTATATTTTTCAAGTATTCATTTTTAAATTCAATTATTTGTAGTTGTTTGCACATTTTTCTCAGTTGTTTTTTCCTTTTTTTGAAAATAGGGTCTTGCTGTGTCACCCAGGCTGGAGTGCAGTGGTGTAAGTATGGCTCACTGCAGCCTTGACTTCCCAGGCTCCAGTAATCCTCCTATCTCAGTCTCCCGAGTAACTGGGACAACAGGTGCACACCACCATGCCTGACTAATTTTTGTAGCTTTTGTAGAGACAGGGTTTTGCCATGTTGGCCAGGCTGGTCTTGAACTCCTGAGCTCAAGCAATCCACACACCTCGGCCTTCCAAAGTACTGGGATTATGGGGATGAGCCACTGCACCCAGCCAAGTTTTAAATGTCAATGAAAATATTTTTTGTTTCTAGGATTCTGATGAATTCTTTTCCATATTTGTGATTCTTTCACATATTCATCTGCTTTATTTAGATTTTGAAAAGGGGATATCATTTTCACCACTAATTCTTTCAGGTCTTAAATATACTTGTTTTTAGGCGTTTCTCATATTGCTTTCTTATTTTCATCTTCATGAGAGTGAATTCCCATCTGTTGAGACATATTTCATAGTGTCTGCTTTCCCCATGTCTTTGACATTTTGAATGGGTAGTGTTTTCTCTCCTAGTACTCTCTCCTTTCTTCTGGCAGTATTCATTGCTTCCTCCAAAATTCCAAGAGAGGTAGAATCAGCTCTGCTGTAGAGGTTTGTGGCTCTTGTCCACAGGATGTCACAGATGGGCTCCCACAGCCTTGGGCAGCTCCACCTATGTGGCTTTGAAGGGTATAGCCCCGCTTCTGGCTGCTTTCACAGGCCGGTGTTGGGTGTCTGTGGCTTTTTCAGGTGCTGGTGTTGAGTGTCTGCTTTCACAGGCTGGTGTTGAGGGTCTGCGGCTCTTCCAGGTGCACCGTGCAAGTTGTCAGTGGATCTACCATTCTGGGGTCTGGAGGACAGTGGCCCTCTTCTCACAGCTCCAGTAGGAAGTGCCCCACTGAGGACCCTGTGTGGGGGCTCCTACCCCACATTTCCCTTCCATACTGCCCTACTTGAGGTTCTCCATGAGGTCCCCCACCCCCACAGCAAATTTCTGCCTAGACATCCAGGTGTTTCCATACATCCTCTAAAATCTAGGCAGAGGTTCCCAAACCTCAATTCTTGACTTCTTTCCACCCTCAGACTCAACACCATGTAGAAGCTTCCAAGGCTTGGGGCTTGCACCCTCTGAAGCCATGGCCCGAGCTGTACTTTGGCTCCTTTTAGCCACAGCTGGAGCTGGGACACAAGGGCATGAAGTCCTTAGGCTGCACACAGCAGGGGGGCCCTGGACCTGGCCCATGGAACCATTTTTTCCAACTAGGCCTCCAGGCCTGTGATGGGAGGGGCTTTCATGAAGGTCTCTGACATGCCCCGGAGACATTTTCCCCATTGTTTTGGTGATTAACATTCAGCTCCTTGTTACTTATGCCAATTTATGCAGAGGCTTGAATTTCTCCCCAGCAAATGGGTTTTTCTTTTCTATCACATGGTTAGCTGCAAAATTTCAAAACTTTTATTCTCTGCTTCCACTTGAACACTTTTCCGCTTAGAAATTTCTTCCACCAGATACCCTAAATCATCTCTCTCAAGGTCGAAGTTCCACAGATCTCTAGGGCAGGAGCAAAATGCCTCCAGTGTCTGCTAAAGGATAACAAGTGTCACCTTTGCTTCAGTTCCCGACAAGTTCCTCATCCCCATCTGAAACCACCTCAGCCTGGACTTTATTGTTCATATCACTATCAGCATTTTGGTCAAAACCATTCGACAAGTCTCCAGGAAGTTCCAAACTTTCCTGCATCTTCCGTCTTCTGAGCCCTCCGAGTCTCTAGGAAGTTCCAAACTTTCCCACATTTTTCTGTCTTCTTCTGAGCCCTCCAAACTGTTCCAACCTCTGCTTGTTACCCAGTTCCAAAGTCTGCTTCCATATTTTTGGGTATCTTAATAGAAATACCCCACTCTACCAGTACCAATTTACTGTATTAATCCATTTTCATGCAGCTATGAAGACATACATAACACTGGGTAATTTATAAAGAAAAAGAGGTTTAATGGACTGACAGTTCCACATGGCTGAGGCTTCACAATCATGGCAGAAGGGGAAGGAGGAGCAAAGGCATGTCTTATATGGTGGCAGACAAGAGAATGTGTGCAGGGGAACTGCCCTTTATAAAATTATCAGATCTTGTGAGACGTATTCACTATCACAAGAACAGCATGGGAAAAACACGCCCCCATGATTCAATTACCTCCCATGTTGTCCCTCCCATGACATGTGGGGATTATGAGAGCTACAATTCAAGATGAGATTTGGATGGGACACAGTGAAACCATATCAGTCCTATTCCCTTGCAGGTGTTGAAATACCAGAAGTCATCCAAAAGATTTTAAATAAAGACAAATAGTTGGGAAAAAAAAAAGAAGAAGAAGACATAGTAACAGTGCTGTGTTGAGTATGTTGGAGTTGGGGCAAAATAAAACATCCTCGTTCCCTATCTCTTTGTATTTAAATGGTTGATATTTATTCGTCTTGGAATTGCTGCTTCAATTTTTACATTTTAAATATTCTATAGAAATTCATTCATTCTGATAACTGAGATTTTGGTGCCTTTTCTAATTTTGTGCTGGAGGCTCCTTGCCTCCCTAGTCTCATCTGGTCCAGGTTCTTCCTCCCTGTTCACAAGTGACCAATGTCTTTGTTTTCTTTTCTAGGCTTGGAATATTCTCAATGGCTATCAAGGCCACCATGTGGAGCAGTGCTTCCTGGACCTGGTTTCTTCTTGGCATCTGGACCTGGCCCAGTGCTACAGGATCACCTGCTTCATCTCCTGGAGCTCCTGCTTCAACTGTGCCCAGGAAATGGCTGGGTTCCTGAGGGAGAATAGACACATGAGCTTGCGCATCTTCACTGCCTGCACCTATGATTACCACCCAGGATATGAGGAGAGGCTGCACATGCTGCAGGGAACTGGGGCCCAAATTTCCATCATGACCTCTATGGGTAAGAATGGAAACTTTGGGTGGGCTGGGGTGTGTTGGGGCAGGGAGAGGAAAGTTACTAGAAAGGCAGGGAGGGTCGGTATCCCTGTGCAAAAAGCCTTGGTTGGCTGCCTGCAGAGGCTTATGAAATTGCTGTTCATAAATGGAATCCATTCAGAAACAATTCTTTGAGTTAGGGTGGACAGCCTATACTGAGGCTCAGGCCCTATAGATGTGTGTTTTCATATCCCAGACACCACTGTGTAGTTCCATTCTATTTCTGGTTTCATATAGATTTCTAAATTGTTTTTGAACTCACTTTTGTCTTTTTATGTTTTAAAAATATTTAATGCCCTATTGTGTTTTGTGTTTGAAGTAAAGGGAGAAAAATAGATCAGCAAGTTTCTGCATAAAATTTGTTGTGGCAAATTGTTGCTCTTGGTACCTACTTCTACATGTGCATATATATACAGGCATACCTCATAGATATTGTGAGTTTGGTTCCAGACCATTGTAATAAAGTGAGTATCTCAGCATAGTGAGTCATGAAAATTTTTTGGTTTCCCAGTACATGTAAAAGCTATGTTTATACTATACTGTCGTTTACTAAGTGTGTACAGCATTGTGTCTGAAAATCAATATACATACCTTAATTTAAAAATATTTTATTGCTGAGTGGAGAGGTGGAGCAAGATGGCCAAGTGAACCCTCCAGTGATTGTCCCCTCCTACAGGAACACCAAAGTGAACAACTATGCCCACAAGAAAGCACCTTCATAAGAACTAAAAATCAGAGAAGCAATCACAGTACCTGGTTTTAATGTCATGTCAAGGAAAGAGGCACGAAAGAGAGTAGGAAAGACAGTCTTGAATTGCCTACATCACCCCTCCCCTTTCCCTCAGCAGTGGCTGTGTGGCATGGAGAGAGCATCTGTGTGCTTGCAGGAGGGAGAGTGCAGTGATTGTGGGATCTTGCATTGAAACTCAGTGCTGCTCTGTCACAGCAGAAAGCAACATAGACAGAATTCAGCTGCTAAGTGCCCACGGAGGGACCATTTAGACCAGCCCTAGCCAAAGGGGAATTGTCCATGCCAGTGGTCAGAAACTCAGTTCTGTTTAGCCCCACTTACCATGAGCTAAAGCACTCTGTAGTCCCAAATAAATTTGAAAGGCAGTCTAGGCCACAAGGACCGCAATTCCTGGGCAAGTTCTGGTGCGGTGTTGGGCTCAGAGCCACTCACAGGACTTGCAGTGCGTGTGACCCAGTGAGACACCAGCTGGGGTGGCCAAAGGAGTGCTAGTGTCACCCCTCTCCTAACTCCAGAAAGCACAGCTTGCAGCTCTAGGAGAGACTCCTTTTGGTTGAGGAAAGGAAAGGGAAGAGTAAAGAGGATTTTGTCTGGCAACTGGGATACCAGCCCAGCCACAGTAACATAAAACAACAAGCAGATCCCTGAAGTCTCCATTCCAGGCCCTAGCTCCTGGATAACATTTCTAGACCCACCTTGGGCCAGAAAAGAACCTGTTACCCTGAAGGAAAAAACAAAGTCCTGGAAGAACTCACCACCTGCTGACTAAAGAGCCCGTAGTCCTTGAATAAACATTAGTAGCAGCCAGGCAGTACTCATCACAGACCTAGAACAGTGACGGCCATGGGAAAAGACTCTTTTTGAAGAAAGGAGAGGGAGGAGTAAAAAGGACTTTGTCTTGCAAATTGGGTTGCAGCTCAGCTATAGTAAAATAAGACACCAAGTAGATTCCTAAAGTCCCCAGTTCTAGGCCTTAGTTCCTGGACAATATTTCTAGACCCAGTCTGGGCCAGAATGGAAGCTGCTATACTGATGTGAAGGACTCAGTCCTGGCAGGATTCACCATCTTCTGAGTAAAGAGCCCCTGGGCCTGAAATAAACATCAGTGGTAGCTAGGCAGTTATTGCCAGTGGCCTGGTGATGGCCATGTGAAGAGATTCCTTCTGCTTGAGGAAGGAAGAGGAAAGAGTTAAAAGGATTTTGTCTTGCAACTTCAGTACCAGCTCAGCCACAGTAAAATGAAGCTCCAAGTAGATTCCTGAAGTTCTTCAATCCAGGCCCTAGTTCCTGGACATTTCTAGACCCACCCTGGGCCAGAGGGGAGCTTACTGTACTGAAGAGACGGACTCAGTCCTGGCAGGATTCACCATCTGCTAACTAAAGAGTCCCTGGGTCTTGAACAAACATCAGCAGTGGCCAGGCAGTAGTCGTGAAGGGCCTGGGACAGCGGTGGCCATGGGGAGAAACTGTTTCTGCCTGAGGAAAGGAAAAGAAAGAGTAAAAAGGACTTTGTCTTGCAACCTGGGTACTACCTCAGCTACAGTAAAATGAAGCACCAAGTAGATTTCTAACATTCCTGATTCTAGGCCCTAATTCCTGGACAACATTTCTAGACCCTCTCCTGTGGCCATCACCATCCCAGGCCCCGGGCAACTACTGCCTGGCTACAACTGATGTTTGTTCAAGGCCCAAGGGCTCTTTAACCAGCAAGTGGTGAATCCAGCCAGGACTGGGTCCTTCCCTTTAGATAGCAGGCTCCCTTCTTGTTCCAGGGTAGACAGAGGTGGGAGGATTGTTTGAGCTTTTGAGCCTGGGAGGCAAAGGTTGCAGTGAGCCAAGATTGCATCACTGCATTCAAGCCTGGGTGACAGAGTGAGACTCTGTTTCAAAAAAAAAAAAAAGAAAAAAGAAAAAAGAAAAAAAAGAAAAGAAAAAGCAATGAAATGTTTAAAAAATGAAAATTAAATTAAAAAAAGGAAAATGAAGGAAAAGGATGTTAATGAGCAATCAGAGATCATCTGAAGCTACAAAACTCACTGGTAATAGACAAATACAGAATATTATAATACCGTATTGTAGTGTGTTAACTACTCATATCTTGAGTAGAAAGGCTAAAAGACAAATCTATCGAAAATAACTACAACAACTTTTTAAGACATAGACAAAATAATGATATATAAATAGAAAAAACAAAGTTAAAAAGCAGGGTGGAAGATGAAGTTAAAGTATAGAGGTTTTATTAGTTTTTTCTTTGCTTGTGGTTTGTTTTTGCAATCAGTTAAGTTGTTATCAGTTTAAAATAATGGGTTATAGAATGTCATTAAGCATAATGGTTACTTCAAATAAGCAACCTACAACAGACACACAAAAAATGAAAGGCAAGAAATTAAAACATACCACCAGAGAATATCAATTTCACAAAAAAGGAAGGCAAGAAAGAGAGAAGGAAGACAGGAAGAAGGGAAGGAAGGAAGGAAGGAAAGAATGAAGGAAGAAGAAAGAGAAGGCCACAGAATAAGCAGAAAACAAATAACAAAATGGTAGTAAGTTCTGATTTGTTAATGATAACATTGATAAAGTTGAAGGTAAATGGACTAAACTCTCCAATCAAAAGACAAAGAGAGGCTGAATGGATGAAAAAAAGTAGGACCCAATAATGATCTGTTGCCTACAAGAAACACACTTCACCTATAAAGACACGCATTGACTGAAAATAAAGGGATGGAAAAAGATATTCCATGCTAATGGAAACCATGGAAACCAAAAAGAGAGCAAGAGTAGCAATACTTATATTAGATAAAATATATTTCAAGACAAAACTTTAGAACGAGACAAAGAAAGTCATCATATAATGATAAACGGACCAAATCAGAAAGAGGATATAATAGTTGTAAATAGATATATGTATCCAGCTGTGGAGCACCCAGATACATAAAGCAAATATTATTAGAGCTAAGAAGAGAGAGATAGACCCCAACACAATAATAGCTAAATACTTCAATACCCCACTTTCAACATTGGGTAGATAATCCAGACAGAAAATCAACAAAGGAACAACCGACTTAATCTGTACTATAGACCAAATGGACTTAATAAATATTTAGAGAACATCGTATCCAGACACTACAGAATATACACTGTTCTCCTCAGCACGTGGATCATTCTCAAGAATAGAGCATATGTTAGGCCACAAAACAAGTTTTTCAAGAAATTCAAAAAAATTGCAATCATATCAAATATCTTCTCTGACCACAGTGGGATAAAACTAGAAATTAATAACAAGAGAAATGTTGGAAACTATACAAACCCATGAAATTACACAATATTCTCCTGAATGACCCCTGAATCAATGAAAAAATTAAGAAGGAAATTAAAAAATTTCTTGAAACAAGTGAAAATGGAAAAACAACATACAAAAACCTATGGGATACAATAAAAGCCATACTAAGAGGGAAATTTATAGCAAAAAGTGCCTACATCAAGAGTAGAAAAACTTCAAATAATCTAACAATGCATCTTAAAGAACTAGAAAAGCAAGAGCAAACCAAACCCCAAATTAGTAGAAGAAAAGAAATAATGAGTATCAGAGTATAAATAAATAACACTTAAATAAAAAGTGCCAAAGATCAACAAAATAAAAAGTTGTTTTTTTGACAAAACAAAAAAATTAACAAACCTTTAGCCAGACTATGAAAAAAAGACACAAATAAATAAAATCAGAGATGACATATTACAATTGATACTGCAGAAATTCAAAGGACTTTAAGCAACTTATATGCCAATAAATTGGAAAACCAGAAGTAATGGATAAATTCCTAGACACATAAAAGCTACAAGATTGAATCATGAAGAAATTAAAAACCTGAATAGACCAATAACAAGTAATGAGATCAAAGCTGTAATTGTCTCCCAGCAAAGAAAACCCTGAGATCCAATGACTTCACTGCTGAAATCGACCAAACACTTGAAGAAGAGCTAGTACAAATCCTATCCAGCTATTCTGAAAAATAGAGGAGGTGGGAATACTTTCAAACTCATTCTATATGGCCAGTATTGCCCTGATACCAAAAGCAGACAAAAACACGTAAAAAAAAGAAAACAATGAGCCTATATTTTTGATGAACATCAATGCAAAAATCCTCAAAAATACTTGTAAACCAAATTCATCAGTGAATTAGAAAGATCATTTATCATGACCAAGCAGAGTTTACCTCAGGGGTACAAGGTTGGTTCAACATACACAAATCAATCAATGTGATACATCCTATCAACAGAATGAAGGACAAAAACCTTATAATCATTTCAATTGATGCTGAAAAAGCATTTGATAAAATTCAACATCCCATTCATGATTAAAAAAACCCTCAAAAACTGGGGATAGAAAGAACATACCTCAACACAATAAAAGCCAAATATGACAGACCTGCAGTTAGCATTATACTGAACAGCAAAAAACTAAAAGTTTTTCCTCTGAGATCTGGAACATGATAAGGATGCCCACTTTTACCACTGTTATTCAACATCGTACTGGAAATCCTAGCTACAGCAATCGGTCAAGAGAAATAAATAAAGGCCATCCAAATTAGAAAGAAAAAAGTCAAATTATTCTTGTTTTCAGATGGTATGATCTTATATTTGGAGAATCCTAAAGATGCCACCAAAAAACTATTAGAACTAACAAACAAATTCAGTAAAGTTGCAGGATACAAAATCAACATACAAAAATCAGTAGCATTTCTACATGCCAACAGTGAACAATCTGAAAAAGAAATCAAGAAAGTAATCCTACTTATAATAGTTACAAATAAAATAAAATGCTTAGGAATAAACTTATCCAAAGAAGTGAAAGATCTCTACATAGAAAACTGTAAAACATTGATGCAAGAAATTTAAGAGAACAAATGAAAGAAGGAAAAGAGGAGCTGTATTAGTCTGTTCTCGCACTGCTATAAGGACATACGTGAACCTGGGTAATTTATAAAGAAAAGAGGTTTAATCAGCTCATGGTTCTGCCAGCTCTCCAGGCTTCTGCTTATGGGGAGGCCTCAGGAAACTTACAACCATGGCAGAAGTTGAAGAGGAAGCTGGCACATCCACCATGGCTGGAGTAGGAGAAAGAGAGACAGGCGGGCAGGTGCTACACACTTTTAAACAAGCAGATCTCTGGAGACGTCTTATCACCAGACAGCACTAGGGGGATGGTTCTAAACCATTAGAAACTGCCCACATGACCCAATCACCTCCAAGCAGGCCCCTCCTCCAACACTGGGGATTAAAATTTGTCATGAGATGTGGGTGGGGACAGAAATCAAAACTGTATCAGAAGGCTAAATGGCAAATAATTATTCTTGTTATGCTTTGTGCAAACAACCAGGCCACGTATATTAAGACTGAAGCTTATTTCACAAACAAATCAGTCCTATCATGATTTGTTTTTAATAAAAATGAGGATTGGAGAGAGAAAAATTATGTTTCAAGAATTACAGTACACCTGTATTTAGATTCTAGTCTCATCAGTTATTTTTGAGTTTTGTCAGCAATTTAGACTAACCCTTCTTATTCCTGTGAAACAATCAGTGATCTCTGGCTGCAGCTCAGAAGAAAAGATGGATGGGTAGTGTAAAAATCTGGATCAATATTCTAATTCTGGGCATGTATTATAATCAGCTAGCAACTCCATGCACCCAAGTCTTAGCAGGTGTGACTATACCCACCAGCTACCTAGGTGTGTTGGTAGCCCTAGGATTTTTTGGAGCTGTTATCTTCCTCTTTTTTTTCTTTTTAACCATTCTTCTAAATCTGATAACTTGATTTGTCCCCTTTTACCTTCAGGTCATCAAGCTCCAGATGATCCTCAGTGAAGGATACTGACCTCTCAAATATTCAAGAGTTACCCTTCTATAGCGGGCCTCTAGACTGCCCATCAATGGGACACAACAGAGGCAAAATCTTGCCCCTGTCTCCCTTAGGCCTGGCTGGATACTGCTTTTTTACAACCCATAGAGCCAACCCTGCCCTGACAGCTAGTAGGAGGCCAAGACCCACAGAACCACCACCACCGCCCCTCTGTCTGCAGGAAGCAGTTACAGAAGACTGACCTTCATCCATTTTCCCCAAAGAATTGGAGTCTTGGACTCCAGAGGGGGAAATGTTATAGCAGGTAGCTAGTTAAACATGAGCAGGGCAGGACAGGGCTCCCAACCCCCACCAGGAATGTCAGGCGACATCAAGTGATCTCTCAAGTCACCCACTCTGCCCTCTTCCAAGTGTACTTTACTTCCTTTCATTCCTGCTCTAAAGCTTTTAAGTAAACTTTCACTCCTGCTCTAAAACTTGCCTCGGTCTCTCCTTCTGCCTTATGCCTCCGTGGTCTAATTATTTCTTCTGAGGAGGCAAGAACTGAGGTTGCTGCAGGCCATATGGATTCACTGCTGGTAACATGTTGACTGGAGTAGCACTTTTAATTTTCCTCCAGAACTTTTCTTTTGTATTTACAATTGGGCTAATTGTCTGATGCAAGAGTTTTAGCTTTTAGCCTCTGCCAGCCTTTGACATGCCCTCCTCACTAAGCTGAATCATTTCTAGCTTTTGATTTCAAGTGAGAGACATGACTCTTCTTTGCACTTGAACATTTAGAGGCTATTGTAGGGTTCATAATTGGCCCAATTTCAATATTGTTGCATCTCAGGGAATAGGGAGGCCTGAGGAGAGGAAGAGAGATGTGGGAAATGGCTGGAGGGTGGAGTAGTCAGAACACACATACTGTCTATGTATTAAATTTGGTGTCTTATATGGGTGTAAATCTTGTTGCCCCCAAACAATTACAGTAGTAAAATCAAATATCGCTTATCACAGATCACCATAAAAGAAATAACAGTAATGTAAACATTTGAAATATTGTAGGATTACCCAAAATGTGACACAGAGACACAAAATGAGAACATGCTCTTGGAAAAATGGCTCCGATAGACTTGCTTGATACAGGGTTGCCACAAATTTTTAATTTGTGCAAATCATAGTATCTGTGAAATTTAATAAGCTAAACACAGTAAAATAAGATGAACCTTTATTGTGCATAAATAGATAATTATTTGGGGGTAATTCTTCACATATGTAATGAATATTTTTGTAGAAAATGTACACATGACCCAATCATTTCTAAGGAAGATAAAGAGTTTTAGGTAAGGCTAATATGGAAAACAGACTAACCTGAATCTACCAGATAGAGGAACTGCTGCTAATAAATTAAATAAAATAATTTTTATAAATTCAAGAGCCTTGAAAACACTAATTGGTCCACTAAAATGTTACAGATTTTAAAATAAATCTTGGGCAATATGTCAACAAACAGGTAGACTATATGACAATTCATTTGTCAAATCTAGTATCAAATAAAGGAAATGAAAATTGAAATTGAGAATATTTTATGTTAGAACACGTTAAGAAAGGATCTAGTAAAGCAAGGATTAGATTGGAGTTATGATTTTGAAAATCTCTTTGTCTCTGAAACAGCCCAGGCAGGCTCGCTGATGTCATCTTTTTGGGCGAATAATTATTATATAGTTAGAAAGCTCAGGGTCTGATGGTTAACCCACTGCATATCTCTACCCAAAGAATGGGGGCTTGCCCATAGGGTTGGCGCTCCTGAAGCATGGGTCAGGAAAGCAAAGATCTTTTTCAAGGATATCTGGGGGTAGTGTTGGAACGACAAGGCCTTCAGCCTAGAAAAGGGCTTCCTCTGTAAGTGTGGCCATCAGTGACAAAGAAAATACAAAATCAATGATATAACCAACGAGAACAAGCCAAAAAGAGGCTTGTATCAATAATAATAAAATTTAAATACTCTATGCAAAAGGTTTTAATTTTTATTTATTTTTGAGACAGGGTCTTGCTCTGTCACCCAGGCTGAAGTGCAGTGGTGTGATCACTGCTCACTGCAGCCTTGATTTCCCAGGCACCAGGGATCCTCCCACTCAGTGCTCCTGACCCCCCAGGTAGCTGGGACCACAGGTGCGTGCCACCTGCCTGGCTAATTTTTGTATTTTTGGTAGAGACAGAGTTTCATTATGTTTCACAGGCTAGTCTTGAATTCCTGAACTCAAGCAATCCACCTGCCTCAGCCTCTCAAAGTGCTAGAATTGTAGGCGTGAGTCACCGCCGCATCCAGCCAATTTTTATAAGGCATGAAGTTTAACTATTATTATTAGTAATAGTAGAAGAGAATGCTGTATGTTGATTTAGGAGTGTTTTGGCTAAAATCTGAATTAACAATTTAAGGTACCTTTGTTTTACAAGATATTAGACTTAGTCATATGGGTTCACAGCATTCCACTGAAGTTTCAGATTGTGCTCTGAGAAACAGCCTGCTTAGCAAACTTGGGGAAAAAAATTGCTAAGACCTGGAATAAGATATTAAAATAACAGAATATTTTAATAATATCTGGGAGAAGGGAAACAGACATGAATGTTGTGAATTTTATTATTATAACATTTAAAAAATGCAGGATGATCTATTTGTATTTTTTTCAAGTCTCCTCAGTGAGTATGTATACTCGTAGAGGTAATAGTAGAAATTGTAACTGACGATGCAACCATGGCATTAATCCATTCGAACATCTTGCATCCAGACAATGGGATTTGTTGAACAATAGGGAAATATTCTCACTTGACAGGTTTTAGGATTTTGTTGTGGCTGTTGTTGTTTTTGGATATGTGGGTGTTGGCAGGAATAGCTTCGTTAACACATTACATTGATTTCCAGAGTTGACTTGGTGGACCTGGCTGGCAGGGTATTTGGGTGTTTCTTTCCTTTCTATTGCTCCTTGCTGGTTGCTATGGCAGCTGTATTCCTGTGAAGAGAGAATGCCTGCCTAGTGTCTGTCTGTTCTTGTTTCAATCAGAAAAGCATGTGGAGCCTTTCCAAGGCAGGCTGGATCTTACCTATGATGTATCGGTAGTGCATGAACATGCCATGGTCAGCACTGTCCACCTTGCAGTGTGCCTCTGGGACGTGTCCTGAGATGGATGAGGTTTTCAGTTTGCACTTTTTGAGATTCCGTGGTCTGCTTTTTAGAAACCCATACAGTATTACAGCCATTGCTTACAGAAGCTGTCCACTTTAAATAGCGTGGGTTTGAAAATTGAGACCAGAGCTGCTTAAAAGACTCCAGAGTATAACTGAGATAATTTGTTGCACATGGATGGGTAAAATAGGAAAGAGTAGGAGGAAGGGAGGGAGATGATTGCATAAGGAGACAGAAAAGAAGTCTGTGTAGGGCAGTGACTCAGAAAAATGACTTACCAGGGCAAAGGACTCATGTATAATAATTGATCTCCAATTCATCTGCTTCTGTGAGGTTTACTACAGATGTCCGTTCTGGTTTTAATTCACCACTTCCTACCATTACCCTGTGAAAGAAAAATAAAAATCGTGAGACTCTAGATTCACTATGCCAAAGGGGAAAAATTAAGCTTGAAAACTGAGTCATGCCAAAACAACAACAACAACAACAACAAAACTGCCTTTCCTTTTGTTCCTAAACCAATAGCTACAGGGTAGAAGGTCACGTATCTCTGCAGGTGACCTCTCTCATGCTGACAATGTAAATCAACAGCTTATCTTCACAGGCATGGGACAAGAGGAGACTAGAAATCATCCCCTCACCGAACCTGAGACAAATCCCTATTTGACTTTTCTCTGTACTCACTATGTTTATCTTTTGTAAAGTGCAGGTTTACTAAGCGTGAGACGCTAAGCATGAGACAAATACATAATTTATTGTTCCCTCTACCACCTCCTTTTCATGTACAACATGTGGATTCATTGAGCTCTAATCAAAGCCTCACAAGATGTGACCATACCTTCCTCCCTCTTTTTTTCTTTTCCCTCCTGCCTGTTTTTTCCCCTTTAAGTGTTGAAACTCTCAAAATCCTCTTTGGAAAAAGTATGGACCACAGATCTTACTGTGGTTTGTGTCTCTTTTTCCTGTGTGCATCCTCAATCTTGGCAAAATAAACCTCTAAATTAATTGAGATTCATCTCAGCCATTCTCTTTGGTTTTACAATGCTGTGCAGGTTTATCACAGTATCTACAACATTGCTTATAAGCATCTCTCTTTCCAATAGTTGGTAAACTACTTGAGGGTAGAAACTCTTTGAAGGAAATTAAAATATTTTACCCCAAAATATATTCCTTTGACATGTTTAAAAATGGCTGCCACTTGGCCATGCTGTCAGAAATAGCACTGCACAGCTGTCTTAAGTGGGGAGAATTTGCATCTGTAGAGAATCCCCATGAAAGTAACCTTGCCTCCCTCCCTTTCCTATGCCTTTCCCTGGATCCAGGAGTGACTGACAGTCTGACACCTTTTAAAGCCTGAAAAGAAACATTTACCATCTGTTCCCTCTGAGGGAGGCTTCGTCCACATAACAAGGCCATCTTTGCTAGCCAAGCTTCTTTCTTTCCTTCTGTCTTAACCTGTCTTGCCACTAACCCTGATTCACCTGTTTCTGGCTGTGCTCTGAGTCTGTGTTTCTTACTGTGGCCTCAGGATGGTATATAAGTTTCCGTAACTCTCTGGGAATTTGGGTCTTCACACCGAAGGCTCCCTTATATATACATTAAATACATTTGTATGCCTTTTCTCTTATTAATCAATCTGCCTCCTGTCAGTGATTTTAGTGATCATTTAGGGGGCGAAGAGCGTATCGTCCCCTACAGAACAGGATGATCATCAGAGTTGCTCTTCTCTTCTAGAGGCTACAGGGAAGAGAAACAAGAGACTGATCTGCTGGCAAAGGGATAAAAATTTCCTACCAACTAGGCTACTGGCCTGTCTTTCTCTGTGTACCCCAGTGAGCAGATGGTAAAAATCCCAGTCTCATCTGCAAGGTTTTGATTAACAGGAAAAAGGAATTTGACTAGTCTTGCATTGTAGTGTCCTGGTGTACTTTCAGTACTTTGTGGTATGAATACTCATATTGTGTGACCCCTTTTCTCTCAGAAATAGCCTTTTCTGTTGCCATTTTCCTTTGTCTTTCTGTGTTGTTCTGTCATAAAGAGGGGTAGCATTGGATAGAACATGGGCCTAGAACCCCTTTATGCCTGCTGTTCAAGCTGACCCTGCATACTGGTCAGTTTTTACAGTTCTGGATAGACCAGCATGTGTTCACACAAACTTTTCTGTGAGTCCCTGATACAAAAATCAGATGAGGTTTCCCTCTCATCTTGTTTTATGTCCTTAAGAACTTGACTTTATGGCTACATGGGGGTACTCTCTCTTAGTCTCTACCATCTGGGAATGTCTTTTTAAAAATTTAACCTTTTCATCAATTGTTTAGAATAGAGGGCATGAATTTTTTGGTTCACATTAGATGGACAGTCTGAAAAGACTGGGAATCTGATAAACATAATATTTTAAGCAAGACACTTTTTATACTGAATGTGTCACACTCTCAGGGAAATTTTGTCTACAAGACCCATCTCTATGGAGCTTTTGTGATCTTTTGTCTATCTTAACTCTATTTTTCAGAGTGGATTTTTGGGAGTCATGAGGATGTCTCCTTCATGCCCTCTCCAGGAATGTAAAACCTGAAAAATTACCACTTGGGCTTTAAAGAGGCTTTTGAATTTAGTTGCTATTGGAATAAAGTACACCATTGAAAATTCTAATTGCCAATGGCCAGAAGATAAATTAAAAGAAAGATTTTTGAGACCTGTTATTCTAAACCATTGATGAAAAGGTTAAATTTTTAAAAAGACATGTAATAGTGTTATGGCTAGCCTTAAGAAATTTTTTTGAGAAAAATTTGCCATAGTTAAGTCATAGCCTTAGTTTAGGCTTATTGATTTCACCTAGGAAGTTACCTTTGGTAAAGAAGTTCAAAAATCAGAAATATCAGCTGTTTGTCCTGACTAAAATCTGATAATAAGAGATTTGAAAGAATTTTTAAAGAGTTCTGTAGTCAAAAGTCAACTTAATTAAAACAGGTATTTAGGCTACATGTGTATCTATATTGTTTTAAAGCCTCTGTTCTCTCTCTGTATAAACTTCTCAGTGAATTCTGTCTGTTCCACCATTTACTTCTTCCTATCTTCCTCCCACTTTCTATCCTGTATGCCACACGAGGGACCTAAAAATACAAAAGGAATTTCTAACTGCCCAGGATCCCCTGGGAAAAATGGAAAATGTACCAGACTCCTGTGTCTGGAAGGAAACTCTGATTTTCTTCATGAAATCCCAAGAGTTGTAAACGGACAGATTCCACTCAGATCTAAAAGCTTTTCTCTCTTTTGTATTGCATTCCCTAATCTTTTTGGCTTTTGGGGAATTGAAAATTACTTTGCATTATGAAAAAATTTTTGACATTGGTGTTTGTAATAGATATACTTTCTGAGATGGCTAATGGTAGTTGCTTAGAGCAAACAGTTATTACTACAGGGGATACTCTGTGTGTTTAAGATAAGAAAGGACATGGTTTAAACACTTAGACAAATGTCTTCATGACAAAATGTGCTCTAAAAATATTATGTGACCTGGCCCTGTGGTATTTTTCTCTTTTTGGGGATTCAGAATTCAGTGTGGGCTCTGCTCTGGGCTCAGTGGTCCAGTTAAAAGATAGTAAATTAAAAAACACCTATCTAAATAAAATTGGTCTGACAAAATACTATGATAGAGTTCTATGATTTTGTGCTGTCCTGACATCCATTTTATTATTTAATTTTATTTTTTGAGACAGGGTCTTGCTCTGTTGCCCAGGCTGGAGTGCAGTGGCATGATCTTGCCTTCCTCCAACCTCTGCCTCCTGTGCTCAAGTGATTCTTGTGCCTCAGACACCGAGTAGCTGGGATTACAGGTGCTCACCACCATGCCTGGCTAATTTTTGTATTTATAGTAGAGACAGGATTTCTCCATGTTGGCTAGGCTGCTCTTGAACTCCTGACCTCAAGTGATCTGCCCACCTTGGCCTCCCAAAGTGCTGTGATTACAGGTATGAGCCACTGTGCCTGACCGACATCCATTTTAAAACTTCCTCTAACACACTCAAACTCTCTCTCTCTGATTTGAGATGTAAATTTGCTATCTTGTTTTCTCCAAAACTCAGTGAGGGCATTAGTCATGGCCATGATAAATAAATTTTAACATTTTCACAATTTAATCCAACTGTCTTTTTAGACTAGTGAGTGTATCTATCTTATGGCTAAAATTTTAAAATCAAACTATAAAGTCCTGGATAAAGAAAATGTGGTACATATACACCATGGAATGCTATGTAGCCAAAAAAGGATCATGTCCTTTGCAGGGACATGGATGGAGCTGGAAGACATTATCCTCAGCAAACTAATGCAGGAACAGAAAACCAAATACTGCATGTTCTCACTTATAAATGGGAGCTGAACAATGAGAACACATGGACACAGGGAGGGGAATGATGCACACTGGGGCCTATGGGGAAGTGGTTGTGGGAGGGAGAGCATCAGGAAAAACAGCTAATGCATTTTGGGCTTAATACTTAGGTGATGAGTCTATTGCTGCAGCAAACCACCATGGCACACGTTTACCTATGTAACAAATCTGCACTTCCTGCACATGTACCCTGGAACTTAAAGTAAAATAAAAACTATAAAGTCTTTATGTTACTATAATCTTTATGTGTACATGGGTATATGTCTGTCTGTATACTGTCTGCATGGGTTTTAAATTGACTTACTCATAAATAAAGTAGATAATCCTAAATGCTTTTCAAGTTCATATGATTTTAGTAATTTTTGGTAAATAAAGATAGTTTTAAAATTATCGGTAAAATAAAATAGAAGCATGTTCAGAATTTAGACATTTGACCTGAATTAGTCACTGTCTCTGATGTTTTAAGATGCAAAACTTTGCTCCTGATACTTGCTTAACTTGTCTGTAACTTACGTGCTTAGATTTGTGCCTTTAGGATATGAAGCCTAGCTCCAGGCATCGTTCTTTGCTCTGGGTTATGTACCTGGTACATAATTAAAATTGCTTACTTACTAGGTTTTTTCACTAAAATAAGAGTTACTGAGAATTAACATTACAATTAATACATGTAATGAACGTTACTAGATATATACAAAGTGTGTAAGAAAAGTAAGATGTATTTTTGGCAAAAAAAGTTAAAAGAAGGCATGAGAATGTTTTTTTTTTTTTTAATAAGGGGAAGGAATTTTGTCTAGTTTAAGGGTTTTTAAGGATTCTTTTAAGTTATAAATAGAACAAAATGGAAGGTGTTTAAGCAAGTTGGGGAAAGTTTGAGAAAAGATTGATCTTGTAAAAGGAATTCTGTATGTGAACGAGTTTGCTAAAATTTGAAGGGGATTATTTAGTTTTTCTATAAATTAAGCATTAAAATAAAAAGCACAGTGATGGAGAGCCAGTATCTGGGCTGCTGTGTCTGAATAACAGAGTTTTCTTGGAGTCTTGATCTATCTGCTTTTTGACAGGAAATTATAAAAGGTTATAGAAGGCTTATGACAACCTTATATTATGGCCAAGTTCATTAAAGTTAGATTTGTTCATTTGGTTTTATTAAAATTAGATTTAGTGCTAATAATACACTACACAAAGGTAAAAATTGGTTTTCTCTTGAACAAAATTTTTGTTTAATATTAAGAGATAGTAAAAGATTTCTGTTTACCTTTTGAGTAAATTGCAAAAGAGCGAGAGACAGATTTAGTTGGCCTCATGCTGTGTCTATTAGGTCTTATTGTTTGGGAAGTAAGTCTCCATTCTCAAAGAGTAAAGGTTTTTGCTTTTTGAAAATTTTAAGTTATTATTTTGGGTAAATGATTGATTTATTTTACAATGACTCATGATTCTATTTTGTGATATAGTGTTCTAAACCTTCAATATTTGACAACTATTCCAAAATCAAATTCTAGATTCAAACTTTTGACCTCAAACTAACTTTATAGAAGTCTAAGAGAGAGAGATTTAGCTTAATTAATATGTTAAAATCATACAGGAAACATTGTCAAAAATAAAACTGTGTTCAACTTTTTTTGGTTTATATTTATGTAAATGTGTTATTAGTATGTGTTCCAAAATTGTGAGATTTCTGTAATTCTGATACATATTAGTATACGTTATCAGTAGTAATTATAATTATTATGTTAAATTGTTATATACCACAGAAATAACCAAATTTCTTTGTCAATTGTGTCTTTGACCATGACTGCTCTAAGACTTTTGTTATCTAAAATTATTTTACTGTGATCTTTTTAAAAAGACAGCTTAATTATAAACTAATTATAGTTAAAGGATTCTTACAGATGCTCTTGAATGCAGGTTTCTGATAACTTTAGAAATTTGCCATTGGAATAGAGAAAAAAGCATCTAGGACTCATGATGTGTTCATGAGGCTTGCTGGCCCAATACTGAGCAGAACAGGGGCAAACCGTGAAACTGCCTTTGCAAAAATTATAACTGAAGAAATTGTGACAGTGAAAGAGATCAGACCTAACAGACTCTATCTTGCTTCTAACCTCTAAGCTGTTCTTGTTCATTCCTGAGTGTCAGGCCTCTGAGCCCAAGCTAAGCCATCATGTCTCCTGTGACCTGCACGTACACATCCAGGTGGCTGGTTCCTGCCTTAACTGATGGCATTCCACCACAAAAGAAGTGAAAATGGCCTGTTCCTGCCTTAACTGATGACATTGTCTTGTGAAATTCCTTCTCCTGGCTCATCCTGACTCAAAAGCTCCCCTACTGAGCACCTTGTGACCACTACTCTGCTTGCCAGAGAATGACCCCCCTTTGACTATAATTTTCCTTTATCTACCCAAATCTTATAAAACGGCCCCACCCCTATCTCCCTTCGCTGACTCTCTTTTCGGACTCAGCCCGCCTGCACCCAGGTGATTAAAAGCTTTATTGCTCACACAAAGCCTATTTGGTGGTCTCTTCACACGGACGTGCATGAAATTTGGTGCCATGACTCGGATGGGGGACCTCCCTTGGGAGATCAATCCCCCGTCCTCCTACTCTTTGTTCTGTGAGAAAGATCCACCTATGATCTCAGGTCCTCAGACCAACCAGCCCAAGAAACATCTCACCAATTTCAAATCCGGTAAGTGGCCTCTTTTTACTCTCTTCTCCAACCTCCCTCACTATCCCTCAACCTCTTTCTCCTTTCAATCTTGGTGCCACACTTCAATCTCTCCCTTCTCTTAATTTCAATTCCTTTCATTTTCTGGTAGAGACAAAGGAGACACGTTTTATCCATGGACACAAAACTCCGGCACCGGTCACGGACTAGGGAAGGCAGCCTTCCCTTGGTGTTTAATCATTGCAGGGATGCCTCTCTGATTATTCACCCAGGTTTCAGAGGTGTCAGACCACGCAGGGACGCCTGCCTTGGTCCTTCACCCTTAGCGGCAAGCCCTGCTTTTCTGGGGGAGGGGCAAGTACCCCAACCTCATATCTCTGCACCCCGATCCCTTATTTCCGCGCTCTGACCTCTTATATCTCTGTGCCCGATCCCTTATTTCCGCGCTCTGACCTCTTATATCTCTGTGCCCCGATCCCTTATTTCCACGCTTTGACCTCTTATATCTCTGTGCCCTGATCCCTTATTTCCGCGCCCCAACCTCTTATATCTCTGCACCCCAATCCCTTATTTCCGTGCCCCAACCTCTTATATCTCTGTACCCCAATCCCTTATTTCCACACCCCGACCTTGTATTTCTGTGCCCCAAACCCTTCTCTGCTTTTCTGGAGGGTAAGAACCCCTGAACCCCTTCCCTCCGTGTCTCTACTCTCTCTTTTCTCTGGGCTTGCCTCCTTCACTATGGGCAACTTTCCACCCTCCATTTCTCCTTCTTCTCCCTTAGCCTGTGTTCCTAAGAACTTAAAACCTCTTCAACTCTCACCTGACCTAAAACCTAAGCATCTTATTTTCTTCTGCAATACCACTTGACCCCAATACAAACTCGACAGTAGTTCCAAATAGCCAGAAAATGGCACTTTCAATTTTTCCATCCTGCAAGATCTAAATAATTCTTGTTGTAAAATAGGCAAATGGTCTGAGGTGCCTGACATCCTGGCATTCTTTTACACATCGGTCCCTCCCTAGTGTCTGTGCCCAGCACAACTCATCCCAAATCTTCCTTCTTTCTCTCCCGCCTGTCCCCTCAGTCCCAACCCCAAGCGTCGCTGAGTCTTTCTAATCTTCCTTTTCTACAGACCCATCTGACCTCTCCCCTCCTCCCCAGGCTGCTGCTCGCCAGGCTGAGCTAGGTCCCAATTCTTCCTCAGCCTTCTCTCCTCCGCTCTATAATCCTTTTACCACCTCCCCTTCTCACACCCAGTCTGGCTTACAGTTTCGTTCCGTGACTAGCCCTCCCCCACCTGCCCAGCAATTTACTCTTAAAAAGGTGGCTGGAGCTAAATGCATAGTCAAGGTTAATGCTCCTTTTTCTTTATCCCAAATCAGATAGCGTTTAGGCTGTTTTTCATCAAATATAAAAATCTAGCCCAGTTCATGACTCGTTTGGCAGCAACCCTGAGACACTTTACAGCCCTAGATCCTAAAATGTCAAAAGGCCGTCTTATTCTCAAAATGCATTTTATTATCCAATCTGCTCCCGACATTACATAAAACTTCAAAAATTAAATTCCAGCCCTCAAACCCCATAAGAGGATTTAATTAACTTTGCCTTCAAGGTGTACAATAATAGAAAAAAGTCGCAATTCTTGCCTCCACTGTGAGACAAACCCCAGCCACATCTCCAGCACACAAGAACTTCCAAACGCCTGAGCTGCATTGGCCAGGCCTTCCTCCAGAACCTCCTCCCCCAGGAGCTTGCTACAAGTGCCAGAAATCTGGCCACCAGGCCAAGGAATGCCTGCAGCCCAGGATTCCTCCTAAGCCGTGTCCCATCTGTGCAGGACCCCACTGGAAATCAGACTGTCCAACTCACCTGGCAGCCACTCCCAGAGCCCCTGGAACTCTGGCCCAAGGCTCTCTGACTCCTTCCCAGATCTTCTTGGCTTAGCAGCTGAAGACTGATGCTGCCCAATCACCTCGGAAGCCCCCTAGACCATCACGGATGCCGAGCTTTGGGTAACTCTCACAGTGGAAGGTAAGTCCATCCCCTTCTTAATCAATACGGAGGCTACCCACTCCACATTACCTTCTTTTCAAGTGCCTGTTTCCCTTGCCTCCATAACTGTTGTGGGTATTGACGGCCAGGCTTCCAAACCTCTTAAAACTCCCCAACTCTGGTGCCAACTTAGACCATACTCTTTTAAGCACTCCTTTTAATTATCCCCACCTGCCCAGTTCCCTTATTAGGCTGAGACACTTTAACTAAATTATCTGCTTCCCTGACTATTCCTGGATTACAGCTACATCTCATTACTGCCCTTCTTCCCAATCCAAAACCTCCTTTGTGTCCTCCTCTTGTATTCCCCAACCTTAACCCACAACTATAAGATACCTCTACTCCCTCCTTGGTGACCGATCATGCACCCCTTACCATCTCATTAAAGCCTAATCACCCTTACCCCGCTCAATGCCAATATCCCATCCCACAGCATGCTTTGAAAGGATTAAAGCCTGTTATCACTCGCCTGCTACAGCATGGCCTTTTAAAGCGTATAAACTCTTCTTACAATTCCCCCATTTTACCTGTCCTAAAACCAGACAAGCCTTACAAGTTAGTTCAAGATCTATGCCTTATCAACCAAATTGTTTTGCCTATCCACCCCATGGTGCCAAACCCATATACTCTCCTACCCTCAATACCTCCCTCCACAATCCATTATTCTGTTCTGGATCTCAAACATGCTTTCTTTACTATTCCTTTGCACCCGTCGTCCCAGCCTCTCTTTGCTTTCACTTGGACTGACCCTGACACCCATGAGGCTCAGCAAATTACCTGGGCTGTACTGCCACAAAGCTTCACAGACGGCCCCCATTACTTCAGTCAAGCCTAAATTTCTTCCTTATCTGTTACCTATCTCAGCATAATTCTCATAAAAACACATGTGCTCTCCCTGCTGATCATGTCTGATTAATCTCCCAAACCTCAATCCCTTATAAAACAACAACTCCTTTCCTTCCTAGGCATGGTTAGTGTGGTCAGAATTCTTACGCAAGAGCCAGGACTGCACCCTGTAGCCTTTCAGTCCAAACAACTTGACCTTACTGTTTTAGCCTAGCCATCATGTCTCCGTGCAGTGGCTGCTGCCGCCCTGGTACTTTTAGAGGCCCTCAAAATCACAAACTATGCTCAACTTACTCTCTACATTTCTCATCACTTCCAAAATCTATTTTCTTCCTCATACCTGACACATATACTTTCTGCTTCCCAGCTCCTTCAGCTGTACTCACTCTTTGTTAAGTCCCACAATTACCATTGTTCCTGGCCCAGACTTCAATCCGGCCTCCCACATTATTCCTGATACCAGACCTGACCCCCATGACCGTATCTCTCTGATCCACCTGACATTCACCCCATTTCCCCATTTTTCCTTCCTTCCTGTTCCTCACCCTGATCACACTTGATTTATTGATGGCAGTTCCAACAGGCCTAATTGCCACACACCAGCAAAGGCAGACTATGCTATAGAACAAGCCACTAGCCTGCCTTTTAGAACCTCTCATTTCTTTCCATCGTGGAAATCTATCCTCAAAGAAATAACTTCTCAGTGTTCTATCTGCTATTCTACTACTCCTCAGGGGTTATTCAGGCCCCCTCCCTTCCCTACACATCAAGCTCGAGGATTTGCCCCCACCCAGGACTGGCAAATTAGCTTTACTCAATAAGCCCCGAGTCCGATAACTAAAATACCTCTTAGTCTAGGTAGACACTTTCACTGGATAGGTAGAGGCCTTTCCTACAGGGTCTGAGAAGGCCACCGCAGTCATTTCTTCCCTTCTGTCAGACATAATTCCTCAGTTTAGCCTTCCCACCTCTATACAGTCTGATAATAGACCAGACTTTATTAGTCAAATCAGCCAAGCAGTTTTTCAGGCTCTTAGTATTCAGTGAAAACTTTATATCCCTTACAGTCCTCCATCTTCAGGAAAAGTAGAACAGACTAATGGTCTTTTAAAAACACACCTCACCAAGCTCAGCCACCAAGTTAAAAAGGACTGGACAATACTTTTAGCACTTTCCCTTCCCAGAAGTCAGACCTGTCCTCAGAATGCTACAGGGTACAGCCCATTTGAGCTCCTGTATAGACGCTCCTTTTCATTAGGCCCAAGTCTCATTCCAGACACCAGACCAACTTAGACTATGCCCCCCAAAAAACTTTTCATCCCTACTGTCTTCTGTCTAGTCATACTCCTATTCACTGTTCTCAACTACTCATACATGCCCTGCTCTTGTTTACACTGCCAGTTTACACTGTTTCTCCAAGCCATCACAGCTGATATCTCCTGGTGCTATCCCCAAACTTCCACTCTTAACTCTTGAAGTAAATAAATAATCTTTGCTGGCAGGACTATGTTGAATCTCCTTAGGCACTCTGTGATCAGATGTCCTGGGTCCTCCCAATTCTTAGACCTTTTATACCTGTTTTTCTCCTTCTCTTATTCCATTTAGTTTTTCCATTCATACAAAACCATATCCAGGCCATCACCAATAATTCTACATGACAAATGTTTCTTCTAACAACCCCACAATATCATCCCTTACCACAAAATCTTCCTTCAGCTTAATCTCTCCCACTCTAGGTTCCCACGCCACCCCTAATCCCGCTTGAAGCAGCCCTGAGAAGCATCGCCCATTATCTCTCCATACCATCCCCAAAAAGTTTTCACCATCCCAACACTTTACCACTATTTCATTTTATTTTTCTTATTAATATAAGAAGACAGGAATGTCAGACCTCTGAGCCCAAGCTAAGCCATCATATCCCCTATGACCTGCACATACACATCCAGATGGCTGGTTCCTGCCTTAACTGATGACATTCCACTACAAAAGAAGTGAAAATGGCCTGTTCCTGCCTTAACTGATGACATTGTCTTATGAAATTCCTTCTCCTGGCTCATCCTGGCTCAAAAGCTCCCCTACTGAGCACCTTGTGACCCCTACTCTGCCTGACAGAGAACAACCCCCATTTGACTGTAATTTTCCTTTATCTACCCAAATCTTATAAAATGGCCCCACTCCTATCTCCCTTCACTGACTCTCTTTTCGGACTCAGCCCACCTGCACCCAGGTGATTAAAAGCTTTATTGCTCACACAAAGCCTGTTTGGTGGTCTCTTCACACGGACGTGCATGAAACTGAGTGTAGGCCAAGTTAGCCTTGGGAAAGGATTTAGTTTATAGTTTAATCCTGAAACAAAACTGTTAATAGCCCTTTCCTGAAAAAACTCCCTTTTTGCCTATGAATCAGTCTGCCTTTGTAGGACTAACAAATCAGCTACAAGATTAGAAATTACCATTTAGGAGCCTTGCAGCCTCTGGCTGCAAGAGTCTCAACCTCCTCAAATTGCTCCTGGGATTAACATCACTGTTGTAAAACCTAAGATCAGTGCTTAAGATATTTCACAAACCCTGCATTCTGATGTACCAGCTGACATGGCCCAGACCAGTAATCTGGCTCAACCAGTTCTGCAATCCCACACAGGAACAGATGTCAGCAAGAAGAACTCATCTCAGCCCCTTATGATTTCATCTCCAGCCCAATCTATCAGTACTCCTCACTTCCCAATCATCTACCCACCAAATTATCCTTAAAAACTCCAATCCCAAGTTTTCATTTTTGGGGAGACCGATTCGAGTAATAATAAAATTCTGGTCTCCCCACACAGCTTGGTCTGAGTGAATTACTCCATCTCCATTGCAATTCTCCTGTCTCAATAAATTGGCTCTGTCTAGGCAGCAGGCAAGGTGAACCCATGGGGCAGTTACAATTGCATGGACTGAGCTAATAGAAGACTGAAATAATTTTTTTATGACTTCTTGTGTTTGAAACATTGCTAATTCTTTTTGTTTTACAGAATCAAGAAAATCTTTTTTGAGTTACTTACAGCTTTTAACAATTGATTAGAGCAAAATTTGAAACACTTTTCTTTCTTTCTACTTGATTTTTCCAGAATTTGAAAGCTATTTGTGAGTATTCTTAACTTATGGTAATATAGTTATTTGCATAAATTCAGTAAGATCTATTTTCTTTTGTAACAGGACACAGTTGGAGGCACTGGCTCTTTTACCAAGGCTTTAATTGGAAGGGTATATTTTCAGATATGAGCAGATTTCTGTGAGGAATTGAGATTGACTTATAGATCTGATAAAAGTTCTTTGGAAAAACTGACCTCAAACATTTTCTATGTAGTTCCTTTACAGATTTCCTTACATGTTCCTGACTTGTGGTAAGTAAAGAATGTCACTTTCTCACAGGCCCAGGAACCCCAAGTTATTTTGGGATTTCAAGAAGAGAGAAGTTTCCCAATTCATACAGGTATCTGCAGGGATAAATACTTGGCTGTGTTCATGACTTTTAAAAGGTCTAATTTGTGATTCTTTATGAAAAAAGATTCCAGAAAAGCCAACTTACAACAGTCTGTATGACAAATAATTATTCTGCCTGCACTTTATGCAAATAATCAGGCCAAGTATAATAAGACTAAACTAATTTTGCTAAGAAATTGATCCTACTATGATTTTGTCTTTAGTAATATTGGAAGATTGGGGACAGAAAAATTATGTTTCAAAGGAAACTATGGTATAACTGTTATTGGATTTTAACCTTATCCATTGCATTCAGTTTTGATTATTTTCTACCATTTGGACTGGATCCTAATTTTTTTTTTTTGAAGTTGCCAAGCTAAAATGTTCAATTTCTGCCCTCCAATTTTTTTTAACTTGAAATCACTAGAAATTAAAACTCTGCTTTTCTTAAAGCTCTGCAAACTGAAGCTATACAACTTAAACTCCAGGAGAAAATAACAGCAACTTATATATAAACAAGCTTCAAGCCTGCTTGCTAATGTAAAGACTTCTCAGAAAGTTAGCCTGAATGCCCGGTTTGAATTACAATCCAGAAGAATTTGTCAGATTGTCGTTGCAATCTGAAGATGCCTCAGAGACCTTAGGAAAGCAGTCTATAGACTGCTCCAACCATTAACCTTGTTTATTCTTCTGCTTTTATAGAAATACCTTTTTTAGAGATCCTATTGCCTATATCATATATAGAGGTCTAGCCCATCTGCAATGCCACCTCTCAGAATGGGACACAGTTGTTTAATGGAACTCATCTATTCTCAGTATTCAGAGACTGACTAAAGAAGATATGGGAAGATATATTTAAATTTGCTCCTTTCTATTTATCTCAGTTTGTCTTTCTACTCCTTTCTCTATCTCTGTCTAACAATCTCTAGATCAAATCTCTCCAAAGCTATCAGCTTGGTTTTTGATATGAAACTTATTTTAAATTGCAAATAGGAGACTGAAGGAAATTAAAATATTTTACCCCCAAATATATTTATTTGATGTATTTTGAAATGGCTGCCTCTTGGCCATCCTATTAGAGGTGGCATTGCAAAACTATCTTAAGTGGGGAAAATTTGCATCTGCAGAGAATCTCCCTTAATGCAGCCATGCCTCCCTCCCCTTCCTATTCCTTTCCCTGGGTCCAGGAGAGACTGACAGTCTGACATCTTTTAAAGTCTGAAAGGAAACATTTACCATCTGTTTCCTCTGAAGGGGGCTTCCTCCACATAACAAGGCCATCTTTGCTAGCCAAACTTCTTCTTTTCTCTCTTAACACCTCTTGCCACTGAAGCTGATTTAGCTGTTTCTGGCAATCCTCTGAGTGTGCTTTCTTTACAGTGGCCTCAGGATGGTATGTAAGTGTCTGTAACTCATTGGGATGTTGGGTCTTCATTCTGAAGGCTCCCTTCTATATATTGTTAAATAAATTTGTATGCCCTTTCTTTCATTAATCAATCTGCCTCCTGTCAGTGATTTTTTAGCAGTCATTTAGGGGGCCAAGAACATTTGGCCCTCATGCCTTTTTAATTTATTTCCTTTCATTTTTCAGAATGAACTGCTTTCCTTAGTTCCTGGAACATCTGTGGTACTCCATAAATATTTCTAGGACAAGTAAGCACTTCAATTATTTTACACTGTTTGTGGCATTTGGGTTACATAGTGATATGGTTTGGATTTGTCCCCACCCACATCTCATCTTGAGTTGTAATTCACACAGTTCACACATGTCATAGGAGGAACCCAGTGGGAGGTGTTCGAATTATGGGTGCGGGTCTTTCTTGCACTGTTTTTGTGATAGTGAATGAGTTTCATGAGATCTGATGGTTTTAAAACACAAGTTTCTCTGCACAAGCTCTCTGTTGCCACCCATGTGAGATGTGACTTGCTCCTCCTTGCCTTCCACCATGATTGTGAGGCCTCCCCAGCTACATGAAACTGTGAGTCCAGTTAAACCTCTTTCTTTTGTAAATTGCCCAGCCTTGGGTATGTCTTCATCAGCAGTATGAAAGCAGAATAATATAATAAATTAGTACTAGAAGTGGGGTGCTGCTGAAAAGATATCCAAAAATGTGGAAGCAACTTTGGAATTGGGTAACAAGAAGAGGTTGGAACATTGTGGAGGGCTCAGAAGAAGAAAGGGAAATGTGGGAAAGTTTGTAACTCTCTAGAGACTTGTTGAATGGCTTTGGCTAAAATGCTGATAATGATATTGGCAATGAAATCCAGGCTGAGGTGGTCTCAGATGAGGAAGTTGGGAACTGGAGCAAAGGTGACTCTTGTTATGTTTTAGCAAAGAGACTGGCAGCATTTTCTCCTGCCCTAGGGATTTGTGAAACTTTGAACTTGAGAGAGAGGATTTAGGGTATCTAGTGGAAGAAACTTCTAACCAGAAAAACATTCAAGATGTGACTTGGGTGCTGTTAAAGGCATTCCGTTTTATAAGAGAAGCAGAGCAAAAAAGTTCAGAAATTTGCAGCCTGACAATGTGATTGAAAAGAAAATCCCATTTTATGAGGAGAAATTCAAGCTAGCTGCAGAAATTTGCATAAGTAATGAGGAGCTGAATGTTAATTACCAAAAGAATGGGGGAAATGTCTCCAGGGCATATCAGAGACCTTCATGGTAACCCATCCTATCACAGGCCCAGAGACCTAGGAGGAAAATGTGGTTTTGTGGGTTGGGCCCAAGCCCCCCATGCTGTGTGCAGCCTAGGGACCTGGTGCCCTGTGGCCTAGCCACTCCAGCCATGGCTGAAAGGGGCCAATGTAGAGTTTGGGCCATGGCTTCAGAGGGTGAAAGCCTCAAGCCTTGGCAGCTTCCATGTGGTGTTGAGCCTGCCAGTGCACAGAAGTCAAGAATTGGAGTTTGGGAACCTTTGCTTAGATTTCAGAGGATGTCTGGAAACACCTCGATGTCCAGGCAGAAGTTTGCTACAGGGGCAAGACTCTCATGGAGAGCCTCTGCTAGGGCTGTGTGTAATTTTGATCTGCCTCAGCTATGGGGAGACTCACCACCAGGGAGATTACCACCATCATAGCTACCATTAGATTACTCATGGTCAGCAGCTTGTTCTGAGACCTCAGTTTCTCTTCTGCAATGTGAGCTAGTCTCTTCATCTGCCCCCAGGTCAGTGGAGTTGCTTGGTGAGTTTTACTGGTTTCCATCTGCTCAACAGAGATGTTTATCTGAGCCATCAGATGAACTGGGGGTGCAGGGACATTCTGAGGTCTTTTCCTCTTCCTTGGATTCTGGCTCATGGAACAGCTTAAGATGTCTTGTGGTACCCAGACAGGAAGCTGATTCTCTCCTGGTGAGGTACAAGCAAACCCTCGACCCCATGTAATGATTTTGCCCTTTTCCCAGGTTTTAGTTCTGACGTCCTTCCACCACTCATGTTTTCCTTCATGAGGATTTATTTTTTGCCCTGTCAAATGCTGCTCTGCTGCCATTATAACCTGATCTCTAGACAAATCCAAAAAATTTAAAGTGATAATGTGTCTGGAATTGGTGGGTTCTTGGTCTTGCTGACTTCAAGAATGAAGCCGCAGACCCTCACGGTGAGTGTTACAGTTCTTAAAGATGGTGTGTCTGGAGTTTTTTCCTTCTGATGTTTGGAGGTGTCTGGAGTTTCTTCTTACTGGTGGGTTTGTGTTCTCGGTGACTTCAGGAGTGAAGCTGCAGACCTATGCGGTGAGTGTTATAGCTCTTAAAGTCTGCACGTCTGGAGTTGTTCATTCCTTCCAGTGGGTTCGGGGACTCACTGGCCTCAGGAGTGAAGCTGCAGACCTTCGCAGTGAGTGTTACAGTTCATAAAGGTGGCATGTCCGGAGTTGTTCGTTCCTCCCAACCAGAGTTGTTCATCCCTCCCAGTGGGTTCGTGGTCTCACTGGCTTCAGGAATGAAGCTGCAGACCTTTACAGTGAGTGTTACAGCTCATAAAGGCAGCACAGACCCAAAGAGTTAGCAGCAGCAAGATTGAATATGAAGAGCAAAACAACAAAGCTTCCACAGCATGGAACGGGACCCGAGTGGGTTGCCGCTGCTGGCTGGGGCAGCCTGCTGTTATTCCCTTATCTGACCTCAGCCACATCCTGCTGATTGGTCCATTTTACAGAGAGCTGATTGGTCCACTTTACAGAGAGCTGATTGGTCTGTTTTGACAGGGTGCTGATTGCTGCCTTTACAAACCTTTAGCTAGGCACAGAGTGCTGATTGGTGCATTAACAATCCCTTAGCTAGACAGAAAAGTTCGCCAAGTCCCCACTAGATTAGCTAGACATAGAGTGTTGATTGGGGTGTTTACAAACCTTTAGCTAGACACAGAGTGCTGGTTGGTGCATTTACAATCCTTTAGCTAGACAGAAAAGTTCTCTGAGTCCTCACCCGTCCGAGAAGCCCAGCCAGCTTCACCTCTCAGTGGCACTCGCCATGGGATTTAGCGGCACCTAGCCTGGGCACTCTGGCAGCCCAGAGGGAGCTCATCCCCAGATCAAGCCCAGCAGGCGCCAGCTGGCTGTGCTGAGTGTGGGGCCTGCCGAGCCCATGCCCACCTGGAACCCACACCAGCCTGTGAACGCGGCACACAGCTCTGGCTCCTGCCCATGCCTTTCCCTCCACACCTCCCCGCGAGCAGACAGAGCTGGCTCTGGCCTTGGCCTGCCCCAGAGAGGGGCCCTCATGGTGCAGCAGCAGGCTGAAGGGCTCCTTGAGTGTGGCCACAGTGGACTCCAAGGCCAAGGAGATGATGAGAGCAAGCGAGGGCTGCTAGCACATTGTCACCTCTCAATAAGAGCCAGTTGTATCTGTGTATGTGGAGTAGAGTATTCTCTGGATCCCCCCTTCTGTCTTTTGTTTTCGTAATTGAGATTTTAAGGTTTAGTTAGCCCATTCAACAATGGCTTGGCCTTGAGAATCATAGGGTATTCCAGTACTGTGCTCAGTGTGCCATTGTTGGAGGAACACTTGTAAAGATTTACTACAGTAGCCTGGGCCATTGTCTATTTTAATCTTTTGTGGGATGCCTATGGCAGCGAAACAGGAAAGTAAATGTTTCTTAATATGAGCTGCTGCCTCACCTGTTTGGCAAGTTGTCCATACAACACGAGAAAAGGTATCTATAGTAACATGGACGTATGGAAGTTTCCCGAATGAAGGTACGTGGGTTACGTCCATTTGCCACAACATATTGGGGGTTAATCCCTGTGGGTTAGCACCAGTCCCTGCATGTGGCAGTTGTAGTACCTGGCACTGAGGGCAATGTTGCACAATGTCCTTTGCCTGTCTCCAAGTAATTTGATATTTTTGTTTAAGTCCTGCTGCATTAACATGTGTTAGGGAGTGAAAATCTTGGACATTAGTAAGCACAGTGGAAACTAGTAAATCACCTTGATCGTTAGCCCTTACAACGGTCCCAGGGAGATTAGTATATGCTCGAATGTGCATGATATAGAAAGGAAAATAGTGATCACGCACTGCCTTTTGTAAAGAAGAAAACAGCTGATAGAGTTGTTCATCCACAAGATATTTAATGAGTGCAGTTTCTATGTATTGAGTGGCTTGAACAACATAAGCTGAATCAGAGACAATATTTACAGGTTGCTTAAAGTCTTCTAACACAGCTATAACTGCCTGTAATTCAGCCCTCTGTGCCGATTGAAAGTCAGTTTGAATAATTCTGTTTTTAGGTCCCACATAAGCTGCTTTTCCATGGCTAGAGCCATCTGTAAACACAGTCACTGCTCCTTCCAATGGAGCACAATGGGTAATTTTTGGAAGGACCCATGTTGTTAGCTTTAAAAACTGAAAAAAATTTTTTTTGGATAGTGATTGTCAAGAACTCCAATGAAGCCAGCTAAATTTATTTGCCAATTGACCAAATTAACAAAGGCTTGCCGATCTGATTTGTATTCATTGGAACTATAATGTTATCTGGATCTGAACCGCGAAGTTTAACAACTCTAAGGTGAGCTTGTCCAATCAAGATTGCCATCTGATCCAAGTATACTGTGAGTGTTCTGACAGTATTCTGAGGCAGGACGGACCATTCAAGTAAGTCCTCACTCTGAACTATAACCCCTGTAGGAGAATGGAGAGTAGGGAACACAATGAGCTGTAATGATAAACTTGAGTCTATTCTATTATCCTGGGACTGCTGTATTTTTTCTTCAATCATTTGTAATTCTTTGGCAGCCTCAGGAGTCAGTTCTCATTTACTATTGAAAGCAGGGTCTACTCTTAAAATAGAGAACAGATTAGACATAGCATAGGTAGGGATTCCCAAAGTAGGTCGAATCCAATTGATATCCCCTAATAATTTTTGAAAATCTAAGTTTTCAGAGAGTCTTTTTGAATTTGAACCTTTTGGGGTTTAATTGCCTTTTCCTGAACATGCATTCCACATATTGGAAAGGAGTGGCCGTTTGAATTTTATCTGGTGCCATGAGCAATCCAGCATTGGCTACCACCTCCTGTAAATATGAGTAACACTGGATAAGTTGGTCTTGATTTTTGGCCACACACGATATGTCATCCATATAATGAATGATATACGAATCTGGAAACTGATCTCTCACAGGTTGAATAGCCTTCCCCACAGAAGTTTGACAAACAGTAGGACTATTCAACATACCCTGTGGCAGGACTTTCCAGTGATATCTGGCTGCTGGTTCCTTGTTGTTCATAGCAGGAATAGTAAAAGCAAATTTCTCAAAATCAGACTCTACTAGAGGAATATTAAAAAAGCAATCCTTCAAATCTATAATTATTAATGGCCAGTCTCTAGGAATCATGGTAGGGGATGGAAGCCCTGGCTGCAGGGCCCCCATTGGCTGGATGACTGCATTGACCACTTGTAAGTTGGTTAGCATGTGCCATCTGCCAGACTTTTTCTTTATTACAAACACTGGTGAATTCCATGGAGAAAATATGGGCTCAATGTTTCCTTTGTTTAATTGCTCTTTGACTAATTCCTGTAAGGCCCCCAATTTTTCCTGAGAAAATGGCCACTGCTAGACCCAAACAGGATTTCAGGTCTTCCATTTTAAGGGAATAGGACTTGGAGGCTCAACAGTGACCACCCCTAAAAATGGCAACCTAATCCTTTTCGGTCATTTTTTACAGTAACCTGTATGGGTTCAATAATGCCTGCCTCCTGTTTTCCTAGGCCTTTTCTGGGAACATAGCCCATGTTTGACATTATTTTTTGACTAGCTTGACCATACCTGGGAGAAGAGATTGAAATTTCTGTGCCCCATTGTGGAAGCAGATCTCTCCCCTGTAAGTTAACAGGAATGGGTGTAATTACAGGTTTTATTGTGACTTCCTGTTCTTCTGGACCAAGACCAATAAGATAAAAGTACTTTGGAAAACTTCTGAAGCAGTTCTGACCCCAACAAGACCCACTGGGGCCTTTTGTTTGGGCCAGTTTTTTGGCCATTGATAAAGAGCTATGATTGACACATCTGCTCCTGTGTCGACCAGACCCTCAAGTTATTTTCCTTGAATAATGACCTTACAAATAGATCTTTTGTCAGAGACTTGATTTACCCAACAGGCAGCCTCCCCTGCTGAATTTGTGCTTCCAAATCCTCCTGTTCTTTTTTCTGATTTGTCTTCTAACTTAACATACGATCAAAGCAACAGTTGAGCTATTCTGTCACCTGGATTAGCACTCCAGGGAACAGTGGAAGAGATAACAATTTGAATTTCTCCCTGGAAATCAGGGTCCACTACTCCAGTATGTACTTGAATTCCTTTAAGTTTAAGCTGGACCTTTCCAGTATAAGTCCCACTGTGCCTTTTGGCAATGGGCTGTAAACTCCCATTGGGACCTTCCTAGGAGGCTCCCCAGGAAGGAGGGATACAGCTTTGGTACAGCATAAATCTACTGCCCCACTTTTAGCTGTGAAGGGGGATGATTGCTTTACATTTGTAACAGGGATAGACTGGGCTGGGAACACTCCATTTGGAGTCGGGGACATCATGTCCTGAATTGAGAATGCCCCATTTTGAATTGGGGCCCGGGGCTGGCCCCTCTGTCCATTTCCCGGCAAGGGCTGTCCACTATTATCAAACTTTGAGTGACATTGATTAGCCCAGTGTTTTCCTTTTTTACATCTAGGAAAGGTACCTGGTTCCCTGCTTTTTCCTCCTGAGTTTTGCCTTTTTTGGCTCTTTGTACACTCTCTTTTTGTATGTCCTATCTGTCCACAATTAAAGCAAGATCCAGGGAACACTCATGTGTTTTTTGTTACCCTTAGTCCAGCCATTGCCTGAGCAAGGAGACTGGCCTTATATAAGCGCCCCCCAATGCCATCGCAGGCTTTAATGTATTCACTTAAAGTTTTTTCCTCATTTAGATCTGCCTTTCCCTTAATAGGTCTAATAGCTGCCTGACATTCTGTATTAGCATTTTCATAAGCAAGCAGCTGAACAATCACTTTCCTGGCATGAGAATCCAAAATAGCCTTTTGAGCCACGTCTTGCAAATGGGCAATAAAATCTGGATAAGGCTCCCTTGGACCCTCTTGAACTGAGTTAAAAGAAGGATAAGTAGTATGAGGGTTGTGAATTTTTTCCCAGGCTCTTAGGCATATAGTTCTGAGCTGATCAACAGCCTCATCACCCATTACCATCTGTTGATTTAGAGTACTCCATGCCTGTCTGATTCCAAGCAATTGATCAGATGTGATATTAACGGGAGGTTGGGCTTGAGCACTCCTGCATGCCTGATTTGTTGCTTCATCCATCCACTAGGTTTTAAATTGGAGAAATTCAGAGGGGGACAGTGTGGATCGGGCTAATGACTCCCAATCCATAGGTATTAAACGCCGGTTATAAGCCACAGAATGTAACAAGGAATGAACACAAGGAGAATTTGGCCCATATTGTCCAATTGCTTGTTTTAAGTCTTTTAATATTTTAAAAGGAAATGGCTCCCAGCATGCTTGAGCATGTTCTCTGGGCTCCTTAGCTGGCGAAATGATTACTGGAAACCGCCAAGCATCCAAATCCCCCATTTCTTGTGCCTGGTGAATGGATGCCTGATTGTCCCTGCACCATAATTTGTATTTGGGCCGGCTTGCAGCATTCCTCTATCATAATTAACAGGTGGGCAAGCCTGGATCATTCCCTCACTTTAATTGGCTGTTGGGCGAGCTGAAGCTTCCCTTCACCATAGTTAATGGTGGGGGTTGCAACAATGGGAGTGGTGAGTCGCGTCTCAGGCTCCCATTCCAAAAATTCGTAAGGCTGAGGCGGGGGTGGCCATTCTGGACCTTCCCCTAAAGGTGCAGTAGGTGGCACTATTTCTGCAGTAGGTGGAACTCTTTCTGTCCTAAGTTTTTGGAGGTTAGCATATATACCTTCCCGTTTCTCCTCCTTTTTTAAACTAGACTGTGATGGTTCACTTTGCTGAGCATCAGACTCCTGATTATTAAACTTTTCTATGTCATCCTGAAACTCATCCTCCTCCTCCTCAGTGTGGAAGGGCTCCAGTGCTATTTTAATTGCTGACCACACAGACCAAGTGGAGAAGGGAATATCGTGGCCCTTTTGTTGTGCTCGTTTTAAGTCTGATCTGACCTTGTCCCAATCTTTTACATTCATGGTTCCATATTCCAGGAACCAAGAAGAATACTTTTCTACGAGATGGAACAAAGATGTGAGATTTTGGGTACTCACAATTACCCCTCCATGGTGCAATAACTGCCACACTAGACTTAAGTAATTAGCAAGCTTACTTTCAGCCTGACCCATACTTTCCTGAGGTAACCCTGGAATTCTCCCAGTGCCCTACTTACCTGTAGAACCTGAAGTGAAAACATACTCGGGTGTCCTTTGTCGGTCGTCCTCCACTTTCCACATTTTGGTGTTTCTTCACCGGATTATTTGTAGAGATTACAGGGAGCCCCGTGTTGGGTGCCAGATGTTGGGGAAACCAGCCCCACACCACCCAGTGGGTATTCTGAGTCCAGCGTAGACAAAGGAGTTAGAAAGAGACAGAATAAGCACTTTAAAGGCGGGTCCAAGGGACCGGGGCTTTGGAGGCTTGCTCATGGCCCAGAGCTCTTGGGCTCTGCACAATTTATTGGTTTACAAGCAATTCGTTCTTAGGGCAGATGGCAGGGGGAGGAAGGATGAGGAAAAGGATTAATCAGTGAAGGAGAACTCGTGAGTCATTCAATAAGATGTATAGCAGTGGCAGTTTCTGTGAATTTCATTGAGCAAAGGCATGTGTCTAAACTACTTAAGATCTTTAACTTATCGGGACTGAAACAGGTGGGAGTGGGGTTCAGGAGGAGCCAAGATGTTTGATTATACTCCACTGCTTCAAGGGAGTGTTATCTCCCTGAGCAACCTGCAGAATGCTGCTGAGTGGTTATGCTCTCGGGGCATAAAGACATGAAGGCAATAAGGAGACTTTTCTCCTCAGAGGCCACCCATGGCTCCCCATGGGTGTCTCACACAGGTGAGACCAACTCAATTGACACCCAGAAACTTTCTTTCCCACAGTATTTTATTTACTGAGTTGATGATTTAGGCCTCAGGCAAATAGGGGAAGCATCCCTCTTTTGGCACCAGTTGTAGCTAAAACAGGTGTGTAGATATAATACCCAATGGTGGGTAGAGGTCCCAGCCTTGATGAAGGTGGTGGCTGGTGTAGGGGGGTCTCAATTAGATGTGCTGAAGTTTTATCAGGTTGAAGGGTGGGAGCTACCTTATCTTTCCTGTGAAGCCAGCAGAAAAGCTATCCACAGCCACACTCCTGTCCTAATGTTCTGGTTACTCAGATCAGACAGGCATCTCTTTTTATCTGTAGAAATGTTGATGTTCCAAGTAGAAAAGAATTATGACTCTGCCTCTTGTGCAGTCCTGAACCTGGAGAGTGCTTCTCCTGTGGGGCTGCAATCAACCCGAATTGTTTCAAGAAGGCTGTCTGTATGTGCATCTATGCTGCATGCCTATGAGAGAAGCCCTAGCCATTTCCGCAGTAGTGTGCCTGGGAGAACAAGGACCCCTTTTTCAAGACCCTTTATGATCACAGAGGCTGCCTGCCTGATGGGGTAGAGGTGCAGACTTTCTCTACTGTGTCCAGCACTGCAATTGTGTCTCTGTTGTAAGAAACTTTCCACTAGTGGAACAATCTGGGACTCAAGTCCTGATATTCAGAGTCTCTTGTCCCACAGGGTGTTCCCTTGATGTGGTGCTCTCCCCCTTCCCTTAGGAATGGGATTTCCTGGGAGCCAGACTACAATGATTGTTACTGCTCTTCTCGGTCTAGCAACCCAATGGGGCTACCAGATTCTCTGCTGGTGCTGGGTAATATCTGCAAAAGATCCAGTCATATGACCTGTCTTCAAATGTCCCAGCAGTGGATACCAGCACCTGCTCTGACAAAGGTGGAAGGGGAGTGATGTAGGCTCTGTGAGATTCCTTGGTTTGAGACAAACTTATTGGGCTGGCTTCCTTAAATGCTGCTTATACTGGTAGTGAACTCATGACATGGACAGACTCAGGATCTCTGGTTAGCCAGGGTGTTGCAGGCAGTGGCGATAGCTGAGATCATGCAGCCATTTTCTCCTTCCTGGGTGCAGTGCTAGAGGTACTGTAATGGCCTGAGTTGGTTGGCCTCTAGCCAGGAGGTGGTGCTTGCAAGACAGCACCAGCTGCAGTAGTAGCAGTGGGATTTGAGCTTTCCGTAAGTTGCCCAGGGGAAGTAATCTGTTTTTTCAGGTGATTGGTGGGGCCATAAAGCTCCCAAAAGTTTATATCCTTTGTGTTAAGCTACCAGGGCTGGTGGAGACATACCACCAGGTGGGGGTAGGGTTACATGGGTCTAAGTTCAGACTCCTGGGTGGGGCAGGCCATAGCCCCTATGGGGAGAGTCATTCTCAGGCCACTGGGGCAATGTTCCAGAGGGGAGAGTAAAACTGCCTCTCCCCTCTGTGCCTCTGCACCTCTGCTGCACAGAAGAGTTCACAAAGGGAGTGGGGAGTCATGGGCAGCAGTAAGCTTCACCCAGCTCCCATGCAGTTGGAGAGGCTGGTCTTGCTCCTGCAGTGCTCCACTAACAGCGCTGGGTTTAGATCCCGGTCTGTGCACAGAACTCAGACCTGCCCCAGGCCATAAGCTTCCCACAGAGATAGAAACCACAGCTTTGAGGCCATGCTTCTCCATGTCTGCTGGCAAGGCTGGGAGCCCAGCTCTGCTCGTGTCTGTGGCTCACTTCCCACTCACCGTCCCACTCCAGGTTCTGTTCAAGGGAATTCATCCCCACTTGAGATTATGTCACAAAATTCAGTTTGGAGCTTCTTTCACCCTGCAACTCTTCCCTAAGCATGTTGCCTGACTTCCCCGAGGACCCCTGTGAGATTTAGTAAGTAATGTCTTCCCTAGGCTCATGCTGGAGACTGGGAATGCCTACAAGTACTTCCTGATGATGCTTCTACTTGTATATTGCATGCTGCTCCCCAATTCCATTCCAGCTTTGGATAGGGTTATGGCCTTCTCCTGTGGTCTGGATTTGCAGATTCCTTGGTCAGGATGAGTGCTTGGAGGCAGACTCTCTCCCCTTCTAGCAATCTGGGAATTTAGTTTTTTGCCAGTCTCATGGACTAGACTACAGCCTGCCACTTCTTTCCTGGTAAGTTTCTGTGGTGGCTCTTGAAAAAAGAAATTCACAGTGTTACTCTCTACTGACTATTCTGTCCTTGCAAGTGGGAGAGGCACAATAACTCTGCCTCCTATCCACCATCTTGAAAAAAAGACAAGGGAGTCTATAGCAGATATATGGGTACTTAGGGACTGCATGGCCTGGGTTACATTGTGAGAGTAATCAGGGATATATACATAACATTTAGTTTTAATTAACACACAAGTTATGCCTTGGATGGCAGTTAAGATGACCAGGGCCATACAGTTTTGCAAAGTAAGGCATCCAATTTGGGTAGTTTCTTTAGTGAGAAGAGTAATAGCATGGCAGGTATCATTGAAGGCTGCAGCCATAGATTTAGCCAGGGCCTCAACTTGTAGCTCTATATCTATTGTCACTGCTTGACAGCCCACAAACACTCAGGTAAGGAGAGGCCAGCCTCAGGGATGGGTGGTTTGTGAGGGATGCCATTTTACTTATCTCAAGTCTGGAGAGTATAATACCCTCTGTCTTCATGTTCCATAGACAGAGAAGCCATCCCTTGATCAACTGTCTCCCCTTCTATCTGAACCAATTTCCCAGCTCTGCCAATTCTTTAGTGGTATAATCCTGCATTGGGGTTCACTGCAGTCTTTCAGGTGGGGGCAAGTCTTGTGGAGCTACTCCCTGTATGCACAGTTGGTCTGCTTTTATCTTGGTGGTGACAACTGGACATGAAGAGAGGAAAGGAACCTCTATAGGCTTGTCCCAGTCCTCACTGTCCTTCTCACAGTTTCTCTCTATGGGGTTCCAGGACTTAGGGTCCCAGAATTATTTAGTCATAATAGCCCTGACTTGTTGATGTGGCAGCTGGCGACCCTCTGAATGACCCACCTGACAAGCCAGGGTTTACCTTTTGTCATCCTGCGCCCAAAGGTCTCCAATGTTTTAGCCTGAGCTAAGCTGGTATCTCTTTCTAATCTCATCCATTTTATAAGTGAGTCACCCTTGCCTGTACCACAAACTCAGTCTCTGGCTGCTTGGAGCACAGTCAGGAGAGGCTAGCCAAGTGTGGCTGTGATGGCTTGGGCATCTGACTTTCGCTTAGTTGGATTAACCCCCTGCAACAGCTTGTCCAGATCCTTTGGCATTGTTGGAGTGTCCTCATACTCAGGCAGTGGGACCCATCCATCTATTGGGCCCCACATAGATGTAGATGGCCAGCCTGAGATTCCCCCTGAGGATCTCCCCTTCCTGATCCTATCCTTTTGGCACTCATGGGATATTCTCTGACCTCCTGGCTGGGCTTGGCAATTGTTGGACTGGACCCCTATTGACTCCAACAGGGATGGCACTGTGTCTGAGAGGCCAAAGAAGACACCTGGAGACAGTGAACGAGACATAGGGTTTATTATGGGTAACTTACATACAGGGGCAGTTCAGTGGAGGTAGGCTGGACAGGAGAACTGCTGCTGTTCATAAATGCAGCAGTTTATATAGCATTTTCACTTAGCACCCTCTACCTAGCAACCTACATCTAACTCAAAACAAAGGGCTCCGATCCCCTGTTCGTCCTGTATTCCAAGGGATGGGGCCGAGATTTCATAGAGAAGGAGTGAACCTCTGGGTTGGCCACTCCCAGATTCCTTAGCTCAGAACTCTGAACACACATTCTTTGTATGGTCATTGTCAGGGTGTGCTTAAGTTATTGCTGTCAGGTGCATCTGCCATACACACACTAACTATAATATTTATTTTTAGCCTGGTTGTGCCGCTAATATTGCTATGTTTCTTTAGGTGATGTAAATTAACTTAATTCCTCTTTGGAAAATTAGGGAGCTTTACTTGAGACGAAATATTAAATATTTTTTGGAAATGAGTTTAAAAATAAATGCTCAAAAATCATAAAAGCTATTAAAATGATGTTTGATATACACTGATTTAGAGGGTAAGAAATCAAGTGGAATTAATTAGTTGCTCAACTCTAAAAGACTCACTAATAAAGAGGTAATGAAATGTTCATGGTGAAATGTTTCTTTTACACCAATTTTTTATGCTGAGATAGGTTCAGCTGGGATGCATGCACAGCTGAGAGGCAGTGAGGCATATGGGAAGCATGTGAGTTTTGGAAGACAGTCCTGGATTTAAATCTGCAATTTAGAGATGTGTCTGGGTAAATCACTCACAGCCTCCAAATTTCGGTTTCCTCATAGAATTTCTGCATAATAATCCCTGAATGGCAGGACTGCTGTCAGCATTTGAGGTGATATTTGCCGTTTCTTTGGTCCAAAATTTAGTACATACAAGGGACTCAATAACGATTAGATATTGTTATTAGTTGTCCAGAAAGCAATCTGCTTGCACCAGGCCTTTTGCTCCTGGAACATCCCATGTTTTTAACTTCGCTGATACTTTGTTTTGCTCTAGAGGGAGTGGAAACTAGCTTAAGGAGGTGAAAACATATCTCGTTATGAAATGGCAATTCATTTTCCTAAAACTATACAGGGAATTCAGTTTCCCCATATCTAAAAAGAGTGGGTGGGCTATGAAATATCTAAAAAGAGTGGGTGGGCTATGAAATATCTAAAAAGAGTGGGTGGTCTATGAAATGGAATGGGTTAAAGACTTCTCTGAAGGCCTTAATTTCTAATATAGCGGTTTGTATCTGCTGTGTACGCAGATGAGAGTTGTACCTAACCGAGGAGCGGGCGGTCCTTGCAGCGTGGGCTCCAGGAAAGGAAAGGAAGCCTTGACGCAGCATCATTTATGGACTTGAACACTAGGTGTCGCTCGCGCACTTGTTTTCAGCCGTAGGATTCAGAGACGGTATTTTAGGCTTAGACCCAACACTTGATTTACAGTTCTTCCGAATCTTTGCCCCACACTTATACATTGTTTTCGGATGTTTGTGCCAATCTCCTGCTAACCTATGCTCTCTGCCTGAACCTCATTCACCTGCCTCAAATTTCTGGCTTATTGAAGAACAGAACTCCTTAATTCCATTTCACTGCTTTCTAGGTCTCAACATTTTTGCTCTTCTTTTCTGAGAAGTGTTCGGCAGTATACCATATCTACACTCCCATCCATAGGCCTCTTAGTGCACCAGATCCAAAATATCTTATATAAAGGATGATATAAATATCTTACATAAAATATAAATGTATAATGTCTATAAAATATCTTTCAGTATCTTTTAATATCTAAAGTACCTTGTGTAACGATCTTATACAAAGTATGACATCTTATATAAAGTATTATATAAAGTCATTGATTCACTGAACAAACATTATTTAGTTTTGTGTGCAGCATAGAATCATCTTATGTTTTGATGTAAACACTCAAGTATTTGTTCCTGATGTATTCAGAAGAATATTTAGGGAATATGAAAATTCCCTAACACATATAAAGGATATCGTTTATCCACTGGAGTGTATAGATAGGATAATTTTTCTAAAAATATAAGATCTCTCTCTTAGAAAAGGATAAATACATTCTGTGTTGCTTCTAATGTTTGTCAGGGGAAGGAGGCCACATTGAGTTCTATTGTGAGAAAAGAAGCAGAATGAGAATGAGGTCTTTTGCATGGAAGGGATAATGAGAGTTTGGGCAGAGCAGGAAGAGACTACTAAAGAGGGGACGAAGTCAGCAAAAGGATGGACTTGGCTAGGGAGAGCCTGTATTCATGCCCCTGAGAGGTCTGAGCGTGGTTGATGACCTGGAATGGGTGTATTCTTTGTGTCCAAACCTGTGGCTCAGGGATGACCTAGCTGGGCCAGCTGTCCTCATTAAATAGTCATTATTTTTATTAAATGGAGGATCGTGCTTCATTCAAAGTCAATAACAGCTAGTATCAATGACTAAGATATTGACTGCCTAGTAGTAGCAACATCCCTGCCTACACCCAGAGATATTATCAGCCAATTACCTCATCATCTGGTTATGGGGGAATCTGTGTTCTGCGCCATGCCTTGAGCATGACACATATTTTGGCAAACCTATGTCTAGGTTTCCTTTCTGCAATACCATATGAAATAGTAAACTCGAGTGACCACTGGACTTCTAATGGGATGAGCAGTGTGGCAGAAGTTTCTGTTTTGCTAGGACCATCCTAACCTAAGAAAGTCATGAAGTAAACTCCACAGTATCGTGTATGAAATTCTATGCTAGGCATTGTAGACTAAATAGAGATGAATAAGACTTGATTCCTTATGTCTGATTCCTGTTTATGGGGCAGAATGGATACTATGGGTCCATGATAAAGTGTCAGGTCAGGAGGGGAATACATTGGGGTAAGTATTTCCCTACTTGAGACAGTAAATGCAAATAAGGTTTTGTAAGTCCCTTTACTCTTAAGGTAGGGCTCAACTCTGTTTTAATACATTTCTGACTTCTGAGTTCATTGGTTTATGTGTGAAACAAAAAGATTACTTTCTTAATTTCTTGAAAAAGTCCAATATCATCTGTAAAGTCTTTTGTTGATGTTATATGATATCACACAGAGGAAGAATTATGGGTTGGATCGTAATACTATTAGCTTGATGAGTTTCTGGCTGAACATTGAACCACACATTGCTAATCTGATATGTTTTCTGCTGGTAAATATCAGAGCCTTGTTGTGGCCCGTATTCTGTTCAATACGTTCATCAGGGATTTGGATAAAGATATGAAGGACACACTCACCAAACATGTGGATGACACAGAGTTAAGAGGGTTCATGAAAAAAAACCCTAAATGACAGAATCAGATGAAAGCGGTCCTAACATGATAGAAAGATGAACCAAACTCTAAAAGAAGTGTGATAGAGATAAACATTAAGCACTATATATATAATATATATATATATATATATATAACTTTAGTATTGTTAACCAAAATAAACTAGGTTCCTGCACTAGGCCTGACAGACCAAACCAACATAAAGTTGAACTCCAGGAGCTGAGCTTTAGTTACTGCAGGACGCTCCGTAGCCAGTTAACCAATGAAGCTGTATCCAATTCAGTTTTCTGTACACCGTACTTCTGTTTCCTATAAATGCTGTCAGATCATGTTATTAGTTGGAGTTCTCTGAACCTGCCCTGGTTCAGAGGACTGCCTGATTTGTGAATCATTTTCATTCTGTTTTTACTTTGCTTTGCTTTCCTCTGCTCAAATAAAGTCAGTTAAATTTAAATTTGGTCTAAGGTTTTTCTGTTTAACAGCATTGTTGAATCTTAACATTAGAAGTATGACAAAACAAAAACAAGCAAAAACGTAACAGAATATAATAGTTCAAAACACAATATTTGGTATTACAGTGAGACATGGTTAAATAGGTAAGGCATAAATCTCTCTCTGTGAGTTCTAGATCAGCTTATCAAGATCATTAAAATAGCAACAGCCTGAATCCTGAACTTTCATTTTGTCTCTTTGGAAACTGTATTTTTGACATTGACAGGCTTAAGGCAGCCTTATTTATTCTGAAAATAACTAGACAGAGAAGTCTTCATGAGCAAGAATATCTTAAACTTTCATGATTCCAGCTAAGAATAGCCTGTCTACAGTGTGACATATTGGCTACATTTGTCAGCCTTTTTATTCATGAGGATAGTCACACACTTTTAAGATCACCAAACAAAACCACCCTATCCATCCATTGACTTTCTTTCTCCCTTTATCACTCAAAGTGAATTCAGCATTGAATTTGTTTACCTGCATTAGGTAACAGTTTTGGAACCGGTTGCATGAGGGGAAGTAATGATACAGTTCTTTCATTCTATAATATTTTTCGTGAATCCACTGCAGTGTTTAGGGTTATCCATAGGAATGTTTAAAAGAGGTTTTCTGCAGCCGGGTGCAGTGACTCATGCCTGTAATCCCAGCACTTTGGAAGGCCGAGGCAGGTGGATCACCTGAGGTCGGGAGTTCAAGAGCAGCCTGGTCAACATGGTGAAACCCTGTCTCTACTAAAAATACAAAAAAATTAGCCGGGCGTGGTGGCGAGCACCTGTAATCCCAGCTACTTGGGAGGCTGAGACAGAGAATCACTTGAACCTGGGAGGTGAAAGTTGCAGTGAACCGAGATTTCACCAATGCACTCCAGCCTGGATGACAGAGTGAGACTCTGTCTCAAAACAAAACAAAACAAAACAAAACAAAAACTGTATCCAAGAGTAATTTTTTACTTGATTTGATACTTGAGAGATTCTCATGTATCTGAGAAGCACCTCCATCGTAAATATGTGATCCACCCCAACAACTGAAAGCATATTGGTTACAATTTTTGCAGAATTAGAGCACAGCTCATGTTCCTTCTATCTCGTTAGGCATATGGGAACATCACTCTGGATGATGATGTAATTTCACAAGTGTTGACCATTGAGGTCGCTGAGTTATCCTTAATTTCTTGTCAGCCCTTCTGTGTGATATAGGCAGTGTTGCCTCTTACATGCTCACCAGTCTCTACTCTGTTGTCCTGATTGTTGAACTTTGGTGGTGATCACCTCACTCAGATCCACACCCACCTGTTCACCTGTTTCTGAGAGTGGTCCTGAGCATTTCCAGGTTGGGCATGGTAGAGGTTCAGTGGGACTGGTGGAGATTGAGGTGGCAGTAATGGGATCCATTATTTTAAGGATAAAACTTATAAATTACAACTAACAAGACAAAAAACCCCATCTAATCTTTAAGAACAAGATGCTACAGATTTAGCAGTAATGTTTGTGAAAATGTCTTAGGGGCTATAAAGAAGAATATTCTCAAATGAATCAACTGTAATGTAGCAGCAGAAACATCAATATGTTAAACAATATTAGTGGAAGTGAATTTGAGTGAGTGAGTGGGTGTAATCCTCCTCTTGTGAGTTGATCAGGCCACACCTGGGAACTGCTTTCAGGTTTTAGCAATATGCTTTTCTTTCAAAAATAACATTGATTATTTTTATTACAAAGTAATATATTATCACTGTAGAAAATCTAGAAAGCACAGAAAAATACATCAATTAAAAATAATCTATAACCCCGCTGATCGGATAGAATCATTAACATTTTGTTATGTCTTCTTTCAGATATATGCACACACACATAAATACATATGTACATATGATCACATTTTGTTTTGTCATCTTTTATCCCCACTTGACAACATATCTCAGTTTCTCAGTTAAGTGACATTCTGTTGTCTATTCAAACACTTTTAAAATTTATCATATAGGTATACTACACTATTATTCTTAAATATTAGAAGTAATGCTATGATGCACATTATTACAGATAAACATTTGCTTATATTCCTGAACATTTCCCTAAAGAAAATTCTTAGATGTGTAAATTCTGGATAACAAGAGTATTGGCATTACTCTTTAAGAGAGACATGGACAAACCAAGGTATGTTCAGAATAGTGACTTTATTTATGGACTGGAAACAATATCATTTGAGGATAGTTGCAAGAGAAAAAAATGGAGATTCAAAACTTTTCACATATTTCAGTGCTTGTCATTGAAAAGAAGAATTATATAAGTCAAAAATACATTGTTTAGTACCAGTAGCTTGAAGCTACAGGAGACAGATGGTACAGTACCATGTGAAATGCTTGTTACTGTCAGAGCTATTAAAAGTGAATTAGGGCGAGGGTGACTCAAGGGGAAGAGAGTGGCCTGAACTTGGAGGTACTGAGTATAGGCCAATAGCCATTTAAATGTGGCCAAGGGGATTCAGAGGCTAAGCGTGGATCTTACTAAGGCTAAGGACTTTTTTATTATTATTATTTTTATTTTTTGTATTATACTTTAAGTTCCAGGGTACATGTGCACAACGTGCAGGTTTGTTACATATGTATACATCTGCCATGTTGGTGTGCTGCACCCATTAACTCATCATTTACATTAGGTATATCTCCCAATGCTAGCCCTCCCCCTCCCCCCACCCCACGACAGGCCCAGTGGGTGATGTTCCCCACCCTGTGTCCAAGTGTTCTCATTGTTCAATTCCCACCTATGAGTGAGAACATGCGGTGTTTGGTTTTCTGTGCTTGCGATAGTTTGCTCAGAATGGTGGTTCCAGCCTCATCCATGTCCCTACAAAGGACATGAACTCATCCGGCTAAAGACTCTTCTAACGCTCTGAGTCAATAATTTGTCCTAAGTGGAAAATCTTAAGAAATGAATACCTGATGAGTTTTGTTTTTATGTTTTATTTCCATAGGTGTTTTTGGGAACAGGTAGTGTTTGGTTACATGAATAAGTTCTTTTGTGGTGATTTCTGAGATTTTGGTGCCCCCATCACCCGAGCAGTATACACTGTACCTAATTTGTAGTCTTTTATTCCTCATCTCCACCCAGCATTCCCCCCGCAGTCTCCAAAGTCCATTGTGTCATTCTTATGTCTTTGCATCCTCACAGCTTAGCTCCTACTTATGAGTGACAACTTATGATGTTTGGTTTTCCATCCCTGAGTTACTTCACTTAAAGCAATGGTCTCCAATTCCTTCCAGGTTGCTGCAAATGCCATTATTTCATTCCTTTTTATGGTTGAGTAGTATCCATGGCTGGTTAGATTGTTTTGTTGTTTGGTTGTTTTTTCATGTTGGTAGAGGGTAGTTTACACAGGGTTTTGGAAAATATAAAATAAAACCAACAGCTACAAGGTGGCTTATTTGAGAATTCAGGTATATTTTCTTGCTAAAATAATTCTTAAAGTTCACACTTACTCATGGATTTTTTTTTTTTGAGGCAGAATTTCGCTTTTGTCACCCAGGCTGGAGTGCAATGGCATGATCTCGGCTCACTGCAACCTCTGCCTCCTGGGTTCAAGCGATTCTCCTGCCTCAGCCTCCCAAGTAGCTGGGATTACAGGCATCCGCCACCATGCCCAGGTAATTTTTGTATTTTTTTTTTTTTTAGTAGAGACTGGGTTTCACCATGTTGGCCAGGCTGGTCTTGAACTCCTGACCTGAGGTGATCCACCCACCTAAGCCTCCCAAAGTGCTGGGATTACAGGCGTGAGCCACTGCACCTGCCTGGATTGTTTTGATAATGAAATAGATAATAATTTCCATTGTTATAGTGCTTATTATCACCTGGATATTTTAAAATATTAATCAGTTTTTTATTGTTTATAATCCACTCACATATGTAATAGGATGGATGCCCAGCTAAAGGTCCTATGAGGTGTTTTCCTCCCCTTCATTCTAGGGAGAGAACTATCAGAACTTGTTGTCCTTTGTGGATATGAAGGCAGTTTCCTGACAAAGGGTCTTCCTGGATGCAGCTGGAGCTGAGAGTAGCATTTGACACAGAGTAGGTGTGTGTGAATGGATGAATGGATGGATGAATGAACAGTGTAATGCCCTCTGGAGGGTGAAGAGAATACTTCCATTATGTAAGAAGAGAGATGTAATCAGACTCTGTGTTTCCCAGATGGAAAGGAATACCTGCTTGATCTTTGAGGAAGTTGATTCCTTAGAAGGAAAAAGTGACAGTGGCTTAGGGTCTACAAAGGGAGGAAACTAAGCACACTGCTCCTGGGCTTGCCCCTTCGGACAGGCTAAGGATGGGTGACTAAGGGAGATAGAAAGGCCTGTTCTGTCTTGGTCTAATTCAGAAAGAGTTGGGTTATCCTCTCTTTAAGGTCTACTTGGTTCCTCTGTGGGAACAGAATGAATACCAGCCCCGATGACCAGCACCAAAACCAGCATCAGAATCAGCATCATCTCTTGAAAGGGGACTAGGGGTATTAGCTCCCATGTGCCAGCAAGAAGCAGTGGCATTAGTAACACTGTTAGAAGAGTAAAGTTTCTTTTTGCTTGGATATAGAAGTTGGACTGCATTCTCATATTTGGGCTGAGAAAGCTATTACGTTCTTGGGTAATGTAAGGATAAGTTTGCCTCTAAAGAAAGATCTAGGAGAATGTAAGCTAACTGGAAGTAGAAATTCCTGCTCATTTTGTTTATTGATGTGTCCCGCGCATAGAACAATGACCGACACATAGTAGTGACTCAATGAATATTTATTGTATAAATGAATACTGTATTTTCTGCTAATGTGGCAAATAGTGCTTAAACTATTAATCAGGAAAGTAAAAATGTGATGACATGTTCTGATTTGTGGAGCATTTATATCATCTCTTAATTATATATTTGCACATAAATAAGAAGATGGGAATATATGGAAAAAGACTACATTTTTATTCTGAAATCAGAACTCTTTTTAACTCACCTCAATACTACAACCTACCTAAACATAATTTTGTTAATGTCATCACTGTTACCGGTGAGTAGATTATAATACTTATCTTTCAAATCAAATTTTTGTCTGTGTTGTGAAAGCCACAATTAGATGGAGCAAGGATCAATAAAGTATCCAGTTAATACACCAGAATATAAATGAAATGAATCATAGGAAATGAAATGACTTTTGACAAATGCTGAGACAAATGCTGTGGCACAAAACCACAGGTTGTCATTTGAAATTGATATTGTAGGGAAACTGTAGTTGCAGCATGAACTCTAATATATAAATCTTCCATGGCACAGGTGTTCACTAATTTGATTTCTAAAAATGCTAGGCATTATGAAATGAAACATATTTCTGAGCATTTCTGACTCATTTACAGATTCAGATATATTTCTTTCTTTTTTTTCCCTATAGCTCATATAAAGAGACTAAGAAGGATGTTTATTTTAGAGTTTCGAATTTTCATTTTTATTTAAAAGACTAGCCATAACTAGGCATTAAAACTTGTTTTTTGCTATCTCTTTCCTTTTTTGTAGAAAGGCTTCAAGATAGGATTTGAAAATGTCAACAACAAAATAAGACTATTCAACCTGAAGCCTTTTGGCAGAATAAATACATATTTGTGCTATATTTGATACAAATACATAAAAGAGTTTGGGTGGACAGCAGCCATTAGGCAAATTAAAGCTTCACTCTCCAAAGTGTGCATAGGTCGTATTGTGCACCAATGGACGGCAGTTCCTGAGAAGTATAAGAATAAATGGAAATGTTAAGATCAGAATTTATATAACAAGAAATTTTATAAGGCAGGTGAGAAAATACATATGGATATTATAGTTTTTTTAGCTTTATTGACATATAATTGTCTAATAAAAATTGTACATATTAAAGGGGTAAAATGTAATGTTTGATGTACATAAACAATGTGAAGTGCTTACCACACTCAAGCTAATTAATATATTCACCACCTCATATAGTTACCATTTGTGTGTGTGTGTGTGTGTGTGTGTGTGTGTGTGTGTGTGGTGAGGACACATAAAATATACTCTCTTAGAAAATTTCAAGAATATTTTTATTATTAACTATAGTTCCTCATGCTACACCATAGGTCTCCAGAAATTATTCATCTCATGGCTGCAAGGTTGTAACCTTTAACATCTTCGGATCCCTGCGGCCCCACCCACCACTGTCACTAACCCCTGGTAACCTCCCTTCTACTCTCTGTTTCTAGGAGTTTGACATTTTGGGATTCCGCATGTAAATGAGATCATTCAGTATTTTGTCTTTCTGTGTCTGGCTTATTTCACTTAGCATAATGTCCTCCATTTTACCATGTTGCCACAAATGGCAGGATTTCCTTATTTTTAAAGGCCAAGTAATACTCCATTATATCTATCTATCCATCCATCCATCCATCCATCCATCATCTTTCTCTCTCTCTCTCTCTCTATCACCTATCACATTTTCTTTATCCATTCATCTGTTGATGAACACTTAAGTTGTTTTCCTATCTTGGCTCTTGTGAATAATTCTGTAATGAGCATGGGAGTGCCAGTATCTCTTGGAGATAGTGATTTATTTCCTCAGAATAGTATAGTGAGAAGTGGGATTTCTGTATTATATGGTAAATCTATTTTTAATTTTCTTGAGGAAGCTCCATACTGTTTTCCATAATAGCCATACCAATTTACATTCCCACCAACAATATATAAGTTCCCTTTTTGTGACATCCTCACTAATACTTGGTGTCTTTTTGACTTTTTGATAATAGCCATCCTGACAGACGTGAGGTGATACCTCACTGTGGTTTTGATTTGCATTCCCCAGATGACTAGTGATGTTGAGCACTTTTTCATATACCTGTTGGTCATTTGTGTCTTCTTTTGAAAAATGTTTCTTCGGGTCCTTTGCCCATCTTTAAAATTTGGTAATTTAGTTTTTTCTTGTTGAGTTGTAGTAGTTTCCTATGTGTTTTGGAATATTAACTCTACTGGATACGTGGTTTGCAAATACTTTCTCCCATTATATGGGTCATCTTTTCATTTTGTTGATTATTTCCTTTGTCATGCAGAAACTTTTAGCTTGATGTAGTACCACTTGTGAAAGGAAAATAAATCTTGGGGCCCCCAAATCTCTAAGCTAAAGGGAAAAGTCAAGCTGGGAACTACTTAGGGCAAAACTGCCTCCCATTCTATTCAAAGTCGCCCCTCGCTCACTGAGATAAATGCATATCTGATTGCCTCCTTTGGAAAGGCTAATCAGAAACTCCAAATAATGCAATCATTTGTCTCTTGTCTACCTATAATCTGGAAGCCCCTCCTCGCTTTTAGTTGTCCCACCTTTTCAGACCGAACCAATGTTTATCTTACATATGTTGATTGATGTCTCCTGTCTCCCTAAAATGTATAAAACTAAACTGTGGTTTGGGCACAAGTTGTCAGGACATCCTGAGGCTGTGTGATGGGCGCACATCCTCAATCTTGGCAAAATAAACTTTCTAAATTAACAGAGACCTGTCTCAGATATTCGGGGTTCACACACTTACTTGTTTTTGTTTTTGTTGCCTATGTTTTTGGTATCATATTAAAAAATTCATTGCCAAGATCAATGTCGTGAAGCTTTTCCTCTGTGTTTTCTTTTAGTAGTTTTACAGTTTCAGGTCTTTTGTCTAAGTATTTAATCCATTTTAAGTTGACTTTTGTATATGGTGAAAGATAAGGGTCCAGTTTCTTTCTTTTGCATGTGAATATCCAGTTTTTCCGGCACCATTTACTGAAGAGACTATCTTTTCTCCATTGGATATTTGATATCTTTATCAAAGATTAGTTGACTGTATATGTGTAAGTTTATTTCTGGGCATTCTATTCTGTTTCTTTGGTCTATGTGTCTGTTTTTATGCCAATACCATACTGTTCTAATTACTATCACTTTGTAATATAATGTAAAATTAGGAAGTGTAATGTCTCCAGCTTTATTCTTCTTGCTCAAGATTGCTTTAGCTATTCACAGTGTTTTGTGGTTTCATGCAAATTTTAGGATTGTTTTTCTATTTCAGTAAAAAATGGCATTAAAATTTTGATAGTGATTGCACTGAATCTATAGATCATTTTGGATAGTATGGACATTCTGACAATACTGATTCCTCTGATTCATAAACATGGCATATCTTTCCATTTACTTATGTCTTCTTTAATTTCTCTTATCAATTTTTATAGTTTTTAGGGTACAGATCTTTTACTTCCTTGGTTAAATTTATTCCTGAGTATTTTATTATTTTTGGTGCTATTGTAAAAGGAATTGTTTTATTAATGTCCTTTCAGATAGTTTGTTATTAGTGTATAGACATTAAAAACTGATTTTTGTATGTTGATTTTGTATCATGCAACTTTAAAAAATTGGTTTATTAGGTTTTTTTGTGTAGCATCTTTAGGATTTTCTACATGTCAGATCATGTCAGCTGCAAACAGGGGCAATTTTACCTATTCCTTTCAATTTGAATGCCTTTTGTATTTTTTTCATGCTTACTTGCTCTAGCGAGGACTTCCAGTACTATCTTGAATAGAAGTGGTGAGAGTGGGCATGCTTGCCTTATTCTTGATTTTAGAGGAATGGTTTTCAGCTTTTCACCATTGAGTATGATGTTAGCTGTGGGCTTGTTACATATGACATTTATTCTGTTGAGTTTCCTTGTATATCTAATTTATTGAGAGTCTTTGTCATAAAGGGATATTGAATTTTGTTGGAAGCTTTTTCTGCATCTATTGAGATGATTACATAATTTTTATCCTTTATTTTGCTAATTACAGGCCTATATTCCTAGTGAACATAAATGCTAAATTCCAAATTCTGTTGAAGATTTTAGCATTCATATTCATTAGAAATATTGTCCTATAATTTTTTTTTGCTTGTAGTGTCCTTGTTTGTCTTTGGTATGAGGGCAATGCTGACCTCATAAAGTGAGTTTGGAAGTCTTGAATTTTTCAGTTTGAGACGGAATGATATTAGTTATTCTTTAAATGTTTCATGGAATTCACCAGTGAAGCCATCAAGCCCTAGGCTTTTCTTTGATAATAGATTTTTGGTTACTGATTCAATCTACTTACTTGTTATTAATCTATTTAGATGTTCTTTTTCTTCATGATTTATTGTTAGTAGGTAGTATATGTCTAGGAATTTATGCATTTCTTCTAGATTATCCAATTTATTGGTGTATAGCAGTGTCTTATCATGCTTCGTGTTCCTATTGTATCAGTTGTAATGTTTCCTTTTTTATTTCTGATTTTATTTGTTTGAGTTGTCTCTTTTTTTTTCTTAGTCTAGCTAATGGTTTATTGATTTTGGTTATTTTTTTTTGAAGAACGAACTTAGTTTTTCTATCATTTATTTTGTTTTTCTAGTCTCGATTTCATTTATTTAGACTCTGATCTTTGTTATTTCCATCCTTTTTACTAACTTTAACCTTAGTTGATTCTTCTTTTTCTAGTTACTTTAGGTGTAATATTAGGCTGTGTATTTCAGATCATTCTTCTTATTTTAATATGGGTGTTTATTACTATACATTTCCTCTTAGAACTCCTTTTGCTGAATCCCATAAGTTTTGCTATGTTGTCTTGCCATTTGCATTTGTTTTAAGATATTTTTAAATTTCCCTTTTTATTTCTTGTTGGACCCATTGGTTGTTCAGGAGCATGTTGTTTAATTTCCACATTTTGTGATTTTTTTAGTTTTCTGCCCATTATTGATTTCTAGTTTCATACCATTGTGGTTGTAAAGTACACTTGCTAAGATTTCAATCTTCTTAAAATTGCTAAGAATTGTTTTGTGATCTAACGTATAATCTATGCTACAGAATGTTTCATGTGCACTAGATAAGTATGTGTATTCTCCTGCTATTGGGTGAATAGAATGTTCTGTATATAACTGTTAGTCTATTTGGTCTGTAGTGTAGTTTAATGTCAATGTTTCCTTATTGATTTTATGTCTGAATGATCTACCCATTGTTAATACTGAGGTATTGAAGTCTTTATTTTTATTATATTGCTATCTATCTTTTCCTTCAGATCAATTAATATTTGTTTTGTATATTTTGGTGCTCTATTATTCAGTACATATCTATTTACAGCCACTATATTCTCTTGTTGAATTGACCCCTTCATCATATGTAATGGACTTGTATTTTTTTTTCTTTTTACAATTTTTGACTTAAAGTCTATTTTTATGTAAGTGTAGTTACCCCTGGTCTCTTTGCATGGAAAACCCTTTTTCACCTCATTCACTTTCAGTCTGTGTGTTCTTAAAGCTAATGTGAATCTTTTGTAGGCAGCATTTAGTTGGGTATTTAAAAAAAAATCCATTCAGCCATGCTATGTCTTTTGATTTGAGAATTTAATCCACATACATTTAAGGTAATAAGACTTACTATCATCATTTTGTTAAATGTTTTCTTATTTTTTTGGTAGATGCTTTGTTCCTTTCTTTGTCTTTTGTGGTTGTTCTCCTTTTGTGATTTGGTGGTTTTCAGTAGTGATATACTTTGATTCCTTACTCTTTATCTTTTGATTTCTTTATCTGTATATTTTTGTGTATCTACTATATATTTTTGTTTTGTGACCATCATGAGGCTTGCATGGAACATCTTTTAGTTACATAAGTCTATTTTAGCTGATAATGTTAATTGCATACAAAAGCATTTCACATTTACTCCCCCCAATTTATATTTTTGATGTCACAGTTTATATCTTTTTATTTTGTGTATCCATTAAGTTATCGTAGCTACAGTTTTTTAAAAAATAATTTTGCCTTTTAACCCTTATACTGGAGGGTTTTTTTTTTTTGAGACAGAATCTCACTGCTTTATTGCCCAGGCTGGAATGCCATGGTGAGATTATAGCACATTGCAGCCCTGAACTTCCAGGTTCAAGCGATGCTTCCACTTCAGCCTCCCAAGTAGCTGGGACTACAGGTGTGCACCATCATGACTAGCTACTTTTTAAAAAATTTCTGGAAGAGATGAGGTCTCACCATGTTGCCCAGGCTGATTTTGAGCTCCTGAGTGCAAGTAATCCTCCTGCCTTGGCCTCCCAAAGTGCTGGGAATTCAGGTATGAGCCACCATGCCTGGTCCCTTTATGCTGTAGTTATAAGTCATTTACACACTACCTTTACAGTATTAAAGTATTTGAACTGGACTATGTACTTCATTTTACCACTGTTTTTAATACTTTTATATGTTTTCATGTTACTAGCTAGTGACTTTTTATTTCAGCTTGAAGAACTCCCTTTTGTATTTCTTGTAAGGCAGTTGTAATGGTGAAGAAGTCTCAGCTTTGTTTTGTCTGGGTAAGTCTTTATCCTTTCTTCATCCCTGAAGGACAGCTATGCTGAGTAAAGTGTTCTTATTTAATAGTTTTTTTTTTCTTTTAGCACTTTGTCTATATCATTCTGCTCTCCTCTGGTTTACAACATTTCTGCGGAGAAATCTGCTAATAGCTGGTTAGAAGTTCCCTGGTATATGAGGATCTTCTTTTCTCTTGCTGCTTTCAAGATTCTATCTTGGTCTTTGATGTTTGACAGTTTATTATCATTTGACTACCAACGTGTAGTTTTCTTTGGGTAGAATTTATTAGAAACTTCTGAACTTACTATACATGGTTGTTTATTTTTTCTTCCAGATTTGGAAAGCCTTCAGCCATTATCTCTTTAAATAAGCTTCCTGTCCTTTCTTTCTCTATCCTCTTCTTAAATGTCTATAATATGAAAGTTAGTTCTCTTGATAGTGTCCCATCAATCTTGTAGGCTTTCTTTTTTCCTTTCCATCTTTTCTTTTATCATCTGACTGGATATTTTTAAATAACCAGTCTTTGAGCTCACAGATTTTTCTTCTTCTTTATCAAGTAAGCTGTTGATGCTCTCTATTTCATTTTATTCATTGTATTTGTCAGCTCCAGATTTTCTGTTTTTTTAAAAATAATTTTAATCTCCTTGGTTAAGCTTTTAGTTTTGTTCATGTATTATATTTCTGATATTATTGAATTGCCTTTCTGTGTTCTATTGCAGTTCACTGAGCTTATTTAAAACAATTATTTTGAATTCTTTGCTAGATGATTCATAGATATCTATTTTTGGGAGTTGGTTACTGGTGTGAACCCCAACAATTTGAGACAGGTCTCCATTAATTTAGAAAGTTTATTTTGCCAATACTGAGGATGTGCATCCATGACATAGCCTCAGGAGGTCCTGACGACTTGTGCCCAAGGTGGTCAGAACACAGTTTGGTTTTATACATTTTAGGGAGATATAAGACATCCATCAACATGTAAGATGAACATTGGTTCAGTCTGGAAAGGTGGGACAACTGGAAGTGGGGAGGGGGCTTCCAGGTCACAGGTAGATAAGAGATAACTGGTTGCATTCTTTTGGGTTTCTGATTAGCCTCTCCAAATGAGGCAATCAGATATGCATTTATCTCAGTGAGCAGAGGGGTGGCTTTGAATAGAATGGGAGGGCAGCTTTGCCCTAAGCAGTTCCCAGCTTAACTTTTCCCTTTAGCTTAGTGATTTGGGGAGTCCATGATATTTTACTTTCACACTGGAAATTTATTATGCTTTTTTGATGGTGTTATGTTTCCTAATTTTTCATGTTTCTTGTTCTGTTGAGTTGATGTTTGCACATTTTTCTGGAGCAGTCAGCTCTTCCAGACCTTACGAACTGTTTTTGGTGGGAAAAAACCCTTCACCTCTGGGTGGGTAAAGGGGCGTCAGCTATGAGGGGTGCAGTGGTTTCAGTTTCAGTGAAGGTACAGAGGCATAATCTCTTTTTATTTTTATTATACTTTAAGTTCTAAGGTACATGTGCACAACGTGCAGGTTTCTTACGTATGTATACATTTGCCATGTTGGTGTGCTGCACCCATTAACTCGTCATTTACATTAGGTATATCTCCTAATGCTATCCTTCTCCCCTCCCTCTACCCCACGACAGGCCCCGGTGTGTGATGTTCCCCTTCCTGTGTCCAAGTGTTCTCACTGTTCAATTCCCACCTATGAGTGAGAACATGCAGTGTTTTTTTTTTTTTGTCCTTGTGATAGTTTGCTGAGAATGATGGTTTCTAGCTTCATCCATGTCCCTACAAAGACATGAACTCATCCTTTTTTATGGCTGCATAGTATTCCATGGTGTATATGTACAGTGGCATGGTCTTCTTGCAGTTCTGTTTGTTGAGGTCAGCATTAGTGAATGTTGCAGGGTTCCTCAGCAGGTAAGGCTATTGTTTTCTTTAGCAGTGGTGAGGATGTTGGGGTTTTCAGTGGTGAAGCCTGTTGGGATCTTCTTGATTTTTTTTTCTCCCACCTGGAAAGTGTGGCTGAGGGAATCTTTCTTGGTCTTGAGTCTGGTTTGTGGATGCATTTACAATGGCAGTGGAACTGGTCTCTAATGCACAGTGACAGTGGAGCAACTGTGAAGCTGGGGCCTGAAGCTTGGGCATATGGGGAGCAACAGTGGCTTCAGAACCAGGGGATGGGCTAGCTGCTTGTGGTGGTGTAGCCATTGTGTGGAGCATTGACTTGTGCAGAGGTCACAGTTCCAAGCCTCATGGTGTGGGCTAGCTCACAGTGGTGGTGTCTCTAGTATCTGATGTGTAGAGGGGCAAAGTGCAGCCATGGAGTTGGGGTCTGGAGTGTGAGCATGTGAAGAGTGACAGCAGAGCTGGGGACTGGGGAGTAGACTATTTCTCTGTGGCAATGGCTTAGATGTCCAAGGCGTGAGTGCTTGTGGAGTGGCTATTATAATTTTTTTTGACCAATTCAGAGGTCTGAGAAACCAAAATTATAAGCTGAGGAATCAACAAAGGTAAACATAGTTTACATACATATCTAATGATTCTAAGTGATTTTTAGGTGTAATATAAACATATTACAGTGAGCTGAGGCTCTGTAATATAGGGAGAAGTTACTTCAATTTGGTTGAGATAGAGTATGAACACTTATCAAGAAAGGGGTTTTGAAGTCCATACTCTTCCTCAAACTACTTTTTTGTGATAAGACTGAAAAAATTTGGCTGAGCTCACACATCCAAACACCAGGAAATCACTTGGTTCAAGAACTTTTTTTATTCACTTTGAAATCATGTATGAGTTTAGATATTTAGAAAATATTCATATTGTCTGAGGGTTAATGCCAAGGCAAATATGCAACTTAAAGCACTTTTTCATGATGCCCTCTCTGGTAAGTTGACAATTAGATGTGCCAACCACCTAGCTCTTGGCCAGAAGCTTACATTTGGCCTTTTGTGAATATAAATGAAGATAAAGGTCAAATATTTTGGACTGGGAATTTTTTTTTCTTTTTATTTTATTATTATTATACTTTAAGTTTTAGGGTACATGTGCACAATGTGCAGGTTAGTTATATATGTATACATGTGCCATGCTGGTGTGCTGCACCCATTAACTCGTCATTTAGCATTAGATATATCTCCTAAAGCTATCCCTCCCCCCTCCCCCCACCCCACAACAGTCCCCAGAGTGTGATGTTCCTCTTCCTGTGTCCATGTGTTCTCATTGTTCAGTTCCCACCTATGAGTGAGAATATGCAGTGTTTGGTTTTTTGTTCTTGCGATAGTTTACTGAGAATGATAATTTCCAATTTCATCCATGTCCCTACAAAGGACATGAACTTATCATTTTTTATGGCTGCATAGTATTCCATCGTGTATATGTGCCACATTTTCTTAATCCAGTCTATCATTGTTGGACATTTGGGTTGGTTCCAAGTCTTTGCTATTGTGAATAGTGCTGCAATAAACATACGTGTGCATGTGTCTTTATAGCAGCATGATTCATAGTCCTTTGGGTATATACCCAGTAATGGGATGGCTGGGTCAAATGGTATTTCTAGTTCTAGATCCCTGAGGAATCGCTGCACCGACTTCCACAAGGGTTGAACTAGTTTACAGTCCCACCAACAGTGTACAAGTGTTCCTATTTCTCCACATCCTCTCCAGCACCTGTTGTTTCCTGACTTTTTAGTGATTGCCATTCTAACTGGTGTGAATGATATCTCATTGTGGTTTTGATTTGCATTTCTCTGATGGCCAGTGATGATGAGCATTTTTTCATGTGTTTTTTGGGTGCATAAATGTCTTCTTTTGAGAAATGTCTGTTCATGTCCTTCACCCACTTTTTGATGGGGTTGTTTTTTTCTTGTAAATTTGTTTGAGTTCATTGTAGATTCTGGATATTAGCCCTTTGTCAGATGAGTAGGTTGCGAAAATTTTCTCCCATTTTGTAGGTTGCCTGTTCACTCTGATGGTAGTTTCTTTTGCCATGCAGAAGCTCTTTAGTTTAATTAGATCCCGTTTGTCAATTTTGGCTTTTGTTGCCATTGCTTTTGGTGTTTTAGACATGAAGTCCTTGCCCATGCCTATGTCCTGAATGGTAATGCCTAGGTTTTCTTCTAGAGTTTTTATGGTTTTAGGTCTAATATTGAAGTCTTTCATCCATCTTGAATTAATTTTTGTATAAGGTGTAAGGAAGGGATCCAGTTTCAGCTTTCTACATATGGCTAGCCAGTTTTCCCAGCACCATTTATTAAATAGGGAATCGTTTCCCCATTGCTTGTTTTTCTCAGGTTTGTCAAAGATCAGATATTTGTAGATATGTGGCGTTATTTCTGAGGGCTCTGTTCTGTTCCATTGATCTATATCTCTGTTTTGGTACCAGTACCATGCTGTTTTGGTTACTGTAGCCTTGTAGTATAGTTTGAAGTCAAGTAGCGTGATGCCTCCGGCTTTGTTCTTTTGGCTTAGGATTGACTTGGCGATGTGGGCTCTTTTTTGGTTCCATATGAACTTTAAAGTAGTTTTTTCCAATTCTGTGAAGAAAGTCATTGGTAGCTTGATGGGGATGGCATTGAATCTATAAATTACCTTGGGCAGTATGGCCATTTTCAAGATATTGATTCTTCCTACCCATGAGCATGGAATGTTCTTCCATTTGTTTGTATCCTCTTTTATTTCATTGAGCAGTGGTTTGTGGTTCTCCTTGAGGAGGTCCTTCCCGTCCCTTGTAAGTTGGATTCCTAGGTATTTTATTCTCTTTGAAGCAATTGTGAATGGACTGGGAATTTTTAAACTAAAGCAAAATTTGTATTGTTTTTTTGGCAATTACTAAGTGTTCTACTTAAGTTGTCTTTTTTAAAAAAATTTTATGTCATTTTTTAAAATTTTACCTCCAGACACGTAGAAACAGTAACAGCTGATACTATACATAATAATGTATAATGTGTCTCCATTTTTCCTAACTTTGCCCAGTCATTTATTTCTTTTTATAATTACTCTACTGTCCACATCTTTTCATGTACGCAAAGCATATGGATTGAGGACATTTGATGAGGCCACTGAAGGGCAGGTTTCCCACAGCCCCTGGGCCCCTGACTTCAGGATATCAGGAGGGCTCAGAGCCAGCAGGCTAGTGGCTGCCAGCTTAGTCAGTCAGGGTGATAATGGGACTCTGCCTCAATCTCTCCACAGTGAGGGCTCTGTTGGTTGAACAGTGACCCCAAACAACAGTCTCTAGAAAGTCTTCTACTCTCTGAACAGAGTCAGGTTTATTTTTGCTATTTAAATCTATTAATAATATTAATTTTCTGCTGACTATACAAATAGTTCACTATCATTGTAGAAATATTTAAAAATGCAGAAAAATTAAGAAAACCTATGACTTGCAAGGAAATAGCCATTGTTAATATATTGGTAGGTTTATTTTTATTTTATTTTTAATTTCTTCTTATTTTTAATTTTTGTGGGTACATAGTAGGTATATATATTTATAGGGTACCTGAGATGTTTTGATACAGGTATGCAATGTGAAATAAGCACATCATGGAGAATGGGGTCTCCATCCCCTCAGGCATTTGTCCTTTGAGTTACAGACAATATTTTGATATGTTTCTTTTTAACTTCTGTCTATGGAAAAAGACAAATTATACCACATTAAATTAGATATAACTCCCTAAATTAGATCATTTTATACATGGTTTAGCATTTATACAATACTTTTCCTACCTAACTTTTTTTCAATTATCTTTATTTTCATTTCAATAGTTTTGGGGGAACAGGTGGTGTATTGATTGCATGGAAAAGTTCTTTAGTGGTGATTTCTGACATTTGGGGGCACCCATCACCCAAGCTGTGTATACTATACCCAATATGTAGTCTTTTATCCCTCACCCTCCCACCCTTCCCCACCATCCCCAAAGTCCACTGTGTCATTCTTATGCCTTTGCATCCTCATAGCTTAGCTCCTACTTATGAGTGAGAACATATGATGTTTGCTTTTCCATTCCTGAGTTACTTCACCTAGAATAATGGTCTCCAACTTCATTTAGGTTGCTGCAAATGCCATTATTTCATTCTGTTTTATGACTGAGTAGTATTCTATGGTATGTATATACACCACATTTTCTTTATCCACTCATTGGTTGATAGACATTTAGGGTGGTTCCATATTTTTGCAACTGTAAATTGTGCTGCTGTAAATATACATACACAGGTGTCTTTTTCATATAATGACTTATGTTCCTATGGGTAGATACCCAGTAGTGACATTGCTGGATCAAACAGTAGTTCTACTTTTAGTTCTTTAAGAAATCTCCATACTGTTTTCCACAGTGGTTGTACCAGTTTACCTTCCTATCAGCAGTGTAAAAGTGTTACTTTTACCACATCCATGCTAACATCTGTTAGTTTTTGATTTTTAAATTATGGCCATTCTTGCAGGAGTAAGGTGATATCTCATTGTGGTTGTGATTTGCATTTCCTTGATCATTAGTGATGTTGAGCATTTTTTCATGTTTGTTGGCCACTTGTATATCTTCTTTTAAGAATTGTCCATTTGTGTCCTTTGCCCACTTTTTGATGAGAGTATTTGTTTATTCTTGCTGATTTGTTTGACTTCCTTGTAGATTCTGGATGTTAGTCCTTTGTCGGATGCATAGTTTGCTAATATTTTCTCCCACTCTGTGGGTTGTGTCTTTACTATGCTGATTATTTATTTTGCTGTGCAGAAGCTTTTTAGTTTAATTAGGTCTCATTTATTTATTTTTGTTTTTGTTGCATTTGATTTTGGGTTCTTTGTTGTGAACTCTTTGCCTAAGCCAATGTTTAGAAGAGTTTTTCCAATGTTACCTTCTAGAATTTTTATGGTTTCAGGTCTTAGATTTAAGTCTTTGATCCATCTTGAGTTGATTTTTGTGTAAGATGAGAGATGAGGATCCAGTTTCATTCTTCTACATGTGGCTTGCCAATTATCCCATCACCATTTGTTGCATAGGGTATCCTTTCCCCACTTTATGCTTTTGTTTGCTTTGTCGAAGATCAATTGGCTGTAAGTATTTGGCTTTATTTCTGGGTTCTCTATTCTGTTCCATTTATCTATGTACCTGTTTCTATACCAGTATCATGATGCTTTGGTAACGATAGCCTTGTGGTATAATATAAAGCCGGGTAATTTGATGCCTCCAGATTTGTTCCTTTTGCTTGGTCTTGCTCTGGCTATGCAGATTCTTTTTGGTTCCATATGAATTTTTGGATTATTTTTTCTAGTTCTGTGAAGAATGATGATGGGAATTGCATTAAATTTGTAGATTGCTTTTGGCAGTATGGTCATTTTCACAATATTGATTCTACCCATCCATGAGCATAGGATGTGTTTTCATTTGTTTGTGTCATCAATGATTTCTTTCAGCAGTGTTTTATAGGTTTCCTTGTAGAGATCCTTCACCTCCTCGGTTAAGTATATTTTTAAGTATTTTTGCAGCTGTTGTAAAAGTGGTTGAGTTTTTGATTTGATTCACAGCTTGGTTGTTGATGTATTGCAGTGCTACTGATTTGTATACATTGATTTCATATACTGAAACTCTCCTTTCTGTAGCAGTTCCCATTCACCCCTGGACTCTGCTCAAGAGTGTTTGCACCCAGTCAAAATTATTACAAAGTTCAGTTGGAAGCTTCTTTCACCCTGTGACCCCTGAAGACCCATGTGAGATATAGTCAGTGATGGCTGGGGTTGAGCTGGAGAATGTGAGTGCCTACAAGTCTCTTCCTACTGCTGCTTTTACTTTTATATTTTACACTAAATTTGTTTCAGCTCTAGGTAAGGTTAAATCATTCTCTCATAATCTGGATTTTCAGGTTCCTCAGCGGGGATGTGTGTTCAGAGGCAGGTTTTCCTCCTCTCACACTTTGGGAACTCACAGTTTTTTGACTGTCATATGGAATCTTCAGTGGCCTGTCATTTCTTTCCAAAAATCTGTGATTTCTTTTGGTTTTCCTGGTAGGCTCCTACAGTGGTTTCTAGAGCAAAAGTCAATGGTGTGAGTCTTCACATGCCATTTTCTCTGTCCAAGTGGGAGCTGCAGGTCATACCTGCTTCCTATCCACCATCTTCCCCCCTCAATTCCTTTTTACCTAATGTTATATTAATATCATGAACATTTTTGCAATATTAACTAGCCCTCAAAAACAAATTCTTACTGGCTGCTAATACTTGGATATATAGATACAGTATAATTTATGTGATGATTTTTCATGGTTGAGTATCTCAGTTATTACCAATATTGACTATTTTCACGTAACCCTGCAATGCCCAGTCCTGTACACAAATCTTTCTGTGCATCTCTGATGAGTTTTGAACTTTTTATCATGGAAGATGCCAAATAGATACAAAAGAGGGAAGATTTAGTAAAATGAAACCTTCTTTGCACACTGTATGCCTCAGGCTGTTTTGAAGTAAGTCCCAGATGTCATGCATGTGCCAACATATACCTCAAAAAAAGGACTATTTAAAAATCATAGCAATTCTGTCATTATCACACCTAAAATAATTAGCTATAATTCCTCAATGTCATAGTCTTTTTAGATAGTGGATTTTTAGAACTGATGGTCCCTTCCTAATATGGCTCTTGATCAATATTACTTTCTAGCAAAGCTTTAAAATATGTACTTCCAAAACAGTATATGCAAATTTCTAATGCTTGGCATTTTGACTCTTCTTGGTTTATCATATTTTTAAATATTGAACAGGGTAAAGGGCTAACTATGGGGAGGCAGTAGAGGGAAGTGGCGATTCACTTACAGTCTCTGGAGCAGGCAGTGTGGGCATGTATCTGGGTCCTACTTGCTACTTGATATTATTATATCTTTGATTGCATAGTCTCATCTTCAGCAACAGCAATTACTCATAGGTCAACACGTTTTGTAAACTAACTTCACTTCTGCATTTGCTTTAGTTTTTTTTTGCTTTGATTACGTTTACTTTAATTTCACAGAGGTATTAAGTTAGAGGTGTATTAGTTGCTAAGAAATGAAAAACACAAAATGCTAAGACATCAAAAACAGGTAATTCAACTAATCATTAATGGTGCTCCCAGTTTTTGCCTATTATGAACAAAGTTGCAATGAACACATTCTGTGAGCAGAGGCTTTTCCTTTGTTTTGATTACTTCTTGAGGACAGCTTTCTACAGGTGGGATTACAAGGTCAAAGGGCATGACATTTTTTTGGAGGGGAGGGAATCTCCTATAGCTATTTATGACCTGTTTTCTAAAACATTTATATGTATTTACACTGCCTTCTGCAGACCTGAGCTTCCTTTCATCTTTGGAAATATCGATTCTCACCTGGAAAATAGTTATATTTTTTCTAAACAGCTAAATTATGATACCACATATTGTTTGATTACTAGCAGAATAAAATGTTTTCCTCCTATGTTTATTTATTAATTTCATCTTGCATTTTGGCGATGAGTAAATGAAAAGAAAAGCGAAATCTAGGATAAAAATGTAACAAGAGAAGTGATGAAATGGAAACTCTCAGAGTGCTGAGTTGCGCTTTGAGTGCTATCAATGAAATCTATAGACAATACATTATTTGTAAGCTATAAGAAAAATGATGAGCTCTGTGGTAGGAAACATGTGACCTCTGCCATGATAGAATTCACTCTACTCACAGGATACCAGAAACTGGAATGCTTCATAGAAGAAGGGAGATCAGGCATAGAGAAAGCACCATTTGGAGCAGCACAAGAAAGGGGATTTCAGATGCCTCTGTCCTCACTTCTGTTGCTTCAGACTGAGTCTTCACATCTCACCTGGGCCCTTGTAGTGGCCTCCTATGCTTTTGTTGTTTTCACCTCTCCACATGCAATCTGTTTTCTTTAAGCTGCTTCCACAGGTATTTCTAAAACACAAACATGTACATTGTCAAATGTGTCTGCCTACTTAGGGTTTTAGAACTTTGTGGACTACCTCTGATGAGGAAATTTGTGAGCCAGCACAAGACTTCTGAAATTTATTTGGAAACATGTCTGCAGATTGATGGTTGGCTATAAACCAACTTCTCCCTAGAATTTATAGCTCACATTAGATCTTGAGGTCAAGACCACCTAGTTAGTTCTTAGAATGGCAGTTTATTGCCTTGACAGAGATTTTAACAACTATTTTGTACTATAAATCTTTTGATAAGAATGGTCCCACCTGTTTTACTACTTGAACATGGTTCAGAAATTGCAGAGTATAAAAACAGTAATATTTGTCAACAATTTTAATGTCCTCTTTTCAACCACCTATGTATTTATTGGCAATACATGCTGTGTTCAGCACAATGTGAAGAGTTTTGGGAATTTGGGGAAAACTAGATACAATAATATTGCTTTCATCCTTATTGGAAAGGCAAAGGATGCATATAATAAAATGAAATATCATGGCTTAATAATAGCATATAATAAGGTGATATGATTAAAAATCAGAAATATACGTAACAGCTAACCCTTAGTGCTTACTATATGCCACAAATTGTGCTAAACACTTTGCATTAATTATCTTGACTATCAGATTTAATTTTTACAACTACTCTATGAGGTACATGATTAAAGGTCACATGCAAACTATAAATTCAGATGCACTCAATCACTAATTTGCTCAAGTCCAGAGGAGGGAGAAATCATTTCTAGAATTTCTATGGAAGACTTTAAGATGAGATAGAATTTGAACTGTATTTGAGGGCTGGTTAAAAATTGGATAGACAAATGTAAGTGGGATGCTATTTAGGTAAGAGATGCCATGAGCAAATTCCCAGAGGCAAGGATCTAAGGAATGTTACTGGCAGAGTGTTCCAGAATTATAGAGAATTTGAAACGGATAAGAGAAAACAGATGAAGATATATAGGCCGGGAATAAAATATATATGTGTACAACTATGACTTCCAGGCAGTGAATCCTCACTTTTCCACTTGAGTTTGGAAGAAAAAAGAATTAGGTTCTTGAGCTTTTCTGATTTTACCCTTAGCCTTTTGGTAGGCTACTATCTACTGAAATCGGTCCTCAGCAGCAGGTCATATTGGGAAATTGTCTTGCCATGTAGTCTCTGTTGGAGTTTGAGTAGATATCCACAACCTTGAGGTAGAGTTCAGACGTTCTTGAGGATGTTATTTGGAAACCCTCTTGATTTTTGGAATCAGGAGTTATGGTTTGATCATCCTCCTCATGCCATGGCAATGCATCACACAAAGTAGTAGTTTTGCTACTTTATGTTCCTACCCCTAGATGAGTACTATGTGGTAGACCGTGCATGCATGGGTTGTAGTAATCACTCTGAAAAGGAAATAAACTGTGTGGATTTCTGGCATTATTCTTGGAAACTTTTCTCTTTGAACTATAGGTTTTCTGAAATGACCCTTCTACACTTAATGTTACTTAGAGTCCCGATATTTCTCTGCTGCTTAGTGTAGTAGTTAGGACTTCAGATCCCAGAGCTGAGTTGTCTGAGTACAAATCTTAGCTGCTCCACTGGTCCATTTTTTTTTTTTTTAACCACTAGCATGAGCCTTCCCCTCTCTGATTAGTTTTCTTATCTTTAAAATGGTGATAGTAATTGTATCTAAATTATAGGGTTATAGAGATTAAATAAAATGCACAGTATTCTTTCCATCTGCTTTCAGGAATGTATTTGAGATTGGGTCATTTTGCAGATGGAACGATGATTTATTGTACTTTCATCTTACAGATTTATAATTACATCATCATTTTTTTCTTTTGAGATGGAGTTTTGCAATTGTTGCCCAGGCTGCAATGCAATGGCATGATCTCGGCTCACTGCAACCTCTGCCTCCCAGGTTCAAGCGATTCTCCTGCCTCAGTCTCCCAAGTAGCTGGGATTACAGGCGCCTGCCACCACACCCGGGTAATTTTTTGTAGTTTTAGTGCAGATGAGGTTTCACCATGTTGGCCAGGCTGGTCACGAATTCTGGACCTTAGGTGATCCACCAGCCTCCGCCTCCCAAGGTGCTGGGATTACAGGTGTGAGCCACCACACCCAGTCAATATCATCATTTATTTTTATTTTTATTTTTTATAAGACGGAGTCTTGCTCTGTTGCCAGGCTGGACTGCAGTGGCCCGATCTCAGCTTGCAGCAACCTCCGACTCCCTGGTTCAAGCTATTCTCCTGCATCAACCTCCTGAGTAGCTGGGATTACAGGCACTTGCCACCAGGCCCAGGTAATTTTTGTATTTTTAGTAGAGACAGGGTTTCACCATGTTGGCCAGGATGGTCTCGATCTCCTGACCTGGTGATCTGCCCAATTCGGCCTCCCAAAGTGTTGAGGTTACAGGCGTGAGCCACCGTGCCTGGCCAATATTACCATTTTCTATTTTTTTTTCCCCATGAAAACATCACTGTAATTTCATATGTCAATTAATTCTCCCTTTCTTTTTTTTCTTTTTTTTTTTGAGACGGAGTCTTGCTCTGTCACCAGCTGGAGTGCAGTGGTGTGATCTCGGCTCACTGCAACCTTCGTCTCCCTGGTTCAAGCGATTCTCCTGCCTCAGCATCCCCAGTAGCGGGGACTACAGGTGCATGCCACCAGGCCCAGGTAATTTTTGTATTTTTAGTAGAGACAAAGTTTCACCATGTTGGCCAGGATGATCTCCATCTCTTGACTTCGTGATCCTCCTGCCTCAGCCTCCAAAAATTTTCCCTTTCTTTATACTTTTACTACTTAAATTTAGCACCTTTTTGCTATTACTTAAAAAGCCTTCAAGTTTAACCACTAAAATCAATAACATATACGCATCTGTATGTTGTATTTAGAGTGATGAATTCTGAAAACAATAATATACCTCTTTAAATTATAATAATAACATGGCTTATATTACTCTGTTTCAGATGGGTTCTCTAGCTATGGTATAATTATTATGTTTAATCACCCCTAACTTATTTTATTTTAAAATTATATTTGTTTTTATATTTTGAATGTATATTTAGCAAGTAGTAAATATAAAGAAACACTTTAAAAATCACTATCTGGAGATATTTGAGATTATGCTAAATTTGCAGTTTCTTGCAGGTTATCTTTCCTGTATCCTGGTAAACTAGAGTTTTTTTTTTTTTTTTAGTATTTATTGATCATTCTTGGGTGTTTCTCAGAGAGGGGGATTTGGCAGGGTCGTAGGACAATAGTGGAGGGAAGGTCAGCAGATAAACATGTGAACAAGGGTCTCTGGTTTTCCTAGGCAGAGGACCCTGCGGCCTTCCGCAGTGTTTGTGTCCCTGGGTACTTGAGATTAGGGAGTGGTGATGACTCTTAATGAGCATGCTGCCTTCAAGCATCTGTTTAACAAAGCACATCTTGCACCGCCCTTAATCCATTTAACCCTGAGTGGACACAGCACATGTTTCAGAGAGCACGGGGTTATAGATTAACAGCATCCCAAGGCAGAAGAATTTTTCTTAGTACAGAACAAAATGGAGTCTCCTATGTCTACTTCTTTCTACACAGACACAGTAACAATCTGATCTCTCTTTCTTTTCCCCACATTTCCCCCTTTTCTATTCGACAAAACCGCCATCGTCATCATGGCCTGTTCTCAATGAGCTGTTGGGTACACCTCCCAGACGGGGTGGCGGCCGGGCAGAGGGGCCCCTCACTTCCCAGATGGGGTGGCCAGGCAGAGGTGCCCCCCACCTCCCAGACAGGGCGGCTGCCGGGCGGGGGCTGCCCCCCACCTCCCAGACGGGGTGGCTGGCCAGGCGGGGGCTGCCCCCCACCTCCCTCCCGGACGGGGTGGCTGGCTGGGCGGAGACGCTCCTCACTTCCCAGACGGGGCGGCTGCCGGGCGGAGGGGCTCCTCACTTCTCAGACAGGGCAGCCGGGCACAGAGGCTCCTCACCTCCCAGACGGGGTGGCGGTTGGGCAGAGACACTCCTCAGTTCCCAGACGGGGTCGCAGCCGGGCAGAGGCGCTCCCCACATCTCAGACGATGGGCGGCCGGGCGGAGATGCTCCTCACTTCCTAGATGGGATGGCGGCTGGGAAGAGGCGCTCCTCACTTCCCAGACTGGGTGGCCGGGCAGAGGGGCTCCTCACATCCCAGACGATGGGCGGCCAGGCAGAGACGCTCCTCACCTCCCAGACAGGTTGGCAGCCGGGCAGAGGCTGCAATCTCGGCACTTTGGGAGGCCAAGGCAGGCAGCTGGGAGGTGGAGGTTGTAGCGAGCCGAGATCACACCACTGCACTCCAGCCTGGGCAAGATGGAGCACTGAGTGAGCCAGTCTGCAATCCTGGCACCTCGGGAGGCGGAGGCTGGCAGACCACTCGCGGTCAGGAGCTGGAGACCAGCCCGGCCAACACGGCAAAACCCCGTCTCCACCAAGAAATACGAAAACCAGTCAGGCTTGGCGGTGCCCGCCTGCAATCCCAGGCACTCAGCAGGCTGAGGCAGGAGAATCAGGCAGGGAGGTTGCAGTGGGTCGAGATGGCCGCAGTACAGTCCAGCCTCGGCTCGGCATCAGAGGGAGACCGTGGAAAGTGGGAGACAGAGACGGGGAGGGAGAGGGAGAGGGGAAGAGGGGGAGAGGGAGAGAAGGAGAGGGGGCTAAACTAGAGTTTAATTGCACTGAATTAATTCTGTTTTTTAACTGTCCCTATTTGTACTCATTGGTGACTCTCATAATTTAGGTGGCATGGGACATTCACTAGAGCTGTGATTATACATCTGCTATTGAGAACTCTATTCTGGGAAGTTTGAGTTCTAAATTTGATTTTTTTTTAGGGGAAAAAGCTGACATTGTTTTTGATTAGTTTCGATTTGAGAAATATTGAGTAATACTTGCATTTTGATGCTTCTTGGCATCATGTGCTTGATATCCTCAATATTATTCTATTATGTCTTTTAGAATCAGTCCTTGTTCCTCCTTCCTCCCATTAAAATCTAATTTGGGTACTTTGATTAGATCTTCGAGTCTCTTGACAAACAAACTTTTTCAATTTCTGAGATGTACCCTGTCTGAGGAATGTATCATTGTTTTATAAACCAAAGTCCAGGAAGCCAAACTCTTTCATTTTTATATTATGCATGTGGAGCATTATTCCTTTCCTGTCGTGTTTCCTCTCTCCTGCGGTAACAGTCACCAAGTGATAGAGCTGCCAAAGCCACTAGCTGGGCTTGTAAGACTTTCTGCTCTACTCTGAGTTTCAAAGTATCTGGAGATGCTTTCTAGTTTTCCTGATTCCATTCAGCTCTACATCGAAGGTGTGGGTAGGCAGTGATGGGTGAGTCTGCTAACTGTGGCTGTGGCTCGGACGGATTGTGCCGGGACGTGTCTGGAGGCCGTCATCCTGCGGCGTGCAGCTTGGCCGCTTGGCTGTGGGAGGTCAGCTCCTCACATCCTCCCTCCAGGAGGGACAGCATGCCTTCTTTTCATCCAGTATATTCTTTTTTTTTTTTTTTTTTGCTTACTGAGAATTCTTTATCTAGCAAAACATTCTATCATAAATGAGTCCTCCAGTTTATTCTACGTGGAGCAGCCTCATGCTGATTAGTGGGAAGTAACCAACACAAAGTCTTTCTCTCCATGAACACTTGGAGGTTTGCAGAGCGTGAGATGGTTTCTCTGAGGGAGTCTGAAGCTCTCTCCTATAACTCAGAGTTTCTCCTTTCTTCACTATTATAGTCCTTCACTTGACTACCAGCTTATAGTCATCTCTGTTGACCCTTCAGAATATTATTTCCTAGCTTCTTTTGATATTTTTGTTTCTAATTTTAAAAGAATATTCACTGTCTTCTCCTGCTTGGCTTATCATAGCAAAATTGCCGAGACTGGGTGGCTTAACAGAAACTTATTTTCTCACAGTTCTGGAGGCTTGAAGTCAAAGACTAAGGTGCCAGCATGATCAGTTTCTGGTGAGGGCCCTTCCTGGATTGTTGACAGCTTTTTTCCCCACTGTGCCCTCTCATGGTGACAGAGAGGGGGCTTTCTTCTTATAAGGGCACTGATCCCATTATGAGGGCTCCACCCTCAAGACTTTGGCTAAAGCTAATTATCTCCCATTGGTTACATCTCCAAATACCATCACATTGAGGGTTAGGGCTTCAACTTTGGGGGGACACAAACATTCTGTTTATGGCACGCATGAATCTCTAAAGAAGACATGTGGAGAAACATTCCTCACCAGCTGGGAGAGCAGCTGAGCTGCTCCTGTGGCCATGACAGAATACGCCTCTGTTATACTGCAGCCCGCTGCTCAGTGTATTTGATTAGCTCCTTTGCCTCCCTCCTAGACTGTAACTCTTTCAAAACAGAGAGTTTGCCTTATTTTTCCCACGGCAACACAGTATCTCATCAACGTTGTTTAATGAAAGAATAAATCAGCAGTCTCAGTCTTAAACATAAACATCCCCTAAATGTTGTCACCATGGTTTTGTCAGGGCCCATTTTCTTGGCTGACCTTCAGTTTCTGTTGGCTTTCTCATCCCCATTTCCATGTTGTGGCTGATTTTCCTGTGCTTTATAAAATAGGCGATGCAGGAAAATGGGCCTTTTAAACTGCTTAGCACAGTTCTTCCCCTGGCTGCTCTGGTGTATTAGCAGTTATAGGTTATTAGCAGTTTCATCCTTCTCCTGCATTCATTTTTTATGACTTATTTTTATGTTTATATGTCACACAAAAGGACTAAAGAAGGGCCAAGCTCACTTTTATCATGTGTACTCACCAAAGCAAGTTTCTCCCATTTTAGAAATAAGATCTTTGATTGTTAATCTAAGAATCTTTTTCTTTTTTTCTTAAGCATAATTACACAAAATTCATTTTATTGAAAACCCCACAAATTTCAAAATTGTGAAAACAACACCCACCAAAATTCAAAGCTGAATCAAACTAAAAGATAATACAACCACACATAGACACATACACATTGAATGAAGTTGGCATTAATTTTACACTTTGATACATTGGGAATTTTCATAGCTGTTACGTTTTTGAGCTTAAAAAGATAAAAATTCTTGTCTCTGAATCAATAACACCAGGAAATAAAATATAAAGCAAAGTAGCAAATTATGTTAAAAATGAAAGGGTTGTGAATCCAGACATTAAATATGGCCAAGTGTGAGCTATTTTATTTCCTTGAGTGTTGCAAGTGCATGAAGCATCTCTGATTTCTCAAGATTCAATATGAAAAGTCAGTCAAGTAGCTGGAGTTCTATTTCTTTGATGGGAAATTAGGCAAGGCTGAAGAGCACAGCAGAGCAGCTTTTGCATATCTTTGAGGTAACTATGGAAAGGGCATGTCTCTCATTAGTATTGGTTACGAACAACTCAACAAGCCTGGAATATGACAGATGGGGTCTCGGAGCTGACTTAATACTCTAGCATGACAGCAACTCAACTGTGAAAACACAAAGGAAGTTCAGAGGAACAGACTTACCCTTTCTGCAGCCTGGAAGCACTGTTGGTTTTGCTTGGCTTTGTATTATGTCAGAGTGTCATTCGCCCTTACCTGAGTAGCCTTGTCTCCTTGCACTTAATGCACTGCTGTATTTAGCATTTCTACACTGTCTCAGCTGACTTCCCAGTCTCTTTTTTGACTTGTCTAGGGCATGATTCAAAATCTTCCATCAAAGACAGCTCCAGCCAAGTTCATTTTTATGATCCTGTTTTGTGAAGCACACTTGATTTTTTTCACAGTTCAACAGATTTAAAACATGATAAAGAGTTTGGAGGGCAGTGATAATCTATGGACTTGTGCAGATCTGTCAAGGTGTCGAGAGGAAGCAATTGCTTCTTTGGTGAGAATGATACATTGCCTGTACCCTAAAGTCTATGAACAGCATTCTAATGGCAACTTGACATTTATCAAAAGATTTCAGCTTTGTACCTGGCTTTATTTGTGCTCAGCCATCTTGAAAGTTAGGCATTTGCAGCAGAATTCAATAGCAGCACTTCTAGTGAATGCGATATTAACTATTTAATCTGGCAAACTCATAGCTCCTGGATGTATGACACAACAGACAACTCTTTGTATAGGACTAATAGCTGTTAGTCCTTTTCAATGCAAAACACACAATACTCAGAATTCTTGCAGGAACACACATGAGAAGCCAAGAGGTTATAATTTTAGAATTACCAGCTGTGTCTATACTATGTCAAAATGTCCACATAAAAAGGAAAAAATATCTGTTGTCAGTTCATAGAATCAGATGCTTCTTCATGTTGGATATATCTAAAAATACATATATTTTCATTTTCTGGTTCTGGGAAAGAATTTCCAAAGAAAAGTTAGACAGTTATGCTTTGCTGCTGGCATCAGTTTATTCCTGCATGCCTATAAAATATAAAAATTTACTTTAGGGAGAGGTTAGAGGGTTATCTAGGCAATGGGCTAGGTATTAAGGAATACAAGATAGATGAGGTAAGAGCACAGTCTGGGAGGAACTCAAGTTTCAGATTCCGATGAGGCAGACAGTCACACTAGAAAACACATGTAAAATATGTGTGATTGAGGAAGCAGAGGAAGATTTCCCAGAAGAGGTGACATCTGATATGCAACTTTAAAGGTCCATAAGCACTTGTCAGGCAGACAAAGGTCCTGAAATGTAAGAGCATGTAGCCAAAGTGCCCAGGCCTCTTGGGACTGGATAATAAAAGCCACCTCTTGATGGTGGAAATAGCTTACAACTTTTATATTACTTTTTCTTTGGTTACCTTTAATGGTTATAAGATAAATAATACACACAGAAAACTTGTTACTAATCAGGAAACCTATTAAGAACATTTTTGTAAGAGAAAATAGTAAGATTATTTGTTATGAAAGCAAGTAGATATGGATGAGAGCTGTAA